>NC_000004.12:9322916-9947916 GCF_000001405.40 Homo sapiens | reverse complement strand
CACGCAGGGAAGCACTGGGTCAGTCAGGAGGCAGAAAGAGGGAGGGGACAGCCTGCACCAGAGCCTTTATTGTGGCCCCATGGCAGGAATGAGTGAGCAGGGGAGGCAGGCTTGAGATCATGTTGCCAGGCTCTGGGCTACAGGGCTGTTCCCTAGTTGTCTGATACCTGGCTCTGGAGTGGCCTGTGGGAGGGGAAATGTTGGCTCAGAGTGTGAGAGTTTGATAAAGGAAGTGATTGGAGTATAGACTTTGGATTGGTGGGTTTGCATACGAAAGGCCTGCTCTCAGGCAGGTTGTTTACTAGCTCTAGGAATTATTAATAGCTAGGGAGCTGCTATTAATAACTGCTCGGGAAAGGTCGGTCTCTCTGAAATCAGAAAGGTCATACAATATGAAAGCGAAATAAAATACAGAACACATAAAACATGATTAATATTAATACACTAACCTCATGGCCACCTAGGTTGGGGTCAGAGTGGGCTGGATTTAGCCTCAGCCCACCCCCTTATCAGGGAGCTGAGTGCTCGGTGCACCTTTCACAAATATGCAGAGCAGCCTTGACCCTGGATCCCTTGAGCTGCAATGGAGAGAGACAGAAAGAGATGTACACCTTGCAGCAGAGACAGAGAAAGAGCACCTGCAAACCTGCAGGCTAGGACAACTGCAAGGACGAGTGGGTGGTCCCAAGGTTGGGACACTCCAGAACCCTCGGAAAGTGCTCATGAGGAAACAATATCAGTTTTACACATCCATTGGCCCCAGAGTCCCAACGTACAGCCTCACACACTTGGTTCCTAGAGGGGTCAGACACTGGCTAGCAAGCCTGGGGAAGAGGGGTAGGAAGGAGGAGAGAAATAGAGAAGTCAACCATCTACCTCCCACCCCAGCTCTTTCCACTGCAGGCTTCTAGCCTAAAGCAGGCTTGGAGGAAGGGGTATGGGAGATGGAAGAAGTGTCAGTCAATCCATTCAATTCAGTTGATTTTGATTATTATTTTATACTGGCAATTCTGATGTCTAAATTGAAATTGTGATTCTAGGATAGGACTCTGCTCAGTTTCAGCAGAAAAGACATGAGCCCCTAGAATGGGGCAGGGAAATAAAGCCCCAGGGATTAAATTTTAGAGGAATAAGGAGACAAAGATCAAGGTTGTATTTAGATGACATTCTGGACTGTTCTTATGTAACACAAGGTTACATTTGTAACACACTTAGCAGGGAGCTGGGCACGTGGAGCCCACTTGATCAATGTAAGCCATTATTAGAATAAGAGCCTAAATATGAAGAAATATAAAGAAGAGCATTTCATTTAATCCCCCAAATAGCTGTGTAAGGTAGGGCTTGCTCTTCCCCTTTCCAATCCAGCAGCATGGAGCAATGGCCACTTCTGGAGCCCTTTTGCTGTCAGAGGCATAAGTGGCCCAGCCAGCATCAACCCCCTCACCGTGCTCCCTTGTCTGGGGGCCATGAGCATATTGGAACATCCTTTATAAGAACTTGACTTGGGGTAAGAGTAATGATTTCAACTCTACTTAAACATTTTTTGCTGATTCATCATAGTCCAGGATGATATTATTTATGGACTAAAGTAGTCTATAGCTTGGGGGAAATATGACCTGGAAGTCTATTTAAAACATGGAAACCTGCAGATTAAAGAACAAGATAATAGAACAAGATAATTGCAAAGCCCATTCGCCTGACCTGACTGGGAGTTAAAAATCACCTTGGCTGACAAGACTATCCTTTTCTTTCCTCCTGAGTGAAATAGCAGGTGCAAAGACTCTGCCTGTGTTCTCCTAGATGGACGCTCTAGGGCTTTACCAAACCCAGCAGGCTGGACCGACACCACAAAGACTCATCTTTGAGGTTGTCGTTTGGTGGCGCCTCATGGTCTTGTGTCAGGCGAGTAATATGCGGTTTTTTAAAACATGCCTTCCTTTTTGAACAGCACCTGAAAAAGACACTCAGAGGCCACTGTCTGAAAATGGCAAGCGCTGTTTGTGAAAGGGACCAGTGTGTAGGAAAGCCCTTTCCCACGCTGATTTGCTCCTTCAATAGACATGTATTGAACCACTACTGTGTGCTAGCAGGTCTCTGCCTTCAGGCCATGCCCATCTAATGTAAAACACTGAGGCCTCAGCTCTGTGTTGGGACCAAGTGCCCAGGAGCTCCATCAAGGGCCACTGAGGGTCTTAGGCCTGGGTCAGATGGTAGAAGTTCAGACCAAGCTCTCCTGGCCCTTCCCCTGAGTCTGGTGGTCTGATGGCTCCTCCCTGGTCACTAGGTATGTCTTATCAGGCCTCCTGGATTTGAATTCAGACTCTGGGATCCCAGATTTGGCGGCCAGTCATGCCTCTATGACCGAGTTGTGGCCTCAATGAGCTATTGAACCCCTCTGTGCTGCAGTTAATATTTCTGTATAGTGGAGATAATCACAGGCTCTCTGTCTGCGAGCTATTGTGAGGATGAGAAGAGATGAACTATCCAATGTGCTTAGTAATAAAAGCCACTCTTTCCTGTTGAACACCTACAGTGTGTGCAGGCCTGTGCTCAGCACTCCCGACATCCATTCATGGACTAAATCCTCCCAACAGAAATCCTCCCTAGGAATACGTGTTGTCACTGTCCCCATTTTACAGATGAGAACACTGAGGCATAGGCATTTCGATAACTTGCCCACAGCACAGTGAGTGGGGGTAGAGGCAGAATTCAAATCCAGACAGCCTGCAAGAGAGCTGTGCCCATAGCCACTCACTAGGTTGCCCTGATCCTGGCTGCAAGCCCCTGCTCAGTAAGGGTTGCTGATGGCGATTACATCTTTACCACTGTCATTGGGAGAGAAGACGTGCATGTTCATTGTCAGAAATTCTTCCATAAAGCACAGGGCATAGCAGAGCCTTTATTGTGGCCCCACGGCAGGAATGAGTGAGCAGGCTAGGCACTTACTCATTGAGATGACGTGTGCGCAGGTCATCCTAGCTATTTTTATTATTTGGGTGGGCCACATGTATAATATGGGTGGAAACACTTCATTCAACACACACCCTACCCACACACCCAGTCACACTTTTCTTGGTAGAAGGTGAGGGGAATAATCTCTCCTAACTATAACACCTCTCCCTGCAGCCAGCTAATATCTCCAGGAAATCTCTGAACACTTGCTGGAAAAAGCCAGGTTCAGACTCTTCTGCTGGCTAAGCTCAGTCCCTCTGGAGTAAACTCTTATCTGAGCTCCACTCTGGACACTCCCGACCCTCACCTTTTCCGCTGTTCACCCCAGGGATGTGTGCAGAGTGGCCACTGCCATTGTCCTTCCCCAGTTCAGAAATGTTGGCATCCCAATCCGGGGGCTGCCCACCCTGAGGTTTAAAGAATCCACCTTTTCTCCAGAGGTAGAAAGAAGACCATGGTCACCCATGCGACCCCCCTTAAGAAAGAGTCCACACGTCCTTGTATTTAAGAGACCAGGGATCAAAGGCTATGCCATAAACTTGATAACAGCCTTTCAGGAATAAGTCATGCAATGTGAAACATACCCACTGACTAAGATTCCAAAAACACTGAATTGTAGATTCAAGGAAATAGAGAGTGTCCATCTCAGCTAGTGCATAGACCCCTCAAAGGCTCCTGTTGTCCTCAAGCCAAGTCCAAGAGCCATGGAAAGGCAGCAAAGCCACCCATGACCTGACCTCTGCTCAAGGCTCCAGCCTCAGCTCCCACATCTCCGGCATCCCCTGACCTTCTGTTTCCACTACAGTTGTTGTTCCCCAATGAGCCTGGGTGGATCATGCCTCTGTGTGGTTATACATGCTGTTCCTATGCTGGGGGTGCCCTTCCACCCAGTGGCAGCTCCAAAAACACCACCCCTGGGAAGTGCTCCCACTGTGACGATACTGTGGGAAAATATTAGGCTTGATTTCCACCTGTGTGGCTCCTGGCTGGGAGGCCTCAGCACAGGAATCGCCTGCCACACCTTTAACATGCAGCAGTATTGCTGGCTGTGTGTGGGGCTGGCGGCTGTGCGGTGGAAGGAGACAGCCATGGGAAGGGCTCACATCACATCCGGCACGTGGTAGGAGCTTCATGGGGTTGGTTCCCTCGTGTTTTCTCAGATTCTGTTTTTACCCTTACTGAGACGGCAGCCAAACCCCGAGAGAAAATAAAATCAACACCACCACACACAGGCCTAGCGAAAATTCCACTTCTATGTATGTTGGGGTTTTTTCTTCCTGGTCTTTCTTTTTGATCAAACTATGACACACATATCATAAAATTCATCCTTTTAAAGTATACAGCTCAGTGGGTTTTGGTATCTTCACGGAGTCGGGCCACCATCGGCCTTCCCTAATTCCAGGGTATTTGCATCACCCTAGATGAAACCCCACACCCATGCGCAGTCACTCCCCACTCCCCTGTCCCTGGCCCTCCTGGGCCCCCGACAGCCCTAGCCTACCCCTCCCAGCCTTCTAGCGAGAGCTCCTCCTGAAACTGGAAAGCTGACATTGGCCTTGCCAGTTCCTCAAAGGGCGATGGAAGGGCTATGCTGGCTGGCGGAACCAGAGGAGTTTTGTGAATAAAAATTGTTATTAGATACAGAAAAGGGAATCAAATCTAAGGCACCCCTTAGATGGAGATGATGATTGGACCAGCTGCTGGCTGTGTGCCCCTGGCAGGCCACTTCCCCACTCACTCTGAGCCCTGGGGCCCTGCTGCTCTCCCTTCATGGGATCCTAGAACTTGCAAAAGTCTCTGTTACCATGGACCTCAGTAGGGAGCGAGTCTTGGGAGAGCAGCAGAGGGAAGCCCTGCCTCCCAGCGGGCAGCTGGGGGAGAGGTGGGGAGGCTGTCCCCAGGCCCTGCCAGTTCTGGTGCCCCAGGATCCTGAGGGTAACTTCCCATGGGCCCCACCTGAAGCCAACAGAACCTCTGCCTATCATGTGAAGTCTTTTCAGGTCTGAGTGTGTCTTATTTTGCCCTTGGCCATCTCCTTGTACCTTCTTGGGAAATAAACGTGTCAAGGATGTGGCATTGAGGACTTGGTTTTTCCTCCTTCTCATGATCAGAACTGCATTGTGAGCAGGATTCTCTTCTTTCAGTGGCACACTGAGAGCCTATTTGTAAACTTGGGTAGGAAGAAAGCAGGTTAGGACGAATACTACCTTGATGGGCATCGTAACGTGTGCTCTGGGCTTCATTTAAGCTGCACTGCAGGGGATGTCACTGCTTGGAGTGCATCACTTGCCTCTTGAATAGTGCGTGTCGTAGGGATCTGTTTGCCTTTCATAGCTGGCTGGAAAGTGAAAGGCCTCCTCTCCCTAAGGGGTAAGCTGTGCCCCACTGGCCCCCTCTTCCTCACTCCCATGGGGTCTGCAAGAGCTCCAGCTGCCCTTCTTGTGTCCTCACTGAGAAGACAGAGATGGTTGAATGTCGTGGGCGTCTAGATATCTAGCGGTGGTGCCCATGTCACCTCCACATGCAGGCTCCATTCTTGGGGCAGCCTGGGAGGCAGCCCTGGTGTTGAAGAGAAGGAGACCCTAAGATCCCCCAGGCTCACCATGGTTCCCCAGGGAGTGGGGTCAAGCAGCCCTTGAGTGGCCTTGGCCAACCAGAGCCGCCTGCTTTTCAGAGCTACCTTGCAGGTCACTATCTCACAGGGGACTCTTGAGGAGTCTCTGGACTCATGCATGGAAAATGCTATATACGTGGGACTGGTGCCCAGCCTGGCTCAGTTCCTTCCCTCAGCCTTTGTTCCTGGGGATCATGCTGGGCAGGAAGACCTTCTGCAGGGTCGAAACCACCTGGTCCAGTGGCCCAGTCCCCTCAACAATGACCAAAGGCCACTGCACTCAGCAGCATCTCCTTCTCCCACAGGAGAGTACCTGGCCATACCTGTTTGGAGTGATTGTGGTCCCTGCCGTTGTCCAGCTGCTGAGCCTTCCCTTTCTCCCGGACAGCCCACGCTACCTGCTCTTGGAGAAGCACAACGAGGCAAGAGCTGTGAAAGGTGAGGGCCCTTCCCTTTCCTGCACAGCTCCAGCCCCTGCATAGATCATCACTGCAAGGCATGCTGGGACCTGGGCCAATGGGCACAGGAAGGGGTGTTGTCATTGTTCCTTTTTGCAGGCACTGGGCTGGGTATCATAGGGTACCTTCTCATTTCATCTTCCCAACAGCCTTGCTGGGGGACAGAGAGGGGACACAGAGTCACCCAGGGAGTCTCCCAGGGAATCTGGAAAAGCCAGAACAGACAAGATAAGACGCAGGTTCCCTCACTTCTGTGCAGTGTCTCACTACCACCTCTCTAGTTGTTCCCAGCCACAGAGATGAAGCCATCTGAAATTTCTGAGTGGCTTAGGTGCATGGCGGCCCTCCTTCCACTTCTTCTCCCTTCACTGACTTCCTCTGTCTTAATATTTACCTGCCAGGAGAGGAAAAGATGCAAGCACAGAGTGAACACCAGATCCCACCAGGCACTGGTCTGAGTGCTTCTTCACAATGACCCACAGGACCTTGCCAACAGTCCTTCGAGGGAGGAAGGAGTATACACTCATTTTACAGGGGAGAAAAATAAGGCTCGCAAAGGGGCTTGGGAGTTGTCTCATGTAGCTTTCTTTAAATGCCCTAAATGGGGGGATGCTGAGTCAGATTCAAATCTTGGCTTTCGGAATCAGAGACATCTCTCTACAGAGCCCTGAAAAGGCAAAATTATGTTGCCTAGAGATAGACAATGCAGAATGAACAATCACATTCTGATTCTTTTAGTTTTATAAAATGAGATGCAGTTGACAGCACCATGGTTAGTTAGGCATGTGAAGGTAACCAGCACTACCTTCACATCCAGCTCTGATGTCTGACCTTGAGCAATTTTTTAAACCTTTCTGAGCCCCAGAACCCTCATCTGTAAAAAGGAAATGACATAAACTTCCCTCATGGGGCCATTGTGAGGACTGAATTAGATGGTGCATATAAGGTTCGTAGTATTATCTGCTATCATTATTACTGAGAACTCTGTGCATTTTAGTTCTAAATTTCATCTATGTCCAAATCCAGGAAAAGACTTGAGAATTATATATACAATTTGTGCAACATCTTTTGAAATTCACACTACCTAAGTATTTTCTGAGTTAACAAATGGCATAATGAAATATTAACAATTACCTATATTTGTCTAGCAGTTTATGGATCAGATTCATTTTCTCATTTATAACATTTCTCTAAAGTGAAGTCAGAGAAGGTAATTGTTATTACCTTCATTTTGCAGATGAAGAAACTGAGGCTTACAGGGATGAATTCCGTTTCCCAAAGCTGTGGGTTTTGGTTTATAGAGATTTATAGAGGCTTTTGAAAATATGATGGAAATGATAGTGTTTTCTTCAATACAGTAACCATATACACAAAATTCTGCCTATGGCTTGGTGATAGACCTGGGACTTGAGCCCTCTTTTCTCCAGAGGACCCTGGTTAGTAACTCCCACCCCCAATCTTAAACCCGTTAGTAACCAAAGGATTGGAACCCAAAGAAGATTTTCCTCCAACACCCCTCGTGCACAGAGAGATACCAGGAAACGGAAGTAGTGGCTATTGTACCGGGTGACTTCCCATGTGGCCAGTGAGGAGAAAAACCACCTAAAAGTTTGGTTCAGATGGTTGTCAGATGGCAGAGTCTCTGGAGTAAAAAGAAGGTGACTAAGAGAGAGAACCAAGGGGATCTGATTCTAGATGCACCTGGGCTGTGCATTATTGGAAGAGGGTGAGGCCTCCAGCTCTGTCTCTACTAGCCTGGGAGGGTAACCCGCACCCCCTCTGGCTCTCTTGAGAAATGCTTCAATTAAGTACAGTTGGAATGAATAGTGCATGTCAATGCCAGACAGTGAAGAAGGTTTTAAAGTTTTATTTCATAGCACAGTAGGGAGTGAGGGAGAAGTACAGTTACAAAACGTGATAAATATTACATGTGCACTCTATAAAAAGAACAAAGATATTGGCCTTAAGTTGAAATAGCTTATTGAAATTTTCATCTGTACCTATAAAAGTGCTAATTTTACTCCAGACATTCAGCAAGCAATGGATATTTAGCATGTTGGGTGTTCTGCCAGGTGACAGGGTGAGACAGTGGTATGAGATGACATTCCTGCCCCCCAGGAGTGAGGGAGGGTGAAGGTCTAGTTAAGGGAGATGGACAGAAACACCCACTAATGGCTCATCTGTATTGAAAACTATTTCATTCTAAGCACTTCACATACATTAGCTCATTAAATCATCACAACAACCATAGAAAGTAGGTAATATTTTTATTCCCATTTTAAGACCTAAAAAAAAAAACCAAGGATGGGATAACTTGGCCAAGGACATAAAGCTAGCCAATGACAGCACCGAAATTTGAATTCTGACAGTCTGGCTCTGGAACTTATGAATGTAAACAAAATGCACTTTATTACTTAGCACCATGCTCGGCACTGTGGGAGATACCCCTTCTCCAGTCTGTTGATAATTTGGGGAAAAGAGGCCCTGTGTTAGTCAACTATTACTGTAATAATGCTGCATAACAAAACACCCAAAACACATTGGCTTTAGATAATAGCATGCCCCAGTTCACAAACCTATAGGTCAACAGTGTTGTTCTGTTAATCTTAGTAGGGCTTGACCTTAAAATCTTTCTTGGGGCCAGCTGAAGTTCACTCGCATGTCTGTTGGTCACCTGGCTGACCTAGGTTGGCCTTAGCTCTGTTCAATGCACCTCATCCCCAGCTGGCCAGCAGGGCACATTCTCATGGTAATCAGAGAGGAAATGGAAAACACAAGCGTTTTCTCTAAGCTTGAAATCTCCTAAAATCCTATTGGCCAAAGTAAGTCACATAGCTAACCCAAAGTCAGAGTGGAAGGGGCTTCAAAGTTTTAGGGTAGAGGACATAAACGTAGGGAGGCCACGAACTTGGGCCATCAACACAATCACTTCAGACAAGAGGCCCCTTTCGGGATGTTCCTATCCCCACTCCATCCCCACCCCCAGTTCATAGTGGCAGGGAATGAGTCCCAGGCCCTGGGTCTTATTTATTTATGCCACCCTTGTCAGTTTAGGAGAATCCCAGCCTCCAGTGCCTGCAATACACATGGTGCTTTGCTTCTGTGATCTCCAAAACTTTGCAGACAAGGAAATGACCACTCAGAGGCTGAGTAGCTTGCCTAAGATACCACAGATAGTTCATCACAGAAGCGAGATTCTAACTCAGTTTGTCTCATTCAAACCTGAATTCACTGAAGTGCAGGGTGCTGCCTTGAGCGTGTGTGTGACTCTTATTTATAAGACATAACGTGCACATAAAGACAACCATAATAGCAAAAGATCGGCCAGGCGCAGTGGCTCACGCCTGTAATCCCAGCACTTTGGGAGGCCGAGGTGGGCAGATCATGAGGTCAGGAGATCGAGACCATCCTGGCTAACACGGTGAAACCCTGTTTCTACTAAAAATAAAAAAAATTAGCCGGGCGTGTTGGCAGGCGCCTGTAGTCCCAGCTACTCTGGAGGCTGAGGCAAGAGAATGGCGTGAACCTGGGAGGCAGAGCTTACAGTGAGCCAAGATCACACCACTGCACTCCAGCCTGGGCAACAGAGTGAGACTCCATCTCAAAAAAAAAAAAAAAAAAATAGCAAAAGATCATTAATCCATGGGTTGGAGACACAGAAAATTTCTCCTGAAATATTATGACTTTATATATTAAGCCAGGGTTAAATTCCAGATTTGCATCCATTTCATCTAAGAACAGTTAGATAAGTAATCGTGTATCTGCTTAAAACTGAAAATGATATCCCAATGCCAATTTAATTCACTTATTTAACAAACAATTATAGATGATTGTAGCATTATGAAGGCATGCTTAGGACATAATGTTCGGGGGGGAACAAAGAGAACATAAAAAGAATCTGTGTGATCACAGAAGTGTGGACATCATAGATACGGGCAGGCCCAGGTAAATGCAGGCACAAACGGAGGCCGCTGATGCTTGAGGGAGCTGGGCTTTGTGCTTTGTAGGCTCTTGCTGAGGGAGGGGCAACAGAGGTAAACTCCTCGCTTACTCCCTCACCTGTGCACCAAACACACCCACCAACAACCAACGCAGAACCCAGGAAGGAGGCCACGGGGTGATCAGCTGGCTCTTCAGGCCCTGCTGTCTGTGGTGGCCTTACCTGGAGGCCCTCAGCTCACCTATACCCATCTGGAGATGGCTGAGGAGAGAAGAGGGGCTGTGTAACGTTCCATGCTTGCCCTTGTCAATGATAAAGATGTCCCCATCTCCTAAACCGGGCAGAGGGAGCTGGGCAGAGGGAGGTGGGGACGCACTGCCTCAGAGGTCTTCTCTCGGTCTCTGCTGGCAGTCACCTGCTCCCGGAAGACCAGCGCCCTCCTCCCTCACTGTTACTCTGTTTCATTTCTAAGATGTGAGCCAAGATAGGTGGCCTCTGAGAGTCTTCTCATTTTGGCCCATGGACTAGCTAAGCCCCAGGACTCCCTTTTCCCTGGCTAGAGAGAACTTGTTGGGACAGGGTGCTGAGTGAAGAAACAGAGGCCCACAGAGATAAATGTCTCCTACAGAAAACCCAAGGGCCAAAAAGGGGCGGGAAAACACAGCTCGGAAACCACCCTACCAAAGCCTCCAGCCCTCAGAGCACGAAGTCGTTCCTAGAAATTGCCCACACACTTCTTCGTTTTAAAGAACAAGCAACTCTTGCTGTAAGGACCAGCCTCACTTTAGATTTAGAGAATTGCTTAGGGTTTTGCTGAAGCAGAGGATGTTTTCTATGTTGTGCCTGTGATGGGTGCCATTCCCGTGCAACCTTTGAGATTGCTGGAGGTCTCTGTGCCCCTGAGAGCTGGGAGGAAGTTCTCAACGTACCTTCAATTCCACAGCACAGGGAAGGAAGTTCAACATTTCTTTACCATTCAGAGCATCCCTGTGCTTTGAGTCTCCTCTGCTTCTTGGGGACCAGTTCTGTTGCTCTTGGGATGACATGATAGTCCCAACTTGAAATTCAGTACCTTCTTTGGTTTTCTCAAAAACAACAGCACCCATGTACAACAAATCACCAGAGAGTTTAGAGACCATATCAAAGATTTCAGGGTGGTGGGGGAGTCACTCCATCCTGCCACTCACAGCCTCCTCTTTCCTCTCCCTGTCATCTCTGCTCATCATCCCCTCTGCTTTCTTAGATGCCCCTGGAGCCCCGATTTCTCCTCCCTCTAGCATGTCGAGCGCCTTCCCGCCCCTTCTGTAGCTGGAACCAGCACACATGCAGACATTCAGCAGACACCTGCTGCTCCAGACATTCATCTAAATATTTTTCTTAGCCATGACAGTGCTTGAGAAACATTCTGGTGTCAGCCGTGAAGTTGACACACTTTTCTTCCCCTCTTTGTACCTGGTAATGTTGCTGCTAGTATCATCATGCTCCCTGGCTCTCTGGAAGGCCTACTGTGTGTCACAGCATGTGGCCCAGGGTTAGCTGAGAGTTAGCAGAGCTGGGGTCCAGCCCCGTCTTCCCCATACCACAGCTGTGTGACTCAGGAAAGCTGCCCGTTATCTCAAAGGCTCAGTTTTCTTGCCTGTGAATGCTTATCTCTAGGGCCCAGAGAAATGATCATATCAGATCATGGATATCAGAGTGCTTTGTAATTCTCTTTTATAAAGGCATGAATCCTGTTCGTAAGGATTCTGCACCCCCGACCTGATCACCTCCCCAAAGGCCCCACCTCCTGATACCATCAGTTTGGGGATTCATTTTCAACTTTTTACTTCTGGGGGGCACAAACATTCCACCCATAGCAATGGTATTTTGGCAGAAGGGCTCCAATTTCTCGCAGGAGGCAGCGTAAGACAACTGCCCCATCTGGGGCCCTAGGGTGAAGAGCTGCCATGCTAATGAGGAAGGAGATTCATAGATGTGCCTCCCAGATGTGCCTGGTGTGTTCAGACACAACAGCTCCCAAAAATCCCTTAACCCATTCTTCACAGGCTGGGCATTTCATGAAATGGCAGCAGTGCTCATTTTAATGTTTTATGAGCCACAGAGCTTCCTGCAGGAAAGAGTGGAATGGAAACTGTTAAGCCCCCAGCGTGAGGTCCTGGGACCCATCAGGTTTGACTGGGTGCATCTGCAGGCGAGACGGTGCTGGGAGCATATGTTCAGGGGCACACGTCCTAAAACAACATGCAGCATCTCCTGGGCTTCCTCACCAATGACTTCTTGGACAGCAATCTTGTTGAGTTCTTCCACATAGCAGGTGCAGAGAGACTGTGGGATCTGAGTGTTGACACTGGGCAGGGGTCAGGAGTTCTGGTTTGGTCACAACACCTCTCTGGGCTGTGTTTCTCTACCTGCACCATCAGAAGTAGAACAAGATGCTCTCTAAGAACCAGCTCAGCTCCAGGTTCTGAGGTCAGAACCAGGGCACATAGGGGCAGGGACTAGTGTCAGGCCCAAGGCTCCTGGAAGCAGGTGTTCGGGCTCTGCCACCACCCATAGGCTCCCACAGCAGGTGGTTGTAAGTGTCATTGCTCCCCCTCCGAGGGACAGTGAGACAGCACAGAATGAGCACTAAGTGGGCTCAAAACCCCCCAGTAAGAAATAGGAACACTTTTACACTGTTGGTGGGAATGTAAATTAGTTCAACCATTGAGGAAGGCAGTGTGGTGATTCCTCAAGGATCTAGAACCAGAAATAAGATTTGACCCAGCAATCCCATTACTGGGCATATACCCAAAGGAATATAAATCATTGTACTGTAAAGACACATGCATATATATGTTTATTGCAGCACTGTTTACAATAGCAAAGACATGGAACCAATCCAAATGCCCATCAATGATAGACTGGATGAAGAAAATATGGTGCATATATACCATGGAATACTATGTAGCCATAAAAAGGAATTAGATCATATTCTTTGCAGGGACATGGATGAAGCTGAAAGCTATTGTCCTCAGCAAACTAACACAGGAACAGAAAACCAAACACCGCATGCTCTCACTCATAAGTGGGAGCTGAACAATGAGAACATATGGACACAGGGAGGGGAACAACACACACCAGGGCCTGTGGGCAGGGGCTGAGGGGAGGGAGAGCATTAGGACAAATAGCTAATGCATGCAGGACTTAAAACCTAGACGACAGGTTGATAGGTACAGCAAACCGCCATGGCAGATGTTTATTTATGTAACAAACCTGTACATTCTGCACATGTATCCTGGAACTTAAAGTAAAATAAAAATTAAAAAATTCCCCATGGTAAATCCAGCTCTGCTACTAACTGGCCATCATGCATCTCTCCAGATGACTGTTTCCTCATCTGCTCATGGCTAGGATAGTGCTGGATGGTACCAAAGGGCCTTTCCAGCAACAATCCCAGACCTCTGTCAGGATGGAAACTTCCTCCAAGAACAGTGAGGATTCTTGTTCTGCCATCAGACAGTGTCTTAGGGACATAGCTGTTTTGGGACACAAGAAGCAGGGCAAAGTAGTTTGAGAAAAAATGAAAAGCCATCTGTGGTCAAGAAAGTGTCCAGCTACCCAGGGAAGCATCTGCTCCAGTGGTCCCGATAGACACATAGTGTCTTCATCTACTTGGCATCATTTTTGTGCTTACCCAGGTGGAGTGGTACAGTGGGCAGACAAAGCTGTGAATTTTGCTTTGTACAAAGAGGGGATTTGATTGGGAGATCTCATGGCTTCCTTTGTTTGAGTTCCTCTTATATGCTAGTGTGGGAGGCAGAATAATGACCTCCACCCCACCCTGAAAGATGTCCACTTCCTTCTTCCCAGAACCTGTGAATATGTTAGGTTACATGATGAAGGAATTAGGGCCACAGATGGAATTAAGGTCACAGATGGAATTAAGGCTGCTCATCAGCTGACTTTGGAATGAGTAGTCCTGGACTACCAGGGTAAGCCCAATGCAATCACAAGGGTTCTTATAAGTGGAAAAAGGAGGCAAAGAGAGAGAGAACCAGAGAAGTGGCAATCTGAGAAGGAGTTGGCCCAAGGTTGCTGGCATTGAAGATGGAGGAATGGGACCAGGAGCCAAGGAGTGCAGGTGGACCATAGGAGCTGGAAAAGACAAGCAGGCGGATTCTCCCTAGAGCCTCCAGAAGGAACACAGCCCTGCAACACTCAATTTTAATCCAGTGACACCTGCTTCAGATTCTGACCTCCAGAACTGGAAGATGATAAATCTCCATTGTAATTTGCTGTAGCAGCAAGAGGAAGTGAATAGAGCTAGGTACATGGCAACCATTACCTTAGTCCTCACCCCCCTAAAGTCTACACATTTTCTACCTTTTGCTTTATAGATGAGAAGACTAAGACTCAGCGAGGAAATGTCAAGGTCACAGAGCTAGTGCATTGGTCAATGTTCCACCCAGGAAAGTGGAAATAATATTTCAGAGAGGCACTGGATGCCAGGAAATGGTTACAGAGGTGCCAGTAGGGCTGGGAGAGCAAAAGGAGTTGGGCAGAGTCACCCTGGAGCCCGTGCGTTCACCCTCCCTCCCCTTTCCAGGAGAAAGGGCTCAGTCCCAGCTCAGCCACTGGCCTGCCCAGTGGCCTCAAAGTGCTCACCTCTCTGCAAAATGAAAGAGTTGCATTGGCATTGGCTCACTTCTAATTTCTGAAGCCTAAAAGAAGCTCCTCTTTGCCGAGGCTGAGTTCAGCTACTCTCCTCCAGTCACATTCCATTTGTGTCAAACTTTGTCCTCCTTTTTGGGCCACACCATGCATATCCCAGATTCTGTGGTCTTACAGAGCCAGTTTTGATGCCAGGTGAGTTTGGGTTCAAGAACTGATCCCATCTCTTACTGACACTGCTGGAAGCATGACTGTGGCAGCAGGGCAGATGCTGGAGCTGCTCTCGTTAACGTGGCTGATGTTCTTGGCACAGATGACGTGGGAACCACAGCCTCTGAGGCTAACCAGGAGCCACAGCTGATGGTGCTGGAACTTTGACTAGCAGAAGAGGTCCTTTCTTCCTCTAACGATGCATCAGTGCCTCTCACTGCTGGAATCTAACAGGACTCTGCTAGCATGGGAGTAAGGAGATATCATTTATAGGGAGTAAGGACAGGCAGTTTGTAGGCTGCTAGCCCCCATGACACAGAAGAGTTCTAAAAGGGTGGTTGTGGGGCTGAGTCCCAATAGGGCAAATGCAACAAGTTCATAAGTAGTGGGATGCTGTCAGCACATTTCATCTCAGCACCTGTGCACTGGCTCCTTCGCCTGGAAGGCTCTTTCCCCAGATGTCTGCATGACCCACACCTCCCTCACTTCCTTTAGGTCTCTAGTGAAATAGCATCTTCTCAAAAACATCTCCCCCAGCTGCCATAGCTCAGTGTCCCCTCTTCTCACTGCCACTTACCTTGATTTATTTTTCTTTTTAGCACTCATTATGACCTGAAATGATATGTTTATAAATGAATTTGCTTAGTATCACTCCCCTCCATGAGAATGAAAAGCTCCATGCGAGGAGGGACACTTTTCCTATTTTACTTATTGCTGAAACCCCAGCACCTAGAGCAGTGCCTGGCATACAGTAGGCATTTACTTACTAAATAATTGTTGCATGAATGAAGAAAACCAAAGTATACCAAAGGCTGAGTACAGTCTGTAGCACGCTGCTGCTTAAAGCTCTGTAGTACATTCTTGGAGGTGTTTATAGCAATTGGATGGAGACTTACTTGCTGTGGGAACATGAAGCAGTTTCACCCAGAGGAGAAGCAGGCATGGAGAAAGAGAGAGAGAGTGCCATTTTTACAAGGGAAATATTTTAGATCATTGCTTTGGGCCTTCTGTGATGTTTCTGTCTTGATAGTTTCTACCTCTGTTCTGGAGAGGTTTCCTCATGAGAGAGATTTTCCAAGTCAGGCAAGGCATATATATATATATATATATATATATATATATATATAGAGAGAGAGAGAGAGAGAGAGAGAGAGAGAGAGAGAGAGAGAGAGAGAGTCATTCTCATTTCAGGTCTCCCTGCAGTCACTCTCCATGTGGCATCAAGCCCCACCAACTCAAGTGGTAGTGAGTCGTGTCTGTCTCTCACTAGAGACCTCCTGGGAGCAGAACCCGTTCCTTGTTCTTCCCTTAACACAGTGGATCTTTGCACGCCATCCCAGATGCACAGCAAGCTCTCACAAGCTGCCGGATAATGGCAATGAGCTGAATTTGGCTCCTTAGCCTCTCAGCCCTGAGATTTCTTGTGAGGTGTGTGGAAAGAAAGATCAGACAGATCTAGGTCAGAGCATGAACTCCTCACTATTACCTGGGCGAACACTGGCACATTTCCTCACCTCCCTGAAGCTGTGGACTGAAACACACTCGCCTTGAAGGGCTGTTTCTGTAAGACACCTCGCACAAAGCCTGGCATACAGTAGGTACACAATAAACCTTAGCCTCTTCTCCCCTGCTCAGTGTCTCTTGACTCCTCTTGAATAAAGTTGAATCTGTAACTGGGGCAAGATCTGATTATGTAACAGCTCCCTCTCCCAGCCCAGGAGTTTGCCATGCTACACAGAGGTTTTTTTCCCAGTTGGGAAATGCAATTTCTCATTCCTCTTTCAAGTTCTTTGGAGTTAGTGATTAGAACATGGCTAGGAATATGCATGAGGTATGAGCCACAGGAAGCCCTCTTACTTTCAAATTGAAGGGAGAATGTGGGGAACATGCATTCAGGGGGTAGGGCTTGGATGAACTATTTTTAAATGACTTGGAGAGTGAAGAGAATGAACTCCTCTGAGAGAGTTACCTTCCATAAACTCATGTAATTTTTAAATGGGCTGATAGATAGCAATTTCCCAGGCCATTTCCTCTCTCTCCAAGGGCAGCCAGTTTAAACTGGAGGTATCAGCTCTGTCCCCTCCCACCCCATGGGTGACATTGCCCCATCTCCTTCCAATCATCTACACAGCCTGCACACATCTGGGGTTCTGGGCTTGCTTTAGAGACCCTGTTGTTCATCTTCCTCTCCAGTGCCTGGGTCCCTTCCACAATATGATTGACAGGTGGTCACCTGGCTCCTCTTGCACACCTTCAGGGATGGGGAACTCACTGTGCAAAAAACACGTTCATCCTTGGACACATCCATCAGGCAGTTCTTCCTTGTGGTCCCACACATCAGAGCTCTTGCCTGGAGCCCTTGTTCTGACCTCAGAGCCAAGGAAAGCAAATCCAATCCAGGCATCTCCTCTTGGGAAACTCTTTTCTGCAGACTAGACATCTGCAAATATGAGTAGGTTCATTACCTTCATCCAGCATGCTGTGAGCACCTCTGCATTCTAGACCCAGAGGAAAACCAACCTCTTCCATGAAGCATCTGCCATGAGCCTTCCCCTAGTGCAAGCGCTGCCCCGAGCTGACAGGACTGTGAGGACAGGAGCCAGCACAGGTGTGGCCACGTACCAATCACAGCACACCCCCAACACTGCACTACAGGCAATTGCAAGTTTAGCACCAATTCTGTGACATGTTGGAAGCACAGAGAGGACTTTCTGGCTCTCCCTCCTACCCTCTTTTTCACCCTGGGCCTGTGAGGAGCTACATTTCCTTCCACCCGTCTTTAGGGGAAGACCTGGCATTTGCTAAACTTGCAACACAGATATCCGTCTTGCTCTGATGAAAGTGATGGTGAAGGGAAGGTTGGGTGAAAACCAGAGAGCATGATGAGTGTCTTTCAATTTCAGATGAGACTGAGAGAGAGAGGAGGAAAGGTGGAAGGGAGGAAGGAGAGGGGAGGGGAGAGAGACAGGCAGGATTTGCGGGGAGGACAGCATTCCAAAGCTCTGAAGGGTCTGATTCTAAGTTGCTGTCATGGTCTGAATGTTTGTGCTCCTCACCACCCCTAATTTGTATCTGGAAGCCCCAGCTCCCCAGAGTGATGGTCTTTGGAGGGGAGTCTTTGGGAGGGCTGGCTGAGGTCATGAGGGTGGTGCCTCCAGAGAAGTGAGAAGGCAGTGTCTGCAGCCAGGAAGAGGCTTTCACCAGGGAGCTGACTCTGCGGACACCCTGGTCTCGAACTTCTGGCCTCCAGGACTGTGAAGTCTGTTGTCTAAACCACCCATCTGTAGTATGATGTTATAGCAGCCCCAGCTGGCTGAGCTTCCAGGAAGCATTGCTGGACATTGGGAAAATGATACTTCTGGAGCCCCGGTGTGGGTTGTAATTCTCGCTCCTCCGCTCCCCTGCTGAATGACAGCACTAGCCCCTTCTAGTGTCCCCCTCACACCCTCCCTCTGCCCACTCTAATTTCAGCCTTGCTGCAGCAGACAGTCCATGTGGGCTCAGGTATGGGCCAATGTTTGCCCACCTTAAGCACAGCACGTGCCTCTCCAAATGCTCAGGCCCTCTCCATGGCCAGGAAGCTGCTCAGCCATCTGCAGCGCAGTGTAGACATTCAGGGAGTTAATACCCCTGGGGGCAGGAGCTGGCAGATAAATGCCCCATCTTCCCCTGTGGGACAGTTCTGGAGGTATTCCATGTGCTGCTCAGAAGCCCCGCAGAACTGATGCCCTTTGCCCATAGAAGTCTCCCCAAGATGCACCTTGGACTGCCTTGCTCTCCAGCCGGTAAACTTCCCACACCCAGCATGTGTCTCAGGCTCTGCTGCGAGGGCATCCAGTGTCACTGCCCATGTGCAAGCTTCATCTTCTCACCTGCAAAGTGGGAATACTGACTGTGTCTACTTCAGGGGATAGTTATACGAGAATTAAATGAATAAGGGCACATAAAACACAAGGGAACCCTTAGCAAGTGGTGACCAATGTTATTGCAACGTGGATAGCTCAAAAATGAACCTCATTAAACGATGTAGCTCCAAACAGAAGCAGGTGACAAGGCTGGCTGAACTTGATGAAGCGGCTTCAACCTGTAATCCCGTCCATCAGGAATGAAATGTTTTGGGAGTTGAAAATGCAGGCCAGTGAATTTCCATCTTCCTTAGTATCAACCACTGTCCTTGCTGAGTAGTAAGAAGTTGTTGCCTTTTTATATTTTAACAATAATCATTTAGCAAAACCTACTGAAACTTTTCATTCGGAATATGTTTAAACAGAAAGTTTTTTAAACTGCTTGCAAGTTTTTCTTTTTGAATGTGCAGATCCGAGAGTTTTTTGTTTGTTTGTTTGTTTGTTTGCTTTTGAGAAGGAGTCTTGCTCTGTCACCCAGGCGGGAGTGCAGTGATGCACTTTCGGCTCACTGCAACCTCCACCTCCCGGGTTCAAGCGATTCTCCTGCCTCAGCCTCCCGAGTAGCTGGGACAACAGGCACCCGCCACCACGCCCAGCTAATTTTTTTGTATTTTTAGTAGAGATGGGGTTTCACCACGTTGGCCAGGCTGGTCTCAAACTCCTGACCTCGGGTGATCTGCCTGCCTTGGCCTCCCAAAGTGCTGGGATTACAGGCGAAAGCCACTGCTCCCAGCTGAGATCCAAGAGTTTTTATTGGTGATCTGTGTATATAACTTTGTCTACCAAACCACATGACAGACACATCTCTTTTTATGGAACAGTTTCTTATAAAAGGTTGCTACTTTCTCACTCCTGTTAAAATGTCATCTTTATCCTGAAGCAACAGATTGACTACATCTTGAATTTGAAAATCTCTGTGAGGCAGCGTACTGTCAATGGTCATTGAGGCTAGCAGCAGGCTTGCACCTGAAATGGAGATAGCGGGTTCCACTATTGATTGTCCTGTCTTTCTTTGTGTGGGAGTTGTTAGTTTTACCTTTAATTTGTGGTTTCTTTTGTTTTGTTTTTTTTCTTGAGATGAGGTCTCACTGTGTTGCTGAGGCTGGCCTCGAACTCCTGGGCTCAAGAGGTCCTCCCACCTCAGCCTCCCAAAAAGATTAGTTGGAACTACATACAGGCATGTACTACTATGCTCAGCTTTTGGGGATTCTTTACAAGCCACCTGTATATTCATTGGGGTTAATTCAATTGAAACCAAATACTACCATTTCCAAATCTGCTAACTGGTAAATTGCACAAGTAAACAGCAATATGTCATTCAAAAGACAGATCGAAGGCACCCTGTCAGCTTCTCCACACGGTGGAGCCCTGATCCCCAGTCACATAGGCCATGTGAAGGCTCCAGGTTCGGTCCATAATAAAACGTTATAAAGCTATAAATAGGAGCTCCAATATCTCCTCCTACACCCCTTGTTACATACCCTACCTTGGATCCAACTGCTGTCGGTAATAAAAACACACTGAACCTAAGTTAAAAACCCAATGACTTCCTCCTCTTAAATTCCATTAGTCATTGAAAAATAAATGCTTTGATGAAATCTCCTATTTTTAGAAGCATGAGGCCTGCCCTGTGTAAGGGAGAACAAGCTCAGTGCCACTCTGGGCATGGAACTTATACGAGGCTATTGCCCTATGCTCCACGTGAAGTCCCTTTGCCTGTCTCATCCCAGGCCCCCGATCACAAGAGGGAAGAGGCCTCCGGGTTGTTCTGCGCTTTGCTCTAGCAGGAGGTGATAAAAGAGGTGACAAAGTGTGGCTGCTGCCATAACAAAGTGCCATGAGTTAGTGGCTTACAACAATAGAAATGGGGTTGGGCGTGGTGGCTCACGCCTGTAATCCCAGCACTTTGGGAGGCCAACGCGGGTGGATCACCTGAGGTCAGGAGTTCGAGACCAGCCTGACCAACATGGTGAAACCCCATCTCTACTAAATACAGGCGTGGTGGCGGATGCCTGTAATCTCAGCTACTTGGGAGGCTGAGGCAGAAGAATCACTTGAATCTGGGAGGCGGAGGTTGCAGTGAGTGGAGACTGCATCACTGAACTGCAGTCTGGGCAACAAGAACGGAACTCTGTAAAAAAAAAAAAAAAAAAATCGAACAACAGAAATGGATTCCCTCACAGTTCTGGAGGCCAGAAGTCCAAGGTCAAGGTGCCAGCAGGGCCATGCTCCCTCTTCTGGCTTCCGACGGGGACCAGCAGTCCTTGGTGCTCCCTGGCTTGCAGCTGCATCACTCCAACCTCTCCTCCGTGAACACAAGCTTGCCTTCCCTGTGTGTATCTATCTGTGTCTCTTCTCCTCTTGTAAGGACAAGAGTCATATTGGATCCAGAGTCCATCCTCCTACAGTATGACTTCCTCATAACTTACATATTAATTATATTGACAAAGGTCTTATTTCCAAGTAAGTTCACATTCACAGCTACCAGGGGTTAGGACTTCAGCATATGTTTATGAAGACACAATTCAACCCACAACAGAAGGTTATAGCATTTTGTACCCTCTGCCAGGCTAAAGATGAAAGGGAGAGGGAGAATGTAGCAAGTACCCCACAGTGATAGCATGTATATTCATAATGCTCCTTGCTCATCAAGAGCCAGATACCGTTCTGAGGACTTTGTGTGTGCCAACATCGAACACTGGTTACACCACCAATGCTATTATGTTTATTTTACAGACAAGGAAACTCAGGCATGGAAACATTAAATACTTCACCTGGTATCATACTAGATAGAAAATGGTGCAGCCAGGATTTGTTTGTGAGCACCCATTGGCCCCGAAACAATGTGTGTTTGCATTGGTGAGCACCAATTGGCCCAAGACAATG
Source organism: Homo sapiens (assembly GCF_000001405.40). NCBI lineage: Eukaryota > Metazoa > Chordata > Mammalia > Primates > Hominidae > Homo > Homo sapiens. Next base: position 9,926,298 of record NC_000004.12, on the reverse strand, counting down.
TGTGTTTGCATTGGTGAACACCCACTGGTCCTGAGACAATGTGTGTTTGCATTAGTGAGCACCCATTGGCCCTGAGACAATGTGAAGCCCAGGTTTCTCCAGCTCCAAGACCTGCCCTCTCCCACTGTACCACAACGTCCCTTAAGTGGCTCTTGCTCAGGGGGCACTCCCAGGTGTGGGCTCAGCAGGTGTACAGACACCTGGAGGGGTCTCCAGGCCAGGATGGCACCTGTGCTAACAGCGTGGCTCTCTGAGGACCCCAAGGGAGGCTGGCGGGCTCCATCTCATCTGCTTGCAGTCGTATGTGGGCCACCCCCAGATGCATCAGTGTCTGTCACTCTGCTGTGCTCTGAAGGTGTCTGAGGACCATGGGGAGCCTGCCATTGGAAAATCACACCATGCCCGGAACAGTAGGGAGAACACCGAACAGATACTGGCCCCCCTGCTGATGCAATTTGGTTGACATCTAGCATAATTTTCCTCTGTTCCTGTTTGCTCAGCCCTCCCCCGCTTCTGTGTTTATAACATGCTCCTTCTCCTTCCCTGTCACCTGAGTCTTGATTTTTACTATTTCATTCAAAACACATGGGTTGGATGTACATTCTATGCAAGGCTCAACAGAGAGGAAATAAAATAACAATAATTGTTTATTGAACACAAATTATGTGCCAACACTTAACACACATTGATTTTATTCCCCAAAACAACCTCATAGGTAGGTTTTATTATTTCTGTTTCATGGAAGAACAAGCATGGGGCGGGCAGAATAGGTAACTAGTCTGGGGTCTTTTAGCAGAGACAGGGCTGGGTGTGAAGCCCAGGTTGCTCCGACTCCAAGGCCCACCCCTTTCCACAGTAACACAGCATCCCTTAAATGGCCCCTGGTCAGGGGGCGCTCCCAGGGGTGGGCACAGCAGGTGTGCAGACAGAACGCCCCAGACAAGAGTGAAAGTGCACAAGAGAGACAGACACAGGTGCAAGAGCGACCCGGATGAGAGGGTAACAGTGATTAGCCATCATGGGGGCAGGGAAGGTCTCCAAAAGATGTAACTGCTGAGGGGATCCTCGGAAAAGGATGTCCTAGGCAGGCAACAAAGTGGCAGGGTGTTCTGGACACAAGGAACAGCACGAGCAGGGCACAGAGGCAAGGCCATGGGGGTATGTGGAATGGAGGACGAGTGCCTTTTCCAGGGCAGCAGCCAAGAGAGATGGGGGGAGCCTCCAGATGCCACAGGGACCGTGGGAGGAGGCTCTGCATGGCAGATGAGAATTTGGACTGGATCCTGCTGGCAAGGGCAAGACAGCACAGATTTGTGTGCAGAAGAGTGGCCCAATCATCTTCCTGGGGATTAGCCTGGGGATAATGAGCCCAGTGGGGAGAGGCTGAGGCCTGAACTAAGGCAGGCCTGGGCTCAGGCAGAGAGGAGCACATGGACTGTAGACGCTGAAGGGGCTTAGTCACTAGATCAGACAAATCAGACACGGAAGGCAGTGTCTGGGTTATGTGACCACAGGCATCCAGTTTAGGTGACTTTGTGATTGTTGTCAGGTGCCCCCAAAGCCTGAGTCAAGGTTTTGAAGATGGGAAGTTTATTTGAGAGGTGACTCGAGGAAGCACCACTTGCCCAGCTGGGAAATGGGACAGGGAAATGGAGGATGCAATTGAGGAAGCACCACTTCTCCAGCTGGGAAATGGGACAGGGAAGGAGAGGGTACAATTGAGGAAGCATCACTTCCCCAGCTGGGAAATGGCACAGGGAAGTGGAGGAGGCATTGAGGTTCAATAATGAGCAGGTGTCAGCTGTGGGCAACTGGGACCCCACCCACCCAGTCACCTCTGGGGGACAGCGTAGGACTCACTCAGGTGTCTGTGAGGAAGCTAGGTATACCTCTGTTAACATCAGCTTTGTCTTAACCGAGGGCTGCTCCTGGGGGTGTTAACTGCTGAGGGCTGAGCACACACCTGTGCCCAGGGAAAGCCGCAGGCGGAGAGGCACGGGTGCTGGGTGTAGGAAGCTGTCCATGTGCAGGAGAGACATGGGTGGCATGCAGTGCCGGCTACAGGGACACAAGGAACACGTCAGCAAATTGAAGCACCAGGTTCTGTCTTTGTTCCTTGTTGGTCATAAGATAATGAGGCTGGACCAGAGGATGGGACAATCTGGGTTGTTTTTCTTTTTTTAATCACCATATGCCCAGCTCCCAAGCCCCATGCCTGGCACCTTCAGGGGTCTCAGAACTATAGGTCTTGCCACCCCCTGTGACCTGTGGGCAGGAACTTCATCTCCGTGCAAACACTCAAGGCCCTCCTCGGCTTGCTCCTCCCTTGTCGTCCAGCCAGGAAAGCATCAGAGAAGGCTTCCTGGAGGTGTCTGAGATAAGGCTGAAAGAACGAGGCAAGTAGCCAGGTGCAGAAAGGTCAAAAGAACATTCCAGATTGAGGAAAGAGCCAGATATGCAGATGAATGTGTCAGGTTCCAGCCCCAACTGAGGCCCAAGGAGGGTGGATGGATGGACAGGTAGCTGAAAAAACAGACGGGGGGCCGTAAGCAGGTGAATATGGTTTTACTCAGCAGCTCTCTCATCAGCAGCTCTCATACACTGTCCGTTCTGTCTCAGCTGCTTGAGCCAGCTGCTCCCACGCTCAGCTGCACGGCCAGCTCTCCCTTGCCTTCAGGGTCAGCAGCTTAACTCTTTCTCTCTCTGGGCACAAGCGTGAGCCGTGCCATGCCGTGCTGTGCCGAACCCTGCCCTGGCTCCCCTCTGTCCATCTGCAAAATGGACGGCTCTGGTTATCCCTCTCCTCTCTTTCTCTGGGTGCCAGCAGCTGCACAAGAGTCATGTGGAGCCATGCCCAAGAGCCCCCGTACAGTGTCAGCAGGGCAGTTATACCTTCCCAAACAATAGTGGCTCCAAGCCAAGTATGAACTTACACAAACAGGTTATATAACAAGTGGAGTATGCACCTGTGCACCTAAACTCACTGAGTCATTCTGGCCTGGATGTTTGCCTCGGCCTATTCCTTGACCAAAGCACATCCATGTACCTTACAGAATGTCTCTTGCTTTTCCCTAGTGCCAGGAATAGGAGACAACTTTCCATCCTTCTGCCTCCTGCCCAGAGTGCCCCTGCCTTCTCTGGCAGCCTGAAATGCCCCCTCCTTGGTGCCCCCTCAGGACTCCAGCTCAGTCTTCTATGTTTGCTATTTTCAAAAGAATATCTGTGAGCCCTCAGCCAGAAAGGGTGCATGTGGAATAGGGAGGACTCCAAGCCCAAATCCCAACAGGCCGTTGTTAGGAGTGATTGAAAATAGTGAGGGAGTCATGGAGGGGTGGGGGGCGGACTTACCTGGCAGTTAGGGAAATAGAAGGCTGGTGCGCTTGGGCCAGGGTCCTGCAGGGCACTGAAGAGGCAGGGGCTGAAGGGTGTGGGAGGCGCCGGCAGGTAACTCCTTGGTGCAGGTTTGGGTTCTCCTGGAAGCAGGTCTGAGAACGAGTTAGGAGAGCAGAAGTTTCAATGGAGAATAACACATGGAAAGTGACAAGGATGGGAGAAGAACTGGGCAGGAGGAGCTATCAGGCCACAGTGCCCCTGGCAAAGTCTTGGCAAGTCCAGGGGAGAGCTCTGGAGAAACTCAGGAGAAACTCATGCATTGCAGGAGGTCCCCCACTGGACAGAAATGGCTGGGCCCTTGGACTGCCTCCTTGCTCATTCATAGGCTGGGGGTCACTCTGAAACAGTATCACCCACTTTATGAACATATATACAATAGGAAGGTTAAATTGAAGCTTTAAGAAAAGATCAGAATTTTTTTTTTAAATTTTAAAGTTCCAGGATACATGTGCAGGATGTGCAGGTTTGTTACATAGGTCAACATGCGCCATAGTGGTTTGCTGCACCTATCAACCCATCACCTAGGTATTAAGCCCTGCATGCATTAGCTATTTTTTCTAATGCTCTCCCTCCCCCCACCCCACCCCCCAATGGGCTCTGGTGTGTGTTGTTCCCCTCCCTGTGACCATGTGGTCTCATTGTTCAGCTGCCACTTATAAGTGAGAACATGTGGTGTTCGGTTTTCTGTTCCGGCGTTAGTTTGCTGAGCACTGTTCACAGTAGCAATGACATGGAATCAACCCAAATGCCCATCAATGATAGACTGGATAAAGAAAATGTGGTACATATACACCATGGAATACTATGAATCCATAAAAAGGAATGACATCATATCCTTTGCAGGGACATGGATGGAGCTGGAAGATAGGAAATTTTAAGAGAAAGAAGAGAGATTTTTTGTTTCAGGAAATTCTGTTAAGGGCTAAACATTGCATTTGTCTGAGAGCTTCCTGGCAGCCATGGTGAAAAGAGAAAAAAAAAACATAGGTTATGAAGTTATCCTTATTTTATAATGGAAAATATGTATGTCATGAAGGAAAGAAATAGTTTTCTACCCCAGAAGTCTAGAGTTATTTTATCACATAGATGTTGCATTTTGAACTTTGAGGAAACAGTAGAAATATTATACTTAATGCATGAAACAGAAACATTGCTCATTCAGCTGCTTTTCTCATTTACCCTTAATAAATGCTGGGGAGAGCATTAAATTATAGTTCATAAAAAAAGATATTCTGAAGCAGTTTTTAGTACCCTGCTGGAAATAACACTCCAAAGCCTTCGGAAGGGTTCTTGCTTCTTGGAGAATCTGGAGCAAGTTTAATGGCATTTGCTTAAGAAGAGCATTTTCACACGCCCTGAGGGGCGGAGCCATGTTTTAGGGATGCTGCCTGCTGTGTCTGGAATGGACTGTCCGCAGGAGCCAGCACAATAGCCACCTTTCCCTGTGGGAGGAAGAAAGATCAGAGCACTGAGCATTGAAATCTGTGTCCAAAAGTGCACCCCATGATCTGATTATTGTGCTTTCCGGGATCTAATCAGTCAGCCCGCCTTCAAGCACACATTCATAGAGGTTTGCACAATTAAGGTCTTCATTTAAAAAAAAAATGATGGGTTCTCTGAGGCTGGAAGTTTGCAGTGTTCAACATGGAAAAGGCATAAATCATGAGGGTGGGTTTGAGTCCTGGTAAGATTCACTCTTTGGGACTATTTCCACTCAAGTTTTCTTGTATTTCAGAGGATCACATGGAAGGGGCCTTGCAGTCGTTAAGCTCAATCCTTCTTTTCACAATAGCATGGACTGCAGGGCATCCTGGCCAAGTGACATCCTACTGGTCTCCGGACACCTGCAATGAGGATGAACTCATGAGCCAGGCAAACAGGAGGTGCTTAGTGAATATTCAGCAAACGAACTCCAGTGTGGGAAGCTCCGAGCCATGGTTGAATGTATATGATATCATGCAATTATTACAACAGCCATTGGAGGCAGGAATGATAACAAAAGATGAACAGGGACACAACTGCCCAATGTTATAGACGGGTTTGAACTCTGGGTGTGCTCTGCCTTGCGTTGCGGACAGTCAAGAGACCCACGTTCTCAGCTTTTCTCCCAGCCAGCTGGGTGATGTTGAGCAAATCATGGCATCTCTCTGGGCCTCTGTTTTCCCATTTTTAAACAAGGGCTTTGGACTCCATAGTTTCAAAGGCCCCTGCCAAGTTCCGCCCCCAGCTAAGGTGTGTGGCTAGGAGGTGGGACCCGTCCCTGCAGGGCCCAGCATTAGACATGATGGACACTCTAATCCCTGCTGAAAGTCCATGTGTGCCTCTGTTTGCAGCCTTCCAAACGTTCTTGGGTAAAGCAGACGTTTCCCAAGAGGTAGAGGAGGTCCTGGCTGAGAGCCGCGTGCAGAGGAGCATCCGCCTGGTGTCCGTGCTGGAGCTGCTGAGAGCTCCCTACGTCCGCTGGCAGGTGGTCACCGTGATTGTCACCATGGCCTGCTACCAGCTCTGTGGCCTCAATGCAGTGAGTCCTGGGGCCCGGTGGGCATCCTTGCATGACTGGAGGGATCAGAGGGTGGGGAGGTTCAGGGCTTGGGCCCCAGACGCCCAGGTTCAAATCTCAGTTCTGTCATTGCCACAAACTCTATGCTGTTAGGTAACCATGTAACTTGACTGATCCTCAGTTTCCTCATCTGTAAAATGGGATCACATAATATGGAAAGACACAATCCATGCAAAGTGTTCAGTTCAGCTGCTAGCCACAGAGATATCCTATAATAAATGCTATCACTAATTATTCCTAGACATGTCTAAAAGTTATATTTCTTTAAAAAATTGATATTAGGAAGTCAGAAGTGAGAGACATTCAGATGATTTTCATAAAAGTACTCTTGACTGGGCTGTCTTCAACTCACAACTTTGGCTTGAAAAAAACCTCAAGGCTTTAAGTAAGAAATGTTCTGGGGCTTGAGCTGCTGCAGGCAGGGAAGTCTGAGGAGGTCTCTCCATGAGGTTCCCCAGATGCTTGGATGTTCACAGCAGTCTCCTCTCCCTTGAGGGCACTCAAAGGTGGAATTCCCAGTTGGAGACTTAGGGAGGCAGAGTCTGGATCTTTACTGTTACTGTTGCTTCTGACAAATGGAGTGGGTTGCCTCTAGGGGTGGTGATCTCCCCATCTATGGAAGTGTGCAAATAGGCTGGCCAACCACTTGGCAGGGGAGCGTAGAGGAGATTCTTGCATAAAGCATCCAAACTGCCTCTGAGGTCACTCATGTCACTTGGGAGGAGACTGACTGAACCCAGAGAGAGGGAGAAGGGGCACCCGCCAGCACCCTTCCAAAGGGCCCCAGTAAGACAGCTTGCATTTATACTAAATAAGCGTGAGACCAGCACCCCCCAAGGCGGGCAGGGAGGGTGTTTGGGGGTGTCTAGGGAAGGTGATGTGAAGGGGAGTCATTCCTGTCCAGAGAAGGAAAAACAGCAGCATAGAAATCTACAACCACAGTGTTGTTCCACCTCCTTTCAACAACTGTTGGTTCTATTTTCGGAAACACTGGGATGAAATGAGATCACCTTGCTTCTTGCTTTTACCTTTCTCCTTGGTCTGGTTAAAGTCAGCAGATTGAGCAGGCGCCTGGGTCAGTGGCTGTACCTACATTAACTGAGTGATCCTGGGAGAGTCCTGTTGTCTCTTCCTGTTGACGAGACCGAGGTTTTGCCAGACAGTCTGAAGGAGGCGCTGCTTGTTCTCAGAGAGTAGAGAGGGGAAGTGAATTGTTTCTTCAAGCTAACACCTGAAGCCTTAAAGACCGAATATGGAACCTGTAGTGAATGAGGCATTTACACTGAGAACCATCAGTTCTAAACAGAATTCAATTCTCCACAGGGACATCATTTTTCCATTTGCATCCCCCGTATAACTTCATAAATTCCTCTATGGTGTACCTGCAAGCCGCACTGACTAAGCACCTGTTGAAAAAAAATCTCAGCTGCTCCCAAAGCCAGCAGTCATGAGGCCCCATCCTCAGAGTGTTCTGCCCTCCCATGTTGATGATCTTCAATCTTTAAGTCGGGATAATATTTCCAGCTGAGCGTGCTTTACCTGACCTGGAGCAGAGCTCTGGACCAAGAGTCAGAGGCCTGGCTTCCCATCTCAGTGGGACACAAACCTGCAGTGAGAAACCCAGGCCAGCTGCTCCCCGTCACTTGGCCTCCACCTACTGGGCTGCAAACCTCATCAAGTGCACATGCATGTAGCACTCAGAGTGGGCCAGGAGCTGTCCCCATGGCTGCCCTGTGAGTTAGGCCGCACTGTTAGGCCTAAAGACATAAAGAAACTTTTCCAAGGTCAAACAGTGAGGAATAGTAAAAGGATTTGAGCCCTAGCTATCTGGCCCCAAGGTCCCCCTCAGAGCACCCCCATGCATGTCACTCAGGCTGTGTCCCCAGGCCATCCCTAGGCAGCCATGGGGACAAGTCTTCTTCCGTGTTACATACAGAGAGACCCATGCTGTTTAGTGGCAAATGCCAGCATCACAGCCACACTGTGGTCCAGCTCTCCCCTGTACCTGCTGCCTTGTCATCCAAATTCACGGGACAAAGAGAGCTACCAGCACTAGCAGGTGTGACTTTTTCTGTGCAGGCACCACCCCTGGGATCCAAAACTTCAGCTGCCTTGGAAGACTTGCTTTGTCTTCTTCATTATCCCAGACATTATTTGGGGGACATGACATGTCACTGGAGACATCCGTAAATACTGCCAGGCATCTCTGTGTTTGTCATTTTATTCAAGCCCCAAACAGCCCCACAGGGTAAGTGGTATTGTCCCCATTTTCTAGATGAAGGACGTGTGACTCACAGAGGGTCAGGCATTGCCCAAGGTCCCAGGGGTGGTGCCTGCACAGACAAAGTCACACCTGCTGGTGTTGGGTGCACTCCCTGGACAGCCCACCCAGACACTTTGTACCAAACTTGCATTTCTCAGCCTCATATCTGTGTACATTTTGAGCTGGAAAATTCATTGTCATGGGGGCTGTGCTGTGTGCCTAGGCTATTCAGCAGCCTCCCTGGCCTCTTCCCATTAGGTACCAGTAGCACCATCTGCCCCACCAGCTGTGACAACCAAAAATGGCTCCAGACACTGCCAAACATCCCATGGGAGCAAAATTGCCCCTGGCTGAGAACCTCTGTATCAAGCAAACATCACAGATGGCTCAGTATATTTATGCTAAGGAGCTGATGAATGTTTTTCACGTACTTTAGAAGTCACTCAAAATTTTGCTGGGTGCAGTGTCTTGTGCCTGTAATCCCAGCACTTTGGGAGGCTGAGGCAGGCGGATCACCTGAGGTCAGGAGTTTGAGACCATCCTGGCCAACATGGTGAAACCCCATCTCTACTAAATATAAAAATTAGCCAGGCATGGTGGCAGGCACCTGTAGTCCCAGCTACTCTGGAGGCTGAGGCAGGAGAATCACTGGAACCTGGGAGGCGGAGGCTACAGTGAGCCAAGATCGCACCACTACACCCCAGCCTGGGACACAGAGCAAGACTCCATCACAAAAAAAAAAAAAAAAAAAAAAAAAGGAAAAAAGAAATTATTCAAAAGTTGGGATAACCAACATTTATTTATTTATTTCTAAATTCCTTTTTGGTGTTGGATTTTTTTTTCCCTCTGCCTTACACAATAGGCTTTCAAATTCCATTCTCTAAAATTAGACCTGTCGCTTAAAGTGACTTATTTTAGGCAGCTGCCTTCCTTTCGAGCAGTTTGTCCTCAGCATGAAAACCAGGCTTCAGTGTGAGTGTCAGTCTGTTGCCAGTGTGAAAGAGGCTCCTGGCTTTAGGCCCATCCCCGTCCCCATTGCTGGGGTGGCCACAGCAGTTCCTGCCCCTCCACTGTGCTCCCCTCACCTGGAGAGAGCTATTAGTGGGTCTCCATCCTGGGAGATGGAGGCTGCATCTTATCAACCCTGTGCCTCCAGCACCAGAGCAGCCCATGCCACATGGTGGGCACCTGAGTGTCTGGGGGAGAAAAGGAGGTGAGGGCAGGAGATAGGGAGTTCTTGGGCTGAAAATTGGATCAATACCAATTGTCAAGCCCAGTGTGGGGAAGCCTTCATTTTCTTGAACCTTCCCTTATCTTCCAGAATGCCCAGGGTCATGGTGGTTCTCTTATCTACTTGGGATGACCCTTCCTTCCTTGGGATTCCTTCTTTCTTAAACACAGAAGCCAATCATAGTCACTTCCCTGGGCTTCAGTCTCCCATCCTGAAAAATGGGGATGATAATACTCAGTTTGCACAACTGCTGTGAGGAATCTGTGGAATTATGTAAAATATCTCACAGGTGGCAGCTGCTCAGCTTGCATGAATCTCCTCCCAACCTTGCTGTCATCAGCACGACTGTTTCTAGCATTGTTTTCTCCTCTCTCAATGCCATGCAGTTTCAAAATCTGCTGCTTCCTGATATGCAGTCTTGGTTGGGAAACAAGACACCCAAGTGTGTTAGAAATAGATGTAAAAGAAGAGCAAAGAGGATCAGAGTGCCAGCTGTGAATGAGCCATATGGGCCTGGTGACATTGGTTCTGGGTGCTCACCGGCGGTGGACTGCTGCCTGGGTCTTTGCACTTGGTGGGATACCCATGCATTACAGGGTTCCTGGTGTGTTCCTCTAACCACTTAGTTGGGAAATCGTTGTGTACTCCTCCCTTCCTTGCTAGACTAAGAGGTCTTCTAGGGTAGACGAGGACCTGTGTTGTCTGCTGTCACCTTAGTGCCTAAGAGAGTCCCAGATTTCTTACGCTTTCTCTAAACAGTTGAGTAGAAGGGAGGGAAGGGAGGTGACTGGGAGGAACAAGGGGAAGGAGACATGAAAACTTTAGATGTGTTTACAGAAAACTGTGGTACTTTCCCCCTCTTTTGGCCTGGAACCACATGAAGGTCCATCTGATTTGTTGAACCATCATTAGGAGTTCTGGAGCCCAAATCAAGTTTTGTACAAAGTCTCAAATTATAATTTCAGAAGCAGTTATTAATAACTTTGGTTTTGAAAAGATTCTCCTGAAATCACTTCCTAGATCAAGTTGGAAGAATCTAAAATGCTCTGTAATCATAAAAGTGGAGACCATCTCACTGCAGCAGTTTGCTATGTCCTGATGAACAGGGAGAAAGCTGAGAAGAGACCCTCCATATGGCCACCCTGAACTGTGGTCAAGAGTGCCAGGCTTGGGGTCATCTGCCTGCATGCAGCTTGCAACATTGAACTTTTGAGTTATGGGATCTTGGACAAGTTGTCATGACTCCTCCGTGCCTCAGTTTCCCCAGCTGTAGAGTGGTGGTGAAGATAGATGAAAGGATGCATTTAAAGTTCAGCAGCTGGGCATGGTGGCTCACACCTGTAATCCCAGCACTTTGGGAGCCTGGGGTGGGCAGATCACTTGAGGTCGGGAGTTCAAGATCAGCCTGACCAACATGGAGAAACAAGTCTCTACTAAAAATAGAAAATTAGCTGGACGTGGTGGCACATGCCTGTAATCCCAGATACTCAGGAGGCTGAGGCAGGAGAATCACTTGAACCCAGGAGGCAGAGGTTGCAATGAGCTGAGATCGCACCATTGCACTCCAGCCTGGGCAACAAGAGCGAAACTCCGTCTCAAATAAATAAGTTCAGCATGGGGTCATTCACATAGGTGGTGCTCCATAATCTTAGCTATTATTTTGTTGAAGGAGCCCCACACTGAGACCACCAGGGAGGCTATGGTTCCAGCCCACATCCTCTGACTTCCCAGCTGTGTAGTCCTGGGTGAGACACTTCACCCCTCTGAGCCTCAATCACTCATGTCAGAGTTCAAAGAAGACCAGGCCAGAAAGGTGGTATCATTCATTGGGCTAATGGCTAGGTCAGTGTGAGGTTAGATTTTTATCCGTAAGATGAGAAGCAAGACTGGGTGATCCAACACTCTTAGAAAAGCTTTTAAAAGCAAGCATTTTCTGGCCACTCTTAAAATTTGAGTCCTTACTTTGTATGCTTCTGGATTTTTATAAAGAAAGACAGTGGAGGTCAGAGAAGGAAGCAGCCTTTTACTGAGCATGGACCGGCTGTTGGGCATCTAGATATGCTGTCCAGTTTCATGCTCACATGTGCTCTAAGGATATAAAGCAAGGCCGGGGTGGTTGAAATCTGCATTCACGTTCTCACCACCATAGCAATTGCTGGGGTCAAATCCCTTCTGTCCAGCCCACAGACTCCCGTCCCTCCCAAGAATAGGAGCTCACAGAGAGGGGACGTTAGATGGTCAATTGCCCTGCCTTGGAGATTCAACCACCAGGGACCAGAGCTTCAAGCCCAGCTAACCCTTCAAGGCCAGTGAGTGACCCACAGGTCCTGTTTTGTGAAGCGTAAGGTGCGCAGCTGTAGTCGGGGTGCAACTGGTCCCAGTGAGAGATGTGGGAGAGTCAGCTCATTCCTCTGCCTCCACTGCCAAGCTGAAGCAAAGTCTGATGAGAATGGGAGCTGACATTTGCTTGGGGCTGTGGATGAAGCAGCTCTGCTGAGAGAGAGTGGGCTTCCATACATTGCCGTGAAGCACACAGCCTGCCCTTGGTGGAGAGGGTCTTGCTTTGCTTGGCAGCTGCCGGTAGTGATTCATCCCTGGTGCTCCCATTTCCTCTCACCTCTCGGGTAATTCCACTTGCCCTGCTCCATAGGACTTAGCACCCTCCCCTAGCATCTCTGGAAGGAAAACAGATTCCTTCTCACCCAGAGGTAGCAGAGGACAGTAGAAATGTTTGGGATGATCAGGGCTCGATCTCAGCTCTGCCACTCATAGCTGGGTCACCCTTACCTGGCTGAGCCTCAGTTTCACATCTGTTAAATGGAGCAGTGATAGCTCCCTCACTGGGCTGTGCTGGGAATGCAGTTACGTCATGTAGGGGATAGGTTTGGGGATTTACAATAGATAAGCCCCCTTCTTCTCTGAAATTCAGAAAAGGTTAGAGAGGGGGAGACAGAGAGAGGCACAAGAACCAGATGGGGATGAAAATGTTAGCTCTATTTTGAGTGGAGCTGGATTAGACAGCATGGCTTCATAAGTGGCAGTTAGTTCAGCACCTCTAGCTTTAAGATGCTAGACCCAGCCACAGGCAGAAGGAGCAACCCCAGACCCCTCTACAGGGCAAGCCCCTCCTTGGGTGGAGGCAGCAGACACATCTCCAGCTTCCTGCAGGAGGCAGATACAGAAAGAGCCCAGGGGATGCAAGAGGGCACTCCCTACCTCCCTGTCCCTTGGGTTGAGAGGGAGGTATGTTCCCTAGTGGATGCTCCCCAAATGGAAACAGGAAATAGAAGGGAAAGGAGGTCCCTGGAAACAGTAGGTGAGGCATCGGCACAGTTCCTGGAACACAGTGTTTAATAAATGGGCAAGGTCTTCTCTGTCTTCTGTACTTCAAGATAGATCCTATACATCACCATTTGTCTGTGGCGGCCACCTCTGTGTTTACAACTCTCTCTGTTTCTCTCTTTATCTCTCTCTATCTGTTTCTCTCTCTCTCTGTCTCTCTCTCTCTCTCTCTCTCTCTCACACACACACACACACACACACACACAAACACACAGGAAATGCATAAAATATATTAATTATATCTTTATCCAGTATATATTAGTTTTCTATTGCTTCTGTAGCAAATTACTGCAATAGCTTAGCTATTATTTTGTTGAAGGAGCCCCACCCACATGGTGGCTTAAAACCACACCAATTTATTATCTTACAATTCTGGAGGCCAGAAGTCCTAAAATCAAGGTGTTGGCAAGGCCACATTCCTTCTGGAGACTCCAGAGGGATCATCCACTTCCTTGACATTCCCAACTTCTAGATGGCACCTGCATCTCTCGGCTTGTGGCCCCTTTCTGCATCTGCAAGTCAGCAGCATGGCATTTTCAAATATTTCTTCCTCTCTGACCTCTGCTTCCATCCTTACGTCTTCTCTCTGAATCTGATCCTCCTGACTCCCTCTTTAAGGACCCTGGTGATTACATTTACAGCTCACCCAGATAATCCAGGATAACTTCCCCATGTCAAGATTCTGAACTTAACATATCTGCAAAGTCCCTTTGGCCATGTAAAGTAAGATGTTCTGGGGTTCCCAGGATTAGCATGTGAACATTTTGAGAGCGGGGGGCTGTTGTTCTGCTCACCACATCCAGAAAGCATAAATTAAACCCATACTCTTTGTCAGTATCACCTTGTTCTAGGCAAAAGTAAATGGGATGTTTACTCTTATGGACCCTTGACTGATCCTTAGACATGCTGCTTTCTTAGACATGTTGGGCATCCTTAGGCATGCCCAACTGTGGAGGGGGCAAAAATGATTATGTATGTTACACTTTGTCTCTAAAACACTATGACGTGAGTTAAGAATGAGAGCTTCAGGGCATTAAGGGCAGGGACTTGAGAAGACCCAAATTCTTTCCTGCTGCCCTTACCCCCACACCTGCCAGCTGCACAGTTCTTCAAAGCCCCATCCCACAAGAAGGAGGCTGAAAAGAGACCCAGAGGTGCATTCCTAGCATGGCATATGTGCCACTGTCAGATGCTCTTCTTTTCTTTTTTTTTTATTATTATTATACTTTAAGTTTTAGGGTACATGTGCACAACGTGCAGGTTTGTTACATATGTATACATGTGCCATGTTGGTGTGCTGCACCCATTAACTTGTCATTTAACATTAGGTATATCTCCTAATGCTCTCCCTCCCCGCTCCCCCCACCCCAGAACAGTCACTGGTGTGTGATATTCCCCTTCCTGTGTCCATGTGTTCTTATTGTTCAATTCCCACCTATGAGTGAGAATATGCGGTGTTTGGTTTTTTGTCCTTGCGATAGTTTGCTGAGAATGATGGTTTCCAGCTTCATCCATGTCCCTACAAAGGACATGAACTCATTATTTTTTATGGCTGCATAGTATTCCATGGTGTATATGTGCCACATTTTCTTCATCCAGTCTATCATTGTTGGACATTTGGGTTGGTTCCAGATGCTCTTCTTAACCAAGAAGCAATCACATCTCCATGGAGAGACAGAACCTTCTAGAATGATACCTACAATTTGTTATATGCCAATTATAACAGGTGCTGTCCTGGATGATTTCTTTTATCATCATTAAAATTTTTACAAGAACCCTGAAAGACGAAGTATTATTACCTTTCTTTGGAGAACAGAGATTCCGAGATGCAAAATCGCTTGCCTGCGGTCACGCAGGTCATGAGAGACAGTGCTGGGGCTAGAATCCCCACTCTATGCCTCCAGAACTGCTGCTCCTGCCACGCTGCACGGGGAGGCTAGGGGCAACCTGCGAGAACAGAGTTGTGTGGTGAACAAGGTCAACACAAAGCACACACCGTGGGGGCTGGCGGGGCTCCGGGGCAGGATGCACTCTTAAGTTTCCTGAGTGCTTTCTTATTTTACAGTGAACTCAAACTGTCCAATCAAATAAGCTTCAGTGTGAGCAGAGGTAAAGCTGAAGGCAGTCACCTTCCCACTCTATCAGCTGATGTAGGGGGAGGGCAGTGGCTTCGTGTCACAAACAGATTAAGACTGGCAGTGTGTGTGATGTACAGGTCTGCCCCGGGGCAGACAGGGCCAGCCCGGCAGGACCCCTGTAGCCCCTGGGCAGCGGGAGAGGATCTGTGGACTGATTTCTGCCTTTTGGTGCATGAATGAATATAAGACTAAATATGGCTTTTATTGCTTTATTATTATTATTATTATACTTTAAGTTCTGGGATACCTGTGGAGAATGTGCAGGTTTGTTACATAGGTATACACGTGCCATGATGGTTTGCTGCACCCATCAACCTGTCATCTGCATTGGATATTTCTCCTAATGCCATCCCTCCTCTAGCCCCCCCACACCCCAACAGGCCCTGGTGTATGATGTTCCCCTCTCTGTTTCCATGTATTCTCATTGTTCAACTTCCACTTATGAGTGAGAACATGTGGTGTTTGGTTTTCTGTTCTTATGTTAGTTTGCTGAGAATGATGGTTTCCAGCTTCATCAATTTCCCTGCAAAAGTTATAACTGTCCCTCACTGAACTTAGAATTTTATGTACAATGACTCTCTTCACTAACCTACTAAGGGACATCTATAGCAGTGTCTCTATGGGGAGAATTGAAACCAGGGAAGACGGGGTTGTGAGGGGTGAGAGGAGCCAGAAGGAGGTGCTGGCCACATCATAAGAGGATTCACATTAAGTGGGACCTAGGGCTGGGAGCCTCAGGACCATGAGCTGGTCAGGCCATGGGGATCAGAACCACGGCTGTGAATAACACAAATGTCAGACACCTTCACATGGGTGACAGCCTGGCAGCCTGAGGGCATTAAGAGGGTCCCTAGAGAACGTTGGCCATTGAAAATCAGTGAATTTGGCTGATGATTAAGAAAGGCTGTTACACTTCTGGAATCCAACCCTGACGGTGCACTGGGGATCATAGTTACCTTCTAAAGGGGAAGCAATTGTATAAACATATTCAATGGACATAGAGTTTTCAGGATAATGTTATAATGTCAGCTTCTGTCACAGCCCTGAGAACAATAGGAATTAGTGGATTTATTAGGCACTACCTCTGTACACCATGGATGTGACAGCAAAGGTTCAGGCTAACGATGGAGTCTAACGTTCACTCAAGTGAGAAACAGGTGCAGAACATGAAGGTTCTTGTTTTACACGAATATTAAAACCTGTTTTTGCCAATAGATGGATGTATCCATGCCTGCAAGCTCGAAGAAATGGGTGTCGTAGTTTTCACTGGCATCTCTTGGTATGCCCATAACTTTATGGAGGTTTACTTTCTTCACAAAATTTAACCATCTGTAGATATAAGTAGGTCCTATATCTTCCCCCCAATGCATGAATAATTTTTGCTAAAAACATCTGGCAATAAAACAGATCTATAGAAACAAGAGCTTCATCCAGAAACAAAGAGCAAAATGCGAGAGTGTGGCCAGCTAACGTTGGACCTGACAGGTTATGAGCAATGTGCTCTAACACTTCTGCTGAATAAGTATCAAACTGTTCATAAATGTTCATAAGGTCCTTTAATGCAGGGGGTGTCCCCATCAGAATTCATCAGTTAGGACAATGTGGTTTTCTATCATTCAGCAAACTCTTGGTTTTAAAGAAATGGCTGGGATGGGGAGAACCCAGACATCATTTGTGTCCAGGCTAAAATCCTCAAAGTGAATACTGAAGAGTGACAATTCTCACCCAGTTCCTGACACCTCATGGGACAGGCAAAATAAGCATGGTCATGTTCATTTGACTGGGGAGGAGTAGGAATCTCCTCATGGCAGGGTGAATTGCCTGAGGTCACACAGCTAGTTCAAGATGGAGCCAGGTCTCCAAACTCCTAATCAGTTCTTGTCTGATGCCATGGGCATCAATTAGGATTTAGGTCTAACCTCATGTGGCAGGTACCCCAACAGAGACCTCAACAAGATGGAAGGTTTTCAGTCTCACATGAAATAAGTTGCGAGGGCTGGTATAGCAACTCCAAGACCACACATCCTGGTTTTCCCAGGACACACTCAATGTAAGTGTGTCATCCTAGCATAATTATCAACACTCTCAAAAGTCCTCATGTTTGGATAATAAATTACAGAACCAGTGTAGTCAGTAAGGGCACAGGCTAACTCTTTCTAACTTCCTGGTCCAGCATCTAAACAAGTGGCTTTTATCCCAAGGCAGGGGCTCTATGTATAGTTAAACAGGTTGTGCATTACCCAACTCTGGGGAACATCTTTCACCTTGTATGCATTGTGGATTTACTATGGCAATTTTTCAGTGGATGACAGTAAAGCGTTTTGTGTAGTGGGGACCTTTTCTGGTTCTCATAAAGTTACGATGGAGGTTAATGGCAGTGCTGTTCTGAAGTCACCTAGTAATCCAAAAAAGGCTGCTGAGGCTCCAGCCATCACCTCCACCATCCTGACACAGAAAGAAGGAAGGACAAACAAAAATGGAAGCAGACCTCCTTGATGAAAAGTTCCTTTTAAAAAAAGGAAACTTCCTGGAAGCCCCACCAACATTACTGTTTCTATCTCGCTGCCACACTTGGCTGCAAGAAAACTGGGAAGTGTAGTCTTTTAGCTGGACATTCCCAGTAATGCAGGAGAACATCACACACCAGGGCCTGTTGTGGGGTGGGGGTAGTGGGGAGGGATAGCATTAGGAGATATACCTAATGTAAATGACGAGTTAATGGGTGCAGCACACCAACATGGCACATGTATACATATGTAACTAACCTGCACATTGTGCACATGTACCCTAGAACTTAAAGTATAATAAAATATATATATAAATAAAAAATAAAATAATAAAATAAGGAAAAAAAGTAATGAAGAAAGGGAGAAGGTGGGATGAAAATGAAAAATGAGCATCCACGCCTCTCCACCTTGGGACTCTGAGTTTAATCCAGAGACCACCTGATACCCAAATTTGATTTAGAAAATAGATTAAGTCCTTCCACTGACCATTCTCTCTGCTCATTCTTTCCTGAATTACAGATTTGGTTCTATACCAACAGCATCTTTGGAAAAGCTGGGATCCCTCCGGCAAAGATCCCATACGTCACCTTGAGTACAGGGGGCATCGAGACTTTGGCTGCCGTCTTCTCTGTAAGTCAACTGAGGGTTACTCCTGAGAATGCCACAGGGGGTTACACAGCACAGTGGGAATGTTCATAAGGTCCTTTAAGGCACAGGCTTTCCCCATCAGAATTCATCAATTAGGACAATGTGGTTTCCTATCATTCAGCAAACTCTTGGTTTTAAAGAAATAGCTGGGATGGGGAGAACCCAGACATCATTTGTGTCTGGGCTATTGACCCAAAACCTCAAAGTGGGTACTGAAGAGCGACAATTCTCACCCAGTTCCTGACACCTCCGGGGCAGGCAACACTGCAATGTGGGAACCTAAGGCAACAAACAGGCATCTCTTTAGAGGAGCATGTCCTTTATCATGCCAAAGGGGGCTGGATTTTAGGAGGTCATCATGCAGCTCTTCACTGACATTTTACCCATCTAGAGAATATTCTTCACTGACATTTTACCCATCTAGAGAATATTTCCTTCCTAGATTTTGCTTCCCTGTCATCTTCCTTTTAATAAATAACTCCATCCTTTGAATTCTCACCTAGTCACAAATGATGAAATATGAATGCCCTGTGAAACAGGGCCATATTGTCCCCAGGAGTTCGGATCAGAGAATTGGCTTGAATCTCCAATCTCTTACCATGACATTTAAAATGTTTCAAAACCATTAGCAGTCATCTCATTACCCCAGACATGTGGGAGTTTGCAAGGCAAAGGAGAAAGGACATTCAGTTGACCAGTATAATAGAGAGGAAGACCTTAATAATAAGCCAATATGTTCAAAAGAAGGCATAGAGCTCCTCACTGTTTCTCAACCTCCAATATGCAAAACAAACATCTGGTGGAGGGGAAAGTTGGGTGGCTTCAGAACCTAGTAGAAATTTCCAGATCTTGGAATCAGATCAAACTGGATTTGAATCCTGGCTCCGGCACTTCTTGGCTGTGTAGCACTGAGCAGTGCACTCAACATCTCTGAGCTTCAGTTGTCCTCTTTATGAAATGCTTGTGTCTCTTCTTTTTTGTAGCTATGTCTGTGCCTCACATTTTGGGCACACAGCACACAGTTAGGCTCCCTTCCAAATGGAAAGAGAGGGCTAAAATTAGAGAGTTATATTCTCTGACCTTGATGGAGTAGTTCATTTATTTTCACTCTTGCTCACTGATTTGCACTGACAAGATTGATGCCCATGCAAACAGGCAGAGGCTTGCAATTGTCTTTCTGACTTCTTGTTGACAGAACATTTCATTTTGTACCTTGCACTTAATGGGTCATTCTAACAAGATGCTTTTAAAAAATAGATACCATAAAAAATGTAGAGGAATGATGTTTTGTCTCTTTCCCTTTCCACTTTGTGGTCTTTTTATTAGAAGAAAACATTTCAACGTTTCACATTCTGGAAGTTTCACAAGATTCATTCTTGTTATTCTCAAGTTATAGACTGCACCCAGTTTTGTTTATTTATTTTTACTTTGAGCAATGGAAAAACACAGTCTGAGATGAAACTTATGGGGGAAGTACGGGAGATGTTTTTTGTTTTTTGTAAAGTATTTTATTGGTGTTGTGAAGAAATCAATACCAGCTCATTAGGGCAAATTTGTAAAATTCGGAAAAATAGAGAGGAACAAAGAAGAAATTACCTACAATCATACTACCCAAGGAAGTTTGGCAAATTCTTCCCTTGTCTTTCTATGCATAGATGTATATTTCTTACATAGTAGCACAGTAATCCTATTCTAAATACGAGCTCTGATCTGCTTTTGTTCACATAATCTTATGTCAGAATGACTCTCCATTTTCTTATTTATTATTTTTTTGTTGAAGTGTATCATATATGCAGAAAATCATGTAGATCATCACCTTCCCTGAATTAACACTAGTGCTGAACGATTTATCCTTCTCCAGTAATTTTCTGTATGATAATTTCCTTAACCATTGTCTGCGGGTGAGGTTGTTGAATGTCTCTGCTCGGAACCTGATGGCAGTGCCATGCTTTCTGGGTTCCAGTCCCAGCTCTGTGTCTTTTTATTAGCCGCGTGACCCCCAAGTAAGTTATTCAGCATCTCTGTGACTCAGTTTCCCCACTTCTAAAAGCCATCATCCCTGCTTCATAGGGATGGGCTGAGGATTGTACCAATGAATATACATTAAGTGATTCCAGCAGTGGCTGGCAAATGGTATACACCCAGTAAGTGGTAACTATTCTTGTCCTATTTAGGTAGATTTCCATAATGTGTGATTTTACATAAGGCTACGATGGACATCCTTGTGGAGAGCAGGATTTTACAGGGGGTCTTGCTATCTTTTGACAGTTGAGGAAACTAAGACCAAAAGGAGTGACTTACTCTGGGTCACACAGTCAGCTGGCTCAGAACCCAAGAGAGTGGGGAAAGAGAACATCATGGGGCCCCTACTGTCCCTGCCACCGACACCCCAAAGTGTTCTACATGGGACCTCATGAATGCTCACATCATGCCTGAAAGTCCAATGACTGCCATTGTTTGAAAGAGGGGCACACTGAGGAAGTGGCTACACTTCTTCCCTTGGTGCAAGAAGACTTCACGGGAAGCCATTCTTATTCATTCCAGACTCCAGAAGCCACTCCTTCTCATCCCGATGCTCTGGCAGGCAGATCATCTTCCTTAAAAGCTGACAATTTTGGGCAAAGTATTCCTTGGAAACCCCAGAAAGGAGGGTAAATGACTTCACAGTCCTGGAAGGGAAGGAAGAGTCCTTTCTAAAATCAGAACTCAGAGTCTCAGCCTCTGGAGAGCACTCCTGCCACTGCCTTTAAGTTTGGACCCAGTGGATCTCAGTCATCTGGACCATGGCCAGTTGGTACCCCGCCATTTAGCAAGCTCTTGCCAGCTCCTCCCATGGTCAGGCTGTTGGCCCTGTGCTGGGCTTACAGAGGGCCTTTGCCATGGTGCCTGCCTGTAGGAGCTCACAGTCCAATGGAGGAGGTTGACTATGACCCAAGGATAAATGATGTTTTGCTGTTCTAGAGGTGCAGGAATCTCTGTGTGGGAGGTTCCTCTGAGCAGGAAGTGATGATTCAGAGCTTGGGTGGTGGATTCTTTCATGCAGGCATGCATTCATCCATTCCACAGACACCTAAGGTGCACTCATACTGTGCCAGCTGTCACAGGTGACGTTGCCGTGATCTAGAGAGAAAAGCAAACCTGGAAACAATTACCACATGCAACACTGAGACGAGCTTCCCTCTCAAATAAGGGGTTCTGGGAGGGATTCCTGGAGACAGGGACCAGGAACCTGAGAGCTGAAGGGCCAGCAGAAGTTAGGTGAAGTGAAGTGCATTGGGTAGTCTGTCCCCCTTTCATCTTCTCAAAGAGCTGGAGATGCAAGGATGGATGCAGAATAGTCCATTGGAAACAGTCCTTAAAATGGTAGCATTGACCCCAATTCCTGGAAAGGCATGAAACTAAATTCAGCATGAGGTTGAGAGTGTGGAATAGAAAAATGTTCTGGGGAGAAACAGCTTTGGCTTTAGGATGAGGCTACTCTGAATTCAAATCCTGATCACCCATTTACCAGCTAAGTGGTCTTGGGAACATTGCCCAACACATCTGAATTTATTTGCTCATCTGTAAAATGGACATAACCATTCCCACCTGTGGTAGGCAAAACAATGGCTCCCCAAGATGTCCACACCATGATTCCCAGAAGCTGGGAATATATTACCTTACATGGCACAAAGGAATGTTGCAGGTGGGACTAATCTTGAGATAGGGAGCTAACCCTGGATTACCCAGGTGAGCCCAATATTATCACAGGGTCCTTGTAAGTGAAAGGGGGAGGCAGGAGGGTCAGAGTCAGAGAAGGAGATGTGATGGTGGAAGCAGAGGCAGGAGTGACGCCATTGCCAGCTTTGAAGGTGAGGAAGGGGTCACACGCCCAGGAATGCAGATGTTCTCTAGAAGCTGCAGCAGGCAAGATTCTGCCCTGGAGCCTCCAGAAGGAACCAGCCCTGCAGACACCATCGTGTTTGCACTGCAAGATCTATTCTAGACTTCTGATTTCCAAAACTATAAGATAATCCACCTGGGTTGTTTTAAGCCACTGAGTCTGTGGTAACTCGCTACAGCAGCAATAGGAAACTAATACAGCATCTGACAGAATTATGGAAACAAAATCCAAAGTGTGTGAAAGCCACTCCCCTGTTCCTCACAGAGCATCAATATAAGGTAAGTTCCTTGCACTTTCCAAAGTTATGTATATATAAAAATATCATATTTATATAGGTTATATATATAATATGCATAATATATTATAATGTTTATATATTATGTATTTGAAAACAAGGAAATAAAATATGTAGATATATTTTATATATTTATTGATATAAAATATATAAATATATAAAATTTATAATATATAAAATATATTTTATATATTTATATAATATACAAAATATATTATATATCTTGAAATATATTTGAAAAGAAGGCAATAAATATATTTATATATATACAGTTACATATGTAATAAACACACAAATATATGTCTATATATTTCATCCAGCCCTTTGAAGTGATTGCTTATCCAAAAAGACTTTCCAATTTTTTTCATTCCTCTTATGAGATTTTGACAGTCTATTAAAATGGCTCAGGAGGCTAATAAAGTTGAGAGGGGAAAGACATCTTTGCTCATTTGATCTGCAATTAATTTTGGCTCAGGGCGTCAGTCATCAGCTTGGGGAACTGTAAATAATCGCCATCTTTCAGAAACAGCTGGTTTTCCAAATTGATTTGCCTGGCACAGTGTTAACTCTCTGATGAGTGAACTTCCAGTGAGCGTCATTCAGGCCATGTGGGGCAGGAGCTTTGTGGGGTGAGGGCTCACTCTTGAGAAGCACAGACTCTGTGCTTTTACAAATCAGGGGTCAGAATTCACAGGAAGTCATTCTGATTCACTGCAGTACATTTTCATAATTAGCAAGAATGGAATATGCTCTTGACTTGTAGTAAAAAAAAAAAAAATCCTTATGGTTTCTGTTGCCTGTAGTCTCCATTGCTTCCCAATAAATTCGACAATTTCAGAATCAAAGGCCTCAGAGTTTACTGCTGGAACTCAGGACACTGGATCCAGCCCGTGTGAGAGCAGAACGTGGTAAAAGGGAGAAAGCAGGGTGATAGATCATCTGGGCTCTGTTTCATACTGGCCCCGCAGCTGCTAGCTGGGTGACCTTGAGCTAGTCACTTAACCTCTCTGATACCCATTTTTCTCTTAGTGAAAGTGGCAATAATAACAGATCTAAGCCTCAGCAGGTATTGTCATGGGAATCATACTGTAATTCACAGTGCTTGGCATAGAGAACATACTCAATAAATGTTCACTATTGTTATGGGTTGAATTGCACCTCCTCAAAATGCATGTGTTGAAGTCCCTAGTACCTCGGAATGTGACTTGAATTGGAAATAGGATCATTGCAGTTGTAATTAGTTAAGGTAAGATACGGTTATACTGGAATAGGGTGGGCCCCTAATCCAATACGACTGTCCTTATGAAAAGGGAAAATTTAGATGCAGGCATACACACAGGCAGAACGCCCTCTAAAAATTAGAATTGTGCTGCTGAAAGCCAAAACACACTAGAAGCCAGGAGAGGGCCCTGCAACAGACCCTTCCCTGGCGCCTCCAGAGGCAGGGCCCTGCAGACACTTTGATCTTGGACTTCCAGCCTCCAGAACTGTGAGACAACACGTTTCTATTGCTGAAGCCGCTCTGTCTGTGGGACCTTATCACGGCAGCCCTGGGAAACTCACGCAGTTACTCTTGTTATTAATATTCCTGAAGAGAAGCAGACATGGAAAATGCCGAAGCTGCCCTGCTACCTCTCAAAGACTAGAAGACGAGCCCAAGGCCAGGATGCTTCTTCCTCCAGCACTCAGCAAGTGCTCACTTGGGCCCCTGCTCTGTGCCAGTGGACAAAACAGACAAAGGTCTCTGCTGTGGAGAAGGAGAGCTCCTCATGGGGTCACAGACAGTGTAACAAGGGAGTACCCCACACAGTGTTTTAGAAGGTGAAGGATGTTATGAGAAAACAGTAGAGCAGAGAAAGGGGAATGGAGAGACGGGGGCAGTTGCCATTTTAAATATTGTGGTCAGGCTCCAGGTGAGCCCAGCTGTCTGGGAAGAGCATGTCAGGCAAAAGAAGCTGCTGAAAGAAAAACCTTTGGGAAAGAGGGACACAGTGAACCTGAGCAGCTCGAAGGCAGATTAATTCAGGGCAGCCGAGGGCATGTAGGGTGGGTACGCCACCTATCAGGAGCTGCAACCTTTGATAGAGGGACAAAGCCAGGCAAAATGTCTCTGTAGAAAGTGAACCAAGAAACCAACCCCTGGCCTCATTCTCTTTCTTTTGCCTTCTGATTTCTGACCTCTGATTTCTGATTTCTGCTGAAGCCGCCTAGAGGTCAGAGGGCAGGGAGCTTGTTGATTTGAGCCAATGGGTCTCCCTCTAGGACAGACAGCAAGAATCTGAGAGGTGACAGGGATGTCTGCAGCAGCCCAAGGCAGGGGCAAGGATGTGGCTGCCGCTTGAGGGGCCAAGGGGCTGGTGGGGGGGCATGGGGCTTGAGGGGATTCAAATATGGTTTGCAAATCTTTTCTCCCATTTTGTAGGTTTTCTCTTCACTCTGTTGATTGTTTTCTTTGCTGTCTATAAGGCTTTTAGTGGACAGGGGTGTTAAAAGGAGAGTGCCAGGTCATGCTTTAAATCCCTCTGACTGCTGTAGACAAAATAGATAATGGCAGAGGGTGACAAGGGTAGAAACAGCGTTGTCACAAGGCTTGGAGAGAGGCCGGTTTTCCCTGTGAATCATCACACTGACATGTGCTCTAGAACTGGCCTCGAAAGGACTGAGTTCAATTAATTTCCCTTGACAGACATTCCTTTTTCATTGATAAATAATGATTCTATGGCATTTCTATAGGTCACAGACTAGAAGAAACTACACCCTTCCTCCACTAAAATACTAGATCAAGTCCCCAGTTTATTTAACAAATGTTACAGGACCTTAGGAGAAATGAGGGTTGTAGCAAGCAGAAACAAAGCTAGATTTTCCCCTTGGCTCCCAACCCAAACCCCTGGGGGCCTGAGCTCAGTCTGAGCTGGGTGGCATCCCCAGATCTGAGAAGTTAAAACTCAGGCTAAATGGCTTTTCATGTTCAGAGCTTAGATCAAAAGCATTAGTGTTACCATTGCCTGAGCAGGAAGCAGGCAGAGAAATGTGGACTCTCGTTGATATGGTTTGGCTCTGTGTCCCCACCCAAATCTCACCTTGAATTATAGTTCCCACAATCCCCATGTGTCATGGGAGGGACCGGTGGGAGGTAATTGAATCATAGGAGCAGTTACCCTCATGCTGTTCTCATGATAGTGAGTGAGTTCTCATGAGAGCTGATGGTTTTATAAGGGACTTCCCCCTTCACTGGACACTCATTCTCCTTCCTGCCACCACATGAAGAAGGATGAGTTTGCTTCCCCTTCCACCATGATTGTAAGTTTCCTGAGGCCTCCCCCGCCCTGTGGAACTTTGTCAATTAAACCTCTTTCCTTTGTAAACTACCCAGTCTTCGGCAGTTCTTTATAGCAGCATGAGAATGAACTAATACTTCTGGTTATGACAGGTTATCCTCATGGGGTGAGGACTGGGTGGGGATGAGGAAGGGAAGAAACAGAGTCAGTGCCCCAGCATCCCCAAGCAGAAAAGGTGGGGTTTTGCCCTGGAAGCACATTCCCCTGCAGTTTCCACTCCCACCCACCCCAAGCTCTGAATAATATCTTTTAAGTAAGTAGCTCTATTTTTGAGTTTGGCCAAGGACATACCCACAAGTCCGTTCCTGCAGCTCACCCTCTGACTCTTGGGATGTGCTCCTGAGTCTTTACTTCCCACCAAATTTTCCTGATTTACTCCCCATCCCTCTGATAACATCCTTTGGCTCCCCTGTGTCCGGCCCCACCAGCTTCACTCACCAAAGGAAAGTGCGGATGTGGCTCATGGGATGCAGGGTGGAGACAGCATTTACCATCCCCTTGTGTCAGTTCTAAGTGGCGGCTGTTCCCACTGCCCACTGCCCTCTGCCAACTCGATGCTCCTGCTATGGAAGCCCTGACTCCTAAGTCATCTGGACATCCAGTGTCTCTTTCTCTGCTCCTTGAAGAGCTATTTTTTTTTCTACTTGCCCAAATTTCCAAGAACAATATGAATGTATCCTCACAAACCTGTTGAGAACCACATTTTGCCTTTTTTGAGAAGAGTAAGAGCATGAGGGGGAGTGCTTCACTTAGAAACTGCAGAAGCTACGGCCTCAAGCCAAGCTTGTAAAGTGACCCAAGTGGAGGAGACGTCCACAGGACTGGAGAACTTGGAAAAGCCTGTCTGCTGCCAGCCTTTCCTTCCATCCCAGTTGGCATGGGATGGAAGGAAAACCCATGTCTGTTTTGCACTTTGGCTGAAATATCTCAAGACATTTTAATTTGTTATACTTAGAGATCATGGGCCACCCTGGGATGATCATTATTTAAAACACAACTCTCATTTCTCACACCTTTGGCCCAAACAGATACACCGATACCTTTTATGCACATTCATCTTTTAAGCAGAAATTCCCAAAAAAGTTTGTTTCATTGAATTATATTCCGTTTTTAACTTAGAGAGAGCCTGTCCCAAGCAGAAAATTGTTTCTGGCACTCTGTCCTCTGAACATAAATTTTAAAATTTCACTAACTTGCAATAACCACAGCTTTCCAAGGTCTTGGCTTCTTTTTAGAGAGATCTGTGAAAGTAAAGATTAGCCTTTGCATGTTTAAAACAGGATTACCAGCAGCTAAAAGTAATACTGGAATGTGAAATTGCTTTTCATGTAATGTACCTTGGCCTTCTGTTCTCTGCAGAGGGAGCTGCGTCAGTGATAATCACACCATTCTCTGCTCCTTTCTCCCATCCTTTTGCAGCTAAAACTTTGACAATAATCCAACTTCTGACTAGAAAGTCACCAATTGCTCATGTGCCAAGGGTTCCTCAGGTACTCCTCCATTCCAACATGTCAGGATTAGGAAACAGCTGTTTGGGATGCCTGCGGGGTGGCCCTCATCTGGGCCACATCTTGCCCCAGCATTTACATTTCTCTCTGAAAGAGTCTCAGTTGTCTGCACCGCTTTGGCTGAGTTATTAGGGGAAACCTCATAGAGTTGCTTTAAAATGTAAATTTGAAAGAGAGAAAGAGAGAGAGAGAGGGGGAGGGAGGGAGAGAGAGAGTGTGTGTCATGCATCATGTTTAAAGAAATGGCCATAGTAGTTGTCATGCATTCAATACCATTAATGGTTGCTCAACGGAGTACGGCTCTAGTAAAGCCTGTTGAGGAAATCACACCAGCTGACTAAAGAGGGAGCTCTTGCCTTTGGCTGGGATCCCTGCAGGGAGCAGTCAGACAGGACGTCCTGAGGGAGGCAGAGCCCAACCAACAGGGCTTCCTCCTGGTAGGCTTCTAGGGCCCCTGCGCACAATCAGTCCACACGGCCCACAGACCCAGAAGCATCAAGCCAGGCAAGGATGGGGATTATGTAAATCAGAAGAATTTAAAAAGGCCCCGGCCTGGAGTTGGACACAGAGAATGGGGCATCTTCTACGACCAAAAGGCTCACCCTGGCACAGGGAAGAACTCATGTAGGACGCTGTAGTCCCTGAGAAAGTCAGGAACTCCTGCCATGCACGGAGTACCGCATGCAGTTTATATAGAGAGATATACACATTGAATACAATATAGACAATGAGCAATAAATAAAGTGTATATAAAGTAATGTATGTGAAATAATATGAAAGCACATTACATCAAATTTGGACGCTTTAATTGAGATAAATTTGAAATAAATTAAATTTTAGGCGATATTTTCTTGCCCTCCAGCTCTTCCTTTTTAAAATGTTGTTTATTGTCATATAATAGTTGTACATATTTGGAGACTACCTTCCTTCTTTTTTTTACATACATTCAATCATTTAGCAGGCAACATTACAAGCCCTGCCCTCCATCAGGTGTTAGCTCCTTGTGTTGGTTTGCCCAGGCTGCCAAAACAATGTGCCACAAACTACGTGGCTTAAACAACAGGAATTTATTGTATCACAGTTCTCAAGGCCAGAAGCCTGAGAGCAAAGCATCAGCAGTGCTCACTTCTCCTGAGGGCTGTGAGGGAGAATGTCCCGTGCCTCTCTCCCAGCTTCCAGGAACTTACAGGTGATCTTGGGTGTTTCTTAGTTGGCAGAAGCATCATCCCAACCCCTGCCTCATCTTCAGATGACATTCTGTCTGTGTATGTCTTTTTTTGTTTTTGGTTTTTCTGAGGTGGAATGTCTCACTCTGTCACCCAGGCTGGAATGCAGTAGCACAATCTCAGCTCACTGCAACCTTTGCATCCCAGTTCCAGCGATTCAACCTCCCTCCTGCCTCAGCCTCCCGTGTAGCTGCGATTACAGGCATGCACCACCACACCTGGCTACTTTTTGTATTTTTTTTAGTAGAGACAGGGTTTCATCATGTTGGCCAGGCTGGTCTCGAACTCCTGACCTCAAGTAATCCACCCATTTTGGCCTCCCAAAGTGCTGGGATTACAGGCCTGTGTGCGTGTCTGTCTCCGTGTCCACACTTTCCCTTTTCCATTGGCTCAAGGACACCAGTCATCATGGATTGAGGCCCATCCAAATGATGTCATTTTAACTGAATCACCTAAAAATAAAGACCCTATTCCCAAACAAGGTCACATTTTTTTAACTGAATCACCTAAAAATAAAGACCCCATTCCCAAACAAGGTCACATTCTAGGGAATAGGAGATTAGGATTCCAATATTTCCTTTTTTGAGAGAATGCAATTCAGCCCATAAAGCTCCCCAAGGGCAGAGACTCCTGGCTCTGTCTTCTCTGTGCCCCAGTGCCAGTGCTGTTGGAGGCTCTCAGTGACCTCAGGCAGCTCACACAAATGAAGGGAGAAAAACTTTGGGAGCATGTGCATATTCTTTTGATAAATGTGAATGTGTATTTGCCTCAGAAACACTGGGGAGAGGAAGTAGAACACAAAGGTTAAGAGCAAGACTCTGGAGCCGGAGTGCCTAGACTTGAATTCTGACTCACTGTGCAACCTTAGCCAGGTTGCTAAACCTCTCTGAGCCTCAAGTTCTGGATATAATAGTGGATGATAACAGCACCTACCCCAAGAAAATGTAATCAGAGTTAAGTTATTAATATATATAAAGCAGCCGGAACCATTCCTGGTACATAGCAAGGATTGTAACAATGTTCAAACATGGGAATAAAGACAGCATGAGATTGGCATAAGGGCAGCCCCACAGATCAATGGAACAGAATGGAATCCAGAAAACAAAAAGTTGCTGAAGTAATTCAATGAGGAAAGGATAGTCTTTTCAACAAGTAGTGTCATAAAAAGTAGATATCCACATGGAAAAATGTGAATGGCAACCCTTATTATACCATACAAAAAATTAACTCAAAATGGACCACGTATCTAGACATAAAAGCTAAACTCTAAAACTTCTAGAAGCAAAGGAGAAAGTTTTGCAACATTAGGATAGGAAAGATACAGAATCACAAACCATTTTTCAAATGATACATTGGATTTCATCAAAATTAAAAACTGTGACTATTTAAAAGGTATTGTTAAGGAGATAAAAAGGTAAGTCACAGACATGGAGAACATACCTATAAAACACATTTGAGAGGGGACGTGAATTCAGAATACATAAAGAACTCTTAAAACTCAAAAATAAGACCAACTGCCCACTTGAAAATGAGCAAAATATATGAACACATGCTTTACCAAAGAAGAGTTCCAAAACATCAAAAATCACATGAAAAGATCTTCAACATTGTTACTGTCACCAGGGAAATTAAAACTAAAACCAACAGTGAGATACCATTGTTCACCAAAATGGTGACAAAAATTTAAATGGTTGATATAATACCACGTGTTGCCAAGGATGTGGAGTAACAGGAAGGCTCATCCACTGCTGGTGGGAACATAAAATGGCACAACCCCTTCAGATAACATTTTAGCAGTTTCTTATAAAGGTTTTACCCATCCAACTCAGTCATTCCACTTATACATATTTACCCAAGAGAAATCAATGCACAAGTCTACATGAAGACTCAATAATCATAATGGTTTTATTTCTCAGAGCTGAAAATTGGAAACAGCTATTGGGTCAACAGGTGAATGGAGAAACAAATTTTGGTATATCCATGCAATGGAATACTGATCAGCAATACAAAAGAACTGTTGATATGTACTACAAGAAGGATGAATCTCAAAAACACTGCAATAAGCAATATGAAATGATAAATCGAATCCTTGTGCTGGAAAGCAGATCGGAGGTTGCCTGGAGTTGGGGGAAGAGACACAAGATAATTCTGGGAAGTGATGGAAATGTTCAATATCCTAATTGTAGTTGTGGTTATAAGGTATATACATTTGTCAAAACATACAAGACTGTGCAATTCAAATGGGTACATTAGACTGAATGAAAACTACACCTTTATAAAGCTGCTTCTTAAAATCCTAACCAGAACAAAAGGTTCCCATTATTATTTCACCAGAGGTCCCAGCCCTGTGGGGAAGGGCACTGGGTGCTGGGTGAATGGCTGCTGAGTGGATGGGTGACCCCATGGCTCCAGAGTCCCCAGAGGGGTTTCCTGGGAGCATTAGGATTTTGACAGTCATCCCTAGCTGACATCAGTAGCCTTCAGTCTGCTGTTCGTCTGAGTTAATGTCTTCACTCATGATTTTAATGTCAAGTGGAAATACCACGTTCGCTCTAATCCCTTCCAACAGGCTGCACTTTAACTGGACTTAAAGGAGGGAGGGAAGAAGAACAGAGCCGGGAGACTGATTGTCAGATGGGAGGGTTGTTTTTATCCCTTCTTTCTCTTTCAAAGCTGTTTCCCTGGTGTCTTCCTAGACCATCTTTAAAGATCATTTCTGAATCAGGGAGAATGTGTTCAGCCTTTCATTGGCTCAAGTTACTGGTTCATCAAGAGACTTTAGGGAAACGAAACAAAAAGCCACATGTCCCTCACCCCACCCTTTCCAAAGTATTTGAACGTCAGCATCATGGTGTAAGATAATGGTTCTCAACTGACTTTTGTAAGCACACTTTCTGACTCTGAAATTGTGGGTGGTGCACTTGAAACTCTTTTTTAAAAACTTCAAAATACTGAAATCAGTAAACATATATGTTAATTTCCGTAAAACAATGTAACACATGATAAGCTTAGTGTAACAATATAACACATATTAATCTCATTATAACAATGTAACATGTGCTGATCTCCCTATGACAATGTAACACATGCTGATTGCAGTGTAATAATATCTCCCAGCAACTGTGATGCTCTTCCATGGCACATTCTGTTGTCATTTCAGCACCAGGTCACTGGATACTCTAATCCAACTCCCCTAAGAAGCTTAGGAGACAGAGTTCCTGCATATTCCAGTTATGAACAACCTTCATTTTCAGCAACAGCTTAACTTTTGGCTCTGTCCTGTTAGCCACAAGAAAAGCTGTGACATCTTTAGATTGTACCAAAACCATATTTTACACAGTTATGAAAAATTGCCAGTATGGGTATTGGAAATATTTGGTGATTTGGAAAGAATAAAGACATAATACAGGGGACAGAGATTTGCATCCAACACTTCAACTAAATCTACTTTTTGGTGTTTTTAAGTCAAAACTCTCCGGAGAAAATCAGGAAAACTGACAGACAAATAAAATAATAATCACATATTCCCCCAACCAGAGTTAGCCATTATAAACTATTTCTGCATATATTTTTCCAGGGTGTATTAGCTTAACATAATTGTAATTGATATTATATAACTACATGTTTTAGTATATACAGATTTATGTCCTACTCTTTTCGCCTAAGATTGTACCCTGAGAATTTTTCTGTACCATTTTACAATTCTTTAAACTATGTTAATTTCTACATATTTACCATCTAGATATTCCAGCATTTATTTAACTAATTGTTGGTGGATTTCTAGATTATTTCTATTTCCCCAGTAGTATAAATAACACACCAACAAAGATCGTTGTCCATGCATCTTTGACCAAACATCTATTTCCTTAGGATCAATGCCCAGAAGGTGAGTGACTGAGTCCAAGGGTGTGGACGTTTGCAACTGCCCCTTGGTGTAAAACAGCATCTATCCCACTTCCTTCTCTCTGAATAGTTAGCCCTGGGTGACTTTTGGTAAATCCCATAATCACTCTTGGCCTCTGATCCTGGGCCCAGATCACTGAGAGTGCTACGCCAAGATTAACATGTGTTGCGCTGAGATTAACATGTGTTGCATTGTTACACTGAAATTAGTATGAGTTACACAGAGATAAGCATAATCTCTCTGGGCCCATAATTTCATAATCTCTCTAAGCCCCTGATATCTCTGGGCCTTTTCTCCTATTACCTTTGCGGGGGTCCCTCCTGGCACTAGGACCCAGCTCCCTTGCCCATGTTGCACTGGACCTGGCACAGCAGCCCCATCAGTGTCTCCTCTTTGATGAAACCCAGCTCATGAGGGCCTAAGAGGAAGGGATGCTTTAAATGCAGGTTTCTCTGTGTCTCCCTCCCTCCCTCACTCCCTCCCTCCCTCCCTCATTCTCTCCCTCCGTCCCTCTCTGCCTCCCCCTATCTCTCTTTCTCAGAAGCTGTTGGTCATTGCTTCCCTCCTGACTCTCACTGGGCCTGACTTCCCTCCCCACTTCCCACCAAGTGAAGTTACTGTCCCTCAGTATTCTTGAACCTCACTGCCCTCCCCGCCCTCCCCCTGCAAATGAGAATCATTCTGCCTGCGTTATAAAGACAGACCTTCCCTCCCTCAGCAAACACTTACGCCACACCTGTCAGGTATTCTTCCAGGCTCTGGGAAAGCAAAGATGAAGGCTCCTAGCCTTCAAGTGAAGAAAGAGAATCAGAGAGCCAGGAATGCGGAGGGGGGAGGGGGTGGGGGGGCAGAAAAGTGATCAGTGCCCTTGTTCGGGTCCGGGAGCTGGACCAGGTGAGACACTGGGCTGTTACCAAGTGGTGGCATTGACTGTTTCTAGTTTAATGTCAAGAAAATGTAATGTCACAACAACAGAAAAGATTTTGTAGGTGATCCCAGCTTTGCCACTTACCAGCCATGTGACCCTGGACAAGTTTCCAAAGACTCTGTGCCTCTGTTCTTTTACCTGTAAAATGGAGCAAATAATAGAACCTACTCAAAATTATTGTCAGGATTAAATGAGTTGCTGCATGAAAAGTGCTTAATACAGTGCTTGGCACATAGTAGGTGCTCAGTAAATGATCATTAGCTATTGGTATCTAGACTAACTCCATTATCATCAGAAAAGATGAGAAATTAAGACATGGAAGGGTTAATTAACTTGTTCAAGGCCACACAGCCAGCTACGGGTAAGAGTTGGGACCAGATCCCCAGGGCACTCCTTAGTTAAAATGAATAATATATTTCCTGCCATTTATTGGCAACCTCTTTTGTTCATGAGTCTATTTCAGGCATTGTGAGTTCTTTCGCTTTATCTCACAGCTACCCTGCAAAAATGGTATTATCATTCTCATTTTCCAGGTGGGGAAACTGAGACTTGGAAAAGCTGAATAACCTGTCCTGGGTGCAAAGAAGGCTAAGTGGCAAAGCCAGGAATTCAGCTCAGATGGCCCATCTTCAGGCTTTTGTGCCCCTGGATGTCACCTGTGCTCTGTTCCACTGGGCCAGGTTTCTAGGAGGCCAAGTTTAAAGGCTTGAGTCTGCCCTTCTTCCCTAAGCACCCAGGAGAAAGGCATTTCTGACCAGAAGTCTTGGATGCTTTTAGAGACATGTGGTCATCAGCCAGGCACATTTTCCTCCCAGGCCTCTGACTTTCGGGGCCAGCACCCTCCGTTCCCCTCAACATTCATGCCCAGGTGACTGAGAGGTCCATGGCCCCAGGCAGCACTACATGGCCGGGGTGCTCAGCTGACCCACAGGGCTATGCCCTTCGGACAGGCAGCTGTCACTCACCCCTCAGTGCCGGCTCTGCCCAGCAGAACAACAGCCCATGCTAAGCTTGGGGGAGAACGCCCATTGCCTAGACGGCTTCTCACCTGCCTCCCTCTAAGGAGCAGGGTATGAGGAAAGAGGAACAGGTAGAGGGCACTGGGGTCCCTGCAGCTGGGTTCCATTGTGGAGAAACCCTGAGGCTTTGGGGAAGGATTGCAACTGTTCGTCTCAGTGCTGTGACCTTCGCACTGTCACCTGAAGCTGGCAGGCAGGAGCCATGTGTGCTCTGGCTTCATGGCCCTCAGCAGCGTCACTGCTTCCCCTTGTCCAAGCCAAATGACTGTCGTGATGGGGACCATCCAGCCCCAAAACCTTTTCCCCCACTAATCCCTCTGCCTGACAAGCTCTCCACATCTCTGTCTGCTCCTGCCTCCTCCAGGAAGCCTCGCCTGATTGCCTCATTGAGAAAAGCCATGGATTCTGATTCATTCTGGGCTCAATTTCTGGCCCTCTCTCACCTACTTGCTCTGTGATGTCTGCTGTTATCTCACCTCTCTGACCCTCCGTGTTCTCTTTTTGTGATATGGAGCATGAGAGGAGGATACCTCACATAATCCGAGTACCTAACCTGTGTGTTGAGTGCAGTCTCTTATTTAACACACCCTTCCACTCCAGACACTCTTGTGGAAGGATATTTTGATTCTCTTGTCACAGATAAAGGCCCTGGGGCTTTGGGAAGTGAAGTGACATGCCAAAGTTCGTGCATCTGGAAAATAGTAAAGCCGGAATATAAACCCAGGTTTTCCTGTCTCTGACATTCGGCTACAATTACTCTTTCAGTCATTGGCAGTTGAGGAGCTGTTTCCTGACCAAGTGGACAAGGGGCACAGGGGCCAGCCAGATGGAGGTCAGTGACAGTCCTAGGCCGAGGGAAGCTGGCTTCGAGGACACAGCTTTAGGGACTTCCCCAGGGACTCCCCACATCACATCCCACAATGAAATTGACTTCCCCAGACACAGGCAGACTGGAAAACGACATGGGCTTCTCTGCCTACTCCCACCCCTGTGCCCCGCTGTGGATGCCTACCCCTATGAAACCCACAACATGGAGACACAGAGGAGTCACCTTCCATGCAGGTTGCCTCTGAAGGAGGAGAAGGGCTGTGGTGACCATATCCATCCAGTTCCTTCTCCCAGACTCCCTGTTGGAGGAGTCCACCATAGCAAGGAAGATTCGGAGGAGAGTGCTCGTTATTAATGCTGTAGGTGCTCAAGAATTGTGACTTTCTCTCCCTCGCTTTTTCCTTTCTCATAAAGAGCATTGCTTCAGGGCTGTGGCCATAAAGAAGGTGGCCCAACTGTCTCAGGGTCAAAGCCGGTTTTTAATCATGATGCCATTGCCGGTTCCCAGTGCCACATTCCCCTGTTGTGGTTAGAAATGGAATAATAGCTCTCTCTCTCTCTTTTACCCTGGACTAGGGTTTGGTCATTGAGCACCTGGGACGGAGACCCCTCCTCATTGGTGGCTTTGGGCTCATGGGCCTCTTCTTTGGGACCCTCACCATCACGCTGACCCTGCAGGTGAGACGATGTTCTTGTCACATTTGAGGGAGATAAGCATGGAGCTGACTTCTGGCTTCATCGTTTTGGGGCCTTTGATTTGTGGGTTCATACTTCTACAGAAAACACTTGTGATAAAGCTCTCCCCGGGGACATCTCATCTCTGGAGCTGCTGAGGGTCTCAGTGAAGAGGGTTTGGTGAGGGGTCCTTGGACTGGGAGATGAGAGACCTGACTTCTGGTCCTGTCACTCTCACTGATGAGCCGTGTGATCTTGGGCAAGACACTTTCCATCTCTGAGCCTCAGTTCACCCATCTATGGAATAGAAGAGCTTGCACTAGACAACCTTAAGGTGCTCCTTCCAGCTGTCACCTCCCAGCATGAGTGCCAGGTGCTGCATATCAGCCACTTCCCTAGTTGTCACAATTTTAGGAACAGTGGCTCTGGAGCCAGACAGCCTGTGTGGACCCTGGCTTTTCCTTACTTGTAATGAAACTTTAGCAAGTCAGCTCCTCTCCGGGCCTCATCTCTAAAATGAAACAGTCGTCCCTTCATCCAGGGGTGTTGTGGGATGAAATGAGAAAATGCACTGAAAGCACTTGGAACAAGCACTCAGTGGATGTCCATGAAGGAGGAGGGGTGGCGATGTACTTCATCCTTACAACATCAGTATTTTTTTGTTTTATGGAGATAAGGAAACTGAGGGATAAATATAAATAAATAAGCTTCCCAAGGTTACACCACCAAAAGGTGGCAATTAGATCCCCGGATCCTGGGCTTCTGCCCCCTGCATGGCTCAGGGCAGCTTGCATTAACTGAACACTGCCTCAGTACCTCCAACTCATCTTGGTGCCATGGGAAGCGTGAAGCAAGGTTGCAGCAATTGATTAATCTTTGCATTTTTCAAAAATGCATCTGGAAATTGATAGGTGCACATTTTGATCACCTGTCAAATGTCTTAGTGGCCCAAATGTTTCTAGAAGAAGGCACTGTTAGCATGGTGGTGGCTGATGGGTGCCCTTTGAAGAGGTGGGGCTGGCAAGCACGCTGACCGGCAGGAGGTGGAAGCATTGCCTTCAGGGACAATGTGCTGGCAGATGCAGTTCCTTCCTGACAGCCAGGCCCAAGCTGTCCCAAGCTCCAGCATCTTTACAGTCCTTCAAAGTTCTCAGGAAGCCAGTTAGGCGATGTTCCAGGCCATTGTCTTTCTGAAACTTGTGTCCGAAGTTTAAAAGGAAAGCCTGAAGCCCACAAACCCCATCTAAGCCTCATTTCACAAGGTTTCAGAGCTGTTCTTGGCTTGGCCACCCTTGTCTCCTCCAGTGCCCCACACCCTGCCCCCGGCAGCTCCTCAAGGAACCTGGCAGTTTCCTCTCCTAGGGCTCTTCTGTGCTTGGCTAGCTTCTCCTTGCTCTGGACTCAGGAGGCCTTGGACATTCCTGGACACCTCTTCCTGCAGGAAGCCTCCCCTTGCTTCCAAGTCTGGGTGAGGTGCTCTCTCCTGTGTTCCCATAAGCCCCAAGGGGGAACCCTGTGAGATCACTTATCACATACCATTGACTTTCACTGTTGGCACATGTCTCTCTCCAAATAGACAGTGAGTGAGTTGTGTAGGGCAAGGGCCTGGCATGAACCATATCTGCATTTCCACCTCCCATCCCAGTGCCTGGCACCCAGGGGCAGCTCGGATCAATCAGCTGAATTAGTGAGTGAGTGAGTGACTTGGTACAGAAGCAAGCCATACAGTGTACAAGAGTCCATGAAGCTCCTCTCAACCCCTAAAGCTAATGGATTTGGACATAGAACAAGGGGAAGGAGGGAGTTCCCCATTCCTCTGTCTGCCCTCTGTACCCCTCGCCCTCCACTCCAGACTGTTTGCAGCTTACCCCCCCGCCGATGGTGCCCTCTTAGGATTCTATGCCCTTGTGTATGCTGAACCCCCTACTGGAACCTCTTTCCTTTCCTTTCCCACTGGGCTGACTCTGGCTCAGCCTACAGAGATGAACGCAGGCTCTTACCTTCCCTTCAAGTCAGGTGGCCTCTCCTGGGGCAGCCCTGGCACCCCCACAGATTCAGAACTGGTGACACTGTGTTCTAATGCTCAGCTGTCCAGTCTGCTAGAGCAGGAGCAATCCCAACCAGCACCAAGCCACCCACCCCCCGGATGAGTGACAGCTTCTCCAGACATATTCCATGAAATGAATTAACGCATCTCACACCTTGCAAGATGGCAGGGGTACAAATAAGGTCCTTTATGTAATAATATCAGAACTAAGATAACTTCTTTTAAGCAAAATATAGAAGCCTTTAAAATGTATATGAGGAAACATTCATATATATACATATATATATATATATGTATATATATACTTTAAGTTCTGGGATACATGTGCAGAACGTGCAGGTTTGTTACATAGGTATACATGTGCCATGGTGGTTGGCTGCACCCATCAACCCATCATCTACATTAGGTGTTTCTCCTAATGCTATCCCTCCTCCAGCCCCCCACCCCCCAAAACAGGCCCCAGCATGTGATGTTCCCCTCCCTGTGTCCATGTGTTCTCATTGTTCAACTCCCACTTATGAGTGAGACATGTGGGGTTTGGTTTTCGGTTCTTGTGTCAGTTTGCTGAGAATGATGAACTTTTATAAATGTGATAAAGCTGTGAAAATTGCTCATATTGCCTGATGCCAACTAAGCCCTCAATCAATGTGAGTTATTGATTTATTTACCACTTCCTGTATGCCAGGACTATGTCAAACTCATCACAGGCTTCATCTGATTTCATCATGGCTATAAAATAAGCAGATGGAGTGACCGAAGGGTTATCATTGTTCCCATGTTATAGATGCTGAAGCTGGGGCTTGGGGACATCAAGTGACCTGTCCAAGGTCACACAGATGGATGGAGGAGGAGCTGGGGTGGGAACTCAGGTCCTCCGGTCACACCATCACCTCCTCACCTGACCACTCCCTGTTCTCTCCCAGGACCACGCCCCCTGGGTCCCCTACCTGAGTATCGTGGGCATTCTGGCCATCATCGCCTCTTTCTGCAGTGGGCCAGGTAAGGCACCCCACCCTCCCCACTGCCCCGCCCAGGGACTCATGGCATCACCAAGCTGGGGGGCTCTCCTCATACAGATGGGGAACCCAGAGCCCAGAAGAAGCAAAGCCTGACTGGGGATGTGTGTCTGCTGCCTTTCTTTTGGCCCAATTTAAATGTAGCCGACTGTCTGCAGTCTATCCCACAGAAGGTGAAAGTGGACTCACCTGAAGATGAGTGGGAGATAATTTCCCACCACACAGCAAGAGCAGTTCATACGCGGGAGGGCTCTGATCCAGAGGTGACACTGGTTTGTGTTGAATCAAAGACAACCAAGTCACAGTCTGTGCCTAAGCAGTTACCGTCTATGGTGAAAGATGTGGCAATAATCATGTCTAAGACATATTGTTCATTGATTTTGTGTTATACTTGGCTAAGAACTTGACCTGTGTGAGCTCATTTAAGGCTCAGGACAGTGCCAAAGAAGACAGAGATGGAAGGTGACTTGCATGAGCGAGTAGGTGGAGTGGCCTGACTGCCAGGCCCAGGCCCCAACCACCAGCTTACATGGTAGCTGTGTGAGTGTGCAGCTGGAGTATCCCAGCCTCAGTTTACCTGGGACTCACTTCTAGCCCTGCTGTTTCCTAGCCATGGGTCAGTAGGAGAGACTTCTTCTCTTTGTTAGCCTCAGTTTCCCCATCTGTACAACGACAAGGATGCAATGCAACTGAGGACCCTACCATTCCCTGGCCCTGTGTCCACGTCCAGCAGGGACCTCCAGCAGAGTCCAAGGTCAGACTGAGAAGGGGGGCTCAGGGCAGGGTCTGACACAGCCATGTGCTCTCTCATGGGATGATATTCATGGCTGTTCTTTGGTTGTGTTTCTTGGTGGATGCAAACAGTAAGTTTCTATCAGAACAAAGGGAACTGAACTTCTGTTTCTCCCTTTGTGTTGCTGATTCTCGTAAGCCATTACATTCCAGGT
Organism: Homo sapiens; assembly: GCF_000001405.40. Classification (NCBI taxonomy): domain Eukaryota; kingdom Metazoa; phylum Chordata; class Mammalia; order Primates; family Hominidae; genus Homo; species Homo sapiens. Next base: position 9,886,602 of record NC_000004.12, on the reverse strand, counting down.
TCTATTGCATTCATGGTGGATGGAAAGTGTCCATTCAGGACATCGGGATATTATAATAAGATGGCAAGGTGGCAAGGTGGGCCATGGAATGGTTGGGGAGGGCATCAGGTGCACATACATGCACACAGCACACACACACACACACACACACACACACACACACACACACACACACACAGTGCTATGAGGGTGGTCAGAACGGCTGCAAGAAAAAGAAAGCAAGCACCTCCCAGGCAGGGCAGCGAATTAGAGGATGAACACACAGCACATGTTGTAGTTTACAGTGGACGCGAGGAGTAAATGTGTTTAGTCTTCCAGGGCATCTGCATCACAACCTCACATCCACATCTTCACATCAGTGCTCTGGAGGTGTCCAGCCTACGGCCCTATGCTAGCCTGGGGACATGCGTGAGCAAACCAGACAGGAGCAGTCTCTGCTCCCAGAGGGGCTTGCCTCTGGTGTGGAAGTCCCCTCTGAGATGTCAGCTGCTCAGTGAGGCCTCTCCTGGCCACTTATTCTAAAACCAGCACACACACATTTACTATATACACTCACACACACATGCACACCTACCCTCTATCTCATCACCCATCATAGCATTGTTCACAGGCATGTTGGTTTCCTGCGTACTCATTTGTTTAATGCAGACATGGGAAGATTTTTCCTGCAAAGGGCCAGGTGTAAATACTTTTATTTCACAGACCATGCATTCTCTATCACAACTACTCACCTCTGCCATGGTAGTGTGGACACAGCCATAGATAACGAGTAAATGAATGGACTGCATGGTTGTGTCCCAGTAAAACTTTATTTACAAAAGCAGGCAGTGGGCTGCATGCGGCCTGTGTGCTGCAGTCTGTCTTTAATGTGTGTCTCCTCCAGGCTAGAAAATAAGCTCCATGAAAGGACCTGGTGTGTGGTTCACAATCTTATCCTGATAACCTAGAACTGTGCTGAAGACATAGTAAGGCTCCACAAGTACTTGTTAGAGAGGGAATAAAATAACTGAGCAAAGGCTGGCAGGGAAGATGTGTGCTTTTGTGAGCAGCGTAACACGGGAGCCTGCCCTGGCAGCAGGGTTTTTCAAAACAAACCTTGGAGGAGAGAAGAAGTGGAGAGAGCAGACCCCTTTTCCTGCAATATCCCTGAGCTCCAGGGAAGAGGCAGCTGGGGCTTAATGATATCAGAAAAATATGAAGGTGGCACTAGCCAATTGCATGGAGCAAAAGGATTAGTCAAGCTAATACCAAGATTCTTTTCAGAGAAAGAACAAATATAAGGTTGAATTCCATTCTTATCAATTTCTCAAGCCTTTATTGAGCACCTGTTGTATGCCAAGCTGGAGGGAGAGGAGAGCAGGGGTAGGCAGGAGGAAGATAAAATAGAACCATATTTTTTTTCATGGGATACATGTTGCTTTTTTATTTTAAGTTCCGGGATACATGTGCAGGACTCGCAGGTTTGTTACATAGGTAAATGTGTGCCATGGTGGTTTGCTGTACTTATCGACAGCAATTAAGGTATTAAGCCCAGCCTGCATTAGCTATTTTTCCTGATACTTTCCCTCCCTCCACTCCCACCCCAGACAGGCCCCAGTGTGTGTTGTTCCCCTTCCTGTGTCCATGTGTTCTCATTATTCAGCTCACACTTATGAGTGAGAACATGTGGTGTTTGGTTTTCTGTTCCTGTGTTAGTTTGCTGAGGATAATGGCTTCCAGCTCCATCCATGTCCCTGCAAAGGACATGATCTTGTTCCTTCTCATGGCTGTGTAGTATTCCGTGGTACATATGTACCACATTTTCTTTATCCAGTCTATCATTGATGAGCATTTGGGTTGATTCTATGTCTTTGCTATTGTGAATAGTGCTGCAATGAATATATGCATGCATGTGTCTTTATAATAGAATGATTTATATTCCTTTGGGTATATACTAAGTAATGGGATTGCTGGGTCAAATGGTATTTCTGAGAACCAGGTTTTTAATACCTTAAAGTCAAAACTGAAGGGTTTGTCTATTATCACATACATTCTCCCACACTTTCCTCCATCCAACAAATACACTGTTGCACAGATGGCCAATGGCTTCTTAATTGCCAACCCTCCAAAAAATGGTCTTGTATCTTCAAGCCCAACTTTACTAATTAAAAAAAAAAACATTTCTAGCCAGGTGTAGTAGTGGAATGTACCTGTAATCTCAGCTATTTAGGAGACTGAGGCAGAAGGCTCACTTGAGCTCAGAATTTTTAGGTTACAATGAGCTATGATGGCAGCATTGCACTCTAGCCAGGGTGCTAGAGAAAAAAAGCCCATCTCTTTTCTAAAAAAATTGTTTAAAAAAGTAACATGCTCCTGAGCAGGCACCTTGAATGTTTCACATGTGCAGTCTGAATTCTGAGTCACTAACAGCATGTATCAGTCAGTGTAACGCTAGCTGCCTAACAAATATGTCTCTGAATGACAGAAGCTTCACACAATAGAAATCCATGTCTCACTCATAGAACCACCCATGGCTAGTGTCCCAGGTAGATGAGCACATGCACCCAGTTTCCTCCTGGGCTGTGGCTCTGCCAACCCCGAGTGTCTCTGGTCTACTGCATCCAGTAGGTGAAAAGGAGAAAGACTGTGCAGAAAGCTTCTTAAGAGCCCTGACCTGGGGTAACACCCTCTTCTCCACTCGTATTCCAGTGGTGATGACAAGTCCCATGGCCAGCCCTGGATGCAGAGTTGGCACTTTTACATCAGCCTCTCCTAAAGTGCCCAGTCCTGGCCTGACATCTAGAAGGTTGTCAGGACGTATTTGCAGGTGGTTTAATCATGACCAGGGAACTCAGATAGAAGGGGCTGAGTAGGCACTAAGCTGTAAGATGTGGACTGGGAGGTGCTGAACCCACAGGGCACCCTTAAAGTGATTGGTTAAACCCAGAAGCAGTGGCTTAGGGCTTCCCAGGCTCTGTCCTGTTCTTTGCCCAGTCCTTGCCGCACTTGCTCAGTTTCCACTCATAATGGCATTCAGCCACTAGCCTTTCTTGAGCATCAACTTTAACTTAGACACTGCACCAGCTGCCTTATATACATCACCCCTACTGTGCAAGATGGGCTTGCAAATTAGGATTACCACTCTCATCTACAAATGAAGAAACTGAAGTCCACAGGGGTTAGGGGCTCCCCTGATAAGAAACAGCTAGTGAGTGTTGGAGCTAGGATGTGAACCCAAGTGTTAAAAATCTATGCTGTTTTCGTTCCACGACAAACATAAGAAATTCACCTCTACACACTACCCTGGACTTTCCATAGCACATTCACATCTGTCCCCAAATCCAGTCTCTGGTAATAACTTTTATTGATCACTTACTCTATTCCAGGCCCTGTTCTAAGTGCTTTAATTTTCACAAAAATACTAGGTGAATATAAGATAATAGAGTCAGATTTTCAAATCTGTGTATGTGTGTGTGTGTGTGTGTGTGTGTAGATAGCTTGCTGTTCTTCTTTGCCACATTAGGATGCATAGTTGTCCAGATTTAACATATGAGGGCTCTAAAAAGGACATACATGCATCACTTCCATGAAAGAAGCTATTTTCTGCATTTTATATTCAGATAATTTTTCAGCTAACACTGACATTTTCCAGCAAGCTAGCCCCATAGCTAAACCTTACCATCTAAGTAGACCAGGTATAGCCCACTAAAAACATTGTGAATATAAGGACTCTCCCTTATTGTTCTGCTAATAAATACCATCATGAGGTTGGGGTAGGAAGTTTATGTGGAGAATGGACACGGCCATTTATTTCCCTGGTTTCTGTCTGTCTGTCCTAGAGGATAGAAGATGGTTTATAGATCAGCTGCTAAATCCTTCCTTCCCAAACTAATCCTTTTTTTTTTTTTTTTTCTTGAGACAGAGTCTCACTCTGTTGCCCAGGCTGGAGTGCAGTGACGCGATCTCAGCTCACTGCAAGCTCCGCCTCCCGGGTTCACGCCATTCTCCTGCCTCAGCCTCCCAAGAAGCTGGGACTGCAGGCGTCCACCATCACGCCTGGCTAATTTTTTTGTATTTTTAGTAGAGATGGGGTTTCACTGTGTTAGCCAGGATGGTCACGATCACCTGACCTCGTGATCCGCCTGCCTCGGCCTCTTATAGATGAAAAAACCAATATTCAGAATGATCCAGTAATTTTTCCCAAATCACATAGCTAAGAGGCAAATGCTAGATTTAAATCTTCACCATCTTGTCCTAGAACCTCAGCTCTTTGCTAAAGATTGAGTGGAATTATGCCCATTTTGAAATTTACTTGCAAGGTTAAAAACTATTCCAAGGAGAAATGGCCTACACAGAGAATTGAGGATAAGGGGAGGGGGCTCCTGCTTTTATCTTCCCAGGATGGGGTTACTCTTGATCCTCATAAATCAGTCCTGTTTGTGTCTATGTGGAAAGAAATACTTTTGTCTTTTGTTTCTAGTTGTCAGATCAGCTTGGCTGAGGATGAATTAAAAGCATGTTGATTTTCATGGTTCCAGCCATTCCTGCTTCAGGTATTATCTCAATGCAGAGGTCAAGAACAATCTTTGGTCTTTGTCTCTTAAATTCAAAGACACCTAAATCATAGCACTTGGTTTTGAAATGAAGTCTGTGCTGACACATGCAGATCTTCACAATTAACTGAGGCGGAACACAACATGGGAATGACTTCAGCGCTGGAGGGAGGTCATCTGGCAGATGAGGAAACCTTCCAGGGGCTGAGATGAATTAGAATTAAGGCATCCCAAGTTTGGAAAAGACCGTAAAGATGTTCTAGTTCAGTCATTTATCAGAAGCTTAAGTCCTAGTCATGGTTTCCCTGCCAGGAATTCCTTCAGCCATGGCTTGATTGCATCTATTGACAGGGAACCCACTGCCTCACAAAACAGGCAATTCAATTGTCCACAGGTCAGATTTGGTCCCTGGCCTAGTTTGTGTGACCCACCAGCAAAGAATGGCTTTTGCATTTTAAAAGGGGGAAAGAAAGAATGCATGCCAGGGACCACATGTGGCCTGAAAAGCCTAATATATTTTCTTTCTAACTTTTTATTTTAAACATGTGTCAACCCCTGCTATAGTTCCTCAGCTCTGAAATTTGGAACTTGGGAGAGGGCTAGCTGGTGAGGTAGGGAAGGAGGAATTTCCAGGCAGTGAGAGCAGCCACTGCCAGAATATAGGAAGAAGTTCATGTCAAACGAACCTTAAATAAACCATCAGAGCCACAGCAGTGGTGCTCAAACATTGCTCAGTCACCTGGGAAGCTTTTAAAGCCCTGGTGCTCAGGCTGCACTGAAGGCCAACCAAGACATAATCTTGGAGGGCTAGGGCCCAGGCTTGGCATTTTCTAACACTGCATGATTCCAAGGTGCAGCCAAGTTCAAGAACCACTGGGCTAGAGCAGTTTTTAAACCCTGGCTGAATATATTACCATCACTTGGTGGCTTAGAAAGAAAACCAAAGCAAACATTGATATTCAGGCCTCATCTGATGACAGCTAAGTGCTCGTCAGGAACCACTCCCCGGAGTGCAGGGTGAGACACAGAGGAGGAGTCAGGAGATAAGCTAGAAGCAAATCTCAGAGCGTCTTGGCTGTTGCACTAAGGATTTGCGGTTTTATGGAACTCACTAGAGGTCTGTTGGGGAGTCTGTGTGCATGAATTTCACAGGGCAGACCTGCAGTGAGAAGAAACTGGAGGCAGAGACACCAGCCAGGGGCCTGGAGCAGCCAGCCCAGGGCAGTTATCTGGGACAGTGCCACCCCTGCAAAGGTGTGGGCATTGCCACTATGATAAGTGCAGGTCATGAGGGCAAGAAAGCTGTATGTTTCATGGTGTGATTTAATGCTTCTCGAGTTATCTTTTTCCATAACAGCTGTTTTCCCAGAAGAAACGGTAAATGTCAGCATTGTATCTGAGTGAAAAGTTGACCTTCTTCCCCACCCATGCACACAAACAAGCCAGATTGGACTCATCTGCATATCTGCCTGAAGTTCTTTGCTAACCAAAAATCACTAAGCTTAGCCTTCTCTGTTTTTTTTTTCCTAAGCCCTCCCAAGACTTTTTGCAATGATCCTGATTCTGTTCCAAGTGTTTGCAACTGTGGCTTTCTTTTGACTGTAGAACATGCTGCATTTCCAGGGCTTTAAATGCTGGGCTCCCCATCAGTGTCTATGGGACTCCCTGGAGGGAAGGCCACCTGCACCTCCCAATCCCAGATCACCTGTCAGCCCCTGCCCTCCGCTTCCTCAATCCATCTTCAACCCCCTGTGTTGACCCAGCACCTGGGCCTCGCTGGCTAGCAATGACTTTAGCCACAAGATGGACCAGGGTTTAGAAGCTTCATTTAAACTCACATTGAGAGTGTACAGTTTAAAGCCTCAGGGAACTTACCTGTCTAAGAAAAGCTGCCACTTAGACCATGAGACCATCTTGCATCTTCCTAAGTGGACAGGGAAGAGCAAGTCCCCAGGGGAGCCACCCGGGAAAGTGTGGCAGGAAGATGCTCAGAGCTGAATGGCAGAGAGACTCATGGGCCTGCTCTCCATGATTAAAGAAGAGGGATGGATCTCCCAGGAGAGGGCCAGGAGGCCGCCTGAGGCAGCTTCTGTGAGGAACAGGTCGATGTAAGAAGACTTGACAAGGAGTTGAAATTAGGTGAAAGCAAAGAAAGAAAACAAGAGAGGCAGTTTCCTGCTGCATATTTTATTTGTGTGCATAACCCCAAGGCAGTGGCAGGGAAGTCTAATAAATGAGGCAAAATAAAAGAGCTTCACCTTTTAAAAAAAGAAGATCGTTGCCAAAATGTGTCAATTCCAGTTTTAAAAATCACATGAAGCCCTGACTCTGTGCCTGGCACCAAGTTAAGTCCTCTATGGGGAGTTTGTGTTTAAATGGAGTGGACAGATGCAAACAAGATGGAGCGGTAAGGCCACTGCCATTATCAAGGTGCGAATTAAGGTCTGAGCACCCCAGAAGATGGAGCGGTCCTGATGGAAGATGCCTCAGCACATACCTTGCTTGGAAAAAGGACCCCTCTGGAAAGACTGCAGGGGCGTATCAGCATTTGACAGAACCTATGTGGTCGTCTCTGCCTGCCCTGCCTGCCCTCCCTCTCTATCCCGCATTCTCCCTGCACTGCAGCCATCTGGAGCCACAGGCAGCTGCCCCCTGCCCCACACGCACAAACACACACACACACACACATACACACATAAATACACACACACACACACGCTTCATGGTCTCAGCCTTTGCATGTGCTATTTCCCCTCTTGCAACAACCACCCTTATTCATCCATTTGAGGTGTGGCTTCTCATCTTCAAAAAGTCAGCTCATACTGCATCTTGAGACTTTCTTAGAAACAGCCCGCCCCTCTGGGCTCCCACAGCCCCCTAGATTAACTCCTAGTGTATCCCCACCCCCACCCCATTACAATGGCCATGGTTGGTCAGTCCTCCTAACATCAGGGACTGCTTCAAAGACAAGAACCTTGTTTCTATCACCTGTATCCAAACACACAGCCTGACAGTGGGTCAGCACTCAATAAATGCTTGTATTTTTCATGAATTCATTCAAAACATACTCATTAAGTTCCTACTGTGTGGTGTGTGGTGTTTTCTACCACCACAGCTCACACCAAATGTGTGTGTGTATTTTGACACCAAACACATGTTTTCCACACCACCTCTTCAATTTGTCTCCACCAACAACTGGGTGTCCAACAATTCAGCTCAATTCTGACACTGCCTCCCCAGAGTGTCAGAAAGAGTTAAAGGGTTCAATCCCACAAGACTGCCCTCACTTCAGACACCAACCAAAAACAGAGTCCCAGGGAGCCGGCACTTCTGCTCTGCTGACTACAAATTCAGGGGTTCCCAAGGCTACCCTCAGGTTTGATAATTATTTGCTAGCATGACTCCCAGAACTCAGGAAAGTGCCCTACTTACAATTACAGCTTTATTATAGAGGCTGCAACTCAGAAACAGCCAAGTGGAAGAGAGGCATACAGAAGGTATGGGGGTGCATCACGGGGCATGGAGCTTTCATGCCCTCTGTGGATACACCAGCCTCCCAGCACTTCAGTGCGTTTACCAACTGGGAAACACCTCAACCCCATCATTTAGACGTTTCTATGGAGGCTCCATTATATAGGCATGATTGATTCCATCACTGGCCACTGGTGACTGAACTCAGCCTGCAGCCCCTCTCCCTTCCTTAGAGGCTGGAAGATGGAGCTGAAGGTTCCAACCCTCCAAGCATGGCCAGCGCTGCCTTGAAACCATCTAATGACCCACCTGAGTCACCACATTAGGGGTTCATTATAAATGACAAAAGCCACTCTTGTTACTCCAGAAATCCCAAGGCTTTTAAGAAATCTGGGCCAAAAACTAGGGACAAAAATCAAATATATATATATTGCAATTTTATATATATATATATGTGTGTGTGTGTTATGCCACAGTGCCAGCCCTGGGCTGGGAGTTGAAGATAAAAGGATGAGCAAGACAGTGTCTCTACCCCCACAGAGGAAGAGGAGAGGGACAGGGCACAGTTGAGAATGACCACTATAGACATTCTATAGGAGGAAGGGGGCTGGCACTCTCAACTGCATTGGCTGCTGGCCCCGGCTGACCCCGAGGAGGAAACCCTCCTGCAAACAGTGTTGAGAATCCCAGCCAGGCTCTTAGGATTGCACACAGCAGGTGTGCCCCAACAGGAGCCTGGTGAGATCCAGAAGGGGTAAAGGCTGTGTCCAGCAGACCCAGAAGAGCCTGGGACAGGAAGATGGCAGGAGCATCAGATAACATAAAGAGTCAAAGCCACCCACTTGTATGACATTATCTCAATGCCAGGCCTGCACCTGCAACATCTGGAAAGAAGAAACCATGAAACATCCTGGCCCTGCCCTGCAAGTGAAAGGGCTCAGTCCTTTAACTCCTCCTATGCTGGAGGAGCCCACAGAAGAGACAGACCTGGGAATGAATAAGTATTGCTTACTGGATTTACAGGAGGCAGGAGAGGGAAAAAAGAAGGAACCCATGTGTGTCAAATGCCTGGGATTCGTCCAAACATTGTTCATACATGATCCCTTTCAATTCTCTCATGCCAGCAAGGTTGAATCCATGATCTCAAAAGAGGCAAGGTGGAGTCCAGACTCAACCCTAGATATGTCTGCCTCTGAATCTCCTGCCAGGGGGGCAGGCACTACCCCAAGTTGGGTGGGAGGGCTCTGTGCACCAGCCTGCACTGCCCCAAGAGGGAGCTCAGCCAGCAGACAGCAAGGTCTCCCTGCCTGGGATGGGGTGCTTAGGCAGGTACGGGCACATTCTTACTTGTTGAATGAATAAACAAGTGAATGAACAAATAATAGATGAAAGAAAGAACCCTATCCGTGGCCTTGGCCTCACCCCAATTACCTTAAGTATCCCAGCACTTTAGGGGGAGTCGAATCAGATGTCTCCTTTCCCCTCAAAAGTTAGGGAATTGTGTGCAAAGCAGAATGACAAATTGCTTTCTAATCCTCCGGACCAAGCAGAAAGTATTGCATAGAAGGAATAAATATATGCACATTAAAATAACTATAGCTATAAGTTAAGAGACATAATGACACCAACTTGGCATATAGTCATAATTTTTGAAAAACTGTTTAATGAAAATTAAATGGAAATGTCTCACAAATCTAGACTTAAAACTAAATAGTAGCCATTGCTCAGGACACATCAATGTCTCTAAAATGAATTCGTACAGAAGGTGAGAATTAACTCCAGCATTGGTGCTAGTCCCTGTCTAGAAACAAAGACTCAGACTCCACACCCATTACCACACAGGCTTTTAGGGAAGGGACTTAAAAGATGAGCTATCTAAAACTACCCTGTGAACTCTAAACTATTATATAAATGTGAAATTTCATCCAGGTCCAGCAGGAATCAGGGAATCAGGAGATACAGTCAAGAGGGTTTTATTTGTTTGTTTGCTTGTTTGTTTGTTTGTTTTAGAGATAGGGTCTCGCTCTGTCACCCAGGCTGAAGTGCAGTGGTGTGATCATGACTCACTGCAGCCTCCACCTCCTGGACTCAGGCTATCCTCCCACCTCAGCCTCCTGAGTAGCTGGGACAAGTGCATGCCACCATACCTGGCTACTTTTTAAATTTTTTTGTGGGGATAGAGTCTTGCTATGTTTCCCAACCTGGTCTGGAACTCCTGGGCTCAAGTTATCCTCCCACCTTGGCCTCCCAAAGTGCTGAGATTACAAGCATGCACTGCCAGGATTTTAAAAGCAGTTCTGTGAATGGACTATTTATAGCCCTGTGGGTAGGGATAGGGAACCAGAGAGAGATGGAGGCCCCTTGGGACGAACAACAGTGGGAAGCTTCAACCACCTCAGGGGTAAACTAATTTTCATTAAATTTCTCCATAACAGAAGAATATAAACACTAAGAAGTAAGATTTCATCAGGTAGGGCTAAGCTTTTGCAGCTCTGCAAACCATTGTGATATTTAAGACTTCTTGCCACCTCCCAAGAACCAGTTCTCACCCCTGTCGACAAAGCATGGCAGAGATTCATTTCCGCTTTTATCAAAAACTATTTTGAGATTCTGAGAACCAAACAGGCAAATTCAACAATGTGATGTGCTCTTGCCTATGGCTTTGTTTGGTGCCCCATGTCAGACCCCACACTCTGATGTCCTTTTACAGGGCAATGCCCAGTGCCAATGGAGGTTAAGTCAATAACATTGTAATTAGTCCTTCAGCCCTGGGAGCACAAAGAGGAATAAGAAATGTCCCAATCAGGAGCTTGGAGTTCAGTTTCCAAGTAAAGAAGAGGAAGAAGTAGTCATTGGCTTTGTCACTGGGGGGAAAAGGGGAGGTGGATAGAGGAAGTTGAGACTCAGAGCGGTTAAGAGCTTTACCTGGATTACACAGCAGTGAACCACAATTCCACTTCCTATCAGTTTGACTCCAGAGCCAGAGTTCTTAAGGTCTACAATAGGCAACTAAGCTAAAGGCAGGTCCCAGGTACTAAGGGAGCACAGAGGAGATGTGTGTCTGGGTGAATGGATGTCAGGTTACCTAGAGGAGGTACAACTTAGACTGATTTCTAAATATCGAGTCAGAGCAAGCAGAGCCACCAAGTATGGGTTCTCAGGGTGTGCACTGCACAAGAAGACATTTCTAAAGACACAGCATCCCATCTGAGACAGACGCTAACCTATGGCCATTTCTAAAGACACAGCATCCCATCTTAGACAGAGAGTAACCTATGGCCATTTCTAAAGACACAGCATCCCATCTTAGACAGAGAGTAACCTATGGCCATTTCTAAAGACACAGCATCCCATCTTAGACAGAGAGTAACCTATGGCCATTTCTAAAGACACAGCATCCCATCTTAGACAGATGCTAACCTATGGCCATTTCTAAAGACACAGCATCCCATCTTAGACACTAACCTATGGCCATTTCTAAAGACACAGCATCCCATCTTAGACAGAGAGTAACCTATGGCCATTTCTAAAGACACAGCATCCCATCTTAGACAGACGCTAACCTATGGCCATTTCTAAAGACACAGCATCCCATCTTAGACAGACGCTAACCTATGGCCATTTCTAAAGACACAGCATCCCATCTTAGACAGACGCTAACCTATGGCCATTTCTAAAGACACAGCATCCCATCTTAGACAGACGCTAACCTATGGCCATTTCTAAAGACACAGCGTCCCACATTAGACAGACACTAACTTATGGCCATTTCTAAAGACACAGCGTCCCACATTAGACAGACACTAACTTATGGCCATTTCTAAAGACACAGCATCCCACCTTAGACACTAACCTGTGAGAACATGGGTGCCGATGTGGGGATGTGAGGTCTCCCAGCCAGGTTCTGACACAACAGGACTGCACCATCTCCTACATCAACTCACAAGCAAAACAGTCATGCACACAGCTGGGATTACACAACATCCACATATACTGATTCACACACATGCACATACACACATGTGCACTCCGTTCTCCAGATGGCCTCTGAGCTTCCTTTCTAGCCCACTCTCAGAGGCCTGATTCTCATCCTCTGCGCGGTTCCAAAACTGGCATGGTGCTCCACTTTGTGGGAAGGGCACAGAGCTTAGGTGTACACTGGCTCACGGGTGGGGTAAGCAGACAGCTGTGGGGGTACACATGTGCATCTGCAGGGCTGCTGCCATCAGAGAGGGCATCTGGAGAACTCCCCTGGCAAGGCTGGGCCTGGCCACAGGGTGTGATCATTCTGTTTATTCAATAATGTACTAACTTGTAAAATATTTTATTTGAGAAAGGGGCATTTTTTTTTAATAGCAAAAGTGCCATTTGAGCTAGAAGTGGACCTGGAGGTAGCCAGCTAAAGGGAAAAGGAGGAATGTCTGAGTAGAGGACAGACATCAGAGAGGATGCTAATGGAAGCCTAGGACACATGTAAAACTGGAGAGACGCTCTGGAGTAAAAGGGCCTCAGGGGACATCAGGGTGCAGGGAAAGTGGTGGCCAGATCATCGTGGGCCTCACAGGCTGAAATAATTAAACTTTGTCCTTGTGGAAGTGGGCAGCCACCAAAGAATTTTGAGCTGGGACATAGCATTATCACACTGGTGTTTAAAAAGTCTGCAGAGGAGGGAATAAACCAGAGGTAAAATGTGGAATATGGGAGAGGCTTGGGAAGAGTGAATTCAGAAAGATCACTAAGGAATTTGTATCGGTTAGCTATGACTGTGTAACAAATAACCGCCAAGCCTCATGGATTAAACAACAACCAGTTATTATTGCTCGCAAGAGTTAGTCAGTGTGGCAGTTTTGCTCTTCTGGCCCAGGCTTCTTTGATCTCAGCTAGATGATTTCCTCCTATCTACATCCAGCTGGCAGGTCATCTGGGCACCAGCTAGTCCAAAGTAGCCTCACTCATTGGTCTGGCACTGAGAAGGGTAACTTGACCACATGTCCATCACTGTCCCACAGACTAGACCAGGTTTGTTTATATGATGGTGGCAAAGTTGCAAGAAAAGAAGGGGAAGTGTGCAAAACTGCCTGAGGCCTGGGCTTGGAACTCCACACTATTTCTGCTGCATTCTATCAGCCAAAGCAAGTCACAAAGCCCGCCCAGATTCAAGGGATGGGGAAAGACTTTCCCTCCCATTGGAGGGGCTGCAAAGAACTGTGGCTATTCTACAATTGCCTGGAGGCAGTAACTGTAGAATAGGCAAGAGATGAGAATTATGGGCTTTCCTTCACTTACCCCCATTCCACAAATAATCACTGAGAGCCTACTAGAAAGTGGGCCTCCTTCTAGGCCTGGAGATGCAGTGGAGGAGCAAACACACAAACACACACACTCACATGCATGTGCACACACATAGAGTCTCTGCCCTTAGGGATCTTACCTTCAATAACAGTCATGGGTCAGGGTCCCCACTGGGAACATATGGTACACTCAAACTGGAGTATTCTGAGGAATGTTCAATAAGGACACAAATTGCTATGGTGCAAAAAGGCTATAGGGGAATGTTGAAGACCTTGACCATTCCAGCAGTCTCAACATATTATGGTCATTTCCAAGGGTCCACCCCTCTAGCTGTTAGCTGTGAAGAAAACAAAGCAACTTAATGAAAGTTAATTCATCAAAAGTCAATGCACTGAGAGGTCACATTGCTGAAAGTCAAATCATAGAGAAACACAATTTGCTGGATTTACCTTATCTCTTTTAACTATTTATGAACAATGTACATTTTTGTGCATAGAATGGAATGGTTCTAACAGCTTTGATCAGTTTCTAAGTTCTTCATCATGTCTGCGTAGTGAATTCTGTAGAATGTTTTTTTTGTTGTTGTTCCTTCTGCTTCAGTTCCCTGTTGTTATAGCTGGAGGTTAGTAAACAGAGAGAAGCCTCAGCCAAGTGGCATAAAATATACTTTTATCCACAAAAAGAATATATATATCTTTCCCTTTCCAAATCCATTTTATTCCAGAAATTTATGCATACAACAGGAAATAGGATTTGGATAGCAAGCGATATAGCAACACATTTATCGAATTTATTCATTCAAGCGTTTGGAAAACAGGAGTCTGGATAGCAAAGGTTCAGATAGTGAGAGGGATTCCTGCACATTCACAGACTGGGTTTCTTTTGTTAACATATTTTTATTCAAAAATGCATTTACCAGTCTTTGCTTTTTGATGAATTGACCTTGAGCTGACAATGTGACTTTCATTCATGGCATTTCTGAGCCCTCATTCCTGGCCAGGACACAGAGGTACCACATCCCACTGCACCCTGCCCCAACTCACAGGAGAGATGGTCTGGGATGCTCTTGGAATTTTGCTGTGACTTTCCCAAAATCTACAGTAAGTTGGACAAGTCCCTGTCCCTCTCTGGCCTCAGTTTCACCATCAGTGAAATGAGGGGATGAACCAGATTAAGGGCTCTCTAACTACATGGCTGCACTTCAGAACCCCCTTCCCTGGGGAAACATCCCCCACCCGGGTCCCTGGATGAGGAGGGACCTCATCCAGGTTCTGCTGAGGAGGCCTAGGGACAGCATTTCCACATATTTCCTGAATGATTCCTCAGCAGCCATCCCAGCCCAAGCCACTTTCCTGAGCATGGAAGCCTCCAGAATTGGTGGCCAGATCTACCAACCTTGTGGCTGTGCAATTCACCTCATTCAATCCTCATGGCAGCCCAGGAGACAGACCATCTTATTCCCACTTTGCACATGAAGGGCTGAGTTTCTGAGAGGTCATAACTCATAGGTTTTATGGGGCAGGTGCCCCTGAAGTCAGTGGGTTGGCAGTGTTTGTGCTCTTAGCTACTGTAATGGGTTGAGTAGTATCCCCCAAAGATTCTTGTTCTCTCAGAACCTCAGAATGTGACCTTGGTTAGAAATAAGGTCATTGCAGATTACTCAGTTAAGGATCGCAAGATGAAGCCATCCTGGATTTAGGGTGGCCCCTAAATTCAATGTCTGGTGTCCGTATAAGACAAGGAGAGGACACAGGGAAGAGAAGGGCATATGAAGGTGGAGGCAGAGATTAGAGCGAGCGATGCATCTAGAATCAAAGGAACACCAAGGATTGCCAGCAGCACCAGAAGCCAGGAGAGAGGCGTGGATGGTTTCTCCCTCAGAGTCTGCAGAGAGAACCAACTCTGCCAACACCTTGATTTTAGACTTCTGCCTCTAGAACAATGACAGAATAAATTTCTGTTCTCCTAAGACCCCATGTTTGTGGTGATTTGTGACAGAAGCCCTAGAAAACGAATATAGCCACTAAGTTGGCAGGAAAGTATTTCCTAATCCTCTACATAGCTGTAGATGCAGGGTACCAGGGCTTTGGAAATGAGTGATTTCCACCATCTGACTCTTAATGCCAAACAATGGTGAGTGGGCAAGCTGCCTGCCAAGGTTATGGTGCACTTTCTGCTTTTTCAAGAAGACCAGGGAACTTTTAAAATTAATAATATTATCTTCCAAGCCAGGCACAGTGGCTTGCACTTATAATCCTAATGCTTTGGGAGGCCAAGATAGGAAGATCTCTTGAGTCCAGGAGTTGAAGGTTGCAATGAGCTAAGATTACACCAATGTACTGCAACTGGGGTGACACAGCAAGACCCCACACACCCCCCAAAAAAATCTTCCTAAGTTAAGCACTTGGTCAGCGCTAGATACTTGGCCACACTCACCCTAATCCTTACAAAGTCTCCGCAAGGAGACCCTCCTCTCCCCATGAGGACACCACAGCTCCAGGGAGCCCTGCTTGGGCCACATCTCATGGCACATAGTTTAGGTGGCCCAGCCAGGATTTGAACGCATGCCTGCCCAACTCCAAAGTCTCCTTTTTCCAGCCGTTCTCCCTTGCATTTTCACATGTTCGGTTTTAGTACTTATCACTTTCCCGCAGCCTATGGCAGAGTTAATTAGTGAGCTTATCGCCTGAAACTTGAATGCGAAAACGTGGCAGTGTTCCTTATGATTTTTTGCCAAAACCCTCCAGAAAACCTCTCCCCTCAGAAGCAGTCCAAGCAAATGCTGCTCTGAGAAAGATTTTGAGCCCTTCAAAGTTTTGGTGCGTATGCTGGGGTTTTCAACAGAAATGTAGAAAACCTCAAAACTGGCTCTGCAGTCCTTGAAATCAGTGACACCTGTCAGGCTCATAGGTCTTTCTCGTGGTTTCTGTCAGCAGCTGTCTTCCTCTTCACTGTCACTTGGGCAATCCCTGGGAATCCAGCTGAGGAATTTGTCACTTAATTATTCCTTGCAGCTGCTGAGATGGTGAGAACACAGTCCTCTGTTGGGCTGTATCCATTTCCTGTGGCTGCTGTGACAAAGTTCCACAAATGACAGCAATGTGTTCTCCCACAGTTCTGAGGCCAGAAGGCAGAGATCGAGGCTTCAGTAGGGATGCAGTGCCCCTGCAGAGGCTCTGAGGGGAGTCCCTTCCACACGCCTCTCCTGGCCTCTGGCAGCTGCCAGTGCTCCTTGGCTTGTGGCCACATCACTACACAGTCTCTGCCTCCACCTTCACAGGCCTTCCCCTATGTGTGCATCCCAAAACTCCATCTTCCACACTCTTACAAGGACATGTGTGATTGCATTTAGGACCCAGGTCCTCCTCTCAACATCCTTAACCTAATCATATGTTTGCCATTTGAGTAATATTTGCACACTCCAGGATGAGGACATGGATGTATATTTGTGGGGCCACCACTCAGCCCACTGCACTGGACTAGAGATAAGCATCTGTTTTCTCATATGCTTTGATAAACACTTTGGCCTCCTCTACCAAAAACAGTTCATTCAAGTTAGATCCTAGTCTATTGGACACCTACTTACTGTCTGCCAGTCACTGTGCTAGGTCTAAGCTACAGAGATGAGCAGAGGACAGCCACCAGACCCTTGGGAGAAAGATTGGCGTAAAATCAAATAAGAGTAATAATTGACATATTGCCAAGCCATCCCATCTGCCTGGTGTGTCAGATAAGAGTCCCAGAGCAGGAAATGGTTGGCCGTGGTCTAGCAAGGTGAGCAGGGAGGAGTTCACTGGGCAAATGTGAGGAGGGGGCATTGTAAGAGGAAGGAGGAGCACAGGAGCCCAGGGCCAGAGGCAGGAGACTGACACTGTGCCTGGAATTGGGAACCAGCAGCTGGTGAAAGTGCAAAGGTAGACAGAAATTAGAACACAGAAGGCCTTAATGTGTAGAACTGCCCTGAAGCCAGTGGGAAGCTACTGTTGGGTTTTAAGCAGGAGGCATGGACTGACCAGGTTTGCATGTGAGAATTGATTCTAGAAGCTGGGTGGAGACGGAGGTTGATGCTGAGACCTGAGGCTGGAGACCACTCCCCCGTTCCATCCACTTCTCAGCCTCCGTTTTCTCTGTGGAAAAGTCCAGATCCCGACTTATACTGTCTCTGTCTTACGGATTAGTGTGAGAGTCAAATGAGATCATTATTGCCAATAGGCTCTGTCAATACATAGAATTTAGTTGACCATTTTCATTGTCTTCACTTGTGGGTTAAATAAACACTAAAATAAAAACATCAGGGAGCCTGGCTGAGCAGGGAATAACCTCTTGGAGGAAGGAAAACATTCCCCTTTATATGTCAGCAACTTTGACCCTAGAGGGAATCAGAACCCATGCCTTTGGGGGGTGTTCCTGCAGACACAGAGCTGTTCTCCCCCTGGGAACCTCACCACTGCTCAAAATGTAATGCAAACATGAACTGACTTAGTTATCTCAATGTTCAAACTTGAAAAAAAATAAACATTATGTTCCAAAATCTTCAGCATTCGTCACAAAATTGCTGAGGGGAGAAGTTCTGCTCTGGGCTTATGAAGCGCTCAGTTAATCCCACAGGTATGGGGGTTCCTGGGGTGACAGAGGGAGAGCTTCAAGCTGGCTGTCAGCTCCACAGACAATTCACTTCTCATATCCCCTATATATGAGCTCCTCAACAGGTGACAACTGGGGTGCAGAGGACTCTAGGGACTTTCTTGTTTAGTTTATGCCATTTTATGAAGGTGCAGGTACCCAATTGAAATAAATGGGTGGATAGCATTTCCCCTTCAGGGTAGTAAACAATTCTGGGGAAGAAGCCCTGGTTAGCTGGATGCTTTAAAGTCAAGGGCTTTCCAGCCAGGCAGGAGTTGATTATTATCAGGTCACCTGGCTTCTAATTACATGATGGGCCACCTGCCCAAGGGAGTTTATGGGAACAGCTGCCTGCCCTGCCACAGTGGACTAGTGAAGGCACCAGGCTGCACTGCCAGGCGACTCTGAGGTCAGAACACTCCTGAGCCCCTCCTCTGGGCATGGCCCCATCAGAGATGAGTGGCGCTCTGGTAAGGGAGACAGATGGAACTTGACTAATGCCCACCAGAACAGACCGCTTTCTCCAGCAGGAACATAGCAGAGGGCTTGGAGGACAACAGAGGAGGGCATGGGACTATCCCGGGTCAGGCGCAAATCCACCACTTGGGGATCTTTCAGCTCCAAGGCTGACAGAGGCTAAAGACACGCCTGGTGGAGAAGTCAGCATGGGCAGAATTGCCGAGGTGTGACTGTGCAAGGCACGTTCTCAGAGGCCTGTAATTGAGTGTGTCTGGGCAGTGCATTCCAGGGCCTCGGGTGGGGGGGGCACGCATGTGAGTTGCATGTGTGAATTCACTCCCACCAGTTCACAGAATGGGATCAGCATGCAGAGGCTTAATGTTTAGTCCCCTGCATAGGGGGGCAGTCCATTAGATCTCAGGAATATTATTTCAACCCCTACATCGTTTTAAGCAGTTGATCATTAGCCCATCTCTCTCCCAGGCAGTCAGGCAGTCAGACCTCCATCCACGGTGTCCCCAGCTCTCAGGGGGTAGTGTGAGTCCCTCTTCCCAGGCTTGGGTTGAGTGAGGCTCCCCTGTACTCCCCATGATGGGGCGAGGGAAAGGGGCTTATGGCTTAGCAATAGCCGCCCGTCTATCTCTACAGAAATCTTCCCTGCTTCTCCGCTTTCTCTTCCATTCCTAATGTCAAAATAATCATCATCATCTTCTTCATCATTATCATCATTATCACCAATACTATTTATTGAGTACTTATTATGGGCCAAGCATGGAATTAAGTACTTTACCTGCATTATCTCCTTTCACAAGAAACTCAAGAGTTAGTTGAGAAAGAAAGGGAGACATTCTACTCCAGCCGCCTCAGCTGACATGAGAAACCCACATGGCTGCAGAGAGTGCAGGCTGGGTTGGGGAGCGGAACCAGGCCTTGAAGGAAACACTGCGTCTACTTTCTTTCTTCTTTAGCAGCTTTAATTACCAAGCTCTTATGGAAGCTGAGGGAATTGGCATTAACTCTGTTTCAATTTGTACTTTTGCAAATGAGATGTAGTTACATGACAATGATTCACTTCTGTGAGGTGTCAAAAATAAACTGCTAGGATGGAAAAGTGCCCATTGCATTCACACGCTGCCCATTGTTTTTCTGTTAAACTGAGGAAAGGCAAGATTCACGCTGACAAAAAGTTCTTGAAGGACTACTGTTCGTCTCCCCATATTGGGAGCAGTGTGACCAGCATTCAGGAGATTCTAGGCTCCAAAAGTGGATGTGTAAAGAACAAAAGATGATTTTCCCAGACAGCCAACATGAAGTGGGGAGGACTGTGAGCTCAGAGTCCACCCACCATGGTTGGAATTCTCCATGCAACCAGTAGAGTGGTGCTGGCCTGTTCCCACCCTCATGCATCAGTTTACCCACATGTAAAATGGGTGCTAGGTGCTGTGAGGAGACAACATACATGAAGCGAGTTAGATGCAGCTCACACGCATGGATGGGGAGTACGTCCAAGGTGCTGGCTGCCACTGCTTTCCTCACAGCTCCTGCCTTAGGAGGAGTAATGGCAGCATCGTCCCCGTATCCATGGATGTGCCATTTTGCCTGGGATCCCAGGTCTCAGCCCCATCTTCCTTCCCCAGTTCTCGGGTTGTCACTGACATGAGCGTGAATACTGGGCAGTTGTAGAAAGAACAAGGAGGCACGTGTGACTGGAATGGAATCAACAGGGTCAAAGTGAAGGAAAACTAAGAGAGCAGGAAGGAAGCAAACTCCATGGCCACAGAGCTTGGTCAGTTCAGCAGCTGGATTTCAAATGCAATGGGAAACGCTTGGCGGGTTTGCATCAGAGGACAGACTTCATCTCAATTCTATTTCAAATGATCACATGGGCTGTTGTGTGGATTAACATATTGGAGGAGGTGTGCCCAGAGTGTTCTCAACAGAGGGGAGCTGCCCTGAGCCAGATCTTTCAATAATAATAATAATAATATTAATAATAATAATGGTATAATAATAATACAATAGTAATTAGCATCCATGTTCATATCCATTCTGTTGGATCAGTGCACCCATTTTACAGATGAGAAAGCTGGGGAATAAGTAACGGGCCCTGCATATTGCAGTCAGTATCAAAGCAAGGACTGGGGCCCTTTCCCCCATGCCACAAGTCCCTCCTTGCCCTCCTGAATGGCTTGAGGAATGAAACCACTACCTGGAGGCAGAGGGGTCCTGGGTGAAGTGCTCGGCTGTGCCTCACTTCTCTGTATCACATCCTTGCGTCTGGGAGCCATATGCTTTGAAATGCTCTGTTTGCCAAAATGGCAAATCATGGGCCCCGGGGCCAGATTCCTGCAAACCAGTGTTCCTGCAGGGACCTTGGGCTGTCTCATCAATCCAATTGTGGCAAATCTTCAAAGACCGTCTAACAAAACCAGCTCCTGCCCACTCCCTTCCTTTATGTCCTGGAAAGGGTGGGAAACCCAGCCCTGCCATGTGGCATCGAGAGAAAGACATGAGCTTGGGTCAGACACAGGCTACACCTCCAGCCATGTGTGATGTCTTTGGAAAGTCACCAGCCTCCCTAAGCCTCCACCTTGAGAGCTATTATGCAAGAAGAACTATATAAAGACTGCTAAGCGATATGTATGGTGCCTGGTACACAGAAGGTGCTTAGTGAGTTTGAATTTCCTTCTTTGCCTCCTTGCCTTTATTAAGGCAGATTTAAATGTACTCTGTAACAATATAAATTATAAATTCAGAGTTCTAGAAAGAAATGATAAATGGTCTCATACAAATTTGTTTTGTTCACAAACCCACCAAAAGGATGAGCACGTGATAGTTTAATGATGCCATTACATGACTTACTAGAGAAAAATCTATGACAGGGTCTCTCGACTTCAGCACTTCTGGCATTTGGAACTGGAAAGTATTTTGTTGTTGGGGGCTCTCCCGCGCATGGTCTGATGTTGAGCAGCATTCTTGGCTTCTGCACATTAGCTGATAGGTGCACCTACCTTTAGCTGTAATAGCCAAAAATGTCTCCAGACATTGCCAAATGTTCCCTGGGGGCAAAATCACTCCTGGCTATGAACCGCTGTTCTAACCTGGTGTTTTGGAAGAAGCATAGGCTTGGGACTCAGACCAGTCTGGCTCCACCTCCTTCTTAATGTGTGATTTGGGGCAAGTTGGTCTCAAACCTTGTGGGTTGTGAGTCAAAAAGTGGGGTACTCAAGTGTTCATGCTCACAGCTCAGAAGAGGTGGAAGCAGGTGGTACTCCAACCTTTCTCCTGGCTTCCAGCCAAGACCTGGCCAAGGCACCATGCCCAAGGCACCAGAATAATCAAGGATAATCTCCCTATCTGAAGATCCTCGACTTAACCACATCTGCAAAACCCCTTTTGCCATGCGAGACAACACAGGCACAGGGTTTGGGGTTATATTCTGTCTACCACAGCATCCTTTATGCTCTAAGTATACAAGGACAGGAAGAAAATGGAAATATGAAATGGCATTTTCTCTCTTTTATGCTTCCCAGATGGATAGCTTGTAGAGAAGCTGCAGAATTTGTACTCTTCCAGGCTTGGGTTTGGAGAGCTGGGACCCTGCTTAACAGCTGTGTGACCTTAAGCCAGGTCCCATCTATAGTATGAAGATGATGCACAGTTTGCAGGGTCTGAGTTTAAAACAAATCTCTGAAAGGTGGACAATAAAGTTCCAACTCATAGAAAGCACTCAAGAAATGGCGACTATGATAAGAATTTCCCTAAGCTGTGGTTCTGCCTTCTGTCTTAGGGAAACTAACCCTGATGGAATCGCCCTTGGAGAGCAGAAGGCTGTTTGGGGCAGCTCCCCTCCAGCTCTACAGCTCTGGGCACTTGCAGGAGGTCACTTCTGCTGTCAAGAAGCTTTGGGGACATGAGTGTCTTGGCTAAATCAAACCAGCCTTCCAGAAGAAAACTGGTTCTGAGAGGGCATCACACTGGATGTGCCAGGGGTTGTTTTTCTAAGACAGTGGCAGCCTGTTTCTTGAAATGGCTGTGTACACAAAGCAATCCCCAAATGGCAAAGAAGAAGCCAAGAAACCAAAGAAAGGGGCAGACAAGTCCAGTCTGATGGTATAGGGTGATTTGTTAGGGGAACTTGCAGACTGAAGCATGGTCTTGGGAAGCCACAAGACAGGTAGATCTCTGTATGGCAACCCCCCAGTCCCAGGGCCTAGATCTGGGGAAAAAGTGTATGCACTCTGGGAGGAATGTGTAGGTGGCTGCAGGCATCACAGTCTTTGATTTCTGCAACAGCATCAAGAGTTGTTTTGGAGGAAACTTACAGTGAATAGATGTTTCTACATAAAGAGCAATACATCAACTCGACTTCTTGGAGGCATTCCTGGACGTGGGGTTAGTCAGAAGTTACATGGTGGATTAGCATTTAAAGTAAAGTCACTCTTGTTCCCACATAGCCTCTGATGGAAATTCTCACCCCACTGTGAAGTCTCATTCATCAGGTCTAGCGAGCAAAAGAGTGGTCAGCGGACATGCATTCTCTCACCCCTTAGGTGCTTCCCTTTGCATGCCCAACTTCTTTATTGAAACAAAATATAGATTAAAATATAAAATCAAGCTTGTCAGAATTATGCCTTAAGAGGGCCTATGGGGAGGCTGTCTTAATGAGGAAACTAATGCATGTGCTTTAATGCAGGATTTTCTGAAATATATGCTGATCATTCACAGTCATTTTTCCCCTTTTATATATTCTCAGTCATGCCCCAAATTAATTCATTCAACAAAAGATTTTAGCTGGGCACAGTGGCTCCGATACTTTGGGAGGCTGAAGCAGAAGGATTTCTTGAGCTCATGAGTTCAAGACCAACCTAGGCAATGTAGCAAGACCTCATCTCTACAAAAAATTTAAAAATTAGCCAGGCATGGTGGCACATGCCTGTAGTCCCAGCTACTTGGGAGGCTGAGGTGGGAGGATGGCTTGAGCCCAGGAGATCGAGGTTAGAGTGAGCCATGTTCATGCCACTGCACTCCAGCCCGGGTGACAGAGTAAGGCCCTGTCTCAAAACAAAAAAAATTTTTGAACACATACTATGTATCAGGTACTACACTCTGTACTGATGACACAGAAGTAGAGTCAGAGACATTTCTCGGTCCCCGTCAAGCTCATAATCCAATCAAGAAGACATGTACACTGATAACAGTTGGCCTCCCTGGGCGGGGCACATTCATTGTGCTTTATTGTCCAATGCAATAGAAAGGAGCTGGAAAAGCAAGGTTGATAGGCAAGAGCATTTGTTAATTAAAAGTATTAATCAAGCACTTCTTATGTTGATCCAGGCACAGGAGATACCCCAGCGAATGACACAGGCCACTACAAATGTATATTTATAGAGCCATTACTGGTAAGCTAATAAATATTGAGGATTACTGACCAGTGCTAGGAAGGAATAAACAGGGTAAGGGGCTAGGGTGATGGGAGGAGAGGACTGCTTTTGTGATATGGACAGGAAGGGCCTCCGTGAGAAGCTAGCGCTGCAGGCAGGACTTGGGTCTGAGAAGGAAGCCACCCTGTGAGGATGTAGGGGAAGAATGTGCAAAGGTCCTGAGGCAGGAACTCGCTTGGAAGGCTCAGGAAAGGCTGCAGTGTTGTTAGCATAGGGGATAAAAAACATATTTTCTTCAACCCTCATAGGTCCTTAGTTGAAACAGACCCCTGTAACAAAAGACAGACTAACACAAGAAAAAAAATACAGAAGTTTATTAACATGTATATTTCACACATACATGGGAGACACCCAGGGAATGAGTAGTGCTCAAAGAAGTGGCTTTAAATTCCAGCTTCGAGAAAGAACAGTAAATGTTGAAAGAAGCAACAAGACAAAGGAAAAGAACGTTGAGTCTCTAGTGACAGCAACTTGGGGGAAAACAAATAAATAGCAGATCGAGGTGGGTTAGGGAAACTGGTTCATGTAGGTTCCTCTGGTGTAAGCTCCAGACCTATAAGCATCCAAAGTTGTCTTCACTGGTTACCCTTTGTTCTCCCTGGCAGAAGAGGGTGGGAGCAGAATATCTCTTGTCTTTGTAAATCTATGTCCTGCTTTTAGGCAAATAGAGGGAAGGCAGAGAGCCTTCCTGCATCTACTTCTTTTTACATGCCTTCAGCTCAACAGTTCTTCGTGTTTTGGGGTGGAATATTATGATGTTCCATATTAGCAAAGGAAAGAGATGAAGTTGGAAGGATAGTAGGGGCCGGAGGATAGAAGATCTCATAACTCCGTGGTAAGGAATCAGGAATTTTACTTTCAATACCATGGGAAGCCATTGGAGATTTGAAGCAGAGGAAGGATTTGATCAAAATGTGAAAGATGTGTCTGTACTTTAATCATTAATTCAGCAAGTAGTTTTTAAGCACCTACGACATACTTGGTTCCATACTAGACCCAGGGGATGCAAAGATGAATAAGACTCTCCGGATGAGGACACAGCCAGATTCATTCATTCATTCATTCATTCATTCATTCACTTATCCATATTTATTGAGCCCCTATACCAGAAACTATTGGTATAGAGGCCCCATATGCCAAGAGGAGCCCCTATATGGCAGATAATGTAGAAATTGGAGCAGTGCATGGAGCAAAACAAACAAACAAAATCCCTGCCCTCAAGGAATGGACATTCTGTTGAGGGAGGCTTATTGTAAACACATGAAAATATAATGTAATTATATGGTTTGGAGTTGTGTCCCCACCAAATCTCATGTTGAATTGTAATCCCCAGTGTTGGAGGTGGGGCATGGTGGGAGGTGATTGGATCATGGGGTTGGATTTCTCATGAATGGTTTAGCACCATCCCCCCTGTACTGTCCTTGTGATAGTGAGTTCTCACTATCATCATTTTAAACGATGAGATCCCATCGTTTAAAAGTGTGTGGTACCTCCCCACCCTCTATTTTGTTCCTGCTGCCATCATGTGAGACACCTCACTTCTCCTTTGCCTTCCACCGTGATTGGAAGATTCCTGAGACCTCCGCAGAAGCTGAGTAGATGCCAGCATCATGCTTCCTGTACAACCTGTTGGAACCGTGAGCCAATTAAACCTCTTTTTTAATATAAATTACCAGTCTCAGGTATTTCTTTATAGCAATGGGAGAACAGACTAATACGTGTAGCAATAAGTGCTCAGAAGAGAAGTCATGCAAAATGAGGAGGAGAATGATGGAGAAAATGCTATCTTAGGGTAGCCAGGGAAGGCCTCTCCACAGAGTTGATCATGGAGCAGAGATCAGGAGACAAGAAGGAGGCAGCCACGCACACATCTGCGCATGAGCAATCCAGGCAGAGGAGCAGCTGGTACAAAGGCCCCGTGTGTCATTCAGCATTCATGATCGCAGCTCCGAAGATGCATGCACCAGCCTCAGGCTTCAGGGAGGACTTCCCGGGGTTGTGATATCTGATCAGGGGCCTGGGAGACAATCGATACTCATATTTGGGCTCCATCAGAAAACTGGACTCTCTGTCAAAAAGGAATGAGTTGCCCATCAATTGAGGTGCACAAGGGAGCCAGGCTGGCCTGAAGTCCAGCCCTAGATGGGAAAGGTGGGGCCCTGAAAGGGACAACGTCACTCCTAAAGGGACGAAATGAATGAGTCTTGAAGCCAAGTTCAAAGTCAGTCCTGTCCTGGGGAAGGCAGGGTTTCAGCTCATCAGTTCTTGTTCCTTCACCTGTTCGTTTGTTTACTGGGTCAGTCGTTAATTCATTTCTAAATACTCCTGTTCATGTGTTCCCACACCCATCCATTCATCTCCCCATCTTCGTTCAACACCCTCACAAAGTACCTCATCTGTGCCAGGTCTGTCGCTTCACCACTCATGAATCCATAAGGATGACAAGTAGTGTCCTTCTGTGTGCAGGAGGCTGTGCCAGATGGCTGGGCAGGGGCTGTGGGAACAGAGGAAGACCCCAACAGCCTCGAAGGCAGGGAAGAGGTAGTGATGTGCAGTGAATTGAAAAAGTTGAGTCATTTTTCAGGCAGACAGGGAGGGAGGAGAAGGAGGAGGAAGGGCATTTCCCACAGAGAACGCCTGGTACTACCCAGGGGGCAGAGAGATAGCAGGTGCCATCCAACAGGAACTGCGGGCTGTTCTCACTCCCTCTGCTGTGAAAAGATGAATTTCTCCTGGCAGGAAGAAGCCAGGCTGTGGAAAGGGGCCCAGACTGAGCAGCTGTCAGGGCTCAGCAGGAAGGTTTTTGCTCTCCACACCCTCAGGAGCTGGGGGCTGAGTGCAGCCAAGGGGTATTCAGCTTTTGGATCTGGAAATGGTTCGGCCTTGCAGAGGCCGCTTGTCACAGCCAACTGGGGAAAGATAGCACACCTGGGGCTGCCGGTTCTGCAAAGAGAGCAGGCGCTCCCTGACTTCCAGCAGGGGCTTTGATATCAGCATTAATATATGTGACAGCAATAGGAGCTGCAGGCTGTGCAAGTTGGAGGAAGACACCTGGAAAAGAAAAATAAGCTCACTTTTCACTGGAAGAAACTTCCAAGAGAAGTCAGAAACAGTAGCAAAGGCTGATGAGGTCACTTGTGCACAGAGTGCTTAAAGCAGACCTCACTTCACCTGTTCTGTCACCCTCAGGATCTCCTGTTTTAATCTGAACAAGGGCTTCAGTCTCTATGCTCCCTCACTTGGCCTCATGGCTGGTATAGGAGAAAAACCATTTATCAATTTCTATCTCTACCACAAATTAGGTGAATGACTTTAGGCAATCCATCTTTCTGGGCCTTAGTTTCCTCATTTGTAAATTGGAGATAAGACCACCTACCTAGAAAGAGTCTTACCAGTCAATATAGCTCTGCATGGAAGGCCACACTGTAGGTGGTCAGCACATGGTAGATGTGTTTGTTTAAGGTGTTCACCTTGACGGAGAGGACCCCGTGGACAGCCCAATAGACCTGGCTTCAAATCCCACCTATAATAGGGTTCTTTAGAGGGACAAAGCTAATAGGATAGATGTATATATGAAAACAAGTTTATTAAGGAGAATTGACTCACATGATCACAAAGTAAAGTCCCACGATAGACCATTTGCAAGTTGAGGCACAAGGAAGCCAGTGGTGGATCAGTTCAAGTCCAAAACCTCAAAAATAGGGAAGCCGACAGTGCACCCTTCAGTCAGTGGCCAAAGACCCGAGAGTCCCTGGCAAACCACTGGTGTAAGTCCAAGAGTCCAAAAGCTGAAGAGCTCGGAGTCTGATGTTCAAGGGCAGGAAGCATCCAGCCCAGGAGAAAGATGAAGGCTGGAAGACTCAGCAAGTCAGTGCTTCCATCTTCTCCTGCCTGCTTTATTCTAGCAGCACTGGCACCTGATTAGATGGTGCCCAACCAGATGGAGGGTGGGTCTGCCTCTCCCAGTCCACTGACTCAAATGTTAATCTCCTTTGGCAACACCCTCACGGACACACCCAGGAACAATACTTTGCATCCTTCAATCCAATCAAGTTGACACTCAATATTAACCATCATTCCACCTCTGCCTCTGCCTTACTAGCTGTGGGACCTTAGCTAAGAGTTTTTACCTTGTGCCCTCATCAGTAGTTTGCCGGGGACACTCTCAGATTATGCCTGACATCCTGACGTGACTATTAATACCATCCCCCCTTACACTCTCAAAATGTCTGATTTTGGAAAGTAAACAGCATAGTGTCTCTACTCATCAATAAAATGGACAGTGCCACACTCAAGGACTTTTATGAGGGAGAATGAAGGGAATGCAAAGGAAAAACCCTGATAAACATGGAAATGCCACCCCTTTCCACCATAGCAGCCTTGATAAAGTGCATGCATGGAAACATCAGTCCATTAACAAAGAGAACCCTAGACAGTCACAAAGACACTAATGTTGAAATGCGTTCACAGCATCAATTAACCTCAGCATTGCTAAAGTATCAAGCTACCGCCAAAGTCCAGCTCCTGCCCACTCCATGCCCCCAGGTCTACTTCATATTTGAACCTCTGTACCTTTCCATCTTTCACCTCCCCTCTTTCTACTCAGTGCTTCCCTATGCAGATCAATTTAGTGTCTCAGAACCATTTACAACTCAGTATGTTCTTTCTCCCCATATCATAATACAATAAACCCTTTTAGGTAATCAAGAAATAATTAAATTGTGATACTATTAGAGTGACCAACTGCTCTGATTTGCTGACTCTGAAGGGGTTTCTGAGACATGGGACATCCTATTTTTAAAGCTGGGACAATAAGTTTGTTCCCCTAGGTACCGTGGCAGTGTAGATTAGAAACCAATAGGAGTTCAGTAAAGGGCATGCCAGAGTAGGCTTCAGTGGAGGGGATAGCAGGACTTTGAAAAGCTGGGAAGTGTTTCTCCAAGAGACCCTAAGACACAGATTCCAGTGAAGGCAGTCTGTTTGGGGGGTGATCCCAGGAGACATCAGGAGGGAGTGGGCACTGAGTCAGGCAGGGCCAGGCAGGCAGCCATGGAGTGCATTTCAGGGCAAGTTCCTGCTGTGGGCACCTGCAGTGTGATTCTCTGGGGAACTCTGGGAGACTGTGGGGGAAGACAACTGCATCATCTCACAGGAAGCATTAGGGCATCAGCTCTCTTCAGTCCACCCTGGAGAGAAGCTCTGTCAGTTCCACAGCCCTTCTGGCTTGTGAAAAGCCAACAAAAGCCTCTGCCAGGGATGCCAGCCGGCAGGTGGATGTGGGACAGCCTGAGATGGTGAGGGAAGATGGAGTAAAGAACCAGTCATCCACATCTGCCCCAGCATTCCAGGGTCTGAGCCGGAGAACAACAGAACTGCACAGGATTTGAGACACTGTCTGGCCCAGGGACTGTGGCTCCTTCCGGGCTCTATCTTCAGTATCCAACCCTGCGCCCCCTCCAAGCAGGAACTCAGTACTTTTTGTTCACTGAATGAACAAACAAATGCTCTGCAGCTGGGAAAACCAAGACCTAGACTGAGGGTGCGATGGCCTCAAATCACAGGAATGAGTGGGAACCCAGGTTCTGAGCTATGTCCCCTGGATCCTTTTACCCTATTTCAGGCAGCCTTATAACTCCAGCACCCATACAGAGAACGCTTTTTTCTTTTTTTAACTTTTCGTTTCAGGGGTACATGTGCAGGTTTGATATATAGGTAAATTGCATGTTACAGGAGTTTGATATACAGATTATTTCATCACCCAGGTAATAAGCATAGTATAGTACCTGTTTTTTCAGTCCTCACCCTCCTCCCATCCCTCACCCTCAAGTAGGCCACAGTGTCATTGTTCCCTTGTGTCCATGTGTGCTCAATGTTTAGCTCCCACTTATAATTGAGAACATGTGGTATTTGGTTTTCTGTTTCTATATTAGTTGACTTAGGATAATGGCCTCCAGCTCCATCCATGTTGCTGCAAAAGACGTGATCTTTTTCTTTTTTATGGCTGCATAGTATTCCATGGTGTATATGTACCACATTTTCTTTATCCAGTCTACTGTTAATGGGCATTTATGTTGACTCTATGTCTTTGCTATTGTGAATAGTTGCTGCAATGAACATACACATGCATCTGTCTTTATGGTAGAACAATTTATATTCCTTTGAGTGTGTACCCAATAATGGGACTGCTGGATCACATGGTATTTCTGTTTTAAGTTCTTCGAGAAATTGCCAAACTGCTTCCACAGTGGCTGAACTAACACATTCCCACCAACAGTATATAAGCTTTCTCTTTTCTCTGCAACCTTGCCAGCATCTGTTATTTTTTTACTTTTTAAGAATAGCCATTCTGACTGATGTGAGATGATATCTCATTGTGGTTTTGATTTGCATTTCTCTAATGATTACCGATATTGAGCATTTTTTATTATTATTGTTGGTTGCGTGTATGTCTTCTTTTAAAAAGTGTCTGTTCATGTCCTTTGCCCATTTTTAAATGGGGTTATTTGCTTTTTGCTTGTTGATTTGCTTAAGTTCCTTACAGGTTCTGGATATTAGACCTTTGTCAGATGCATAGTTTGCAAATATTTTCTCCCATACTCTGGGTTGTATGTTTACTCTGTTTATAGTTTCTTTTGCTGTGCAGAAGCTCTTTAGTTTAATTAGGTTCCATTAGTCAATTTTTGTTTTTGTTGCAATGGCTTTTGGCGTCTTTGTCATAAAATCTGTGCCAGGGCCTATGTCCAGAATGGATATTTCCTAAGTTTTCATCCAGGGTTTTTATAGATTTAGGTTTTTACATTTAAGTCTTTGATCCATATTGAGTTGATTTTTGTACGTTGTGTAAGGAAGAGGTCCAGTTTCAGTCTTCTGCATATAGTTCCCCAATTATCCCAGCACCATTTATTGCACAGGAAGTCCTTTCCCCATTGCTTGTTTTTGTCAGCTTGTTGAAGATCAGATGGTTGTAGGTAGGTGGCCTTTTTTCTGGACTCTCTTTTCTGTTCCATTGGTATATGTGTCTGTTTTTGTACCACTACCATGCTGTTTTGGTTACTGTAGCCTTGTAGTATAGTTTGAAGTCAGGTACCATGTTGTCTCCTGCTTTGTTCTTTTTGCTTAGGATCTGGGCTATGTGGGCTCTTTTTGGGTTTTATATTAATTTTATAATAGTTTTTTCTAATTCTGTGAAGGATGTCATTGATAGTTTGACATGAATTGCATTGAATCTGTAAATTGCTTTGGGCACTATGACCATTTTAACAATACTGATTTTTCCTATCATAAGCATGGAATGTTTTTCTATTTGTTTGTGTCATCTCTGATTTCTTTCAGCAGTGTTTTGTAATTTTCATTGTAGGGATCTTTCGCCTCCCTGGTTAGCTCTATTCCTAGGAATTTTATTTTGTATGCTTGTGTGGTTATTGTTAATGGGACTGAATTCTTGATCTTGTGCTCAGCTTGGATGTTGTTGGTGTACAGAAATGCTACTGGTTTTAGTGCATTAATTTTGTATCTTGAAACTTTGTTAAAGTTGTTTATCAGATCACGAAGCTTTTTGGCAGAGACTATGGGGTTTTCTAAGTATAAAATTATATTGTCTGCAAACAGAGATAGTTTGACTTTTTCTCTTCCTATTTGGACATCTTTTATTTCTTTCTCTTGCCTGATTGTTCCAGTTGGGACTTCCAGTACTATGTTGAATAGGAGTGGTAAGAGTGGGCAGCCTTATCTGGTTCTAGTTCTCAAGGGGGATGTTTCCAGCTTTTGCCCACTCAGTATGATGTTGGCTCTGGGTCTGTCATAGATGGCTGTTATTATTTTGGGGTATGTTCCTTCAATGCCAAGTTGTGGAGGGTTTTTAACATGAAGGGATATTAGTTTTATCAGAGCCGTTTCTGCATCTATTGACATGATCATGTAATTTCTGTTTTTACTTTTGTTTATGTGATGAGTCACATCTATTGATTTGTATATGTCAAAGGAATCTTACATCCCAGGGATAAAGCCTACTTCCTCATAGTGGATAAGCTATTGGATGTGCTGCTGGATTTGGTTTGCTAGGATTTTGTTGAGGATTTTTGCATCTATATTCATCAAGGATATTGGCCTGAAGTTTTATTTTGTGTATGTATGTGTCTCTGCCAGGTTTTGGTATCAGGATCATGCTGGCCTCATAGGATGAGTTGAAGGGGATTCCATCCTTCTCAATTTTTTGGAATAGTTTTGGTAGGAATAGTACCAGCTCTTCTTTATGCATCTGGTAGAATTCAGTTGTGAATCCATCTGTTCCTGAGCTTTTCCTGGTTGGTAGGCTTTTAACTGCCAATTCAGTTTCAGAACTTGTTATTGGTCTGTTCAGGGTTCCAGTTTCTTCCTTGTTCAATCTTGGGAGGTTGTATATTTCCAGGAATTTATCAGTTTCTTCTCAGTGTTCATAATAGTCTCTGAGGGCTTTTTGTATTTCTGTGGGGTCAGTGATAATGTCTCTTTGTCACTTCTGATTGTGTATTTGAATTTTCTCTCTTTTTTAATTAGTTTAGATAGTGGCCTATCAGTCTTATTTATTCTTTAAAAAAATCAACTCTTGAATTCATTGATATTTTGTATTTTTTGTGTGTGTGTCTCAATTTCTTTCAGTTCAGCTCTGATTTTGGTTATTTCTTATCTTCTGCTAGCTTTGGGATTGGTTTGCTAATTCCTCTAGGTGTGATGTTAGGTTGTTAATTTGAGATCTTTCTAACTTTTTGATGTGGGCATTTAGCACTGTGAACTTTTTTTTTTAACACTGTTTTAGCTGTGTCCCAGAGATTCTGGTATGTTATATATTTGTTCTCATTAATTTCAATCAATTTCTTTATTTTTGCCTTAATTTCATCATTCACCCAAAAGTCATTCAGGAGCATGTTGTTTAATTTTCATGTAATTGTATGGTTTTCAGTGATCTTCTTAGTAAAGATTTCTATTTTTATTGCACTGTGTTCCAAGGGTGTGGTTGGTATAATTTTATTTTTTTGTCAATTTGCTGAATATTGTTTTATGGCCAATTGTGTGGTCAATTTTGGAGTATGTGCAAATGAGAAGAATGTCTATTCTGTTGTTTTTGGGTAGAGAATTCAGTAGATGTCTGTCAGGTTCATTTGGTCAGTGTTAAGTTCAGGTCCCAAATATCTTTGCTGGTTTTCTGCCCTGATCATCTGTCTGATACTGTCAGTGGGGTGTTGACATCTCCTGCTATTATTGTGTGGTTACCTATGTCTCCTTGTAGGTCTCTAAGAACTTGTTTTATGAATCTGGGTACTCCATGTTGGGTACATATATATCTAGCATAGTTAGGCATTCTTGTTGAATTGAGTCATTTATCATTATGTAATGCACTTCTTTGTGTTATTTATTTTTGTTGGTTTAAAATCTGTTTTGTCTGAAATTAGAATAGCAACCCCCTGATTTTTTTCTGTTTTCCATTCGCTTGGTAAATTTTTCTCTATCCTTTTACTTTGAGTCTACGGGTGTCACTGAATGTGAGATGGGTGTCTTGAAGACAGCATATAGTTGGGTCTGGCTTCTTTATCAAGCTTGTCACTCTGTGCCTTTTTTTTTTTTTTTTTTGAGAGGGAGTTTCACTCTGTTGCCCAGGCTGGAGTGCAGTGGCACAATCTCGGCTCACTGCAATCTCTGCCTCCCAGGTTCAAGTGATTCTCCTGCCTCAGCCTCCTGAGTAGCTGGGATTACAGGTGCACACCACCACATCCAGCTAATTTTTGTATTTTAGTAGAAATGGGGTATCACCATGTTAGCCAGGCTGACCTTAAGTGATCCGCACACCTTGGCCTCCCAAAGTGCTGGGATTACAAGCATGAGCCACCACACCTGGCCTCTGTGCCTTTTAATTGGGGCATTTTGCCCATTTACATTCAAGGTTAATACTGGTATGTGCAGATTTGATTCTGTCATCATATTGTTAACTGGTTATTATGCAGACTTGATTGTGTAGTTGTTTTATAGTGTCACTGGTCTGTGTACTTAAGTGTGTTTTTGTAGTGGCCAGTAATGGTCTTTCCTTTCCAAATTTAGCACTCCCTTCAGGAACTTTTATATGGCAGATCTGGTGGTAATGAATTCCCTTAGCACTTGCTTATCTGAAAAGCATCTTATTTCTCCTTTGTTTATGAAGCTTAGTTTGACTGGCTACAAAATTCTTGATTGGAATTTCTTTTCTTTAAGAATACTGGAGGCCGGGCGCGGTGGCTCATGCCTGTAATCCCAGCACTTTGGGAGGCCGAGGCGGGTGGATCATGAGGTCAGGAGATCGAGACCATCCTGGCTAACAAGGTGAAACCCCGTCTCTACTAAAAATACAAAAAATTAGCCGGGCGCGGTGGCGGGCGCCTGTAGTCCCAGCTACTCGGGAGGCTGAGGCAGGAGAATGGCGTGAACCCGGGAAGCGGAGCTTGCAGTGAGCCGAGATTGCGCCACTGCAGTCCGCAGTCCGGCCTGGGCGACAGAGCGAGACTCCGTCTCAAAAAAAAAAAAAAAAGAATACTGGATATAGGCCCCCAGTATCTTCTGGCTTATAGGGTTTCTGCTGAAACATCCACTGTTAGCCTGACGGGGTTCACTTTGTTGGTGTCCTGCCTCTTCTCTCTAGCTGCCTTTAACATTTTTTCTTTCATTTTGACCTTGGAGAATCTGACGGACTATGTATCTTGGGGATGTTCATCTTATATAGTATCTCACAGGGGTTCCCTGCATTTCCTGAAGGAAATTTTCATGGACAATATCCTCAAATATGTTTTCCAAGTTGCTTGCTTTCTCTCCCTTGCTTTCAGAGACACCAGTGAGTCATAGATTTGCTCTCTTTACATAATCTCATATTGCTCAGAGATTTTGTTCATTCTTTTTATTCTTTTTTCTTTATTTTTGTTGACTGAATTATTTCTGAGAACCAGTCTTCAAGCTCTGAGATTTTTTCTTCATCCTAGGCTATTCTGCTGCTAGTACTTGTGATTATATTATGCATTCTTGAAGTGAGTTTTTCAGCTCTATCAGATAAGTTTGGTTTTTTCTTAAAATGGCCATTTCGTCTTTCACCTCCTGTATTGTTTTATTGAATTCCTTAGATTCCTTGGGGGTTTTGACTCTCCCAAATCTCAGTGATCTTCATTCCTATCCATATTCTGAATTCTATGTCTGTCATTTCAGTCATTTCACTATGGTTAAGAACCATTGCTGGGGAATTAGTGTGGTCATTTGGAGATAAAAAGATACTCTGGCTTTTTGAGTTGCCAGAGTTCTTGCACTGGTTCTTTCTCATCTGTGTTGACTGATGATCCTACAATCTTTGAGGCTACTGACCTTTAGATAGGGTTTTTTGCTTTTATCTTCTTTGATGCCCTTGAGGGTTTGATTGCAGCATGAGGTGGGTTCAGTTGACTGTCTTCATTTCAGGAAGATTTTAGGGAGCCAACGCTCAGCTCAGCACTCCTGGGTTTCATGCTCTGGCTCTGGGGGACTGACATTGGGCCCCTAGATTTGTTCTCTGGCCCCTCAAGGTTAGGAACCTGCTACGCTGAATGGGCCGAGGTGTTCCCAGCCCAATGACCACAACACTTCGATGGGTGTGCCAGCCAAAGCACTTCGGCAGTGGGATCCATGCTCGCTCAAGTGTGCCAGCAGCTGCAACAGTGCAGTGGGGTGCACGTGCATTGCCTGGGGTGGGGCACCAGCAGGAGTTGGGTGGTGGTGTTCCTGCATATAGCTGCACCAGTGATGAATGGCAGCAGCACAGCAGGGGTGGGACACTGGTGGGGGTGGGGTTGCCAGCACCTGTGCTAGCCCTTGCACCAGTGGGGGTGGGGCACTGGCAGGGGCAGGGTTGCCAGTGTCCATTTGTGCATTCATGCTGGCAGTGGCAGCATGGTAGGGTACCCATGTATCAGTAGGGGGCACAGCAGGGTACGCACATGCCAGCAGTGGTGGCATTATGTGATGAATGCACACACATGTGCTGGAAGAGAGGGAGGCAAGGTCCACTCACAGTGCACCAGCAAAGCGATGTGGGATGGTGGGGGAGTGGGGCACGAATGAGTGTGCACCAGTGAAGGGAGGCTGCGGTGAGGGGAGGCTGTGGGTGAGCTGGTGCACACCAGTGGGAGCCAGTCTGCTAGAGTTCTTCGATGGTCTGACATGGTCTGCTGGCAAAGAAGCCATGAAGAGGGTCCCAGGGAAGCACCCTGGTTGGGCATCTGATACTGCCCTCTGGGCACAACCAGGCTGGGGCCCCAAGAGAGTCCAGCAGATGGGGGGCATTCAGAATGTACCGGCCTCATCCCACAGGCAAGGCCACCCTGCTCTGTCCAGGTCTGACAGTCACACTCCTAGAGGAGCATGGCAAGCCTTGGGGAATGGGCATCACTGGCCATGCTTCACTGCAGATGTTCCCACACCAAACCCTCTGGGCAACACACAGGCTGGAGTCCTGCCCCTGCCACCTGTCTAAGCAGTTCTCCCTGTCGTCTCAAGTGTCTGTGGGGGTTGTGGGGTATCCTGCTGCTAGGATTCTGGAGGTCCATGGTGAGAGCGGGCCATTCCTCACCTGTTCAACTCATCCCTTCCCCAGGAGTCGCTGGGGGCCAGGAAACAAGTCCCATTGCTCAGCAGCCCCGTGCAGGGTTCCCAGACTTCCCTGCTTCAGCCCAGCATCTGTATCCTCCCTCTATCCACTCTCAATGCCTTCTCTCTGAAGATGTGGCTTGAGTGTGCCAGTCTTCCTGATGTCCCGGTCTCTCGGTGGGAGATGTTCCTCCTAGCTCGACCATCTTTTATCTAGTCACTCTTGCTTTTCTATTTCAACACCCCCTCCCAGCACCATGCTCATCCAAAAAGGAAGAATGTTAAAATGCGCCCATGAGAACCTACCAGCAAGACTGCTGACCTCCGTCTCTATTGAAACAGAAACTCCTCACCAAGCTTAGAAACAGGTCATCTGAGTGTGCTTAACTCACCACCAAACAGAACACATCACTGTAGGTTTGTTCTGAGAGACTTTAATTGTGTTTTCTTACCTGCTAATTAACTGTCCACACTCATTATGCTGTAGCAGCTTCCTCTTTTTAATTAGAATTAACAGTCAATTTGGCCTTTCATGGCCCATTTGCTCCTGAGACTCTTCAAAAACATCCTCTCCCCCAGACAGTCCAGGATGGTAATGTTCAAGCCTATTGATTCAACTAAAGAACACAGATTTTAAATCCCACTGGAAGAAAGTCTATGTCAAAACATGCTAATTGATAGTCAAGAGGAAGAACCACTTTACATTTCCCTAGAGCAGAGTTCAGGAAACAATCTAAGTCTCATGACTGATCCTACACAAATTCAAGTTAGAATCACCATGTATGGTTGTTAACAATGCTGAGAGGCACGAACTTCTTTTCACAAACAACTTCCCTTTTGTTTCTGGAGTTCTGAACTACTGTTTCCTAACCAGTGTCCCAGTCTGCCTCCACACCCTCCTTCTGCTGACCCATATCCCACTCTGCATCGGGGACACTTTTCAAATCACAAATCTGATCCTGTCTTTCTCCTCCTAAAACCCTCCAACAGGCCTACAGCTTCTGCCTGCAAACTCCTGCCCCAAGCATGGCCTCCTAGACACCCTAGAATCCACCCCTGCTGGCCCCTCACAAGATGCCTCTCCTGTCCCACCTCCCCATCGCAGCCCAGGCTCTCACTGAACGTGCACCCTGGTTAGCCCTCCATCTCCTCAACTGCATAAAGAATTTCTGGCCAGGCACGGTGGCTCACGCCTGTAATCCCAGCACTTCGGGAGGCCGAGGCAGGCGGATCACAAGGTCAGGAGATTGAGACCAGCCTGACCAACATGCAGAAACCCCGGCTTTACTAAAAATACAAAATTAGCCGGGCGTGGTAGCGGGTGCCTGTAGTCCCAGCTACTCGGGAGGCTGAGGCAGGAGAATGGCGTGAAACTGGGAGGTGGAGCTTGCAGTGAGCCGAGATCGTGCCACTGCACTCCACTCCAGCCTGGGTGACAGAGTGAGACTCGGTCTCCAAAAAAAAAAAAAAAAAGAATTTCCACTCATCCTTAAAAGATCTGTTTAACTGTCATCATTTTCCCTTCATCTGCACATTCAGCAAACATCTGTCAAGCACCCAAGAGACAGACATGATTGGCTATGGGGCAAGCAACAGGGAGAAAAAGAGACAAGATGCCTGCCCTCGAGGAGCACAATGAACAAGCAAAAGATAAATGCAAAGATGATGATGCAATCCATGGAAATAAATAAACATGAGGCTGTGATCGAGAATAAGGTAGTGGTGGAGGGACCTGCCCCTTTTGCCTAATTAATACATGCTCATGTCTCATGCCCATTCCTGGAGAAGTCTCCTTTCCATTTTTTTTTTTTTTTTTTAGAAAACACATCCCATGTGGTGAGACCACAGGCTTGTGTAGTTACTTATGCTGGCTACCTGGTTGGGCTGTGTAGAAGGGGAAAAAGGCGCCATTGCTTCTTTATCCTATACTGGGAGCCAAGCTCATGTGAAGTAAATTACCCATATCCTTGTGTGCCTTGAAATCTTTCCAAAGCTCGGGGGCATTTCCAGCAGTGGGAACAGTCTAAGCATGGGTGGGCACCAGGAATTCCTAGGGAGGACACAGTAGAGCAGTCAATCAGGCTAGTTTGGAAGTCCTGGATCCTACTCCTCTGAAACACTGGGAGTCTCACTCCACCTCTCTAGCCTCAGTTTCCCCACCTGAAATATTGGGTTGGGGCTGGCCTAGGGGGTCCCTAAGATATTTTCTGCCTCTAACTTTTGCAGTGTCTCTGGATACAACAGGAGGAAAATTCCTTTGCTCTTTCAGTTCAGACCAGTGACTCCTGATAATTTGATCTTCCTTGCCCAAGATCAACAATGTCTGATGCCATATCTGATGACATTTTATCACTCCTTTTCTAAAATAATTAGAAACCCTACAAAGGGAAAACCTTTCAAGAACACATAGAAAGTGCTCAATAAATTTTAACTATTTTTATTATTACTGCCCAATGAAGGAGAACGTTAATCTTGTGCTCA
Source organism: Homo sapiens (assembly GCF_000001405.40). NCBI lineage: Eukaryota > Metazoa > Chordata > Mammalia > Primates > Hominidae > Homo > Homo sapiens. Next base: position 9,847,691 of record NC_000004.12, on the reverse strand, counting down.
GGGCTGGTTTTCTTGACTCAGTGGACCTCAGATGCTGACGGCTCCTTGAAGGCAGAAGTTGAATCAGCTTTCTGCCACCATTGATGCCCCAGCATGGGTTCCTGGCACGTAGTCCGTTCCCAGCAAACACTGAGGGGATTAATGACAGGCAGAAGAGGAATCGCCGTAATCATTGATATTGATTGGGCCTTTGCCAATATGGTTTGGCTCTGTGTGCCCACCCAAATCTCATGTCAAATTGTAATTCCCATGTGTCAGGGGAGGGACCTGGTTGGAGGTGATTGGATCACGGAGGTGGTTTCTTTTATGCTGTTCTCATGATAGTGAGTGAGTTCTCATGAGATCTGATGGTTTAAAAGTGTATGACATCTCCGCCTTCACTTTCTCTCCCCTGCTCCACCACAGTAAGATATACTTGCTTCCCCTTCCCTTTCCACCATGATCATAAGTTTCCTCAGGCTTCTCCAGCCGTGCAGAACTGTAAGTCAATTAAGCCTCTTTTCTTCATAAATTACCCAGTCTCAGGTAGTTCTTCACAGCAGTGTGAAAACGGACTAATACAGCCACACATTAAACATGTTGCTAAGCATTATCTCATTTAATCCCCAGTACAGACCTAAGAGGCAGGAACTCCTGTTCTGTCCTCATTTTATGTACAAGAAAATGGAGAGCCAGAGATACGACTTACCTGTGGTTACACAGCTTGGAAGTGGAGAGGTGGGAATTTAAACTGGGTTAAACCTGGTGACTAAGAGAAAATATATCTAAAGGATTAAGTGACATATGGACACACTTGTGGAGATTTTTAAGGAGATTTCTAGGCATTTGGGGGGGCTTTAGAAATTGATGATAGTGGTTCCACTGGAATAATTTTAATAAATATGAATTAAGGAAAAGTTTGGGTGTGCACTTTATTTCTTTTATGTAAAAATGAAATTACAATTGAGCTTTCTCTGGTTACTTGGGCAAGAGTTAGTGCCAATGGTCTTAGCTACTAGCCTGGCTACCTCCACATGGTAATAATTTGCCATGTGCCAAGTAAGCACTATCAAGGTTTCGACTTTACTGAGATTTTAAATAGCTCATTAAATGAGATTATAGGCAAGGAAACTGAGGTCTAGAGAAGGACCAAAGCCTCTCACCTGGTGGTCAGCAGAGCCAGAGGAGCCCACTGAGAGTCAGGGTGAGTCAAGGCTCTGCAAGGAGACCCCAGGAAGCATCTGCTATACCTCCTCATCCCTAGTTGCTCAGCAGCCTCCCCTGCCTCCCTACCTAGGAAGCACATGCCTGAGCAGGTGGGTGTCTAAGCTCCTCTCAGAAATGAGAGGACAGACCTGGCATACATCCTGTGAGGGGAGGAGCTTCCTGTGTGCACTCCAGTCCCACCCTTTCCAACATGCTGCAGGGCATGAGTTCTATTTGCTGATATATCTTGGCTGTTGTCATGGAACACATCTGTTTGGGAGCCTGTGCATTTTCAAATTCTCAAATGTCTCTCCTAGAGAAAGGGCAGAGGAGAGAGTCTCTTACCTGGGTCCGGATCTCTTGGATTCGGAGCCAAGTCTATCATTTACTGCTCGTGCCACCTTGAGCAAGTCACTCTCTACTCTGGGTCGCAACTTCTTCACCGTTAAATGGAGTTAGAATAACTGCCTCCCAAGATAGTTCTTACATCAACTAGTAGAGTCTGCAATTGCCTAGCACAGGACTTGACATGTAAATGTCGGATGGAAATGGATGAACGAATGGATGAACAAGATTAAGTCTATTTACATAAACAAAACAGAATGCCCGTGAAGAGTTTTCAAAATGACTGTATTTCAATAAAAGAAAAGAGCTATTTTTAAACATGGTGCTTAACGGAAAATTTATTTAAAGGATTAAGTGACATATGGATACACTTAAGGAAATTTCTAAGGGGGTTTATAGGCATTTTGAAGGGCTTTAGAAATTGATGATCAGGGCCGGGCGCGGTGGCTCACGCCTGTAATCCCAGCACTTTGGGAGGCCGAGGCGGGCGGATCACGAGGTCAGGAGATCGAGACCATCCTGGCTAACACGGTGAAACCCCGTCTCTACTAAAAATACAAAAAAATTAGCCGGTCGTGGTAGCGGGCGCCTGTAGTCCCAGCTACTCGGGAGGCTGAGGCAGGAGAATGGCGTGAACCCGGGAGGCGGAGCTTGCAGTGAGCCGAGATCGCGCCACTGCACTCCAGCCTGGGCGACAGAGCGAGACTCCGTCTCAAAAAAAAAAAAAAAAAAAAGAAATTGATGATCGTGGTTCCATTGGAATAATTTTAATAAATATGAATTAAGGAAAAGCTTGGGCAGTTGTCCTTTATTTCTTTTATTCAAAAATAAAATTAAAATTGAACTTTTGGCTGGGCGTGGTGGCTCACGCCTGTAATCTCAGCACTTTGGGGGGCCGAGGCAGGCGGATCACGAGGTCAGGAGATCAAGACCATCCTGGCTAACACGGTGAAACCCCATCTCTACTAAAAATACAAAAAATTATCCATGTGTGGTGGCGGGCACCTGTAGTCCCAGCTACTCAGGAGGCTGAGGCAGGAGAATGGCATGAACCCAGGAGGTGGAGCTTGCAGTGAGCCGAGATTGCGCCACTGCACTCCAGCCTGGACAACAGAGCGAGACTCTGTCTCAAAAAAAAAAATTGAACTTTTTCTAGGGTACGTGGGCAAGAGTTAGAAAATAGAGAGGAGGGAGAAAGGGCCTAAAGATAATATGTAGGAAACATTGCTGGAAGCAGAAATAACAAAGCTGGCTTTACAGAAATACCACAGGTGTGCATTGCTAAGCACAGTCTCATTTAATGCATAAAACAAAACTAAGTAGGAACTATTGTTATCTTCATTTTATAGATGAGAAAACTGAGAACCATAGATACATGTGGTCACATAGCTAGTAGGTAAAGTGATGGGAATTTATATCAGGTTTATCTCTGGAGAAAGAAAGGTAGCAGATTGTTCCTCACTGTAGACACCAGGGCGCTGTCGCCACAAGACAGCTTGGTTGTTAGACCAGCTGAGCTGTAGCACAGATTCACAGAGAACAGAGATCTGGAGGAAAAGTCAGTTTTCAAAAAGTAAGTCTCATATGAAGAACGTGCATAATTCAATTCCTTTTCACTTGAACATAACTAAGTATAACTATTAGGAATTTACCAATGAGGGGGAAGAATATTTCTTTGCTTATGAACATTTCTGAAGGAAAAATAATGGCATTACTAATGAAGTAGATAATGTCTCAAAATTATTAGGAATATTTTTAGGATATCTACAGAATTTTTTAAATTACTTGGCAATTCTTTACATAGAATACTCAATTAATCAGCACGTATTTTCTATTTTCCTGGCAAGAAGGGAGAAAAATGAGTGGGGGAAGGAGAGATGGAGAGAAAGAAAGAGGGGAATAAAATAAATTCAAGGTGAGGGACATATACCTCAATCCATATCACCTCTTGTTATTCTGTAAAGAAAGGAGTCAGAAGGACTTTTTTTTTTTTTTATTATTATTTTTTTTTTACTAAATCTGGCTCTTCCACCAAGTTTCATTACCTTGAGCAAATACATTTCCCTCTCTGAGCTTCATTTTCCTAATCTGTAAAATAAGAGTTTTTATTTTACCTAGAGTCCTAGGCAGTATCATAGGATTCTATGCCTCAAATGCATGGATTCAAATCTGGTTTCCTTTTCCACAGTGCATGTGCTACTAAGGCAAGAGCCACTATATGTTATTGGGGAAGGCCTTTTCTGCCAAAGCAAATTGGTGGGCAAACCACCCACTCAGGAAAAACAGTTAGTCAACAAGTGTGGCTCAGTGTCCATGGGATCCAGGAGCCAGGAAGCTTACTCAGATCACAGGATGAATATTCTCCTGGAACATGCTTCTTCTGAATAATAATAATCATCATTAAAAGCTATTGAGTGTTCATCACACCTCAGACACAATTCAATGTGTATTCTCTGCATTAGGTCCTTTAAGCTTTGCAATGACCCCATAAAATCAATTCCATTGTCCTTGCTTTACAGAGGAGGAAAGTCGAGCCAGAAAGGTGAACTAATGTGCCCAAGGTCACATAGAGCCTGCAAGTGGCAGAGCCAAGACTCTAACCCAGATGGTCTGATTCAAGCAGCATGCTCCAAACTATAGTATCAGACCCCCACCCAGGCCCCTAACTATAGTGTTACACCCTCACCCCAGGCCCCTAACTTTAGCATAAGACCCCCACTCCATGCTCCTAATTAGAGTGTGGGACCTCCACCCCATGTTCTTAATGCTAGTGTTATACCCCAACTCCTGAAACTAGTACTTAGGTGTATATGATATAAACATTTTCTTCACTGTTGTTATTAGTAATGGCTACCTGATTATTGCAATAGTCAATGAGAAGTTAAACACTTAAGGAATAGATGGCATAGCAAAGATTCTTGTTATCTTCCCCAAATCCCTTTGTCCACACCCCTTTGTGATTCTCAGACAGACCTACAACTGCTCCCGTATGTGGCTTTTTGCTTGAGGACTTCCCCAGCTCTCTCAGCCCACATTGTGGCAGGCCAAAAGCACTGCTCAAAGTATAACACTCAATGAGTGACTGATGAGACATGGTGGATAAATAATCCAGCCCTCCTACCCCTCAGACTGGGTAACTCTGAGATGTGTTTTCCACAGTTTCCCGAGGGTCCCAGTTGGATTAAGATGTGACTTCCCATGGTGGTGTTGCTAATAACATAGCCCTTATCCACCTCTTTCACCTCCCTGCACTCTTCCCTGCATTTCCTGGGATCAACTGGCACATAAACTGCTTCTCAGGGTCTGCTTCTGGGGCAATCCAGAATAGGATACTCAAACAAGATAGCAAAGAAGACTCTAATAAGATAACAAGATGAGTGGACCCACATACATAATTATTTGGGGCTAATTTTCAAAGTTTAAGCTATATTGGACTGTTGGGCAACATATATTGAGTACTGTGATATGAAGAGTACCCTGTGCAAGACACATTGGATACAGACATGACACCTTCCCCATCTTTCTGTTCTTTTGAAATGAGAGGTGCCATCAAAAGGACATGGTCAGAAGACCCAACTTCATGTCCTATCTCTTCCAGTCACAAGCAGGACTAGTAACTGGGCAAGGCCCTCTATTCCCTGAAATTTCAGTTTCCGAATCTGTAATTACAATTCATAATTCATAGTTTGGTCATGAAGAAAGATTTGATGAGATAAGGTGTGCCAAGTATTTTTATGAATAAAAAAGTCCACAAAAGTAAAGGTCGCAAACCACAGAATTTTAAAGAAGGCACTCTCTTGGCAAAATCCTTTGTAAGAAGGGATTGTTTTCACCTGCTCTTTAATTTTGAAGCATATGATTTTCAGATGAGCAGCACCTACACACCTACCACAAGAAATACCAATAACTTACCTTTGAAAAGCTAATAATCAAGGGATTTTAGGTAAATATGGTCATGTATAGACTTGTTACAGAACCTTCCTCCTGCAAATACCTAAGAAAATGAGCAGGAAAAGAGTCGTTAAAATCAATAACAATACCAACAAAGCAAACCTTTACACAGATTGAAAAAAAATGGCCAGCAGTAACCAAACAAGGAAATATATCACATACCTAGAAAACTAGCAGCCAATAAAGGATAATTCTAGCATAGGAGATTCTGTCTCCACTCTTTAGAAAACAGCACTGACCAGAGAAGGAGATTTTATGAACCCTAAGAACTCTTGCTACCACCTTGATTTTATGGGGGAGACAGAGTGAGCAGGTGAGTCAGCAATTGCAGAGAAAGATCAAGAAGATACCTTCCCCCCAAACAGCCCTCTCAAAGGGTCCTGGGGATTGCCACTTCCTAAGACTATGTCCTAATTTGAGGAAACCAGTTAAAGGCCACTGGAGTAGAATATGCCCCTGACAACATGGAATGGGTTCCGGTGCATGTCACTTTACAAAATCTAAGAAGAGAGAGAGAAGAACCCAGATCCTCCATAAAGGGCTGCTGACACCCCTAACCAATTTTTCTACCCACCCCACCCCTGCCACATTTTCCCATAATTTATTGAAAACTTACTGAAAGTTAGTACTCAGATCTCAAACTGTGATGTGAAAGCCAAGATAAACTAGAAGATAAAAAGAAAAGGTGTCAAAGATCGGTCTTCCATCATATCACAGCAGGTGGCAATCTGGACAAAGTAGCTCACTGCAATAAGGATAAGAGAAATGGAGGACAATGCACAGGGAAAGAGCCAACCTGGGAAACTAGAACAAAGAAGAAAGGAAAGAAAGGGAGAGAAGAAGGAAGAGAGAGATTTCCCAGAGCATACAATATCTATGCAGAAAACAAGAGAACAAAGTCGCTCACGAGATGGCCAATAGGAAAGGGAAACAAAGCTGATCCAACACAAGGATAATGGGTGTCTCTAAAGCAAAGAATCCAACATGTAGAAAATAAGACATTTTCAAAGGTATAACATAAGAAGTAAATGAAGAGTGGATCTGCAGCTCAAAGGGATATGCTATGTTCTACAAAAAGTTGCTATAGGAAAATCAACACCAGAATATGATTTGGTTCTGTGTCCCTACCCAAATCTCATCTCGAATTGTAATCCCCACATGTCAGGGGAGGGACTTGTAGGAGGTGATTGAATCATGGGAGTAGTTCCCCCATGCTGTTCTTGTGATAGAGAGGGAGTTCTCACAAGATCTAATGGTTTCAAAGTGGAAGTTTCCCCTGCTTTCTCTCTTTGTCCTCTTTTGATATGGTAAGACGTGTCTTGCTTCCCCTTTGCCTTCCTCCACGATTGTAAGTTTCCTGAGGCCTCCGCAGCCATTTGGAACTCTGAGTCAATTAAATCTTTATTCTTTATAAATTACTCAGTGTCAGGTATATCTTTATAGCAGTGCAAAAATGGACTAATACAACCAAAAACATCATAGTTAATGAATTTCAAAGATAAAGAACAATTTCCTCAGGGTTCTAGGTAGAAAAAGGCAAACACCTAAAAGACAAATATCCCAAGTAGCCCCAATCTTCTTCACAGAACATTTAACATCAAAGCTAAATACCAAAATACAAATGGAGATCATCTCTAGGTGGAAGGCTTAGAGGTAATTTTTGTTTCCTTTTTATACTTTGTCATGTTGCATGCTTTAAAAAATTATTTTACATGAGCAAATATTATTCATGAAAGTCAGAAAAAAACAATAAAACTATTTTCATTCTTAAAAACAAAATAAAAATAAAAGAAGGCCTGCCTGAAATGCATTCTGTTTCTTTATCAAACCCCATTCTTTCTCATTTTACCTTGGATTGGAAGAAAGAGACCTTAAAAGACTCTTAGGAAATCAGGCCACCAAGGCCTTCAGTAAGAGAGATAAATGAATTGCAGGGTTTGGGAGAGCATTCAGATAAAACTATGAAGATAGCTAAGTTCTTTTCAAGTATTTTAAGTTTTGTTAGTATCTTAGACTTGCTTGGGGCCCAAGGGAGTAGTTAAAACTCATGCTGTGGAGTTACCCAGAGTCACTGAGTTTGCAGCTTACTGGTGATGTGCTCTTGAAAAAATTACTTACCTTCCACAAGCCTAAGTTTCTTTGTATAGTAAATGGAAAAATAATAGCAGTAACTATCATATCATAGTGATAATTAAATAAGATAATATATGTAAAGTGCTTTTTTAAACTTTTATTTTTAAGTTCGGGGTACATGTGCAGGTTTGTTACATAGGTAAATGTGTTTCATAAGGGTTTGTTATGCAGATTATTTCATCACCCAGGTACCAAGCCTAGTACCTATTTGTTATTAATATTTTTCCTGATCCTCTCTGTTTTCCCACCCTCCAGTAAGCCCCAGTGTGTGTTGTTCCGCTCTATGTGTCCATTTGTTCTCATCATTTAGCTCCCATTTATAAGTGAGAAAATGTAATATTTGGTTTTCTGTTCCTGCATTTAGTTTGCTAGGATAATGGCCTCCAGTTCCATCCATGTCCCTGCAAAGGACATGATCTCATTCTTTTTTTATGGCTGCATAGTATTCCATAGTGTATATATACCACATTTTCTTTATCCAGTCTATCATTGATGGGCATCTAGGATGATTCCATGTCTTTCCTATTGTGAATAATGCTGCAATGAACATACACATGCATGTATCTTTGTATTTGTATTCCTTTGGGTATATACCTGGTAATGAGATTGCTGGGTCGAATAGTAGTTCTGTCTTTAGGTCTTTGAGGAACGGCCACACTGTCTTCCATAATGGTTGAACTAATTTACACTCCCACGAACAGTGTATAAATGTTCCTTTTTCTCCACAACCCAGCCAGTATCTGTTATTTTTTTAGTTTTTAGTAATAGGCATTATGACTGTTGTGAGATGGTATCTCATTGTGGTTTTGATTTACATTTCTCTAATGATCAGTGATATTGAGCTTTTCTTCATATGATTTTTAACCACATGTATGTCTTCTTTTGAAAAGTGTTCATGTCCTTTGCCTGCTTTTTAATGGGTTTTATTCTTGTAAATTTGTTTAAGTTTCATATAGATGCTGGATCTTTGTCAGATGCATAGTTTGCAAAAATTTCTCCCATTCTATAGGTTGTCTGTTTACTCTGTTGATAGTTTCTTTTGTTGTGCAAAAGCTCTTTAGTTTAATTGGATCCCATTTGTCAATTTTTGCTTTTGTTGCAATTGCTTTTGGTGTTCTCGTCATGAAATCTTTGCCTGTGCCTATTTGCCGAATGGTATTGCCTAGGTTGTCTTCCAGGGTTTCTATAGTTTTGGGTTTTACATTTAAGTATTTAATCCATCTTGAGTGTATTTTTGTATATGGTGTAAGGGAGGAGTCCAGTTTCAATCTTCTGCAAATGGCTAGCCATTTATCCCAACAACATTTATTGAATACAGTCCTTTCCCCATTGCTTGTTTTTGTCAGGTGTGTCAAAGATCAGATAGTTGTAGGTGCACAGTCTTATTTCTGGGTTCTCTATTTTGTTCCATTGGTCTATATATGTGTTCTTGTACCAGTACCATGCTGTTTTGGTTACTATAATTCTGTAGTATTGTTTTAAGTCAGGTAGTATGATGCCCCCAGCTTTGTTCTTTTTGCTTAGCATTGCCTTGGCTATTCAGTCTCTTTTTTGGTTCCACATGAATTTTAAAACGGTTTTTTATGGCTCTGTGAAGAATGTCAATGGTAGTTTAATGGGAATAACATTGAATTCATAAATTGCTGTGGGCAATTTTAACAATATTAGTTCTTTTTATCAATGAGCATGGAATGTTTTTCCATTTGTTTGTGCCATCTATGATTTCTTTAAGCAGTGGTTTGTAGTTCTCCTTGTAGAGACCTTGTAAAATGCTTTTCATAATGCCTGCCACAGTTACCATCATCATCTTCACCAGCAGCTACAGAAGCACCATCGTCATCATCATTACCATCATCATCTTCTTCATCACCATCACTTCTTGCTAAGAAACCTTGCATATATTACTCCCCTTCTCTTAGCTTCAGCTAACTCATCATAAAATGGGGGATATAATGGAGAGGAGTCTTGATTATTATTATTATAGTATCTAACACCTATTGAGTGCCCTTCATGTACAAGACTTATATTAAGTGTTTGCATTTAGTAGTTCATTTCATGCTCACAAATATCCCCAGTAGCAAGCTCCTACTCACTTTACAGGTGAGAGAATTCCGTTCTAGAAAGATTTAGCTGAGATAGGACTTAAACCTGATCTTACTAACACCAAAGCCCAAGCTCCAGTCCACTATGCTTTACCACCTTCTCTGGTTGGGAAGATCAAGGGAGATAATGGGAGTGAACACACCTGTGTACAGTGGAGCTGTGCAGGCTCCTCATGGTTGCTTAGGGCTTGGTCTGAAGGCCTAGTGAAAGAGAGGATCTGATATCAATGTACCATGAATTCCCTGGCATCCTAATTATTTGTTCTTTCATCAATCCTGCAAACACTTACAGAGCACCTGGTATGTGTTCAGCACTGTGCTAGGATCAGGAGTCTTAACCAATAAACAAGTCATGGCCTCAAGCCCTGAAGAAACAAAGAGATGTACCAGGAGGCAATTTGTCAGTGTTCTACTGCATTGTACATTGATGTACCGCATTCCATTGTACCAGCCTCAGAAGTACTGAGTTATCCACAGGTGCTTCCAAAAACACACCTAGGAAAGACACAGAAAGTGAAACATCATCACCTAACCCTGTTCAGGCTTCAGAATTGCTGTGAACTGATTCCCAGTGGTGTTAGCTGCAGGACCAACTGAGTGTGTGACACAAACACTTTCTGACAATGAAATATTTTGCAGAACCAAAGGCTGGTTTCATTACATTTCAGTGTGTAACCATTATTCTCACACAGTTCAATAGATACCTTTAAGATATAGAGTCTAATATTTTTGTAGTGAACAGCATATCAAATCTTGTCAAAATCAACTTTTGAGCATTTAACTTATGTAAGTAAATATTGATGGAGTATCTACTCTGTGGGAAATGCCAGACAAATGGAGATAGTGCCTGATCAGAGGGGCTCACAGTGTAGTGGGAGGTGAGGGGACGCTCCATTCCGAGTTGTTTTTGATTTGTTGGAGTGCAAGCCTTGCTGGCATCATAGTGGGGTGATAACGGTGAAAGGTCTGGAGAGATTCAGACTTGAGTTGGCCTTGGCTTTGTGGCTTTGTCACCCTGGGCTGCTTGGTTGGGTCGGCTTGCTAAGTGATTGTGTATGTGCAATGCTTACCTTGAAAGCTTTACCTCAATGGAGCAATTGTCTCCAAATTCAGACCCTTCCTTTCATCTCACCTGCCGTGATCTGAGCCCCCCTAAACAACCATTGCCTCCTCCCTGGACTGCCCCAACAGCCTGCTGCATCCTCTCCTACACCCTCCAGGCTTTTCTCCAAAGAGCAGTGACCTCTGTGAAATGCAAATTGATCACCTCAACTGCTGCATAGCAGCCCAAAGTGGTTTTCTTCAACTGCAAACCCCTCTCCATGATCTACAAGAGGCTGCTTCATTGGCCCTGCTCACATTTGCTACCTCACCCCATTCCTCTCTGCCTCCTTCAGGTGTCTGGACAGATTGGCCCCTGTTGTAGACTTTGGCCCAATCCTTTCACCTGTAGGACCTCTGCTGGCCCCTCCCTCCACTCGGCATGATCTTCCCCAGATCTTCAGGAGCCACCTTCCCGTCTTCAATCCACATCTCCACCATCTCCTCCCCAGAGCATCCTTCTCCACCCACTGCCAAAATAGACAGTGCATCTCCTCCAGAATGCTTATCACATTTTGTATTTATATGTATTTATTCATTTGCTCACTCCCCTTTTTTATTTTTATTTTTTTATTTCCATAGGTTTTTTGGGGAACAGGTGGTGTTTGGTTACATGAATAAGTTTTTTGGTGGTGATTTCCGAGATTTTGATGCACCCATCACCCAAGCAGTATACATTCACCCAATTTGTAGTGTTTTATAACTCACCCCCCTCCCACCCTTTCCCCCGAGTTCCCAAAGTCTGTTGTATCATTCTTTTATCTTTTTTTTTTTTTTTTTTTTTTTGAGAGGGAGTTTCACTCTTGTTGCCCAGGCTGGTGTGCAATATGCTTGATCTCGGCTCACTGCAACCTCCACCTTCCAGGTTCAAATGATTCTCCTGCCTCAGCCTCTCGAGTAGCCGGGATAACAAGCATGCACCACCACGCCCAGCTAATTTTTGTATTTTTAGTAGAGATGGGGTTTCACCATGTTAGTCAGGCTGGTCTCAAACTCCTGACCTCATGTAATCCACTGGCCTCTGCCTCCCAAAGTGCTGGGATTACAGGTGTGAGCCACCGCGCCTGGCCCCAGTTGTATCATTCTTATGCCTTTGCATCCTCGTAGCTTAGCTCTCACTTTTGAGTGACAACATACGATGTTTGGTTTTCCATTCCTGGACTCACTCCCATTTTAATGAACAAGTCATCCCAGCAGACAAGGGTTCCGCATGAAAGCAAGGACATGTTGCTTTTGACCTCACTGTTGGAACAGCCCCAGCACATAAATAATTGTTGGATGTTGACACAATGAATGCCTCCAGCCTAGTAATTTCCAAATTGTGTTCACTGTCTCTCTAGAGTTTAGTAAAAGTCCCTGAGGGATTTCCCATCCATTACCCACTCTGTCTTGTCTGAGAAACACCCAGGTGTAGATCTCATTGGCAGAGTGGTGACTCCAGCTGGAGATGGGGAGGTTCAAGTGGGATCCCAGCAGTCATGCTGAGCCCTAGGTCCTGGTCTGGGCACAGGGCGTGATCACTGGTCTCACTGTACAGGATATGGAGGAAAGGAAGGGTATAGACCTGAGACCACATGTGAGTTTGGAAATGTGTAGGGTTGGCTTGGGTTGTGGTGGTGACTGGAGGCTCTCCTGGCATCAGAAAGTAAAGGGTAATAAATGCCCTGCAATTGCACAGGACAGTCTCTCAAAATAAAGACTTGTCCCACTGCAATGCCACCAGGGCGACTCAGGAACTGGGGCCCACTACACATCCAGTCAAGGGGCAGGGGTGGGGGGGTTCTAAAGTGTGGCAGATGGAGATGGATGCTGGAGGCATGACCTTCTCAGAGTGATTAATTCCATGTCCTGGCTCACACACTGCAGGTGGCATCCCGTTCATCTTGACTGGTGAGTTCTTCCAGCAATCTCAGCGGCCGGCTGCCTTCATCATTGCAGGCACCGTCAACTGGCTCTCCAACTTTGCTGTTGGGCTCCTCTTCCCATTCATTCAGGTATGACTGACAAGGAGTCTTTTGCCCATGGGGTTCCCTTTGATTCTGCAGCACTTGAGGGGTGATTCATAGAGCAGAAGTTGATCTCTCTCCTCTCAACTGGAAACTCATGCTATTTTCCTAAGGAAGGAAGAAACTATGCTTTGGGCAAAACCTTTCATCCCTTTCTCTTTCCTGTGCCTTCCTAGAGCTTCCCTAAATGCTGTGGGCTCTTTCAGAGGGTGTGGGCTACCCATTGCTGACGGTATGCAAGGACTCCTAGGTTAGCAACTCAAACCTACAACCTACTTATCATTTTTACAATGTGCTCATCACTGTGTAAGACAAATTCCATCTAATAGTTCCAGTGCACACTGCAAACCACCACCCATTTAACATCCTCATTGTCATCATCATAACCACAGCTAATGGGATCATTGTCCCAAGGGTGACAGTGATCAGTAGGAAAATGCCCACATACTCAAGAATCAGATACAAGTCTTTTTGGGTAGGGAAAGGATCTGTTCATTGGAAACCGAATTCATTAATTCAACACATATATATGTTGAGTCCCAGCTGTGTGCCAGGCACTTTTCTAGGCAATGAGGATACAGTGGTAACAAAGCCTGTGTTTCCTGGTTCTGGAGCTGAACGGGGAAACAAAAGAGGCATAAGTGCTATTTTAAATGGGGCAATCGTGAAGGGCTCTGGAAGGAGGTGACCGTTGCGCAGAGGCCTGAGTGAAGTGAGGGAGCAGAGCTGTCTGGGAATGGTGAAGTCCTGGCTAGAAAAACAGCAAGTGCAAGGGCCCTTAGGCAGGGCTAATATTTGGCCTGTGTAAGAAACCACCCAGAGGCCTATATGACTGAAACAGAGTGAGCAAGAAAGATGGGTGAGAGAGAGGATCAGATAAGAGGGTTATCTGGGAGCAGGAACACAAAAGGCTTTGCAAGCCTTCTGCACAGAGCAAGGGGCCCAGAAGCATTTGCAGAAGGAGGATGAAGCTTCCCTGCTCAAATGCCCACCAGGGCTCCCTGCTGCCCTCAGTGCTGGGTGGTACCACCTGGAGGAGGTGAGAATCCGTCATATACATCACCACCCATTCTCAGGAGCTATTTCAATCCTGTCTTCCTGTCTTCCTCCCCTCACCAACTATTCTGGACACTCAGTTCTAAGTCCGCCTGCTAATTTACTAGTGCCAAGCCCAACACATCCCAGAGATTCTGCTGCCAGCTTGGGTGAGCCAAAGGTCAGTATTTGCGGCACTCCAAGCCCCAGCCACCCCAGCATGGTGGCTGTTCCTGCATTCACAGTTACGGAGCAGTTGCTCTGTGCCGCACCCTCCCCCATGCATGGCTTTCTGTGCCCACATCACCCTCACACAGTCCTGAGCTGGAGTTTCTGATCCTTGCCACTGTACAGGCAAGGAGGTCCAGGAAGCAGACATGGTCAGCCCAGGTCCCACAGTCAGCATCAAACCCAGTTTCTCCACTTCACCACCTTGTGCTCAACTTCCCTCTCCATCCATCACTTGCTACAGCCTCCTCGTCTCAGAGTTAGAAGGCTGCCACACCCTGTAACTTTCAAGACATCTTTGTGTTTTAGCAACAAACACTCTATTTCTGAAACGTAAGGGCTGCTGGGGGCTCCATGAGCCATGGAGTTAGTCAAGATCCCACACTCATTTATTCCCATCCTGGGACACCTTCACGTGGCTGCAGTCAGAACATAACAAGTATCTTTTCAATTGACTTTAAACCTTAAGTGGCTTTTTACAGTTTGGCTCAAAGCCAGCAGAGCCAGGTGTCAGTAAAATCCTCATTATTGTGGCAAAAGTTAACTTCAAGCTGCTTCTGTCAACATGGTTCCCCCATCACATTTATAAATTAAGTAGAGAAGTTCCAGCACCTTCACATGGCCCAGTACTGAGATTTGTATGTCCGAGAAGCAGGCCACTATCTTCTGAGCCACTCAGGGGTGTGGGGTGTGAAAGACCTTGCTTGCCTGCCACAGTTTGAGCATTAACAGCACCAACATGCCACTTTAGTATAGTGTTCACTGAATGCTTGCTGTGTGCCCAGAGTGCTCCACCGCTGCCTGTGCTAGGAGGTAGTGCCTGTATCACTCCCTTTGACAGGCAAGGGGATGAGCTCAGAGAGATGTAGTAACTTCCAAGGTCACTGCACTTCCAAACCTAGATAATTTTTTGTATTTCTAAAAACTGGAATCAATTCTTTGTTTTGTTCTTGCTTCTCTTGCCTGTCATTTATGAGCCTTTTCTTATGCCTGTGGGCATTTTCGAAACAAATCCCCTCTGGAAACAGTTCCTGAGAAGCTGGGTATGTCCAGGGTGTCTGGGTTTTCAGGGGTCATTCGGGAAACATTGCAGGTGTGACTATTGATGAACCTTCATCGGAGCAGGAACAGCCAGGCTGGACATACAGATGGAGACACTGGGCAGGTAGATACGTTTAGTATTTTGTGAAATGTCAGCCTCCTGACCCAAGCCTGGGAAGGCACCCACGGTTAATTTCCTTTCCGGAGAGGAGCTTAGCAAGTTAGAGAGCTGGGCTCAGGGGGCTGCTGTGAGCAATGATCAATGCATTAGAGAAATACAGGGCTAACAAGTTCTGAGTCACATCCCCCAACCCCAGCCCACCACAGCCCCACTCACGCCCGCCCATGGGAGCAACGTGTATGTGTTCTAGATGCCATACGTGAACCATTTCTGACCTACCTCCCTTCTGAAAACCAGCTCAGCCACAATCAAGAGCTACTGTGTTCATCTACTCGGGCCTCGGGCCGCCATGACCAAATAGCACAGACTAGGGAGCTTCAACAACAGAAATTTATTGTCTCACAATTCTAGAAGGTAGAAGTCTGAGCTCAAGGGCTTAGCACGGTTGATTTCTTCTGAGGCCCCTCTCCTTGGCTTGTTAATGGCTGTTGTCAAGTTCACAACTACACCAATTGTTATCCCCAGGGTCAGGTTCCAGCTCATGCTGAGGTCCGAAGGGAGTGGGTGGATGAGCAGACAGCTGGAAGAACACTCAGGGGGCCGTAGGCAGGTGCAATGTAGTCTCTCATGAGAAGCTCACTCACACTAGTTCTCTCACACTGTCCACCCTGTCTTGGCTGCTTAGTCCAGCAGCTCCCACACATGGCTGCACTGCCAGCTTGCCCTTCAAGGTCAGCAGCTTAACTCTTTCTCTGGGCACCAGAACTCAAGCTATGTCCTGGCTCCCCTCTTTCCATTTTGCAGATGGACAGCTCTGGTTTTCTCTCTCTTTCTCTGGGCGGCAGCGCAAGAGTGCATGTACAGTGTCAGCAGGGCAGTTATACCTTTTACAGACAACAGTGGTGTAGGGCCAAGGGATGCCCTTCCCATGTTATGGCTACATGGCTGTGATAACAAGTAGAGTTATACACCTGCCCTCTAAACTCACTGAGTCACTCTGGATGTTTACCTCAGCCTACCCTTGACCAAAGCACAACCATGTTCCTTGCAGCTGTCTTCTCCCTGTGTCCTCGCATGGTCTCCCTTCTGTGTTGATCTGTGTCCTCTTCTCCTCTCTTATGAGAATAGCAGGATATTGGATTAGGGCCCCACCCTAATGACCTCATTTCAACTTAATCACATCCTGAGGTGCTAGGGCTTAGGACTCAACGTATGAATTTCAGGAGGGACGCAGTTCAGCCCACAGCAGCCACCAAGAGAAACTACTCACACAACTTGATTGTTTCACTTATTCCAATAAGTATCAGTGGCAAATGTATTCCAGCCCCCAAACAGACCCCTAAGAAGCCTGGGCTTCTTCCTCAGAATAAAATGTCTGAGCCAGTAGAGCCACAGACAACGGCACGAATCACGCCTGTATTGAAGCCCATGTATTAGCGGAGGGCCCTGAGCATGCTCCTCAAGCATGGGTTTCCTCTCCAAGCCTGGGTTTCCTCACCTGTAAAACAGGGAAAATCCTTAGCCTTCTCATCACCAACAGAGAAGGGAGGCAACTGTGGTTGTGGGGAGGAGCCCACATCCCTTCATGCTCACCTCCACACTCTGGCTCTGGGATCCTGTTGGCAGCATTTGCTGTGGTCAGCATCAGTGTTGCTTGGGCCATTTGTTATAAAGCCTGCGAAAAACACTCTCCAGTGTGGAGTGCCAATATTTTCCGATTCAGAGAAAATTGCATGCAAATGTATGCCTCTTTGATTCTACTCAAGTTATAAAATGCAGTTTGAGCTCAATAAATTCTGGAAAAGAGCAAATTATTCTTTTCAACCTGAAGAATATTGGGTCATATCCTGAGTGCCTAAGCAGAGTGAGACGGGCAGGACTAGTCAAACTTTTTCTGAGCTTTTTGTTTTTCTTCAACTTTTATTCTAAGTTTGGGGTACATGTGCAGGATGTGCAGGTTTGTTACACAAGTAAACACATGCCGTGGTGGTTTGCTACACAGATCAACCAATCACCTAGGTATTAATATTAAACCCAGAGTCCATTAGCTATTCTTCCTAACACTCTCCCTCCACCACAACCCCCTGATAGGCCCCAGTATTGTTCCCCTCAATGTGTCCATGTGTTCTCGTTGTTCAGCTCCCACTTATAAGTGAGAACATGCAGTGTTTGGTTTTCTGTTCCTGTGTTAGTTTTCTGAGGGTAACAGCTTCCAGCTCCATCCATGTCACTGCAAAGGACTTGATCTCATTCCTTTTTATGGCTACATAGTATTCCATGGTGTATATGTGCCACATTTTCTTTATCCAGTCTATCGTTGATGCACATTTGGGTTGATTCCATATCTTTGCTGTTGTGAATAGTGCTGCAATAAATATACACATGCATGTATCTTTATAATACAATGATTTACATTCCTTTGGGTAGATACCCAGTAATGGGATTGCTGAGACAAATGGCATTTCTGTCTCTAGGTCTTTGAGGAATCACCATGCTGTTTTTCACAATGATTGAACTAATTTAAACTCCCACCAACAATGTAGAAGCATTCCTTTTTCTCCGCAAGCTCGCCAGCATCTGTTGTTTCTTGACTTTTTAATAATCGCCATTTTGACTGGTATGAGATGGTATCTCATTGTGGTTTTGATTTGCCTTTCTCTAATGATCAGTGATGTTGAGCTTTTTTTCATATGTTTTTTGGCCATATGAATGTCTTCTTTTGAGAAGCATCTGTGTGTGTCCTTTGCCCACTTTTTAATGAGGTTGTTTTTTCTTGTAAATTTGTTTAAGTTCCTTATGAACTCTGGATATTAGACCTCTGTCAGATGGATAGATTGCAAAAACTTTCTCTCATTGTGTAGGTTGTATGTTCACTATGATGATAGTTTCTTTTGCAGTGGAGAAGCTCTTTAGTTTAATTAGATCCCATTCGTCAATTTTTGCTTTTGTTGCTCTTCTTTTTTTTTTTTTTTGACATTTTTGTCATGAAATCTTTGCCCGTGACTATGTCCCGAATGGTATTGCCTAGATTTTCTTCTAGGGTTTTTATAGTTTTGGGTTTTACATTTAAGTCTTTAAGCATCTTGAGTTAATTTTTGTATAAGGTGTAAGGAGGGGGTCCAGTTTTAATCTTTACCTCAGTCTCTCAAGTAGCTGGGATAACAGGCGACTGCCACCACGCCTAGCTAATTTTTGTAATTTTAGTAGAGATGGGGTTTCACAATGTTGGCCGGGCTGGTCCTGAACTTCTGACCTCAAGTGATCCACCCACCTCAGCCTCCCAAAGTGCTGGGATTACAGGTGTGAGCTACTGTGCTCGGCTGAGCCACATGTTCTTGACTGAATTTTGTGAAACTGTGAGAATAATCCTCACGACACCCATCAGGTCCCTTGGGAAAAGAAAGCCAAGCAAGAGGCAGCTGTGTGGGTGTCAGAGAGGTCCTAGGAAGCCCTGTTTGTGGCCTGGGATACGGCAGGAAGCCTCTCTGAGCCTCAGTCCATCCATCCACTCACTAAGATACTCAGAGCATCTACTGTATATCAGAGACTCTCCGGGCTCTGGGAATACAAGAAAAATGATGACTCCTGCCTTCAGATAGTTACCTCTTGGTAGGGAGAAGGTTAATAAACAGGCAGTTGCACACTATAATGCTGCATAGTGATGAGTGTTTTTGAAGGCAATGAAGCAGGGCTGGGAGGGGCTATTTCAAAATGAGAGTCAACGAGAACCTCTCTGAGAAAATGACCTTTAAGTCGGATGAAGAGGAGTAAGAAAGCAGGATATACAGAGGCCTAAACGAAGATTATTCCAGCAAGAGAGAACAGCATGTGCAAAGATTCTGAGGCCTAATACTGGAGGGAAATCATAAAGGCAGTGGAGTTGGGGCAAAGAAAGTGAGGAGAGTAAGATCAGAGAAATAAGAGGGACACATGGTCGGTGGCCTTGGAGGCCATGGTGAGGACTTTGGCTTTCCTGCAGGTGACTTAGGAAGTCATGGTGGGTTTTGAGCAGAGGAGTGACAAGTTTTGTCCTTTGTTTAACAGGATCACTCTGGCTTGTCTGTTAAGAATAATCTTAAGATTATGCTTAAAGTGAAAAGCAGGGAAATCAGTTGACAAGCTATTGCAAAAATCCAAGCAAAACATGATGGTGGCTTGCACCAAAATTAGGTTACAATAGAAGTGATGACAAACCCTCAGATTTGGAATACATTTCAAGGTGGAGCAACATGATTTCCTGATGGAGCAGATGTGGGTGGGAGAGAGAGAGAGAAGCTCAGCCTGCCTCCAAGTGTTTTTGTTGGCATAATCAATCAGAAGGATGGAGGTGCCATCAGCAGAGATGAGGAAGGCTAGAGCAGGCAGTTTTAGAGGCTCCACTTTGGACTTGATAAGTCAGATGTCCATTCCGCCTGCAGATGGGGGTGTGGAGGATGTTGAATGCAAAATTGATATATCTCATTTCATCTTCAAAACAATGTGTGGGTATATATCACCATGTTGCAAATGAGGAAACAGATGCTCAGTGGATTGAAATTCTATCTTAAATGGCACATCATAAGTGTTAGAACAACATGTGAGTAATGGGATCAGGATTTGAATCCCACTCGACTGGCTTCAGAGCCCATACTCTCCCCCTTCTCCACACTACTCTTGAAGTCTTTGTACGAGCAGAAGGCACAGTCTCAAGAGCTAAGCACCCCCAGGTGTGGAACATTTACTGCATGTGGCACTTTAAAGGGAATGTCTCATTTAATTCATACAACAACCCTACATGTACCATGATTATCCTCTTTTTCAATCATGGAAACTGAGGGACAAAGAGTCTCAGATTTAGTAAATGGTAGATCTAGGATGTGATCCAGGGATCAAGCTTAAGCACTTTGCCATTCTCCAAAAATAAATGTTTGTCAAATCAAAGAATAGAATGGAATTGACTAAAATCTGGATATTGCTTCTTGGGAAATATTATTCAAAGACAGTGTCACCTTATCTTTGGATCAGTAGATGTTTGTTGCATATAATAGTCACAATCCTGACAGCTGGGACCCAGAAAGTCTTTTATTTCTGGAATGGTGGCTCATGCCTATAATCCCAGTACCTGGGAGACCAAAGCAAGCAGATTGATTGAGGCTAGGATTTCAAGTCTTTTATTCCACAAATATGTCCTGAGTACCTCCTATAAGGCACAGGAGCTACAGAGGTGACTGAGTCACTGAGAAGCTCAAGGTCTAGTGCAGTTGGCAGGGTTATTCTAGTCCAAACACTAATCAGGATACATAAAACGGAGTGATTGCATTGAGCATTTCTATTTTTTCTGATCTCTCTTATTTGTGCAAGGCCGCCTCAGAGTATCAATTAGTGAGTTAGATCATTTGCATATTAGAAAAAACTGGCATTACCTTGGCCTATTCTGTGCTCCACATTCTTCCTATGAACTAAGGCATTTCTCTTCCCTTTTGATGTCATTCTTGTCTCATGTGTATAGTAGAAGCAAGAAGACAATGTGGTTAATTGTAAATATAAGCTTAAGCTAATATTCAGCAAGCATTCCATTTTGCTTTCGTGATGATTAATTTTTAAATGCCAAATTTGCAACAACAACAACAAAAAAGTGCCATTTTCTCATCTTTCCCAGAGTTTGAAGCTGATTTATTCAAGCCTTATGTGATAACACTTCATGTAGGGTACACTTGCCTTATTGAGCCAGCATCACACATGGTGTTTTGTCTAGGAGTATTGGTATATGAATGTGGAGCTATCTTAAAAATCTGTGTAGAGATGGTTTAACAGCAAGTTTACTGATTATCTATTTGAGGGTTTTTGTCTCTGCCTTTCCACAGAAAAGTCTGGACACCTACTGTTTCCTAGTCTTTGCTACAATTTGTATCACAGGTGCTATCTACCTGTATTTTGTGCTGCCTGAGACCAAAAACAGAACCTATGCAGAAATCAGCCAGGCATTTTCCAAAAGGAACAAAGCATACCCACCAGAAGAGAAAATCGACTCAGCTGTCACTGATGGTAAGATAAATGGAAGGCCTTAACAAGTTTCCTCCTCCACGTTGGACAATTATGTCAAAAACAGGATTGTCTACATGGATGATCTCACTTTTCAGGAAACTTAAAATTTACCCATTATTGGGAAGCTTAAATGAATTGAAGCTATGCAAGTCTTTTATATTATTAAATATTTAAAAGTAAACCTGTACTAATCTAACATTGCAACTGTGTTAGCATTATTCACAACTGAATCTCCCAAACCCTTCTGGAAGCTGCAAGGAATCACTCTATGTTTCAGTAGACCCAGCGTTCTTCTATATAGGTAGATGACCTGCCTTCTTCATGACTCAACCCATGATTTCAAAATGAAATTGGGGAAATAGTAGGTTAATGCTTTATCAAAGAAAAATCAATTTGGTCTGATAGGGGACTCAACGGATTAGAGATCACAGACTGAGGTTCTAGTCCCAGCTTTACCACAAGCAGCCTTGACCTGCCCTCAACCTGGATCCCAGTGCCTCAATGACCCTAGGCTTCCATCCCTGATATAGGCTTTCAGAAGTCAGTGGAAAGATTATTCATAGTGCCTAAGAAATGCCTGTTTCCAATATTTGACCTTGTGGATCTCAGGCTTTGGAGAGCCTAATACCAACACACCAGCCTGCAGATTTTGTCTTTCCCAAACTGTGTTCCAGGAATGGGCTCAAAACTTCAGGGCTGACGCTGTCCTCACCCCAGACTATTAGAGTCCTGTGTGCTCACAGAGAACATGAAGAAGAGCAATGTGTAGAAGACTTAACTTTCTCATAACTGCAGCAGGGACTGAAAATTGACCTCCATCCAAATGAAAAATAATGTTGAGGATGATTCTAAAGCTAAACCTAGGCTTGGTGGGAAAAAAAAAAAACATTGTGATTAATTGGTGATCTCTGCCACAAGTGTGGGGCTCAGAGTGTCAGCACATGTACCTCATGTTTACCAAGTCTAGAAGAGATTTCTCTGAAAAGGTAATGAGCTGTCTTGAAAAATGGGGAGTTCACCATCACTCAAAGTGCTCAAGGGAAGACTGGGTGATTACTCATCTTGACTGTTGCTAAGAAAATCTGTGTCAACTTTGGAGGAAGGTGTTTGGAATAGATATGTTGAGGGGCTCTTCTAACTCTTACATGCTAAAGTTGTTTGAGTAAGATCTACTTACAGCCTGCCATCGTAATGTGTGGCTTGTGGTTTGGGCGATTTCCTATACTTGCTTCTAAAATGAAAAAACGTGTCCTAAAGTAAAGTAAAGTGCACTTGAATTAGCACCAGTGTGTTTGAATTTGGTATCTCATAGGAGTGGGGCCAGAGAGGACTTGACTTAGCAATACCACTAGAATCCTTTTGGCCATAATCCCTTGGGTTTGCTCAGATCATTCTTGACCATGGCAGCCTTAGGCAAAATTTGAGTTCAGTTTTCCTTTTCTGTGGAGTATTCTTTCATCACTGGGCCACTCCTTTGGTTAATTGCCAACTCAATGCACTATGCCATCCAGCTTTGGGTTGGCTGAAAAATTTGGACAGTGTTTGTCAAGACGAAGAGAAAGTGAGGTGTGGGTTCCAAAAGTGCCTGAGACCAAAAGAGCCAAAGACAGTGTAAAATAAAAGTCTTAGCTTTTTGGTGTTCTCTTTTATTTGGAGACTTGAGAATTTAGGCAATAAATATTTATTAGGTACCTATCATAGACAAGGCACTAGCTACATACTAAAGATGTATCAGTAAGCAAGAAAATATACTGCCCTCACCTGCAAAAGCCCATGTCTACCAGAGAAGATAGAAAATCAAAGCATTAACTGTAAAGTTGTCATCAGTACTGTACTTTATAGTACAGTAAATTGTCATCAATACAGTGATATAGAAACATGCCACAGGGATGACTGGGGTGAGAGGTGAGAATCAGGAAAACCTTCCCAAATAAGTGACAGAAATAGAATGGGGAACACTATGACTGTCAGGCAATAGGCCAGGAATTATTCTTACATGTTATTTTATTTGAAAAGCTCATAGAGCCATTTCTCACTCCATTTTCTACTGCTTATAACAGAATACCTGAAACTGGGTAATTTATAGACAAACAAACTTTTTTTTTTTTTTACTGTTCTGGAGGCTGTAGAGTTCAATGTCAGGGGGACATCTGACGAGTGCCTTCTTACTGGTGGGGCCTCTTGCCGTCCTGAGGCGGCAAAGGGAATCACATGGTGAGGCGGCTAAGTTTGTTCACTGGGGTCTCTCTTCTCTTTATAAAACCACCAGTCCCACTCCCATGATGACCCATTCATTCATTCACTCATTAATCCATTAATTCATGAGGGCTCTCATGACCCAACTACCTTTTAAAGACTCTGCCTCTCAATACTGCCGCATTGGGGATTAAATTTCAACATGACTTTTAGAGGGGACATTCAAACCACAGCAGCCACATTAAGGAAATTTTTGAAAAATAAAACAATAAGACACCCATAATCTCATATCCTTCACTCCCCCAACATAAGCAATTTAATTTTTAGACAGCTCTGTACATTTCTTGCTTATTATTCATCCAGTTGGAATCACAGAATACATGAAACACAATTACAATCTTCTTGTCTCTTATCTTCTATTTTTTCCACTTTGTATTAAATCAAATGCATCATCTCAATTCCAAACCCTTTTGTTTATACTCTGATATTTACTCCAGTGAATTCTTCATGTATAAAGTTGTTTTTCACAGCCACACACTTGTACCACAAATCTAGGGGGTATTCTTTCTTTTAGTGTCCTTAATATTGTATTACTTTCTAATATTCACACTTTAACTTTACAAATGAGTAGAATGGAATAGCTGTGTTTCAGTACAGAACTTTTTTCTTATGTTTGCTTGGGCCTTCCTCCTCTCTGTTACCTAAGTTGATAATCTAGGATTTGTTGTCTCACATTTTTCCCGATGTTCATATGATATTCAATGAAATAAAATACATGTGACACAAAAAAAAGTTGTTTTCCAGATACCCAAATATAATGGGGAGTGGCGAGTTAGAGAGACAGACATTTTCATGAGCTTTGCTTCACAGGCTCTGGTTCTTGGCTGAAAGGTACCAGCCGCTTACAGCACCCTGTATCCATTCACAGACCCTAAAAGAATCTCTAGTCAAATTAACAGGTCTCCTTTCCTAATTCCTGACCAGGAGTTGGGGATTAGGCCCTTGTCTTACTATTTTACATATTCTCTCACCTCCAAGCCATGGAGGTTTATATTTCTTCTTTTCAGGTTCGCTAAAAGTAACTCTTCCAGCTGCTAGTTCTGGCTAAGTAAGCACACTCCACCCTATTTCTCCCACTGATCATAACTAGCAACCCTGGGCAGAATCGTAATGAAAACATGTAAGGACTCTGAAAAATAAATTATATCAGGCAAATTGAAGAGAGAAACCAAAACCCAAAGTATAGTTAATATGGCAGTGAGTATCTCCTGGCTTATACTCCAGGACAGGGCAGTTTTAGAAACTGTGCAATGGACATGGACTGAAAAAGCTGCAGGAGACATCTCCTGCCTCGATCCCTTCCCAGAGTGACAGGAAAGGGGTGGCCCTTGGGGGAAAAAAATGTGATCAAACTGATGAAAATCAAATATAAAGGAAAAAATCTTGAAAGTCACCTTAGAAAATCAAAGCATTACACAGAGTGGAAAATGATTTGCATGACTTTAGATTTCTCATCAGAAACCAAATAAGCCAGAAGAGACTGGAACAATATCTCAGTATTTTTTTAAACACTGAAAGAACTGTCAATCCAGTTTGAATTTTTTGAAGGCCCATCTATATGCTATGTGCAAGAAGCCCACTGTAAACATAATGATATAGATAGGTTAAAAGTAAAAGAGTGAGAAAATATATAGTACGCAAATGCAAATCAAAAGAAAGCTGGCATATTAATAGTAGAAAAAGTAGATTTTGAAACAAGAGGAATTACCCATGATAAAGAGGAGATTATGTAGTTATAAATGGGTCAATTGAGCTAGAAAGCTCTCAAATAATTAATATAAAATTTCACCTTAAGAAACTAGAAAAATAAAAGCAAACTATTCAAAAAGCAAACACAGGGAAGAAAATAATAAAGATAAGAATAAAAATATATGAAATCCAAAATGGAAATATATCAAAAACAGGACAAGATAAGAAAATCGATGAAACCAAAAATTGGTTCTTTGGAAAGATCAATACAATTGATAAACCTCTATCCAGGCTAACCAAAAGAAGGAGTATGGAAGAAGTGATGTTGGGGAGATGGAGGGAGAAAAAGAGAGGATAAGAGAGATAGGACACAACTTGCCAAGAGCAGTAATGAAAGAGGCAATATCCCTACAGACCCTACAGATATTAGAAGGGTAATAAGGAAATGCTGTTAATAACCCTGCCTGTAAATTCAACAACTTTAAATGAAATAGATAAATTTTCAAAAGACACTATCAAAAGTCACTCAAGAAAAAATAGATAACCTGAATAGTCCCATATTCACTTAAATAAGCAGAATTCTTAGCTAAAACTTTCCAACAAAGGAAATTCCAGGTCCACATGGTTTCAGTGGAAAATTCTACCAAATACTGAGGGAAAATATCTACACAATTTATCCCAGAAAATTCAAAAGGGAGAAATGCTTCCTAACTCATTTTATGAAACTAACACAAACCTGATACCAAAATAATACAAGAAAACAGTACAAGAAAATAAAACTGCAGACCAATATTTGTCATAAACAAAGGCACACAATTTCTTTTTTTAGATATACTTTAAGTTCTGGGGTACATGTGCAGAGCATGCAGGTTTGTTACATAGGTATACACGTGCCATGGTGGTTTGCTGCACCCATCAACCTGTCATCTACATTAGATATTTCTCCTAATGCTCTCCCTCCTCTTGCCCCCCAGCCCCTGACAGGCCCCGGTGTGTGATGTTCCCCTCCCTGTGTCCACGTGTTCTCATTGTTCAATTCGCACTTATGAATAAGAACATACAGTGTTTCGTTTTCTGTTCCTGTGTTAGTTTGCTGAGATTGATGGATTCCAGCTTCATCCATCCAAAGGCACACAATTCCTTATCAAATATTAGCAAGTTAAATCAACAATTTTTATAAAAAGGATAATACACCACAACAAGGTAGAGAAATGCAAAACTGTTTCAATATTCCAAAATCAGTCAATTTAATCCCCCATATTAACTGACTGAGGGGAAAAGAACATATGATTATATCAATAGATACAGGGGAAACATTTGATGAAATTCAACATCCCTCTATGTTCAAAACACTTACCAAACCAGGAATTGAAAAAAGCTGCCTTAACCTGAAATAGAGTATCTACAAAAAAGATACAGCTAGCATCATATTTAGTGGCGCAAAACTAAATGCTTTTCCCCTAAGATCAGGAACAAAGTAAAGATATTTTCTATCACTGCCTCTATTCACTATCATACTGGAAGTTCAAGTCAGTGTAACAAGGTGAGAAAAATAAATAAAAGGTGTACAGATTGAAAAGCAAAACATTAAAAATAAAACTGTTTCTATTCACACACATTATTGTTTACATATTAAATCTCAAAGAATCTACCTGAACTAAAAAGTTAACAAGGTTACAGAATAGAAGTTCAACACACAAATATTCATTGTATTTCTCTGTACTAGCAATGAACAATTAAAAACTAAAACATAAAAAAGTTGCTCTTCATAATAGTTCCCAAAACAAGAAATACTTGGTTAAATATCTAACAAAACATATTTACGTTCTTTAGTTTTCTGCCGAAAACTACAAAACACTGATGAAATAAGTCAAAGAACGAATAAATGGAAAGATACACTGTGTTCACTGAATGAATGACTTTACTAAAGTTAAAAGGTCAATCTTCTTCCATTTATCTATAGATTTACCACAATCTCAATCAAAATCCCAAAAGAAATTTTATAGAAATTAACAAGCTTATTCTAAAATGTATACGAATGGCAAAACAGTTTTTTAAACAAAGAATAAAGTTAAAAGACTCATACTACCCGATTTTAAGATTTATTATAATTCTACAGCAATCAGGACACTACAATATTGGTGAAAGTATAGACACAAAGATCAGTGGAATAAAATGGAGCATCCAGAAATAGACCCACACAAAAATGATCAATTGAATTTTGACAAAAATGCAAAGGCATTATCTTTTCTACAATGGTTCTGAAATAGTTTAAGAAAATAAACTCCAACCTATATCTCACTCCTTAAAAATGAATTCAAAATGAATTCAAAATGAATCATAACCCTAAATATAATACATAAAATTAGAAAAAGTTTAGAAAAAAACTTAGGAGAAATTCTTGTTAAATTTAAGCAAAGACTTTAGGATATAACACCAAAACACAATCCATAAAAGAAAATTCGGTAAATTATACTTCATTGAAATTTAAAACCTTGTTCTTTGAAAGATACTGGGGGTTTTTGTTGTTGTTGTTGTTTTGAGACGGAGTCTCGCTCTGTCACCCAGGCTGGAGTGCAGTGGTGTGATCTCGGCTCACCACAACTTCTGCCTCCCGGGTTCAAGCGATTCTCCTGCCACAGCCTCCCAAGTAGCTAGGATTACAGGCACGCATCACTGCACCCAGCTGATTGTTGTACTATTAGTGGAAATGGGGTTTCACCATGTTAGCCAGGCTGGTCTTGAATGCCTGACTGCAGGTGGTCTGCACGCCTTGGCCTCCCAAAGTGCTGGGATTACAGGCATGAGCCACCACACCGGGCCAAAAGATACTGTTAAAAGAATGAAAAGACAAGCTACAGGCTGGGATAAAAATATGTTCACATATTTTTCTCACACACATATCCACCAAAGAACTTGTATCAAAAATACATGAAGAGCATTCAAAACTCAACAATGAGAAAACAACTCAAAAGCTGGGCAAAAGCTATGAACAGGCACAAGGTATACAAATGGCAAATAAGCATGAAGAAAGGTGGTTCATGATTAGTTATTTGGGAAATCAGAATTAAAATTACAATGAGATATCCCAAACCTATTGGAATGGCTAAAATAAAAAATCCTCATAGTACCAAGTGTTGGCAAGAATTTGGAGCAGTGGGAACTCCAATAGATGGCTGGTGGGAATGAAAAACAGAAACAGCCAGTGGAGTAGCAGAGTGGTGATCAAAATATTGTTTCTGTTACTGACTGAAGCTGTACTGGAGAAAACATCTTAGCCATATTTCCTAATATTGAACTCCTGAGCTGACTGTACCCATCAAGACCTGTATACTTTTTTTTTTTTTTTTTTTTTTTTGAGACAGTCTCGCTCTGTTGCCCAGGCTGGAGCGCAATGGTGCAATCTTGGCTCACTGCCAGCTCCACCTCCCAGGTTCACGCCATTCTGCCTCAGTCTCCCGAGTTGCTGGGACTACAGGCACCTGCCACCACACCTGGCTCATTTTTTGTATTTTTAGTAGAGACGGGGTTTCACTGTGTTAGCCAGGATGGTCTCGATCTCCTGACCTTGTGATCCACCCGCCCCAGCCTCCCAAAGTGCTGGGATTACAGGCATGAGCCACCGCACCCAGCCCAAGACCTGTATACTTTTCACCTGCCCCCATCCCACACACACTCACAAGGGCTAGACCATCCCTGGATGGAGGAACAGAGACTGTGTCAATGCTGTGGCAAGCAATTCCCAGGACAAAGAAAATAATAATCGTGACAGGGACTTCCTCCTTGACCAAACTCTAGTCCAGCTCCTCTGAGCACTCTTCCCCACTAGGCCTTGGCCTTGGCCAGCAGCCCCAGTGTTAGCGAGAATTCTGCTAAGCCAGTTTAGTGAAAACCCCCTGTCCCTGGATCATAACCAAAGTTCTCTCAGTAATTTTCCATCCACTGACTCCCTCACCCTGCTCCTTACTATAAATCCCCAGCTGGCCATGTTGTAATCAGAGTTGAGTAGTTGAGTTCAAGCTGTCTCCGCTATTGCAATAGTCTTGACAGCTACTGCAATAGTTTTGAATAAAGTTCCCCTTACCTGTTTCAGTCTGTCCAGTGAAATTTTTCTTCGACAATACTCACAGCTCTATACTTTATCCAAACAAAAACTTGAGCCAGAAGATTAGTCCTCCTTGCTTGGGGGAGGAGTGAGTAAAAAGGGCAGAAGTTCCTGTTTAACAGATCCAGGAAGAAATAAGAGGACATAATGGTTGGCCCCATACAGCGTGTCAGATGGAGATGAAAGTCTTGCAAAGGACACCCGCTCAGCATGGCTAGGGTCATCCACGACCCAGCATCCATCTCTGGAGTGCAGACAATAAAAGGAACTGAAGATGCTGGGCCTCCGACAAGGAGGTGACTAGTGAACCTATAATCCTCAACCCCAATTTGTCTTACAGTTTGGGAAACTATAAGTAATGTAGCACTGGAAGGCAGTCACTCAAAACAGTGCCTAGCCACGTACTCACTGGTCAATCCAAGAATGCGGCACAATTGCCCTGCCAAACACCAGCAAACAGGAGGGACAGACAAAGCCAGTGATTGGTCGAGCTTGGCCTCTGGCAGCAGGGATTGTCTGCTGCTCTTGCAGAACAGGATGGAGTCACCCATGGCTTCCAGAGAGATTAGGGGGCTGAGATTATGAAGACTCAAGTTTGGTAGGGCAAAAAATCTCCCTGCTTTTTATTGTTTAATAAGACTGAGAATTAGGAGAGTTGCATGGAGAGTTAGGAGTGTTCCCTTATAATGAAGTCCCATTCATTTAGCAAAAGGACTCGGAGTGGACATTACATGAACAAAAAATGTTTCTAAAACACGTTTTAAACATTTGCAGTAACGAGGACACTCATACAAATGTGACTATGTGAGTGGATGTGTTTGTGCATGTATGTTAAGCATATGAAACATTCCTCTTCTATTATTGCATATGTTGACCCATTCTGGGCTGGATCAGTGGTGCTCATCTAGAAAAATGAAGAACTGCTTCAGGAGGGCAGGAGTCTTGTCTGTTTGATTCTCCACTGTATTCAGCCAACATAGTACCTGGCACATACGTAGAAGGTGCCTGACAAACATTGATTGAATGAATGAGTTAATGAATGGGTAGTATATCAGGCAGCATCATGGCCCCTTCAAAGATGTCCAGGGCGTAATCCTAAGAACCTTCGAGTATGTTAACTTACAGGGCAAATGGGGCTTGGCTGATGTGATTAAAGTAAGGATCTTGAGTTTGGGTCATTAACGTGGATGACTGGGTAAACCCAATGTCCTCATAAGGACACAAAGGTCCTTATAAAAGGGAGGTGGCAGAGTCAGAGTCAGAAAGGAAGTGATACTAGAAGAAGAGATGAGAGAGAGAGAAAAAGATTTGAAGATGCTGCACTGCTGGCCTTGAAGACGGAGGAAGGGGTCATGAGCCAAGGATAGCAGGCAGCTTGTAGAAGCTGGAAAAGGAAAAGAAATGTATTATCCCCTAAAGATTCCAAGGTGTTGCGTCTCTATGAACACTTTGATTTTAGGATTTTTGATCCCCAGAACTGTAAGATAATAAATTTTTGTTGTTTTAAGCCACTAAGAGGGTGTATGTGCGTGTCATCGTTTTTTTTTTAATTTTTAACTTTTTGTGTTGAAATACTTTCACACTTACAGAAAACTTATGAAAAGAGAAAATCACCCAGATTTCCATTTTTTCAGCTACATTGAAGTATAATCAACTGAGTCACAAGGGCTAGACATTTAAGATGTAGAACTCGTATATCTGAAATTGCATACATCTAAGATGTAGAACTCAATGTTTTGATATTAGTATATGTTATGAAACCATCACCACAATCAAGCTAATTAACATATCATCACCTCATGTATTTACCATTTTCCTTTCTTTTTATGTGTGGTGAGAACACTTAAAATCTACCCTCTTGGCAAATTTCAGGTATACAGTACCTGAAACTGTAGTCACCATGCTGTTCATGAGATCTCCAGAACTTATTCATGCTGCATAACTGAAACTTTGTACCCTTTGACTATCATCTTTCCATTTCTCCCCTTCCCTCATCTCCTGAAAACCACCGTTCTCCTCTCTGTCGAGCCATAAGTTTTTAGAAATTAGTTACAGCAGCAGCAGAAAACTATTACAGACAGCCTAGAGCAGTTGTCTCCAGAGCAGGTAATGAGTGAGCAGAGCACAAGATGCTTTATTGTGATGTGAGAAGAAAATGTTAGAAATTCTATTTATTTATTTATTTATTTATTTATGTTTTGAGACAGGGTCTTGCTCTGTTACCCAGGCTGGAGTGCAGTGGTGCAATTTCAGCTCACTGCAGCCTCTGCCTTCCAGGCTCAAGTGATCCTTCTGCCTCAGCCTCCTGAGTAGCTGGGATTACAGGCGTGTGCCACCATGCCCGGCTAATTTTTGTATTTTTAGTAGAGATGGAGTTTCACCATATTGGCCAGGCTGGTCTCAAACTCCTGACCTCAAGTGATCCACCTGCCTCGGCCTCCCAAAATGCTGGGATTACAGGCGTGAACTACCGTGCCCGGCCTCATTTTTTATTTTAAAGTAAATATTATTGGATTTTATTTTACATGATTCAAACACTGTCCTAACCCAGACTAGCCATTACCTTGCTTAGACACCTTGGCTGCTGCTCTTTATAGACATTTTGAAGGACTTCAAAACTCTGAAGGATTCTCTTCCTTCAGAATCCCAAGATGGCTGACTTTTAATCCCACACATGTAACACCTTTTACTTTCTTTCTAGTCCATCATAGGAACCAGAAAATTTGCCTTTGTTGGAGGGAGGAACAAATGAAGCATGCAAATGTAGTGACAGGCTCACCGGCCACCCTCCTTAATCCATGAAACTGAAGGCCACACCCTAACGGCACAGGCCAGGGAACTTTAAGGATCTTGGGTCTGGACTTCATGGAGCAGAGCTTCTGTAACAGCTGTGATCTGCCTACCTCTGCCCTGTGCTTGTGACCGTCAAAACTTCTGTCTAGTTTAAGCTACTCTTACTTGGGTTTCCCTTACTCATGAATAAACCTAAACTCAATCCATGCAGGTTATGACAGGAAAGGGCACAAGGCAAATGAGAATATGTGAAGTCAGCCCAATTCTTTAGACACTTGACAAGTTGTATCTGTGGGGCGCAGGTGCCTCCAGGTTAAAGGAGCACGGATTCCTAGTCTTGGATTCTCTAGTCACAGCAGCTTTGCTGGAGTTCTGGTGCTTTCCCTGGTGCTGGCGTGGGCTTTCCACCTAGCAGTGCTCATTTATCTTCAAGTTTGCATAAATATTTTCACACTATTGTGTATGATGCTGGAGACAACCCATGAAGTAAATATCATTGGGTTATTTTCTGTGATTCAAACCCTCTTCTTCCAGTTTCCAATCCAGTCAAGTTTAGTGTTCCTATCACTACACCACAGGACCTCTCTGTCTCCAGAGTGATGACTCTGATCTGTTTCCCTACCTGCATGTACCACATACATTTGTTAATCCTTTTCACCGTGGCACTTTGACATCTAGTAACCTTGTGGTCTTGGTGGACTGTGCCCCCCAGTACATGCCTACGTGTAATCCTCTACTGCATTGTCTCTTAGCCGTGCAACTTTCTTTTACCACTGAGACATCAGAAAATGCGATACAAGCAGAAGTTGATAAACACCTTTGCTCTAGCGCTTTCTCTCAGAATGCTGATGTCATCACATGAGGAAGCCCAATCCAGCCTTCTTGAGCATGAAAGACCACATAAAGGGAGAGTCCAGGTGTCTCCACTGTCCCACCTAAGCTCAGATCCAAGTGACCCTCCAGTCAAATACAAGTGAGCCCAGGAGGAAGTAACAGAAGAAGAGAAGAACACAATCAATTCACAGAACCATGACAAATAATAAATTATTGTTGCTTTAAGCCACCAACTTTTGGCATGGTTTGTTAAACAGCAATAGATGGCTACTACAGACCCACTGTTTCTGGCCATGTTTTTCTCACCATTCAGTGAGTTTTTTAGCACTTCTTGGATCCCCAAACAAGACCAGAATTAATATACTCTGGATTAATGGTTAATTCATTCATCTACCAGACGTTTTTTGAGCATTTACTTTATGCTTGTGCTAGGTAATTGGAATATAAAAATAGCTGAAACAAATACCTACCTTCAAGAAGTTGAGAAAATGGTAGGTAAGACAAACCACTGATAGCCAGAATGAGTCTAGTGTTTCCTCTGTGTAGAATGTCCTTCTCCTCCTCTTTACTTGGATAACTTCTATCCATTTCTTTTTCATTTTTGCGATGGAGTCTCACTCTGTTGCCCAGGCTGCAGTGCAGTGGCACAATCTTGGCTCACTGCAACCTCCGCCTCTCAGGTTCAAGCGATTCTCCTGCCTCAGCCTCCCAAGTAGTTGAGATTACAGGCATGTGCCACCACGCCTGGATCTTTTTTATATTTTTATTTTTTACTTTTTTATTTTTATTTTTACTTTTTTTGTATTTTTAGTAGAGATGGGGTTTCACCTTGTTGGCCAGGCTGGTCTTGAATTCCTGGCTTCAAGTGATCCACCTGCCTCAGCCTTTCAAAGTGCTGGGATTACAGGTGTGAGCCACATCACCTGGCCCATTCATTCTTAATTACTATGCTGAGGCACCCTTGCCTCTAGAATTCTTTCTCTGACTCCCCAGTCTGTGCTAGATTCTTTCCTTTTGACTTCCATAGAAGCCTGTGTTCACTTTTATTGATGGATTTATCACTGCTTTAGGATTGTTGTGATTATTTTTCACTTGCACATCTCCCATGATAGACTCTGGGATCCTTAACTACACTGGATTTTTCTTAGGGTTCCACTTTTCTGGCACCTCATAAGTGCTCCTTACATGTTTACTGAACAAATGAATACCATCATAAATATATAAAGAGAATGTGATGGGTGCCTTGTGAAGGGAATGAATGTGGCTCCAGGTGACCAGGGCAGGTGCAGATGCAGATGTGAGCTGCATCTCCAGTGAGGATTAGGATTTCATCAAACTGCGAAGAGGGAAAAAAGAAATACAAGACCAAGGGCTGAAGACATGGGAGTGAACAAGTAAATGGAATATTCAGAGAACAGTAAACTGTTGGTATGGACAAGTGTGGTGGCTATGAGAGTAAAAATGAGAGATGAAACTGGTTGATGGTTTTGGTCTAGACTCTGAAAAGCCATGAGTATCACACCAACACCACTTCCTAAATATTTCTGCAACCCGCCTGCCCCACATTTTCCATATATGGCTGAACATAGGTCTATGCAGAAAAAACTCAATTCTGATACTGCCTCTTACTTGAATAAGTGCTGAGGCTCTGGGAGTTCAGATCATTATAATCAGCCTTCTCATTTTGCTTTCACTAAACATTCATTAGCTGGTTATGAAACCCAAAGAACAGAGGTCACACTGAGTGACAGGGACTCAGCAGCTGCTCACAGTGTAAGATATTTGCTATAATTTACACTAAGATGTGAATGTAATTATCCTTATCAAAATCACTTCCCCTGGCAAATTTGTACATTAAGTCGAGTAAATTTCCTCTCATTAAATCACAGCATTTGGGGACTGCAGTTTGTCTCAGCCAAGAACTAGAGCTTGGAAGTAATAAAGGCAAAGAAAAAAAAACTTGGATTATCAGCAGGAAGTGTGGGTGGTGAGGAGAGAGGCAGTATTTCAGAGTGTGTCGAAAGCCCAAACCTCCAGCAGTTCCATGACTATGTGTCTCTTGAATTTAGAGCAGTCTTTAAAATGTGGCACTTCTCAGCTACCTACGCATTTGGCAAATTGAGCATGTTGCATCTAGATGCAAGACCTAGATGCAGAAAGGACATCTAAAGACAGATATTTTTAGTGATGAGAGCAGGTATGTTAGAAAGGGCTTATAGTTTCAAACCATGAGGAAAAAAAAAAAAACATGTTTATGCTGGAACTATGTTAAGTATTTTCACACATATAATCCTCTTTGGTTTTCACAACAAGACTGCAGGATAGGATATTCACACTCTCTTAATGCCCATTTCTTTTTCTTCTTGGAATTTAACACAATTCTAATTAAATAACTTTAAGTGGAAGTTGGGAACACTGGATATGTCATTTCCGGCTAAATCTCCAGGAGTTGCCGCAGTTTCTACACATAGTAAGTGCTAAATAAAGTGCAGCTGAATGAATAAACTAATTCAAGAATAAGATAATTTTTAAAAATCAGGGATTGTTGAGAGATATAGGAACTAACTTTAAAAGTGCTGAAAATCACCAGGCCAATAAAATTTGGCTGAAACCGAGTTGCATGTAATAACACACTCAACAAATGAATGTTTATTACTTAGGACTCTTTCAGTTACCAGTGACATAATCTGGACTCACAGTGGCTTTAACATAAAAGAAGGAAGTTTCTTATTTGCTTAACTAGGAAGTCTTGTAAGGCTAATGTACAGCAGGCTCGTGTCTTGTCTGGATTCAGGGACTCAAATAACATCTTTCAAAATTTCAACTCTGCCTCCTTTATTTTTTCCTTCCGCTTTTCTCTGCTTGGTTTTATTCTTCAGTTTCTCAAGATGGCAGCCTCCATATCCTCAGCCTTGTGTCTTCTCAGCTTGGCCACCTCAGTGAGGAAAAAACTT
Source organism: Homo sapiens (assembly GCF_000001405.40). Lineage (NCBI taxonomy): Eukaryota > Metazoa > Chordata > Mammalia > Primates > Hominidae > Homo > Homo sapiens. The sequence continues at coordinate 9,811,788 of NC_000004.12, read as the reverse complement.
CTCCCTCCCAATGTATCAGTTATCTATTGCTGAGGAACAAAATATCCCCAAAACTTAGTGGCTTGAAAAAACAACCTTTTCTTTCCTTACAATTCTGTGCATCAGCAATTCAGGCTCAGCTGGGCAATCCTGTGGATCCCTGTGGTGTCTCCTGAATTTAATCAGTCATTTGTGGCCAGGTGGTGTCAGCTGGAGGTGATTGGTCTGAAATGGCTTTATTCACATGTCAGGGGACTCAACTGGGATGGCTAGAATGGCTGGGATGTCTCTCCCTCTTTCTCTTCTCTCAATATGGTCCCTAGACCAAGTGTTACCATCTCCAAAAGGCCCCAGCCTGACTTCTGACAAAGCAGCAGTGTTAGAAAGGAGAGCAGGAATAGAACCTGCAAGGCCTCTCAAGGCTGAGAACTCAGAACTCATACAACATCTCTTCAACTGATCAAACCAAGTCATGGGACCAGCCCGAATTTAAGGAGAGGGGAAGTAGAATTCAGCTGCTGATGAGAGGCCCCCAAAGTCACATCCCAAAGGGGCATGCAGGATGAGGAGTTACTACGGCCAGCTTTGCAAACTGTCTACCACCCCCAATGTCCAGACTTCAATCTCACGAAGATTTGTATTGGCCCTATTCAGGTCATTTGTGTATCCCTGAGTCCATCCCAGGAGGGTTAGTTCCTCTGATTGGCCAGCTTGGTCATGTGCTCAGCCCAGAAGTGGTGGACAGGGTAGAGGGCAAGAAGTAGAATAATCTCATGGACAACTCTTTCAGAGCCACCTAGAATCAGGGAGGGAATCTCCCGCAAACCAGAAAAGGTTGGAAAAGTTTGTTTGGAAGACACAACTATCGCTAGTGTGGTTCAAAACAGGCTCTGTTCATCATAAGGGGATGATGATCAGCGGTGAGAGCCTAAAGATAAAGTTCAGGGTGTCAAAGGGCATTGCCCACTGGCCCTTCCAGGATGAAAATGCCCCAGCTTACAGGCTCAACCTGTCCGATCTCTCCTTCCTTTGGAAATGAATGCATAACTCTCCAAGCCAACCGCCAGAAATGGCAAATACTTATGTCAGTTAACCCATGTGCCTTTTTCTCATTCCATAATCCCTCAGCAGCTTTCTGATTATAACTTGGCTTCCAGCAAACTGGTTAGGCCAATTTGAACACTGACTTTTCTTAATGATACTATTTTTGCAGCAAAAATTAGTAAATGCTCATGCCTGGCTCATATATCAGTCTCTCGTGAGACTAGTAGGTGTGATTCATTTCCCAGTCCAACTAATTATCAGATACTAAGGAAGATTTCATCTTGAAGGCTAAAAGACACACCATGGTGAATTTACCAAAATCTCATCCCTTAAAGGGTCTCCCTGAGGCCTGGCTGGAGATGCCTGAGCTCATGCTGCACCTGCCTCTAGGTATTGTCCCCACTTCATCTCAGAGGAAATTAAGGATGAGAAAAATGACTTGCCCACAGTCACAGCTGGCAACCATAAAGCAGAAAGAGGCTCTTCACCACTCATTCAATACAATCCATTCATCACAGAACACTTAACTGCGGCTCTACTGTGCACTCGGTAATGTTCTCGGTGTTGGACATATGGTGGTAAAGAAGACAGAAAATGCCCAGCCTTCTATGAGGCTGACATTCAAGTGGAGAAACATGGGAAATAATCAAATAAATAGACCACCAAATAGGTCAAATGGTGATCAGTGCAATGCCAACAATTAGAACATGGTGATGTGCTAGAAGTGTCTGGATTGTGACTTTAGATTGGATGGCCAGAGAAGAATAATATAAGAATAGCATCAAAATGTTACTCGTGGGCTTCAGGTGCCCACCTATAAAATAGGTTACCTGGACAAAATGATTTTTGCATGCATCTGTCTAGACCGGAGACCTGACTTAATATATCACATGAATTTAAAAAAAAAAAAAAAGAAAAGAAAACTTGTTGATGGCGGCTAGATTAGGGTTGTATAGGTTGGGATAAGTTAAAACCATTGATAGTAATAGCAATATCCGTAATTTATTCGGGACTCTGCTAAGTGCCTAAAATGAATTATCTCTAATTCTCACAACATCCCTGCCAGTGCAGGTATTGGTCTCACTATTTAACCAGTGAGGAAACTGGATTCACTGAGGTTAAATAACTTATCCCAAGGGAGGCTGGGAGAAGGTATGTCATGGTGGGTCCTGCAGGCCAGGCTGAAGGGTCGTCTGGAATGTGCTCAGTTGTTTGCTTCTTCTCTCCAGCCTTTCCACGATTCTTCCTCTTGTGCCCGGGCCATTCTGCTCCCTTCTCTCCACCCCAGTACACACAAGAGACTAGAGTCAGGCGCCCTGTGGTCCACAGAGTATTTCTGTTTGAATGGAAAAGACAGTGGGCTACCCATGCCCAACCCTGTTCGCTCCAATCCTCACTAACTAGGTGCTTTCCTGGCTTCAGAGCAACACTAACATTCCCATGACCCCAAGCAACCAACGCAGCTGGGCTGGGGACAACAGGATATGATACCCAGGGACATCTGATCCACACACTCTGCTCCCACCAGGAAACTTCCAGGCTGGGATTATCTGTCCACTTTTGTCCATTTGTATAATTAAAAATCGAGTCTGACATCTGTGACCTGCTCAAGATTTCCTAGAGCCTACCTACTCTAAACCTTAGTTTAATGTACATTCTACCAAGCCACATCATGTCGAGAAAATGAACAGATTTTCCCAACTAGGGCAAATTAGAATCATTCTTTTCCATTGCATCAGGGGGCTTCCAAGAAAGGCCAATTGACTCAAACACAAATGTTGCCCATTTCCAGGGCTGCAGCGAAAATCCTGATGTCTGATTCAAGAAAGAATTGATGCCTCCCAGGTACAGTCCAAGCCAGAGTCATTGTGTTGCACCTTCTTTTGTACCTTCTTTTGTGTGAATGGTGCCCCTGGAGTTGTGCAGGGCAGCTGTGACCCCAAGTCCACATAGGACAGAGGAGAGAGATTCCTAAGCCAAAAGACAGTATTCTCTCTGGTTCACACTGCTGCTCACTTTGGAATCATGTTGCAAAAGGGAGAGACAACCTTTCTCAAAGACTGCATCTATGAGGCATCATCCTGCATGTGGGCAATCTTTATCTGTGGGTGCAAGATGCTGGTGGAAGAATTCCAAAGTCTCTCTTTTAAATGTGGAACCATACTAATAACAGGTTAAATAATTTATCCCGAGAGGCTGGAAGAAGGCGGGTCCCAGTAATAGTTATTACTACTATTATTACTATAAATACAATAATTATTATTACTGATAATTCCAGGGACTGAGGAATTGCTAGCCAAGCCCATCCCCTCAACAAGAGGTCACCACCCAATGGCCCCTAAAGGCTGACTGCTTCTCACTGTGGCCGACGCAGGCAGAGTACACCAAAAGCAGAACCCGCACTTTCAAGTTCCAGTGAGATCAAAGGCAACGTAATGACAGGCATAGAGTGTGTGATTAATTACCTAGGGTACCAGGGTGAACTGGGGCTGGCCCCAGGGGAGAAGAACCTCATCAAAATGGAAACAAGTTTTCTGAGAAGAGGCCTGGCCAGTGGAAAAGGGGGCTTGTGCACAGCTGCTAGAAAAAGAATGAGCACAAGTCCCAGAAGTCAGGTCCCTGCTCCAGCCAAGACACCGTGACAGCCCTGCCTGCTCCTGGCCAAGGATAGAGCTGTGGAGCCAGCCACCCAGCCCAGAGATGGCAATGGGGCTTCCACGATGGCAGTGTTATCTATGGGCTCCATCATGACTTAGAGCCAATCCAGCTGCAAGGTGGCAAGACATGGTGAGATTTCAGGAAAGAGCAAATAAATAGGCCTGGGGCCAACTATTTCAGGGGGCTCGCCGAAACCATGTCGTCCACCTTCACTTGCTGGGACAAGGAGGCTATGTTCTGATTCCATTCTAGGGCCCTGAGAGTCACAAGAAACACGCATTTGACCAGCCTCAACTGCATCTCTCCTTAGAGAAACCGTCCTTGGCCACTGACAGCTGGCCAAGGATTTGGGAGATCTTGAATTCTAGCCAAATCTTCCATCAAGCCTAAGGTCCACATGGGGTAACCTGGCCCGTGTATCTCAACAAATCAGTCAGATTCCTGCAAATCAGTTACTTGAGTTTGCAGAGTCCAAGTAAGTGGCTTCTCAGCAATGCCATTCAGTTGGTAAGTATCCATCACACACTGATGCTATGCACTGGAAATGCAAAAGGCAAGAGGCCTGGCCCAGCTATGGAACAGCTCAGTTCAGCAGAGGAGAGAACTGATAAACAGACAGGAAGAGTCTGTGGCAAGTCTCAACATAAACCATGGAAGCTCAAACAAGAGGCATCTGGCCTAGGATTAGCAGGGAATGTGGGGGAGATCAGGGGGTAGCTTCCTGGAGGAAGAGACATTTCAGCTGAACTTTGAAGAAGCATAGGGATCTATGAGATAAACAAGGAAGAAAGGGCATTCTAGAAGAAATAAAATGAGCAGGGGCATGGGAGATGTGACACAGCATGGTGTGTGCCAGGGACATGGTGTTTCAATGTGGCCACAGCCCTGAGTGAGGACCATAGCAAGTGACAAAGGACAGAGGGGTGCACCTGAAGTTGATCCCTTGTGGAAGTGTCAGCCCCTCTTTTCCATAGTCACGGCATCTCCTCCATCCACATGCCAGCCAGCTGGATGGCCACTATATCTGGGATTACTTTTAAGAAACAGGGTCCATTTTCTGTACCCAGACCCCAAACCATGTGAACACCTGAACAACCAGAAGGCAGGTGTCAGTCAGCTGGAAAAGTGGGCTGAGAAGGGGACTCAGGAGGAAATCGATGAGTTTGGTATCTTTCAGTCTTCAAGAGTCTTAAAAGCCAACCAGATGCTCCTCTAATCAGTTCAAGCGTCCTCTGGAGAAGCTATTTTGAGTTCAAGCATATCCCCCTTGAGTGACTGTCACAGGCACTGAGAGCCAGGCAGCAGAAAGCCATTTTTCCAGCCTAAAGAAACATTATGCAGGGATTTGAAAGCTGATGTTTCCCAGGTTGCTGTGAAGCTAGGCACTCTATATTGTGCTCCCCAACTACCCCCACTTCTCTCCTCCCACCCCCCATGCACACAGCCTTTATTCCAAGGGGAGGGCTCCTTCTCCAGTGCCCTCTTGAGTGGAGCCAAATGCTGAGACCAGCTCAGTCGTGGAGACCCTAACCCAGCAGCACTAGAGGAATTAAAGACACACACAGAAATATCGCATGTGGAGTGGGAAATCAGGGGTTTCACAGCCTTCAGAGCTGACAGCCCCGAACAGAGATTTACCCACATATTTACTGACAGCAAGCCAGTGATAAGCATTATTTCTATAGGTTGTAGATTAATAAAAAGTATTCCTTATGGGAAACAAAGGGATGGCGCTGGCTAGTTATCTGCAGCATGAACACATTCTTAAGGCACAGATCGCTCATGCTGTTGTTTGTTGTTTAAGAACGCCTTAAGCGGTTTTCCCTGCGTGGACCAAGTGTTCCTTGACCTCATTCCGGTAAACCGACAACTTTCAGTGTGGGTGTCAAGGCCATCACGAGCATGTCACAGTGCTGCAGAGATTTTGTTTATGGCCAGTTTTGGGGCCAGTTGATGGCCAGATGTTGGGGCCTGTTCCCAACAGCCAAACATGCAGGTGGAAAGAATTTACTGAGTGTTGACTGCTCCCAGCCTCAGGCTAACACCTTCTCTGCATTCTTTCCTTTGAAGTACAGCACAGAAGAGCAATCCCTGGAGCCAGAGAGCCTAGGTTCAAGTCCAGGCTCCACCGCGTACTTGCTGTGGGACTCTGGTCAGGTTACTTAACCTGCCCTGCCTCAGCATTCTTCACCAGTGAAATGGGGAAAATAGTAAGAACTACTTCTAGAATTATAGTGAGAACATTAGTTGCTACATGGAAAACCCCTAGAACAGTGCCCAGCACTTAATAAGCACACAATAACTGTTGGCTATTGCCATTACTATTCATCCACAGAGTAGTTATGGAAGATAGAGTGGATGCTTCTTTATCAAGATCAAAGGGGGCTTTTTTTTTTTGAGACAAAAAAAAAAAAAAAAAACTGACACCCTGCTGCGCAGGCTGAAGTGCAGTGGTGCGGGCTCACTACAACCTCCATCTTCCAGGTTCAAGCGAGTCTTGTGCCTCAGCCTCCTGAGTAGGTAAGACTACAAGCACCTGCCACCATGTCTGGCTGATTTTTTTGTATTTCTAGTAGAGATGGGGTTTCACCATGTTGCCCAGGGTGGTGTCAAACTCCTGAGTTCAGGTGATCCACCCGCCTCAGCCTCTCAAAGTGCTGGGATTACAGGCATGAGCCACCTCAGGGTTACACTTCCTTGATGAGTTTAATTCAGAAGTGACCAGGAGGTTTTGCTTAGCCAATGAAACACAGATGGGCATGATGTGTGTTGCGTCTGAGCAGAGGCTTTTCGATCCAGCTCATGGCTCAGCGCCTTTCTGTGGTCCTTCTGCTATGAAATCAGCAGCGTCCCATGGAGAGGTTGACCCATCAGCCTGGGTTCTGGAGTGAAGCACCACTGGCTACACTGCAGTATGAGCAAGAAAGTAAAGCTTTGCTGCTGTAAACCACTGAGATTCAGGGATTGTGTGTCATGTGGCCTAACTCAGCCTAGCCCAGCTGACTCAGTCAGTGGGAGACACAGGCAGGAGATCTGCAGGCCGGCAGAGGGCGAGGCCAGGGCAACTCTACTTCAGGCAGAGTCTCTTTCAGGGGCCACATTTCCCCTGGGGCCCCATCATCTCCTCTTTTTGTCCCTCTGGCTCTAGGGAGGATAGAAGCCTCCTGCTGTCCCTAACAACAGGGCTGTCCCCACCCCTGTTAGCCCTCTCAGCTCTTCCAACTACTTCCCCCTGTTAAAGTCTGTCTTTTGAACTTCCAAGCCTGGGTTCTGCTGTCATGAGTGGACTCTACCCTAACAAAGTGGCGAAGCTGGAATTAGAAACCGCATCAAACTACCTCAAAGCCCAAGCAATTCTCTCCTGTCCGTCCTGCTGCAACTCTTGAAGACTGTAGTACTGATGTGGCAGATGGGAGGATTAAAGAAGAGTGATTCCAACACAATAATAGGAAAAAATGCAGCATTTGGCCAAAGACAGGATATAGCCTCAAAATCCTGGTGGGAGGAGAGGAGGGGAGCAGCATCACAGTAGGCAGGCAGGTAACTTGCCTGGCATGTGGTGGTGAGTCAGCAAATGGGAATAAATCAGTGGCCTATAAAGAGGGTCCTACCCCTCACCATCCTCCCAGAACAGAAGGTGCTTTCCACAGCTCACAGCTGCTCTGCTCAGCTGAACAGCCCATGGGTGAAGGAAGTGAGGAACAAAAGTCAAAGAGAAAGGCAGATGAGTTGAGGGCCATTTAAAGAAGTTGTGAACAGTAAACCAAGCCCCGGTGAACTCTACATGTGTGTTGACCTCTCTCAACCTAGACCTGCTGGCACTACCCTGGAACCATAAAAGTTCATGGCTCCTGAGTCCACTCAGCAAATCCCTATTCACCCAGGAACATTCATCACCTTTCTTCCAAAAGCTTTCATGACACCAGGTAGAGCTATTTTCTTCTCCTCATACACAGAGTTTCTAGTGATTTAAAATTGTATTTTTATCATCTGTTCATGTATCTTGCTCTCCTTATAACTATGAACTTCTTGAGAAGAACATGCATGGGTAAAACACCTTCAGATCACTTTGCAGAGCACCAATGGTTAAATTAAAAAGTGCTTGATTCATATTTTGTTGGAAGACAGGGAGGGTAAGAAATGAATAGATATAACCTTTAGACAACTTCATCTAAGCTTTATCAAAACAAAAACACAATCTATCTTGGTGATTATTGTATCAGAGGATCTAACATATCCCCTAGCACATAGGAGGTATTTAATAAGTATATCCTTCATTCATTTATCCAACAATTCTTTATTGAGAGCCTACTGCATCCGCTGGGTTCTAGGCACTGAGGACACCATAATTAAAGGACAATGAAGAACTCAGTTCCTCTTAGTGCTGACATTCTATGGGGTAGGCAGACCAGACACATAATATCAAGTGATAGCAAGTGCTACTGAAAATACTTGCAGTAAGAGGTCAGAGTGTGATAGAGCATGTCTCCATAGCTGTCAATGAAGGTTTCCTCAATCTCTCCTGGTGGATAGTGGACCACTCTTTTAGTGGCAAAGAGATTTCAGGCTGCGATGGGATCCTGGCTTTGCTGTGTACTGGCTTTGGGACCTTAAGAAAGTGACATAAGTTCTTTGAGCCTCAGTTTCTCATCTGTAAAATGGGAAGAATATTGCCTATGTTAAGCATTGATGTGAGGATTTAAATAAATAATTCATTTAGCACAGTTCTTGGTAGATAAATGACAATGCATACTGCTAGAGGATGTAGTAAAAATACAGGCACAAAGTGCCGTATATCATCACCATCAAAATCATCATCATCACAGTAACAACCTCAAGCTCATATTGTGTTCAGGCTGTTTAAGAATTTCCCTTGAACTCACATTTAATCTTCAAACAACCCAACTGTTATTAGCCTTATTTAATAGATGAGAAAACAGAGAGAATTAGACAGACTGAAACCTACAAAGGCTAAGTGGTTTGCCAAGGACAAATAGCAAGATAGTGCCAAAGTCAGGCCCAGGTCCAAACCTTCCAATTCCCAGGCCAATACACTTGCCAAGCAAGTTTCATCTCCTCTGACACCATATATCTATCAAGAAAATGGGTGTGAAGTGAATTCCTGCAGTCCAGCATCTACAAAGTATTCTGGGGAAGTTAATTGGGGTCTTCGGAAAGGGTTCTGTGATAGAGTACAATTGGGAAATATTCCTGGATAAGGCAGGATTAGAAAACTCTTTACCCAGCCGGGCGCTGTGGCTCACGCCTGTAATCCCAGCACTTTGGGAGGCCAAGGCAGGTGGATTCACCTGAGGTAAGGAGTTTGAGACCAGCCCGGCCAACATGGTGAAACTCCATCTCTACTAAAAATACAAAACAAAATTGGCCAGGCGTAGTGGTGGGCACCTGTAATCTCAGCTACTTGGGAGGCTGAGGCAGAATTGCTTGAACCTTGAGGTAAAGGTTTGCAGTGAGCCGAGATCACACCATTGCACTCCAGCCTGGGCGACAAGAGTGAAACTCCATCTCAAAAAAAAAAAAAAAAAAAGAAAAGAACAAAAAAAACCTCTTTACTGCTCACCTTTTGGAAGAGATTAATATGCTAATTATGCTAATAAGCATGGAGATTCACCCAGTCCCTTCCTCCATATCATATCGGCCACAGAGCCCTTCCTTCCCAAGTATGGCGCTGGCTGTCCCTGAATGTCCTGGGGAGGCGCTGCAGGGGCCAGCCTGCAGACCCAACATTGTATTTTCCACGTTGCCAGGATCCACAGGTCACTACTTCTTTGAAATTCATTACTTCTCATTATGAGCTCTAGTTTAAAAAAAAAAAAAAGAGCATTTTTCAGAAACATTTCTCCCAAACCCTTTAATCTGTAAATGCCCTGTCTCTAATCAAATATGTACACATACATCCCTATTTCTCTGCTGGAATGGCCGTCTAAAAGGTTCGGTACCGAGTAAACAAGCCTGGCTAGTAAGCACTTGTCTCATGCTGATAAGCCCATCATTGGAGAAGCAGGAACAAGGCCACACTAGGCAAAGCAGGTGGCCTCCTCCAGGGAGCATCTCAAGTGGGATGGAGTAGAGCTCCCAGCGCTGCAGCCCAAACACAGCTGCCCAATCAATCAGCTGGGAGTCCATCTTTTGCTCACCCTTGCCTGAAATGTTCAGCATTAAGTGATCCCCTGAGTTAGATTAAGAAAAGCCATTAAAATGCATCACATTCAGCAGTTTCACAGCACTCCCAAACCTATTCTCTTTGGCCGGTCTCCCTATCCTGTAACCCCCTTGTTTCTTTGCATTGTCCATGTTACAACTTAGATAACTTAGATTCACCACGTGCAGGAGATGCCACTGTAGCTGACTGCAGCTGCTGCTCGGGGGGACAGTTCCTGGGCACCCTGATGGCTTTTCATCTCAATGCCCTCTGAGGCTCAACTTTTCTACCTCAACTTCCTCTGAAGCTAAGGAAACTGGCTCAGCCCGTAGCCCAGCAGTTCAGGAGAGTTAATGTCTGCGAGAACCACCCTCAACGATGGGGATGAGACTCACTGGGTTAGTCCCTCAGCCACTTATGCTTCAGAGCTACAGTGTTGACTGCATTCTCCACAGCTCACTAGGGTCTCCAACGGGGTTGAATTTATTGTGTAAACCAGCTCAAAAACACACCCTCAAGTGGCTTTTCCTCTGTGAGGTTATAATTATCCTCAGTTAGCGGTAGCTACTGCTGGAAGAAACCACTCCCCCAAATTGTATTTAGCTTGTAAGTTTACCAGGCAGTGGCCCAGGAGGGGGTCTTCTGGGCTGAACTAGACTGATCTTGGCTGGTTTTGCTCACATGTGTGTGATCAGGTGGTAGCGAGGCTGAGAGATGGTGGGGAAAGTCTAGGATAGCTTTGCTCACCTGCCAGGTGGTTGACTGCCTGTCAGCTGGAGGGAAAGAGGGGACTGAGCCATGTGTCTTTTTTTTTTTCCTCCTGACAACAAAAGCCACATTCAAATGAGCCACGTGTCTTACACATGTGGTAGAAGCAGGGTTTCCAGAAGCAGCCAACACCAGTCTGCAAGTGCCTTCCACACTTCTGCTGGTGTCATGGTAGCTGCTGTGGCATCCATGAGAAGAACCTGGCAGACCTCCAACTCCAGGGACTGCGCCTGACTGCATGAGTGTACTAGGATGGCTGGAACAAAATACAGTTGTCCCTCGGTATCCATGGCTATTGGTTTCAGGACCCCAAGGATACAAAATCCACAAATGCTCAAGTCCCTGATATAAAATGGCATAGTATTTGCATATCACCCCACACATCCTCCCATCTACTTTAAATCATCTCCAGATTACCTATAATACCTGATGCGTTGTAAATGCTATGTGTAAATAGTTGTTATACTGCATTATTTTTATTGATGTATTGTTATTTTTAGTGTTCCTTTTCCTGAATAATTTTGATCCGTGGATACTTAAATCCAAGGATGCAAAACTCACAGGAAGGCTGAGTGTACCACAAAGTGTATGGATTAAACAACACAAAAGTATTTTCTCACAATTCTGGAGGATAGATGTCCGAGACCAAGGTGTCATCAGGGTTGATTTCATTCTGAGAGCTCCCCGCTTGGCTTATAAATGGCCACTTTCTTTCTGTGGCTTCACATCATCTTCTATACATGCCTGTGTCCAAATTTCCTCTTTTGATAAGGACACCCATCATATTAGATTAGGGGTCCACCATACTCCATAGGGCTTTGTTTTAATTAATAATATCAGCAAGGACATTTCTAAATAAGGTAACATTTTGAAGTACTAGGAGTTCGGACTTCAACATATGAATTTGAGGGGGAAAAATTCAACCCACGTCCATGACCTAGAGCCCAGCTGCAGCACTCTGAAATTCAGTTCTGCACTGAGTTCAAGCTTCACTCAAGCTGCTTCTAGCCAGTAACTGAGCTTGGCAGGGATACTGAGGCAGGCCCTTTCCTGGGAGAAATGGGACTCCAGAAGTCCTGGACCCTCTCTATTTCTTTTTATACCTGCTTACAATTTAGCCAATTCTTTTCTGAGCTCATCTCTTTCTTACAGTAGTGACCAAGGGATGTTACTAATGTTCAGTTTCCCCATCTTTTCACCTTAAGCTTCAAGTTCCTTCAGCACATCATCCGCCCTTGAAGTTATTCCTACAACAGCTTTACCAAATATTTCACCACTGCATAAGATAGATTACCATCTTTCCAACCCTCAGTAACGGTTCTCTTGCTGACTGCCATCTGGCTCTAGAGCCACATATTTTAGGGTTTGTGTTTTGGCCACTGCCCACTCCTGGTACCATAACACCATCTATCAAATCTACCTGTAGGTCATGAGATTACATAGGGCTTCACCAAAACTGGTGTAGAAGTTGGGTGGGGGGGGGGTACAATTGGAATGGAGCTCAGAAAGCTGCACTTGCAGAGTCATTTACGTAAGACTGAGAGTGTGCTGCTGGTCCACATCAGAGGATGGAGATTACTATGGTCTGAATGTCTGTGTCTCTCCAAATTTCATATGTGGAGATTTAATCAAGGTGATAGTTTTAAGAGGTGGTGCCTTTAGGAGCTGATTAAGGCATTTGGGCAGAGCCATTCTGAATGGGATTAATGACCTTATAAAAGAGATGAAGATGAACTTTTGACCCCTTCCACCACATGAGGACATAGCAAGAAGGCATCATCTTAAAGCAGAGAGCAAGCCCTCACCAAGACACTGAATCTGCAGATGCCTTGATCTTAGACTTCCCAGCCTCAGAAACTGCAAAAATAAATAAATAAATAAATAAATAAATGTCTGTTGTTTATAAATTACCTAATCTAAGGTATTTTGTTTTAGCAGCTCAAAGGAACTAAGACAAAGATCATGGAGACCATCGGGTGAGTCTCAAGACTTCCCCCAGCTCTGCTTGGCTGGTCTCCTGCTGGTATTTTCTGTCTGTAGAGAGGAACAAGAACTTCCATTTTATCTTGCTTACCTGCACTTATGAAAAGTCAAACTGAGTCATGCTGAGAGCCAGGGAACATAGGAGTCAGTTCTTCTGCAGCAGCACTCAGCCAGTTGAAGGCAATGTGGAGTGATGGAAGGAGAGCAGTGATGCAGTGATGCTGGCACCAACTCCTTTACTATGGCATCCATTGTACCAGCTGCCATACACCAGGCAACTTCTACACTTTATCTCTAATCATCCTAGAATAAGTATTAGTTTCCCCATCTTCTAGAAAGGAAAACTCAGACCCAGAGACACTAAGCAAGTAGCTCAACATCACACACGTTATCTGTGATTAAGCCTGAGTTAGAAATGGAGCCTTGGATTTCCACATTTATGCTCTTTTCATGAAGCTACCTGACTTTGATACTCAAGTTTGTCCATCTACAACACGGGACTGCTGGACTAGAAATCTCTAAGTCCCCTTTACCTCTGGATTCTGTGTCTCTAAGGATGAGAATAACAAAACTCCTTTGCCTCTAGCACTTTCCAACTGAAGGCCCTATCACGCTCATGACATCTAATCACTGCAGCCAGAAGCATTAAATAAAATGGATGGATTGACATTGGGGGTGGGTGAGGCGGGGAAGTTGGGGGTGTGGAGAAACAACTCTCTTTACATAATGATTGCTACTATGATTTGGTTATAAGTAACCCATGAAGACAATCAGTCTTCTCTGGCAGTCCCTAATTGTAGTGAATGTTGGAATACAGTGACCACACAAATGCTCCAGACTGATTGCGAAGGTGCCACTTCTAAATCAGCTGGGCAAGTGCATTGCATAAGCTGAGTATTTAGCTTAATGATTGGAGCCAGTTGATGAAACACAAGAATCTGGAAGCCTCCTGCTACTTCTCAGAAGATAAGACAATGGCATTCCATCACCAGTGTTTACTGTGGTACCCAAAGGGAGCTCCAGTTACTTTCCTCTGTGCCTATAACCCTTGGATCACCTGGTTGCACCAGACCCATCCTGACTAAAATCCCTCCAAAGGACCAAAGAGGGGATAGGGACAAAAATAAAAAATAAATCTCATCTGCTCTCTTTCCTAAGGACCCAGCAGCCTCTATCCATCCATCGTTCATTCACTCATTCCACACACTTTCATCTAGCCCCTGCTGAATGCCAAGCACTGGGCTGGAACTCTGGGGACTGTGGAGGTGGAATAGGAGAATATGGGCTTTCTGTGAGCAGTGTTTGCCTAAAATATATACATCAAGGTTGTAGGATCATGTGCACCACTGCACTCTAGCCTGGGCGCAGAGTGAGACCCTGTTTCAAAAAAATAAAAAAATTGTAGGATCATGGAGAAAGTGTCTTAAGTGTTTGGTGCTGTGGACAGGCAACACAGGCAGAAACTGGTGGCTAGGGAATCAGAGAAGTTTTCAGGAGGGAGCATTTGACTTGGGCTTGGACTGAGCATCACAGGGCAATATAGAAACAAGTTTATGGATAATTAACTGAATTGGTGGCAGTTGATAACTTGAATCTTCCTTCAGATGATTGAAGTTAGTAGCCCAGCTATGAAAGTCTAGGTTACAGATGTCTCAGCCAGAGCTTGCGTATGTGTGGATGAGGCTCATACATATGCAGACTTGGGCTCCTGCCAAGATATGAGAGTTTTGGTCAGTCTGCATCTCAGTTCTAATACCTCTGCCTAAATACTTGAGTCCAGAGTGGTCATGCAAAGAACAGAACCCTGGAACAATCACACCAAGGTTTGGTTCTAGGCTTAGCCATTTTCTAGCCATGGGAACAAAAGAAAATTACTGAACCTCTCTGAGTCCCAGTTTATTTGTCTGTAAAATAAGGATAGTGATACTGGGGTTACAGGGAAATTGTGAGAATTAAAATAGTTCAGGAGAGGTTAAGTTGTCCTGGGGCCACCTTTGTCCTTGCAGTGACCACAGTCTGTAGTGAAGGCACCCTTGAGAGCAGAGAGCAGAGCTGCTATGTGATTCATCTCTAGAATCCCTGGTTCTTGGAACACTTCCTGAGAGCTATTAGGCACTCAAGAAATGTTAATGGTAGATCACAGTATAATGGTAGATCATAGTATTGTGGTAGATCATAGTATTGTATTATTATTCAGCAAACATCCGTTTTCCCTCCTTTCCATGGAAGTGGTGTACTTCCCCACCCCACTGACATTGGGCTTAGCCATGTGACTTGCTTCAGCTAATGGAATGTGAGTGACTCAGTGAATGCCACATCCAAGCAGAGGCGTTAAACATTCCTGCATGGCCTCTGGTGATCCTGTCCTCCAGCATGAGATGAATATGCTTCAGATAACTGCTGCTACTTCCCTGGATCCTCTCATGACAGCCAAGTGAAGCAAATAGGAAGCCAATTCACCACCCAGATCCAGGCCCATCTGAATCTAGCCAAGCCCAGAAGAGCCCTGTAGAACCACAGCTGACCTATGGAAATGAGAAGTAAATGTTTGTTGCTGGCATTGAGATTTTGAGATTACTTGTTATGTAGCATCATCACAACAAAGCCTGACTAATACATTGTATAAAGTTAATTGAGTACTAACAACACACCAGGTATTGTTCTAAGTCCTTTATATAAAGAATCTCATCTAATCCTTACAGCACTGCATAAGGAGGCATGATAAATATCTCCATTCAACAGATTAGAATTGAGGCATCTTGTCAATCTCATTCATGTTATTCCTCCTCACTTCCTGCATCCAAATGAACCAAGCCTCCTATGTTCATTAGAACCACAGACCAAGACTGCTGGAGAAAGATAGGGCTGTGGAGATGGGAATGAATTGGCAAACAGCTTTGGGATGACAATGTTAAGGTCAGGCAAATGCGCTCAGTAACCTCAAATGAGTGTCGATGTTCATGAGGGCTGCTCAAAAAAGACACAGAAATTGACGTCTTTTATCTGAGGACCCTTCCTCAGCCTCAGGACTTAAGTCTATGGGAGCGTGAGCCACATAGCCATGAGAGGCAGGGGGTTCAGTGAGAAGAATAAGCTCTAGAGTCTCACTTATGGGTCTGAATCTCAGCCGTGCCACATGTACTGTGTGATCTTGAGCAAATCACCGGACCTCTCTATTCCTCAATTTTGTCACCTGTAAAGTGGGACTATTACTTGTACCTACAACCTGGATTTGTTGGGACAGTAAATGAGTTAGTGTTTCCAAGGTGCTTAACACAGAGCATTTGCATGTAGCAAGCACCCAGTCAATGCCCATGACCATGGCCCTCTGCTCATGCTGCTCTTTGGTTCCCCCTGAGGTCTTTTGTGGACAGAGAGTGTGAAAATGCCCTCTAGCCACACAAGGAAACAGGACTCAGGGACAAAGGACCTGTGCCCTGACCAAGGCAATGCGTCCCTCACCATATATGCAGTAGTGCATCCTTTCCTGTTGACTTTTTGATCAGCAATTAAGACTTTAGTCTTTTTTGTTGGTGTGCAAAGTTATTTTCTTAATGGCCCTCCAGCCCAGCCATCACAAAAATGCTTTCCAGCTCTCAGGGAGAACATTTCTGATGCACGCTGAATCCAGAATTCAAAGGAAGCAAAATAAAGGCACCAGGGGCTCTTATGAGACTGAGTGACTCAAAATAGAGGGAATGTGGGGACTTGGGGCATAAGATTGATCATGAATCACCAAATAGAAAAACCCTGGGATGGCTTTCAAGAAGAATCCTCCTTGAGGTTTTAACTTTCACCTACAAGCAAGTTTTCTCACTGCTCAGTACAGCAAGGTAAGGACAGCAGCCTCACAGCATCAGTCTGAGGATAGAATGGGTTAATGCAGCCGGGCACAGTGGCTCATGCCTGTAATCCCAGCACTTTGGAAGGCTGAAGCAGGTGGATCATGAGGTCAAGAGATCGAGGTACCCTGGCCAACATGGTGAAACCCTGTCTATACTAAAAATACAAAAATGCTAGCTGAGTGTGGGGGCGTGCACCTGTAGTCCCAGCTACTCGGAGGCTGAGGCAGGAGAATTGCTTGAACCCGGGAGATGGAGGTTGCAGTGTGCCAAGATTGTGCCACTGCACTCCAGCCTGGGTGACAGAGTGAGACTTTGTCTTAAAAAAAAAAAAAAAAAAAAAAGGATGGGTTAATGCCTGAGAACTCTTTGGCACAGTGCCCAGCACAAATTCAGCAGTCACTCAGTGTTGGCTATCATCTTTGGTGATGTTGGTCCCAAACCCAGACCTCTGCTCTGGTCCTCGGCTCATACACCCACGTGGGTAGCCCATATGCACTTTAAACGTGAGTCCAAAATGGAATCCAAAGTATCAGATCCCCTCGTTGCCACCACCAGGTTTGCTTTCTTCTCAAGCTGCTGAGGGATCCTCAGAAGCAGAGACCATGATGAGAACCCATCTTTAACTCTGGGTCACTAGCACAGGGGCAGAGTAGGCAGTCACTACATCTTCAGAGCCTGTGAGTTTTATTTTGCTTTGTTTTGCAATCTGTCATCCCCACACTCTTACTATATAAGACAGTGCCTAGCCAGACAAGCATAGGTTTAAATCTCCACCTTGTCACTTCTTAGCTGTGTGACCCTGAGTGAGGAGCTTGAGTTCTCTGAGCCTCAGCACCTTTAGCTGTATGGTGAGAATGAACAGACCTCCTTACAGGGCTGCTATAAAGAATTAACAAGGCCAGGTGTGGTGGCTTCCACCTGTAATCCCAGCACTTGAGGCTGAGGTGGGTGGATCACCTGAAGTCAGGAGTTTGAGACCAACCTGACCAACATGGTGAAACCCCATCTCTACTAAAAATACAAAAAATTAGCCGGGCGTGGTGGTGGGTGCCTGTAATCCCAGCTACGCGGGAGGCTGAGGCAGGAGAATCGCTTGAAACCAAAACCAGGAGCCAGAGGTTGCAGTGAGCCAAGATCGCACCATTGCACTCCAGCCTGGGAGACAAGAGTGAAACTCCATATCACACACACAAAAAAAAGGAATTAATGAGATCGCTCTGCACAAATCCTAATGTGGCATATGATATGGGATGAGTTCTAGTAAATGAGCATTTTTTACACTCAAGATGTAAGCATGGTGGTTTCATTATTAGAGATGAGAGAACCAAATTCAGAAACGTTTAATCATTTACTTAAAATCACACAACTGGGACTCATACCCAAGCCCTTTTCTTCCTGGTCTGATGTTCATTCCTTGTTGTCTGAAATGTCAAATCATTTTACCAGAATAGCAGGGGAGAGAGGGACAGAAAGTTGCTTAAATTATTGATTTTGTTTTAGCAGCCTCTCATCCTGCAGGAGGGGCTTGCAGCAACAAAGGCCTGGCACCTTTGAATTTGTTTTCAGTCCATTTTTTAAATCTTCATTCCCTTTAGCTCTTGTTGAAAATGGCTTCCTGCCACTTTGCACAGAAAAATCTCTTTCATGAAATACCAAAACCAAACAAAAAACAGGCCTTTGAAATGCTGTTTTGCCTCCTCCTAAGAGCTAACATTTGCCAGTTGTAAATTAACATTCCTTTCACTTCTTTCAATAGAAAATCAATCAGGGCCCTAAAATCCCTGCACATCTGTATTTAATCCACAAATAATTCAACAATGTTCTATCTTAATGGGATATTGTGAAAGCATAAATGTCATCAACTTCTTTTATGTGGAAAGAAGAATAGGGCATGAACTTGTTTGTGCTCCTAATGTCCTTTGGAAATGGATTCCCAAGGACCAGGAGTGTTCTCCCCACCGACGGTGCACAGTGCCACAGCAAGGACAGTCAACTGGGAGTTGGGAGACCTGGACTTCAGTTCATACCACTTTGCTGGGGTATTTGGGCAAGTCCCTCAGGGCCTCAATTTCCGCATCTGCACAATATGGGGAGTGGTCAACATGATTTCTGAAGTCTCTAGCCAGATTTCAAATTTGCTTACAGCACACAGAAAATTGCTAAAGAGAAAAATCTATAGTGGCCGTTTCTGTTCAGGCTGCAAAATCTTGTGCACTATTTACATATTTAAGTATGAACTGTCTCAAAGGGTCTTTCATTAAAAAATGACCAACATGGAGAAACCCCGTCTCTACTAAAAATACAAAATTAGCTGGGCGTGGTAGCGCATGCCTGTAATCCCAGCTACTCGGGAGGCTGAGGCAGGAGAATGGCTTGAACCCGGGAGGCAGAGGTTTCTGTGAGCCGAGATCGCGCCATTGCACTCCAGCCTGGGCAATAAGAGCGAAACTCCGTCTCAAAAATAAATAAATAAATAAAGAGGATGTAGGCTACAGCCATATACCCTGAACATGCCCCAATCTCATCTGATCTTGGAAGCTAAAAACGGTCAGACCTGGTTAGTACTTGGATGGGAGAAAATGAAGGTGGAGATAGTTCTTTGTGAAGACACATGTGTGTGCTTATTTGTGCAGTTGTGTGCTCGCAATTGCATCTTGGGCACATGTGTATTGTGGAGGCATCTGTGTGCCTGTGGAGTGTGTGTACATATGTACCTGATGTGTATTTGGCTGCAGAGGCACAGAAGGTCAGCAACAGCAGGTGGCTGCATGCAGGGACACTAATAATTACTCACTCTATACAAACTCTTTAGCAACAATGTTAGCTATTCTACTGCTGACTTTACGAACAGAGAAAATGTGGCCAGACACAGTGGCTCCTACCTGTAATCCTAGCACTTTGTGGGGGCTGAGGCAGAAGAATCCCTTGAGCTCAGGAGTTTGAGACCAACCTGGGTGACGTAGTGCAATCTTGTCTCTAATAAAAATTAAAAAAAAAAAAAAAAACTATCCAGGTGTGGTGGTGCATGCCTATAATCCCAGCTACTTGGGAGGCTGTAGCAGGAGGATCACCAGAGCCCAAGAGTTTAAGGCTGCAGTGAACCATGATTGCTCCACTTCACTCTAGCCTGGATGACAGAGCAAGACCCTGTCTCCCTGCCACAAAAAAAAAAAAAAAAAAAAAAAGAAACATAGAATAGAAAACATCTCCTGGTTTGTATCCTGGAATAGAGAAATGAGCACAGGCTTTCAAATCAAACAGTAGTGATTCATATCCTGTCCCTCACACTCACCCAGCATCTCTGAACCTGAATATTTTCATCCAGGTTGACTTAAGGATGAAATGGAAAAAGGTTTACAAAGTACCTGGGGTATAGTGAAGGATTCAATAAATGTTCTCTCCCTTTTCTTCTATATTAGTTATCTATTGCTAAATAACAAATTAACCCAGAACTTAGCGGCTTAAAACAGCAAGTGTTTTTCTGATAGTATCTATGAGTCAGGAGCCCAGGCAAAGATTCGCTGGGTCTTCTGGCTCACAGTCTCCCAAAGGCTGCAATCAAGGAGTAATATAAGGCTATGGTCTCATCTGAAGGCTCAACTGAGGGACGCTTCCTTTCCAAGCTCCCTCATGTGATTATTAGCAGGTTCAGGTTTTGGCTGGCTCTTGGTCAGACACTCCCACAACCTCCAGTTTCTTGCTACTGGGCCTCTTCATAGAACACCCACAACGTGACTGCTGGCTTCTATCAGAACAAAAAAGCCTGTCCTCCAGCCCCCAGTGATTCACATCCTCCACCCCATGCAAAATACACTTGGGTCCTCCCAAGATCCCTAAAAATCTCCTCCCCCTTCAGCATCAACTAAAGTTCAGAATCTCATCAAATCAGGCATTGGGGTGGGGACTTCTTGAGAATGACTAGTCACATGCAGCTCCTAGAGTACAGTTCCTCTCTATCTGAGAGCCTGTGAAACTAGAGAGACACAGTATCTGCTTCCATACACCTAGCATTAAATGGTGTAACAGGCATGGATTAGCTCTATATCTGTCTCCTTTTTCTCTAGATGTTTAATGAGACAAGTATTTTAATTTTGTATTCCACTAATTTATTTATTCAACAAATGCTTATTAGGTACTGACTATAGACTCCTTATTTATTTTGCATTCCCATTTTGCCAACAAGGAATCTGAGAATCAGAGGCAAAATATTACATACAGCTTGGCCCACTGAATTATTTTTTCTCCTCTAAAAGGACCTCTAGGGTTCTCCATCAATGAGGACTTTCTAGTCACAGCTGCAGTGAGGTTTGAGTTTAGCTATTTAGACCATCAACCACAAAGACTATACATTCAAATTATTTTATGTGGTAGAATATCTAAGAATAATTCAAGCTAATAAAAGATCTAGAGAATAATTAGATGTATTCATTGTTAATAAGAGCCCATTTAATATTGTAGCAAAGGCAAGATCAGGGCAGGATCAAGGCAGATAAATTTCAAACATGCCTAAGGATAGTGAAGACCAATGGTGTTTTTCGATTGTGGCTATATACATTCTAACACATCCAATTTTTTTAAAAAAGTGAAGCTTAGGCCCTATTCCCTAGAAATTCAGATTTAACTAATTTGGAGTCGGCCCCAGACATCAATATTTTAACTTTCAAGTAGTTCTAGGACAGACAGGTTTAGGGGCTACGGAGAGACCCAGAATGGCAAGTACTTAGAACATTCACACATCCCCCACCTCCCAAACTCCTAATAGAAATCATTTATTAACCAGGCCCCTCCATGTCATTGGTTGGAATACAACTTTGTAGTCTTTCTCATCCCAGGACTCCAGGCAGCCCCTACCCATGAAGCCAAGTTGACATATGAATGAGGGCATATGTGTTAGCCCCTACAAGCCATACTGGGCATGCTTTCCCAAATCTACAAATTATCAAGTGTGTAGAAAAATAGAGCCCCCTCCATGCTGAGCAGATCTCACTCATGTAGACAACTGAGGTCTAATTACCCATTGGAAAGGGCCATTGGAAGAGCACAGGAAAAGGTCCAAGATGGAGAGGGAATTTACAACCAAGTCTGATAATGGTTTCAGAACCTCAAAATACTTCACCTGGAGAGGACCCATGGGCAATATACATGAAGGAGCTCTCCTCTTCCTGAGTCCCTCCAAAGAGTTGTGTAAAGCCCAAAAGGGGGGTTCTCCAGGAGTAGATGCTCTTCAAATCCCACTTCTATCACTTACTAGAAGCATAACCTGGCTTGCTATTGAACCTCTCTCAGCCTCCTTTTCCTCCTTTTTCAAATGAGGACAATGGTGCCTATGTCACAAGAATATTGCAATGATTGCATGAGAAGATGTATACAAAGCACCTCACCCAATATATAGACAACAAATGCTGGTTGTCTTCTTTATTCTGTCAGTGTTGGTGGAGTGCTGGTACTCTCAGTTCACTAAGAGTTTTCAGGACAGGAATGGTCTTAGAAGAGAATCAGAACAATATTCTGAGTGTTTTCCCTGGAACTGGCATTGTATTATTAATATCCCACAAATGGGAGACATGTATCCCTTGGTCTCATACCTGCAATATCAAAATGGTACTTCATTAACAGTGTCAAAGCAAAAGTCTGATGGCTCTGCCTGCTCTTGTGAGTAGGGGTACTCATATTCCCTTTAAGCCCTTCCCCCGAATTGGCCTAGAGGCCCAGGGGTTTCCACATGGGCTCAACATTCTCCGCTTAACTCTCCCCTCATATCAACAACTTCCTCCTATCAAGCTTGACATCTTGTCCTATTTCTTCCTATTCTAGGTGTAGGCAAGTCTAGTCTGCTCTTTAGCCACTCTATCCATCTACTGCATATTGACTCTTGAATTATTGATCCCTAGTAGCTTCCCACACTGCCTGTAAAATGGAGCACAGAACCACTACATAGAAACAGGAAGGTTCTGCCCTGTACTCTCAGCTCTTAAGGACACAGTCACAAGAAGACCATTTCTAAATTCTCATTGTATAATGCCCTTACACATTCCACATGCATCACAGCACATAACCCTGACAATAAACTACAAGGTAAGCAACTAATTATTCCCTTTTTAATATTTTTTAAAACCTAGGAAGGTAACTTAATCTCTTTGACTTCCAGGTCTCATGAACTAGAACATTAGAGAATCAAGATTTGAACGAGAGGTGATGGTTTTTAAAATATTTCTGCTAGATATCAAAATGAATGCATGGGATTTGATATATCTACATAAATAGGCATAGAAATAGAGATGCTCACTGATATGTGTATATGCACATATGAATATGTGTGCATGTATATACATGTATCCATTTCCCAGCTCTTCTTTTAAGAGGATATAGAAACAATGTCACCCCAGCAACAATAAACACCCTAGTGCCCACATCTTGATTTCTCTGTACCATTTTCTACTAGAAGGAACCCTGGTCTCCTTGGAAAAATGGCTGATTCCAAGGCTTGGACAGGGAATATACAAGATGAGTCTGACATATCTCGTGTTGAAAAGTAAAAAACTACTCAAAGAATAATGACAGCATGTCAAAAGGACACAAGAATCAACTTAAAGGGCTCCCACTAATCAAATCTAGGGCAACCTAAATATCATGATAAGTATGGATACCCCCAGCTCACTGAGAGATTTGAGGGCAGGGACAGTCTTAGAAGACAATAGAAAACAGTGTTCTGAGTGTTGCCCCTAGACTGAGCATTGTGTTAATATCTTAGAAATGGGACACATGTGTCCCCAGGTCCCATACCTGGAATGTCAAAATAGTATCCATTAACAGGGTCAAGTAAAAGATTATAACCTATTATAAAAACTAGAAACCCGGGCTGGGCATGGTGACTCAAGCCTGTAAATCCCAGGACTTTGGGAGGCTGAGGCAGGAGGTCTGTTTGAGCCCAGGAGCTTGAGACCAGCCTGGGCAACATAGGGAGTCCCCGTCTCTACAAAAAAAAAAAAAAATTACCTGGGCATGGTGGCATATGACTTTGGTCCCAGCTACTTGGGAGGCTGAGGTGAGAGGATCACTTTGGCCCTGGAGTCAAGGTTGCAATGATCTGTGATCATGCCACTGCTCCCCAGCCTAGACAACAGAGTGAGACCCTGTCTCAAAAACAAACAAACAGAAAACTAAAAAACCAAGATTCTATGCTGATGTAAATAAATATATAAAACAAATATTCTTCCTTACAGTAGAAAACCAACAATACATTTAGAAAGATTATGGAATTTTTTTTAAAAACACTATTTGACAACCACAGTAATAACTGATTCAGGGAAGGGCCACTAATAAATGCTAAAACCAATGGATGCAAGTTTGAGAAATAATAGGATATCTTCATAGTCTCAAAGTATTTCTCCAAAGGAAATACATATTAATTATAAAGAGTAAAACAGTGGACAGCACCGTAACCTCATGAGCAAAGTTAACATTGCTAGTAATGGGACTAATTAACAGCACCTGCCCCTCATGCCATGAGCTACAGGAGCTCAGCATGGCATCTGTGATATTCCTGCCCAACATACATGACAGAATCCAATCATGGAAAAGCACCAAAAAACCCAAGTTGAAGGACAAGTCTACCAAGTAGCTGGCCAGGTAATCTTCACAAAGGTCCGTGTCATGAAAGACAAAGCAGCAGAAACTTTCAAATTAGAGGGGACAGCTAAATGCAACACATGGTCTTGGATTGTTTTGTTATAAAGGACATTATCATGAAGTCTGAATAAAGTCTGTAGATGAGATGAGAGAATTCCCTGTTTTTAGGAAATATGCAACAAAATATTCAGAGTAAATGGGCATCACATCTTAGATGACTCAGAAGAAAAAGGGAAGAACAGAGATAAGTGATACAGTGAAACATTGATGTTTGGGGGATCTGGGTAAACAATATTCAGAAATTCTTTGTACCGTGTTGCAAGGTTTCTGTAAGTCTGAAACTATGTGAGAACAAGTGTTTAAAAATAAAGCATAAAATGTAAAACATCTCTTCTGCAAATTCTTTGGCACTCCTCCCATGAAGAGGTAAAGTCTGATCACCTCCCCTTGAATATGATTTGGACGTAATGACTCACTTCTAACCAATGAATATGGTGTATGGATGTGTAATTATAAAAGAAGATTCAGCATGTATCAGAACAAGTTCTGGGGCATGTGTTTTGTGTAATACACGCTCTGTGTGGTTCATGTGCCCATTGCTCAGATAAAGAAGCTGGAGCTCAGAAAGGTGCCCAAATTCAGATGACTAATAAATGGTGGAGCCAAACTTCAAACTCAGGGCACTGGAGCCTCCAATCTCAGGCAGGTAGCCTTGTGGACAGGGAGCTGGGACCTGGAGTCTGCCTGCCTGGCCAAGTCCTCTCGAGTGCTGCAACATGGGTATTTGGGGCTGGATAATTCTCTGTGCACCAGAAGTTGTTTAGCAACATCTTTGGCCTCTACCCGCAAGATGGCAGGAGCACCTGACACCCAGTTGTGACAACCAAAAATGTCTCCAGACATTGCCAAATATCTGTGGGGGTGCAGGGTGCAAAGTTCCCTCATTTAAGAACCACTGACCTAGGGTGAACCCTGGTTCCTCTACTAATTTTCCCATGACCTTGGACAAACAACCTTGTCCTCAAGGTCCTCTGTGCCCCCATGTCCTCATCTGTAAAATGGAAAAATAATAACATGTGAGGTTAATGTGAGGAATAAATAAGAATCCAGGAAAGCATTTGGTCCATCATGTAAGAGCTACTTTGCCCATAACCCTAGGGTGCCTTCCCTCCAAACACAAAGCTGTGCAAAGAGCAGGTACACAATGAAGATCTGCTGTTGTATAGCTGTGGGGATGAATCAATTAACTATTTCAGTAATAAATGAACAAAAAACTGAATGTCCTGATCTGTGCACTAGTGCATTTGCTGACTGAAGATGTTCTGGCATCCTCTCTCACCATCAAAGAGCAGTTAGGATTAAAGACTCCACGGCCAGGCTACCTGGGTTCAAGTTGAGTTCTGCCACTCAGGAGCTCTGTGACCACAGGCTGGTTATTTAGCCTGCCAATGCCTTCATTTCCTTATCTGTAAAATGGGGTAATAAAAGTGCTTACCTCACAGGGCAGCGAGAGTCAAATGAATTAACACATGTGTGTACCCAGCTCAGGCTGGGTCTCCATCATGCCTGCTGCAATTGCTGCTACAGCAATTAACATTAATCCTATGACGCTCTTCTTTTATAGCCCTCCAGCCACACTCCTCCGAGGGCACCAGGAACAATCCCATTTCCAAGCCTTTGCACTTGCCACTCCCTCCGCCTGAATTACTCTCCTTCCCAGACATTAGCAGCCCTCCAACCCTTACTTCGTCAAGGTCTCTCTTCATGCAGCTCTTTGGAAAGTCCTCCCCTGACCACCATAAATAAAACAGCAGCTTCACCACCCTACTCACCCTGGGTTTTTTTGCAACATAGCAATTACCCCTGCCTGGCGTTATCTATCCTGGTCAGTACAGCACAGTGCAATGCAGTGCAATATAGTACAGATCTCTTTATTGGCTTATCTCTCCCCTGACTCACATAAATGTTCCAAGACAGCAGAGAATTTGATTGACAACTACATTCCCAGCATCTAGAACAATGCCTAGAGCATAGTACCTAACTATAATGAATGGTGAGTGATATTTTACAGAAGGAAATTCCAAAGTCCTCACATAATCCATTTCCCATAACACAGAACTCATTTAAACTGGAGCCTAGAACAGTGTTTTTCACAAAAGATTTTGCTTATAGCAACTCTTGCTTTAGAACAGAATATTGTAAAAACTTCCAGATCAGTTAGATTTGAGTTTCTCAAGTCGTGACTATGGACTTCAGAGAAACAGTAACAGGAATTCCACCAAACAAGGTTCACGAGGTGAACAGCATTGGGAAATGATACAGAATCTTCTCCCACTGGAGGATGCATCATGCACAGGAGAAGCTCTAAGAAGTCCTATCGAGAAAACAGGTGTTGAACCTGGGTTTGCTGAACTTATTTCACCAGAGACCCCATCCATTAACATATGCATCACAAAGCACAATTGGGTAAACAGTGATCTAGTTGAAGTCTTTCCATTTACAGACACAGACAGAAAATGAGGCCCAGAAAGGTTAATTGACTCACTCAAGGTCATGCGACGATCTCCTGAATCCTAGAGCTGGGTGCTTTTCACTGCCCCTAATGTTGCCTAATGGTTCGCTTAGCTATCCATTCACAGGAGGTCAGAAACTGAACACGGACCTCAGATTCCAGTATCATTTTGACTAAATTATATATAAAAATTGATGTACTGAATAGGATTTGCTTTCAATCTCACTGTTCCAGAAATAGTCATTCATTCAACAAATATTTATTAAGCACTATGTGCCAGGAACTGCACATTTTGCAGTGATCAAGATATGGCTGCACAGAAGACTGACAATAAAATTAGCCTTAAAGAGATCAAAATTGATTGAACTGTCCTTGATAAAACGGCTTCAAAGCAGGGACTTGCAAGAAATTGCATATTCACATTTCATTTGCTTCCATTAATAGTGCTCACATTTAGATCTGATGGTAATAATATGCTCTCAACTGGTGTGGGTCTGGAATAAAACACTCCCCTTGGCTGTGCACACTGCAGAGAGGAAAAACAAAATGATTGGAGTCAGCCGGGCTTTTCTATTGAGCACCTCGACCTACAGATTTTCCAATTTCAAGTTCATTCACATTTCATCTCTGGCTTCTACATTTTACTTAAAAAGCATTTCCCTATTTGCTATTGTCCACTAAGGAAAATGCCTATTTAAAAATAGAGTTTCTTTTTTAAAGCATCTTGATTCACACATTTCAAAGCTCTTCAGAAAACACGATTTCTCAAAAGCCATGTCATTCTAAAACATGCTACAGTTGTCAGATGGAGAAAGATTCAAGATATTATTCTACATGATCTTTTCAATGAACTGATCGCATCTGTCTAGGAATAAGGAGAGTTGTCTTATGTTACTTCAAAAAAGATTCCATATGAGAAAAAAAACATCTGGTCTTGAGAAGATCTAATGCCATGCCATTGAAGCCAGGTTTCAGCACAGACCCAACATGGGTATAAGTAATAAAAAGAAACCTGAGAAAACAGAAGCTCCTCAAGGTCCTTTGCCCTGGTGTATCTTTAAGGCCAAACTGTAAAGAGATTAAGCATGTACTTCCAGACCCAGCAAATATCTTCTTTGCATTTTAAGGATGCACTCATCGTTTCTTCAGAAGCAATCCTGAAACCCAATGTAGCAAAGCAAAGATAGTCACCCCATAATACAAATAATCTGTGTTTATTAGACACCAGAATAAATCAGGGATACTTCTTAAGCTATGGTAAAGAGGCCCCCACCAGCACAGAGAGAAGAAATGACATAAGCACAAAGCCACGGGAATCCAGACCCAGGAAAGCTGTGCTCCCACCACATCACTGCACACACACACAACCTGCTGTTTAAAAATCAATTCAAACACAAACAAGTGACTGAACAAGCCATTTGTTTAAAAAGGGAGGGGAGAGCATATTTTTTAAGGACCAAGTATCATTTTTTTTTTTAAGGACCCAGCACCATACTCTCTTCTCTCATAGGATCGTTGGTCCATCTCTGGTAGGCTGGGTACATTTGACTGAGTTTATTGCAACTGCTTCTGCCAATTCTTCGAACTACCAATCAATGGGGTGAGGTTTCTAAGCACACGAGCTACTACACAGAAACACATGATAAAGGGAGCAGCACTGGAAAGGCATGTATTTGCGTGTGTGTGCGTGCTTGTCAATGTCTGTGCGGTTATGCAGATCCATGAGGGGGTTTCTTAATGCAGTTTAATGGAATCCATTCGGGGTGAAAGGTGTTATTTTGTCTAAAGAAATCTCCCCCTCGCAGTCCAGCTCCCAGACAGACTCAGCAACAGGGTCACCATCTGGGGACGTCTGATAGATCTGGAACATGCGATCGAAAGGACCCTCCTCCTCGTCGTTGTCCACCTCCCGGTTGCCGGGGGTAACGGCGTTGGGCATCATGTGGATGTAGGCAGCTGCGATTTCCTTGTGGAAGACGATGTCTTGGTTGTAGGAGATGAGCTCATTGCTGATGTTCACCGTCTCCACCGGCGTGCGGGAGCAGAAGTGGCTGCACCCCAGCAGCTGGGCAAACACCTTCTGAAAGTCGGCGTTGAAGGCATAGATGACGGGGTTGAGTGAGGAGTTAGCCCAGCCGAACCAGACGAAGACGTCGAAGGTGGTCTCACTGACGCAGGGGAAGCCGGCCGGAGGGCCTTCGGGGTGTCCACTGCAGAAAGGGACCATGCAGTTAAGGATGAAGAAGGGCAGCCAGCAACACACGAAGACCCCCATGATCACCGACAGGGTCTTGAGAACCTTGGTCTCCTTCTTGATGGAAGCGCGCAGGCTGGTGTCGGGCGCGCAGGCTGCGCTGCTCCGGCAGCTCTGCGCGTGCTCTGCGGCCCTCTCCAGGGAGGAAATCCTGCGGATCTGCACCTGGGCGATGCGGTAGATGCGCGTGTAGGTCACGATCATGATGGCAACGGGGATGTAGAAGCTGATGAGCGAGGAAGAGATGGCGTAGGTTCGATTCAGGCTGGAGTCACAGTTCTCTGCATTCACGTCGGGCTCCCAAAAGTCCTCCTCCCAGGGCGTCCAGTTGGCCAGGTTGTTTGGCAGGTCCAGCCCGCCCCAAGAGGCCGCCTGGTCCCTGTGCCAGTTGAGCTGGACCGGAATGAAGGAGATGAGGATGGACAAGGTCCATGCCAGGCCGACCATGACCAAGGCCATGCGCTGAGTCATCTTGCGCTTGTAGCGGAAGGGCCTGGAGATGGCCCAGTAGCGGTCCACGCTGATGACGCACAGGTTCAGGATGGAGGCAGTGGAGCACATGATGTCGAAGGCCACCCAGACGTCGCAGAACGCTCCAAAGGGCCAGTAACCGGCCACCTCGGCGACTGCCTTCCAGGGCATGACCAGCAGCGCCACGAAAAGGTCTGACACGGCCAGAGACACGATGAAGACGTTGGTCATGTTGGCGCGCAGGTGGCGGCTCCGCACGATGGCTGCGCACACCAGCACGTTGCCCAGCAGGGTCCAGATGATGAGTAGGGTCAGCAGGCAGGCGGTGACCACCTGTGAGGGCCCCAGTGGCGGTGCCCCCGCCGAGCCCCCCACGGCGTTCCCCTGCGCCAGCTGCTGGTATAGAGCGAACTGCCCCGGGTACGCGGTGCCGTTGCTGCCTGGCGGCAGCATTTCGGGCTGGACTGCAGGGGCGGTCTGTGCGCGGTCCCAACTTCAGCCCTGCGACCCCCAGGCAGCCCCATCGGGCACCCCGAGGATGCGCCCCCTCAGCCAAGGGACCCTCGAGCCCCAGAGGGCGCTCACCATGAGCTGCGCCGGGCTGCGGAGCGCGCGGGGACTTCTCTTGCCTCCTGAAGCGCCTCTGGCTCCATGGCCGTGGTGCGCCCCTCCAGTCTCCGCGATGGGGACAGGAAGCGGCTGGTGCTCGCTGACAGCCAGGGCTGTTCTCGGGAGTCTGTAGCGCGCCGGACGGCAGCGGCAGCGGCTGTGTCTGGTTCGGAGCGAGAGAAGAGAGCAAGCCGCCACTGAGGGGCTGGGGCAGGCAGTCGCGGGCGCCAGGCTGGCACTGAGGCGCTGCCGCGGTCCCTGGCCGCTCCCAGGCCCCGCGTCCCGCCCCCCGAGCCTCCGCGCTCGACTCCCGCCCCACCTGTGCCTTGGCGCCCTCGCTCACCGCCCTCAGCGCGCCAGAGTGTAGGGGCGATCCCGCAGGTCCGAGGGGCGCCCCAGCGCCAGACCCTAGTCCCCGGGCCGGGGAAAATTCTCCCCGGGAAAACCGAAGGGTGCTTGGCGCATCCCTGGAGCCTTAGCCCTGGCCACGCTTGGGGAACAAGAGGTGGGGTAAGGATGAGGACGCGAGGGCTTCCGGAGGGGGAAAGAGCATTTGAAGGGTAAGCGGGGCAGCCTTGGATTACCCACAGACCCGAGTCCCAATCCGGACTTTATTCCTGGCTCTGCGACTTTAAGGGCCCTACATAACTTTACCCGGCCTTGGTTTCCTTCTCCACAGCGTGGGATAATGATTCCTACTCCTGGGACAGTGTCAGAACTCATGGAAGCCGTCTAGGATGAGGTGTCCAGTAGACAGTGTCTCCTAGGAACAGGCTCCCGCTTCCCCCAGCCCCTCTCTCAACACCCTGAGGCTGGGGCTTCAGCTGACCTCTTGGGAGATTGTCCTTTTCCCCACCACCGCCCCCAGTCCTTGAACGATTTTTCCTTTGGGGAATAATTCGGAATGAACTCAGAAGACAAGAGGAGGAAGAGAGCCCCCCACCCCCATAGAGTTGGAGGCCTCTTCTTTGCAGGGCACTTTTACAGCCTTTCTCTTTTTCAACCTTGAGAGGGATGGATAAATAGCTCAGTGTTTAACAGAAAAGGAACTGACGGGGCCCAAAACCCAAACTGAAAAAAAAGAATGATGGAAAACAATAAAGAGGGAAAACAGTGTTCCTGAGCTCTGAGTGCACCTCCCAGCTGACAAGTTGCATTTGTGAAGTGTTTCGGCCTCTACTGGCGTTAAGCTCAGCTGAAGGCAGCTGGGAGAGAAAGGGATGTGACAGCAGCCAGCTGCATAGCTCCGGCTGCGACCTGCTGGCCCAGACACCTGCAGCATGGTGAGGTCTAGAAACAGACTGGACTTTCTCCTCCCTTCCTAGTCTCCCCCTCCACCAAACGCACCTGTACCCTGGACCAACATCTGCAAGTGGCCCACCTTCTCAGACTTAAGCTGCTCAGCCTACACAGTCCCTTCCCCCAACCTCCTTCCCCCTCAGTGCTTTTTGCCGCTGGAGAGGGCAAGACCATCTGTCCAGGTGCCTAAACCTGAAACTGAAGGGCCATCCTCACCTCTGGTCTCTCCTCATCTTCTGGGAGCTGGACCACTCCTCTGGCCATGGACATCCCTGTCCAGAATTGTGCCTCCTCCATCCTGTTTGATGGTGGCACTTTCCTGGCCTCCAGTCTCTGCCCTGACCCTCTGTCTTCCCAGCAGGCAGTGATCTTTCCTGAATGTGACTATGTTCATGTCACTCCCCTGATGAAACACCGTCAGTGTGTTTCATGATCAGCTCCCTGTGGCCCCTGTTCCTGGCCAGGCATGCAAGGTCTTTTCCTCATATTGCCCTTGTCTTTGTCCACAGCTCCTGCTTCTTCTCCTTTCACTACTCCGAATACAGCCTGGATTCAAGCTGCCGCCACCACCACCGCCACCAAAAAAGAACACCCATTGTAAACGGTCATGTGGTATTTCCTCAACCTGGAATGACCTTCCCCTATCTTCTTCTCCTGGAGAACACCAAGTCATGATGTCAGACAAGAGCTTGGATTTTGGAGACATGGGTTTGAATTCCAGTCATTCATTCTTTTATTCAGCAAATATTTAACAAGTACTGACATGTCCCATATGTTGTTTTACCCACTGGTTATACAATGGGAGGGAGAGAGAGAGAGAGAGAGAGAGAGAGAGATGCTATTCTAAAAGCTTGAAGTCTAGGCTGTGCACGGTGGCTCACGCCTGTAATCCCAGCACTTTGGGAGGCCGAGGTGGGTGGATCGTGAGGTCAGGAGATTGAGACCATCCTGGCTAACATGGTG
Source organism: Homo sapiens (assembly GCF_000001405.40). Classification (NCBI taxonomy): domain Eukaryota; kingdom Metazoa; phylum Chordata; class Mammalia; order Primates; family Hominidae; genus Homo; species Homo sapiens. Next base: position 9,779,611 of record NC_000004.12, on the reverse strand, counting down.
AAACTCCCTCTCTACTAAAAATACAAAAAATTAGCTGAGCATGGTGGCGGGCGCCTGTAGTCCCAGCTACTTGGGAGGCTGAGGCAGGAGAATGGCGTGAACCCAGGAGGCGGAGCTTGCAGTGAGCCGAGATCACACCACCACACTCCAGCCTGGGTGACAGAGCCAGACTCCGTCTCAAAAAAAAAAAAAAAAGTTTAAAGTCTAGATAGACTTTAACCCAGGAATAATCCAAAGAAATACACAATTACAAATGTGACAAGGGCTGTGAAGGGAAAGTTCACAGCCTTATCTAAGTGTACAGCAGTTGGGGAGGTTGGCCAAGGCAAGATGTTTAGGGAAGGCTTTCTGGGGAAATTTCTCTTTGGGTTGAATCACAGTTAAGTAGGCAAAGGGGAAGACAGAGGGAAGGGAAGTATGGCAGGCAGGAAGAATAGGCACTTACTAGCTTTGGTATATTGGGCAGGTCGCTTGATCTCTCTGAGCTTCAGTTCTCTCATCTGGGAAGTGAGTTAATAATAGTCGTTTAGAAAGTGTGATGAGACCAGCCAGGTGTGGTGGCTCATGCCTGTAATCCCAGCACTGTGGGAGGGTGAGGCAAGTAGATCATGAAGTCAGGAGATCGAGACCATCCTGACCAACATGGTGAAACCCCGTCTCTACTAAAAATACAAAACTTACCTAGGCATGGTGGTGTGCGGGAGGCAGAGGTTGCAGTGAGCCAAGATCGCACCACTGCACTCCAGCCTGGGTGACAGAGTGAGACTCCATTACAAAAAGAAGAAAAGAAAGAAAGAAAAAAAAAGAAACTGTGATGAGACCAAAACAATTAATGCATGAGTGTTCTGAACCTCCTTTCTCCCTCTGCTCTATCTGTGCAGTTTCTTGACCTGGGCGGTGCTCCAAAGAGGATTCTAGCTTGGCTTTTGTGATAGAGAATGGATACATTATTAGACCTGAAAAGCCGGAGGAGGGAGGAATGGTCCCAAAAGGAAGAAACTGTGCTTGTCTTCCCAATAAAGAGCAGAGAAGTGGGGAGAGGTATTGAAAGCTGTGGGTGGAGTTTTGCAGGGAAGATTGTGTGAAAGAGGTGAGGGAACTACGATCTGGGGGAATATGGATAGGAGAGTAAAAGGGAATTCTAGAGAACAATCCCTGCTGACTTCACACAACTTAAGAAATGCAAGTAAAGGGCCGGGTGCGGTGGCCCACACCTGTAATCCCAGTACTTTGGGAGGCTGAAGCAGGTGGATCACTTGAAGTCAGGAGTTCAAGAAGAGCCTGGCCAACATGGTGAAACCCCGTCTCTACTAAAAATGCAAAAATTAGCCAGGCGTGGTGGGATGTGTCTGTAACCCCAGCTACAGAAAGAGAGAGAGGTGGCTGAGGCAGGAGAATTACTCAAACCCAGGAGTTGGAGGTTGCAGTGAGCCGAGATCGCACCACTGCACTCCAGTCTGCTGGACAACAGAGCAAGACTCGGGGGAGGCGGGGAGAAGGAAAGAAGGAAGGAAGGAAGGAAGGAAGGAAGGAAGGAAGGAAGGAAGGAAGGAAGGAAAGAAAGAAAGAAAGAAAATAGAAGTAGAAATGCAAGTAAAACATTTCAGTTTGAAAATTGCCTTTTGTCTACTGAACATGAGACTGCTTGGAGACTGGGCAACATGGATTTTTATAAGTTGTACAAAGCACTTAGCAATGTTTGAACCTCTCCATCCTGCAAAGCCAGCTCAATCAGTTCTCCAGAAAGACTTACTGAGTCCTCTGCACTGAACAGGTGTCCTGTGTTCCAGGAGAGCCCTGGGCTGGCTCCTAGTGCAGCCGTTATGACCCTGGACTACACCATCTTTCACATCACCGCCTGGCCCTCTAGAATCTCAGCCTCTTAAATCAAGAAATTGTGTCTTGTTCATGTCTGAATTCCCCAAGCGAACACAGTGAGTGGGTGCTTGACAAATCTTTGTTGGTAATGAGCAAAAAGGGGATTCTGTGCCCAACACCATGAAATCAATGCACAGAAGTTTCAATCAACCAAGAAAGGTGCACAGACGCTGGCCACACACTGACATTTGTTTTCAGATGTTCCAGTCCCCCTGACTTTCACCAATCCATTCATTCCACAAGCATTTTTGATGGGGTGGAAGCAAGACAATACATGGTGTGTAAGTGACAGATAGGGTGGGTTTTTATAATGAGTATAGAAAAACTTCTAGCAGAAGATGATAAAGTATATCAAGAAAGGGCTCTCTTCAAGATCACACCACTGCACTCCAGCCTCGGTAACAGAGGGAGATTCCATCTAAAAAAAAAAAAAAAAGAAACAGAGACGGGGGCAAGGGAGCTCTTTTTTTCTAATTAGCACAAGATTGCCATTTCAGCTAGGGATTCTGCTGCAACCATCTCCCAGACCCTATTCTAGGGCCCGGGGACAGAAACAGAATTAAAAACATATTCCTTATCTTTCTTGGGCTTATATTATTGAGGAGAGAGAAATAAACAATTTCAAAATAAACAATGTCATACAGTGCTAAATGCTATAAATAAAATCAAACAGAATAACAAAAGAGGGAGTAGCTGGATTGAAGGGAAAAGCTGCTTCAGGATGAGTTGTCATCTTGGAGGAAAGTAAGCCCATGTAAAGGCCCTGGGGCAGAGTGAGCTTATTTGATAAAGAGGTAAAAGGGTCAGGATATCTGTAGCAATAGTGGCCACGGGAGGGAGAGGTATGAGACAGAGGAGGTGAGCCCTGTTGCCATGGTGAGGGCATGAGGATTTGTTCTAAGTTCCAGATACCTGGAATTAATGTCCTCTGAACTGGACAATAACTACGAGCCTTCATATCTCAATGCTACAGTCTTTAAGCCCCTGTTATAAGAACTCGGAGGCTTCAGGGATGACAGGAAACACCAGAACGCTATGGTGGAGCATATCTAGGTGCCTTCTCCCAACTCAGACCCTTTGACTGTACAAAGACACAGGTTTCAAGGCTGAGATCCACAAAACTCTAGCAAATACTGCACAGACACCAACCAATGACAGCAGGTGCTGCCTGTCACCCTGGAGCACCAGGCAGCATTTCAAAGCACTCTTGCTGTGCCGGCCTCTGATTGCTGGTTATAGGGAGGTCTGGGGTAGTCCCAAAAGCTGGGATGTCCAAGGTAGCTGGGGTCAGTCAGGAGGCTCAGGGCAGTGGCAGGAAAATATTTTCCTCCCTGTTAGAGCAACAGTGGGGTATCCAGGCTGAATATCAGTGGCGAGAAGGATGATCGCACAGCACCAAGACCTGCGGAACAAACTTTGTTGGAGCTGAATCCAGAAAAACAATCTTCTTCTAAGCCACTCTCCTGCCCCTCATTTAATTATTGTGCTTTTGGGTGTACTTGGACTACTCTGAAACATTCAGAACTCTGTCAAAAAAAAAAAAAAAGAAAGAAAGACTTCTTTCCTCAGCACCTCTCTGACTTGGGCATCAGTCTTGGCTTCCTGTCTACTTGCTTTCACTTGCTGTTTGTGGCAGAGATGGCCCCCAGCAGATCCCTTCCCTCGGGTTCCCTTGCTGTCAAGTGGAGGCTAGGGAGCGAGATTATGGCCAATAGAATGTGAGCGGAAGTGATGTGAACCACAGATCTGAGCCTTAGGAACATCCCACAGGACCCTGAGCTCTTCCCCCGGCTGCTGCAGTAGCCTTGGAAGCCACGTGTGTTCTAGAAGTGTAGCTACAGATGGAGAAGGCCCATGTGCTAGCTAGTCTCCAAAGATGGTGTATTAGGCCATCCTTGCATTGCTATAAAGAAATATCTGAGACAAGGTAATTTATAAAGAAAAGAGTTTGAATTGTCTCATGGTTTTGCGGGCTTTACAAGAAGCATGGTGCTGGCATCTGCTTGGCTTCTAAGGAGGCCTCAGGAAGCTTACAATCATGAGCAGGCACATCACGTGGCCAAAACAGGAACAAGCAAGAGAGAGTCGGTGGGTGTGGGGAGGGACATGCCACACACTTTTAAATAACCAGATCTCACAAGAACTCACTATCTCGAAGACAGCACCAAGCCATGGGGGATCTACCCCCATGGTCAAAACAACTCCCACCAGGCCCCAACTCCAGCACTGGAGATTGCAATTTAACATGAAATCTGGGTGGAGATAAATATCCAAATTATATCAGAGGGCCTTCCCTGGAAGCAGACCTCCTGGTTTCCAGGTCCCCTTTCTTGCTGCTTCTGGGCTGGTCTCCTGGGAAGCCAAGACTGCAGTGGCTCTGATGCTGCATGGGGGCTGAGGCTCAGCCATGAGGAGGCTCGCAGCTGCCACTTTGGTCTTTTGGAAACTTTGCTCATGAGAGTCTCCCCGTTGGGCCCCAGCCACCATGCTGTGAGAAGTGAGGGTCATGTGGAGAGGTCACATGGAGGTTTTCTGGTCTAGAGCACAACTGAGCTCCCAGAAACAACCAGCATCAATGGCTGGCCATGTGAGCCAGCTGGCATGGACATTCCAGACCAGTCTGTCCTTCTGTCACCTTAGCTACAGGGAAGGCCCATGACCCCAGAAGTGCCCGTCATTATGCTGAATTCTCTGGCCTCAGTGGTCCACCGAGGTGTGCAAGCATGTCTCACAAGGGTCAGATGGAGTTCTGGCCTGGATTGATGTGTAGATGCTGGAGAGAGAAGCTGGGTTTCTTTTGGCTGGGTGGCTCTGCTGGTATGTGGTGGGCCTTGGGTTTCCAGGTGGTCATTTTCCTTATTTGCAGAAGGAATGAGGCCCATATAGAGAATAGAGCAAATTAAAGGGAGAGAAAGAGAAAGAAGTAGGGAGAGAGGAAGATAGAGAAAAAGAAGGAAAAAGAAGAACGGAGGGAAGGAGAGGAAAGAAAAAGAGAAGGAAAATGAGAAGGAGGAGAGGAAGAGGAGAGAGAGAGAGAAAATGATTTCTTTGGACCTCAAAATTCAGGCATACCATGGTCTTTGCAGTTACAAAAGTCAATAAGTTACCCTTTAGCTGAAACATGTCTAAGTGGAGTTTCAGTTGTTACAACTGACAAAGCCCTGCCTAGCACAAGGAATAAACAATGTTCAGCAGTGGCATGAGAACAAGGGACAGCCTGTTTGGTGGGCAGCATGGCAAATGGCTGTCCAGAAAATATGACATTTGGGCTGGAGGGCAAAGTGGAATTCACCAGCATGCAGGGTGGAAGCACGACCCTAACAGAGGGAACATCACGGGCAAAGGCTCAGAGGCAGGAAGCTTTACGTGTGAAAGGATACATTTTTAGAACACTAAACATTCTCCCTGCTTTCCAAAACACTGAGTTTCTCATCATTTTTTGGCCAGATGTGGTGGCTCACGCCTTTAATCCCAGCACTTTAGGGGCCGAGGTGGGTAGATCACCTGAGGTCAGGAGCTCAAGACCAGCCTGACCAACATGGCAAAACCCCATCTCTACTAAAAATACAAAAATTAGCTGGGTGAGGTGGCAGACACCTGTAATCCCAGCTACTCAGGAGGCTGAGGGAGAAGAATCGCTTGAACCAGGAGGCAGAGATTCCAGTGAGGCGAGATCGCACCACTGCACTCCAGCCTGGGAGATGAGACAGAGCAAGACTATCTTAAAAAAAAAAAAAAAAAGACTGAGTTTCTCATCATTTTTTGAAACTGAGAGTGTTCTGTGTATCAATAAGACCTTATGATGCAAAATATAATATAATGTGCAGCTAGGTCTCCACAGCCTTCAGTCTTTCCCTGGAAGGGCTCCATGAGCTGCTTGTCTGGTGGGGATGGTGGTTTTGAGTAAGTAGTGGGTGTCCTCTCTTACCCAGGCTCTTTCCCACAAAGAGTTGAGCAGAATTAAAAGCTACTGGAAACCAAGATCTCTCTCTGACGTTGACTTGTCAGAGCTCAGCCTCATCAGCACAGGCTCTAATCAACTAAGCAGCTAATAAACTCCTGCCTCATTTCATCCAGCCAGAGCCCTGATCTCAGGGGATGATAGTGAGGAAACGATCCTTTCACATGCCTGGCTCCTGCAAAATTGTGCTAAGAGGATTTTCCTCAAACATTTTAGCACAAAGCGAGTTTTCCTAATCCAGTTAGCAAATATTCTTCTATTTGAACTCATTGACCCTCCTTCTTCTGAAGATGTATTTTAAATTGGATTTGCTTCACTGACACAAATGGAAAACTTGATAAGAAAATCGGTGGGGTTTTGCTGCACCCACTGCTGATATCAAAAGACTCAACTCTGTATTACAGCAATGAAAGCTCTGTTCTGTAGCTACAGGATACAAGCTGAGCTCCCAGCCACCAGCCCTGCCAATGTGCTCAGCTTGGCACAGGGCAGGGAATAGGGTAGAGGGGAGGGGATGGGGAGGGGCAGGTGGAAAGGCCCAGGTGATGAGCCAGCCACATCACCTCAACCACAGGACCCCTGATGGTGGCCCTAGAGCCTCCTCTTGAAATCCAAAGCTCAGTCCCTCTTCCCAGTTCAGGAGCAAGGAGGTTTCTGGCAGGTTAAAATGGCTAACTCAGGAGCTTGCCACCTTTGAAAGGCAGCACTCTGTAGACAGAGGCAGAAGGATGGGCTTACGAGACAGTCCTGGGTTCATATCCTTCTCTGACTTACCAGCTCTGGAACCTTAAGCAAGTGACGTAACCTCTCTAAGCCTCAGTTGCCTCATCTTTAAAATGGCATCCATTAGTGGGTGCAGCGCACCAGCATGGCACATGTATACATATGTAACTAACCTGCACAATGTGCACATGTACCCTAAAACTTAGAGTATAATAAAAAAAAAATAAAAAAAAAAATAAAATGGCATCCCTAATGCTTACTATGAAGAGATATCATGGGTAAATGAGATGCTGTACTTACAAAAGTGCAAGTCCCTGTATTGGTCAAGTTTTTTTTACAGCAATGCTACATAACACACAGCCCCAGGGTCTCAGCAGCTTAAAACAAGTGTTTATTTCTTGTTAATAATTTGCAGTCAGCTGGGAAGCCTTGCCTCAGACTGGGGGCCAGGCTCTGTTTGCTTCTGTGTGTCTCATTCAGAGGCCGGTGGTTCCCTGGAGCTTGCTCTTCTCATTGTGCAGGGGTGGGGTCAATGCGGCCACCCAACACCACATTCTGTTAGAGCCTCCGGTCAGACCAGGTGTGCACTAACTCTGCTCATGCATCTCTAGCCAAAGCTGGTCATGTGCACAGTAAGAAATCTGCTCTGTCCTGTCCACAGGGAAGTCGCAGGAATGTGGAAAGGCCAGGAAGGATTGTGAGCCAATAATACATCTTGACAATCCACAATAGATGGAAGCTATCATTGATTCATTATCTCAAAATGGCTCCACCAGCCAACCCCTTCTATCCATCCCCAGTGCCACCTCCTAATTCAGGTCCTTGATGCTTTTTGCTTGCATGGCTGCCAGAGCTGTTGGGCAGGTCTCTCAGTGCTGATGTCTTCACCCCCACTCCTATCTCCTCCATCCAACATTCTACCACCAAGGCAATCCTCCTAAAACACAACCACAGTGTTCTTCATACTCCCTATGATTCCCTGCAACCCACATTATTAATCATTAATCCAATTAATAAAAATTAATGCACTAATTCCCAGCTCCTCAGTGTGGCCCTTCACAATCTGCTTGTCCAGCCTCATCTCTTGCTTCCCCAGCTTTCCCCAGCAGACCCCTCTTCCACCCATTCCAACGCTGTCCTCTTCTCCCAGCCTAGTTCTTTCAGGCCCTGTGCCTTTGCACTTGCCCCTGTCTGAAATGTCCTTCCCACTTCTTCTTGAAGGGGGTGAGTGCCCACTCACATTTCAAACCCCACACCAATGCACACCAGGATCTCCTCAAGACTCCAGGGTAGTAGCCACCCTCTGTATTTCTGCAGCACGCTGCACCTGCCTCTAGCACAGCTCAACAGCCCACTGAAGTGAATGATCTGTTCGCTCGGTGCTGACTTACCTTTCTTTCCCAGCTGCAAACCACTCAAGGTGAAGTCATCTTAGCCTCTTGGAGTCAGCCTGACTGGGATGAACCCATTGATATGTGTTGCATAGATGAACATATCATGACAATAGTGATGAGGGATCTCCAGCTATCTGTGCACTCTCTATGCTTCCCAGACTCTTTGGCAGTTGTGTTGGGTACTGGCTGAGTTCTGGAAAACAGGAATGTGAGCAGAGTGCTGCAGATCTCCTTGTCAGGAGCACCTAAGAACTGGCATGACTCTACACCCTCTCTCCTTCTGCAGTGACCTCATGTCAAGAAGGCAGACCTGCAGAAATGAATGTGCCTGGATACCTGAGTCACCAGGTGAAGGAAACTCCCATTGACCTGCATCACACTCCAGATATGAAACCCTTCTTTTTCTGCACTGTCACTGAGGTTAGGGATTATTACTCACTGCAGCTTAGCCTAGCATTAAGTTGCTTGACTAATATAAGTTTCAATAAATGTTGCTCCATTTCCCATGGCTTCTGACTGAATGCTTTGCAATATCCACAAACCATCCAGATTGTGGTTTATAAACACCACCCTTCACTAAAAGGACTCAGAGCTCCTTGGAGAAGTGGCTGATGCTAACGCTGGGGGAGGGAAGTACAAGGTGAGCCCAGAGTGCTGTGTGGTTCCAGAAAGCAAGGAAGCATTTAAAAAATGGCAGGGACATGTCAAAGGACACATCAATCAACTTGAAGGGGCTTCCATTGGCCAAATCTGGGATGATGTGAGCATCCAAATTAATAATGATAATGGTAGATTATAGTCTATTGAATAAAATGAGAACCTATAGCTATAGAAAGAAAGAAAAGGGAAGGAAGAAAAGAAAGAAGAGAGGGAGGGAGGGAGGGAAGAAGGAAGAAGACTTTCTTACAGTAGAATGCCAGTGAATAAATACAAAGGGAATAATAGAAAACTCCATTTGCATGATCATAATAGTTTATTCAAGGAAGAATCATCACTGAGTGAAAATTTAAAAAGGTAAAGTATATTTTCATTGTCTCATAGCACTTCCACTCATATGGTTTATTAATTGCAAAGAGAAAAAGTGGTAACTTAACAGTAGAGAAACCCAGCAGGTCCTCCCTTAATGAGCTGAACAAAGTTAACATCACCAGGAATAGGACAAATAGGTGCCAAGTGTCTCTTGATGTGATACACTGAGAACACAGCATCGCTTCTGTAGCATTCCAGTCCCCGGAGGAAACATCGGACAAACACAGATGGAGGGACCTTCAAGGACTGACCTGAACTATTCATTGGTGTCAACTCCATGATAGACAAAAAGAGGTAGAGGAACTGTTCCAGATTAAAGTAGACTAAAAAGTTATGACAGCTGGATCAGGGGAAACATGCCTTAAAGGGCATTATTGAGACTGTTGGCAAAATTTTAAGTGAACTGTATATTAGACAATTATCAAGGACTAGGTGATTGTATGGCATCAACCTCAAATTCCCTGAACTTCAGCACTAGACTCTTCTTGTTCTAAGGGAATATGTTCTGAAATGTTTAAGGGAGAGGAGAAGGATGCCTGCAACTGAATTTCAAATGGTTCAGGGAAAGATAATAGAGTAGAATAGACTCTATAGATGGAGAAAGTAAATGTGGCAAATAACAATTGGTGAATGTGGGTGAAGGGCATGAAAGTTCTTTGCCTTACAATTAATTCTTCTATAAGTCTGAAATTATTTGAAAATAAGGGAAATGCTTTCAGCTGTGAATAACAGAAAGCCTGACTACTTGTGGCTTTTGCAATAAAGACATTTAGTTATCTAACATAACAGGATTTAAGAGGAAGAAGGCAAGGGCTTGGAAAGGCTCAGTGATGTAGCTGAGGCCCCAGATTCCTTTTATCTTTTTGTCCAAAGGCTCCACCTTCCTGAATATTACTGCTTTATACCCTTGGAGACTCATGGTCACAGGATGGCTGTTATAGCTCCAGCCATCATGACCAAGTTCAGACTCCAGGAGCAAGATGGAGGAAGCTATGTCAAGGGGGCTTTTCTTGATGTGTCTCTCATCTTTAACCAGTGAAGAAAATCTTCTTAGTAGGACACAGCAGACTTCTCCTTATGTCTCATTATCCAAAAGTGGACCACAGGACAGTCCCTACTGTAAACTCTTTCAAATATCAGGCAAAAAGGAACAAAAGGCCCCAGCCTGGCTTAAACCAACCATGAGTCATCACCTGACACTGGACATTTTGTTTCTCCGGGCAAAATCAGGATTTTCTGTTAGCAAGCAAAGGAACTGCTCCTGGGTAAGAAATTAACAGTGTGTGCCATAATTCATATTTGCCACCAAGCATCTCCTCAGGCTGACGCTGTGCCAAACAAGGGATTATAGAGATGAAGACGCAGCTTCCATCCCCGAAATCTCACAGTCCATTCTCTCAGGGCAATCCCGGTAACCTCCTCATCACAATTATCCATCCAGACCATGGAAGTCCCTTTACTCCCCAAACAGGAACGAGTGGCAGGAAAAAGTGACCTCATCAAGCTGACTTGAGTTTTTCCAAAAGCAAATAAATAAATAAATAACTTTTTAACCTGCACAGCCAAATATCAAATAAATACATGTATGTTTTTGCAGGAGTTGGGGGGTGTGTTTTTGGTTGTTGTTTTTTTTTTTTTTTTTTTTTCCGGAGCTTCCTGTCGTATTGAAACTATCTCCCACTTCCTCCTTTTTGTCTCAAAAGATCTTAAGCATTGGGCCAGACACAGTGGCTCCTGCCTGTAATCCCAGTACTTTGGGAGGCCGAGGTAGGCAGATTACTTTAGCCCAGGAGTTCGAGACGAGTTTGGGCAACGTAACGATAGCCCATCTCTAAAAAAAAGAATACAAAAATTAGCCAGGCATAGAGGCGAATGCATGTAGTCCTAGCTACCTGGGAGGCTGAGGTGGGAGGATCACTTGAGCCCCAGAGGTCGAGGCTGCAGTGAACTGTGATCATCACATCTGGGCAACAGAGCAAGACCCTGTCTAAAAAAAAAAAAAAATCTAAGCATCCTTTCTTTTTAGTTCATTTGAGGATAATGATTGAGCTCCCCTTCTACCATCACTAGGGATACAGAGGGGGAGCAAACAGACGTTGTTCCTTCCTCTTGAGGCTCACAGTTAATTGGTAAAGAGGGACCACTATTCAGAAAGTCCCACACATCATTGTATGATCAAAAGCTATGACAGATGCAAGGAAGGAAAGCTAGATGGTGTTGTGAGGCTTCATGGCAGGGACACTAAACCTGGTCTAGAGGTGAGGGAAGACTTCCCTGAGGCACTGGCTTGAATGGAGAGCTGAAGGAGGAGTAAGAATTCACTAGAAGAAAGAAGAGGAAGCAGCAAGTGCAAGGTCCTGCTGCAGCAGGAGGGAGCATGGCATGTTCAAGAAACACAAGAAGCCGGCAATGTGGATTACAGAGGAAGAGTGCAGCACGAGGGCAGTGGCTTGAGATGAGGCCAGAGAGGAGGGCATGCAGGACCAAGGGGACCAAGGCAAGGATTTTGGTGTCCATCAAATTGGAGGGTGCTGAGCAGGGGAGGGGTAACCATGTAATTGCCTTTCTCAAATGCCCCTCTTGCCATAGCAAGGACAGACTGGTAGAAGCAAGGGATGAACTGGAGAGATGAGTGAGGAAGCTGCTCCAGAAGACCCATCAAGAGATGATGGTGACAGAGAATTGAGTGGTAGGAATGATGATGGGAAGAGATGAGTGGAATCCAAGTATTTGTGGGTAGAAGTGGCAGGTGTGGCTACTGAAGGGAGATGGGGCTGTAGGGCTGTGAAGGTGTGAGTCCTTTACTTATCCATCTTAAGGGTCATGGCTGACACTCCTATAGGAAAAGACACATTAACAAGAGAAAAGCAGAGCAAATTTATTTAATCCAAGTTTTATGTGACATGGGAGGCTTCAGAAATGGCAACCCAAAGGCCGAGGGAAAACTGTTGATTTTTATGCATAGGTTAGATGAAGAATGGACAGCCGGATAGAAATGTGATTGAACAAATGGGTATGACCTACTGGGAACAGACTAAAAGGGGACCCAGCAAAACTGTCTGCTCAGATTTTTCTCAGCCTCTCTGTGTAGGCTTCCTTCCTCCCAGGTATGGGGCAGGACCCCTACTGAAATGAGAGTTTTCAAAGGAGAAGGAGAAGATGAGAGTGACCTTTCTAGGTTTTATGGTTTGCTTTAGCAGGAGGGTTTCTAGGTTCTATGACCCATCTTGAGGAAGATAAATTCTGGTTTCTGTGACTCACTTTGGAGGATGAAGGCAAGCAGAAGAGAGGGTGTGAGGAGAAGGTTGGAAAGACCTGGCTTCTGAGTTCCTTCCAATGTCCTTCAGTTCAAAATACTCAGGCTGAGGCACCATGCTTTGGGGTGTCATGTTCTGAGCCCCAACAGCATAACGGCAGCATCAAGACAACCTTTGCAGCCCGGCTTGCATAATGGACAGACACTGGTGCAATCCATGGGGTTGGAAATGTGGAGGGATAACTGGCTGGTGATGCCGGGAGCCTTGAGTTCAGTGTTGGACACATTGAGTGTAAAGTGCCTTTGAGACACCCAAGTAGGCTGTTGGAAATAACCAGCCTGGAGCTGAGAGGTCAGGTTGAAAAGCAGTGTCCGGATGGCAGGTGGGCCCTTGGCCATGAATTAGACCACCAAGGAGAGCCAAGTGAGAAGTCAAGAGGACCTAGTAGGGCCCCTGAAAACTCCAAATGGCCAAGAATAGGCAAAGAGCTACAAACAATCCTGAGAGGGGGCCGAGGGCAGAGACACCTGGAGGGAATGTTCATCGAAGTCACACCCTTCCCCTGCATCCGCCCCTCACTCTGCAGATGGGAGCTCAAGAAGCCAAGGGGCTTGCTCTGTAACCAGGTCACCCGGCTTCATCCTGGGCAAACTGAGATCACAGTCCCCGACTCTCATTTGCCCTCTTCTCTGCTTTTGGGATTTTTTTTTTTCTTTTATACTCTTTTTTGTTTTTTTCTGGGTACATAGTAGGTGCATATATATGTGAGGTACATGAGATGTTTTGATACAGACATGCACTGTGAAATAAGCACATCATGGAGAATGGGGTGTCCATCCCTGAAGGATTTATCCTTTCTTTTTTTTTTTGAGACGGAGTCTAGCTCTGTCGCCCAGGCTGGAGTGCAATGGCATAATCTCTGCATCTCTGCTCACTGCAAGCTCCGCCCCCCGGGTTCATGACATTCTCCTGCCTCAGCCTCCCGAGCAGCATTTTTTGTATTTTCAGTACAGATGGGGTTTCACAGTGTTCACCAGGATGCTCTCGATCTCCTGACCTCATGATCCACCCGCCTCGGCCTCCCAAAGTGCTGGGATTACAGGCATGAGCCACCGCACCCAGCGCATTTATCCTTTCTAATACGAACAATCCAATTACACTCTTTTAGTTATTTGTAAATGTACTATTAAGTTATTATTGACTACAGTCATCCTGCTGTGTGATCAAACAGTACATCTTATTCATTCTTTCTAACATCATCCCCACCTGCCCTCAGCCCCCCACTCCTCTTCCCAGCCTCTGGTAACCACCCTTCTACTCTCTAGCTCCATGAGTTCAACTGTTTTGATTTTTAGATCCCACAAATCAGTGAGAACATGCAATGTGTGTCTTTCTGTGTCTGGCTTGTTTCACTTAACATAATGACCTCCCATTCCATCCATGCCATTTTCTGCTTTTGTACAAGGCACAAAAAGCAGGGCAATGGGACTCAATGGATTTTCCACGCTGCTCTAACACACTACTGCAAACCTGGTGGCTTCAAAGAATGCCGATGTATTCTCTCATAGTTCTGGAGGTCACAAATCCAAAACGAGTCTTCCTGGACTAAAATTGAAGTGTTGCTAGGGCCCTTGGTAGAAACCCTAGAGGAGAATCCATTCCTTGCCTCTTTGGTGGCTGCTGGCATTGTGAATTGTGGCCACATCACTCCAATCTCTGCCTCCACTGTCACATCACCTTCTCTTCTGTAGTCAAATCTCCTCAGCCTCCCTCTTCACTTATAAGGACATTTTGTGATTACATTGCGTATCCATACAGATAACCCATGATAGAATCCCCATTGCAAATCTTTGAAGTAATCTCATCCACAGAGTCTCTTCTGCCAACATCCCGTTCACTAGTTCTGGAGGTTAGGACATGGACATCTTTGGGGGTTATCATTCCCCCTTTCACAGGCTATTTGGGCTGTATACAAACCAGAGATCCGAGAATCATCTTGGCGGCCTCACTCTGTAAGCAGGGAAACGTCTGTCTGTGCTCAGCAGCAATCCCTGGAGGCAGAGACTGGAAATTACACCTGCAACCGTAGTAAGAGCTTGCCATGGGCTGGCATGGGTGCCATACCTGGAGCTGTACATGCATCCCCCACGATTCTCTCAGTGGCCCTTTGAGGTCGCTCTCTTACTGCCACCAAGGTGCAGGGTGGTGAAGGCAACTCAGAGCAGAGACCTGGCCTCGAAGCCTCGTCTCCCTGGAGAATGACCAATCATCAAGAATCTGTGAACACAAGCACGAGAGGCAATCTGAGCCCTTCCCCAAAGCCTCACTGTCCATTCACTCTGGCTGGAATCCTGCCCTACCTTCAGGGCCCAGCTTAGGGACAAGGAGCAACCACATCCTACCTCTGAGGACACAGCCCTCACGTATTTCTGCAATCCGTCTGCAGCTGATGGTCTGAATGAGCATCGTGTCATCATAGCACTTGTAAATTGTTGGAGGGGCTCCTCCACACTGAGGGAATGTGCTTGTTCAGGGAAGGGCACACTCCCCCATTTCTCCCCGAACCACACTTCTGCCATGGGACCCTGCGGACACAAGGGCCCTCCCCTTGCCCTGTTGCTTCATGTGGCTTAGTCTTGCTTAACAAACGTGCTAGGTGTGGAGGCTGAGGCCTGCGTGTAGTGTTGAGGGCAAGCAGGGACCACCTGGAAATGCTGAAAGCATTCTGTTAAAGTGGTGCCTTCCCATCATGATTGCTAGGCCCATGATGAGAAGAAATTGCAGGAAAGCACAACCTGGACCATAGAAAGGACAGATCAGTGGGTGGGGCTTTATGTGCTTATCCCTCCCACCACCCTGCTGCAGACCCCGCCCACACTCAAGCTTAGCCCCTGTGGCTTAGAACCCAAGGGCACTTCTGAGCTGAGGCCGACTTCAGGGAATACTAGTTAGGACAGGTCAGCTGCAAGTAACAAACAAACAAACAAAATACACAGGAAACTCTGACCCTCAGGGCCAAATCCAGCCCACCACCTATTTTTATAAATAAAGTTTTATTGGACCATAGGTGTACCCATTCATTTACACATTGTCTATGGTTGTTTTTAGGGTCGTAGTGTCCACAGAGATCTCATGGCACACCCAGAGCCTAAAATGTTTTCCACGTGGCCCTTTATGGAAAAAGTTCACCCACCCCTGGCTTGAACAATGACAACATTGAATTATCTGCCATCACAAGAACTCCAGAGGAAGGCGGCTCCAGGGGCACACGGAGGCTCAGCAACATCCTTGAGGCCCCAGGCTCCTGTTCCCTCCTCGGCAGGTGGGCCTTTCTTCTCGGGCTGGTTGCTTCATGGTCACAAGCCGGCTGCCACAGTTCCAGGCTTGACTGCCTCTCACAAGCACATTCAAGCCATGAGGAAGGGCAGGCTCCCTCCTCACCTCTTCTTATTTAGGGATCAAAATCCTTCCAGGGTGGCGCAACAGAGTCCCCTTACCTCTCAGTGTTTAGACCAGGGGTCTGTAAGCATTTCCTATAAAGGAACAGATAGTATTTTAGGTTGGTCGGGTCGTGTATGATCCCTGCAGCATATTCTCTCTCTCTCTGTGTGTGTGTGTGTGTGTGTGTGTGTGTGTGTGTGTGTGTGTGAGAGAGAGAGAGAGAGAGAGAGAGATGACCCTTTCAAAATGTACACTCCATTCTTCTCATGAGCCATAGTTTGTCAATGCCTGGTCTGGCACTCTTCACATGCCCACTCCGTGCCCATCTCCAGCAAAGGGTAGCGGACTTACCCTTGATATCAAAGGTCCTTGGCTTAGACCAATCACCCAAAACTGATGTTTCAGAGATGCCTGCCGGAGGAGTGTGGGCAGCTGTTACTGATGTCAGAAAAACAGTTTGAGTGCCACTTCATTCTCCGGCAGGAAGGAGTGATTGGCTGCTGGTCCTCCCCTGTCCGAGGAGGAAGATAGAATCCACCCACCAAGCTGTGGAGAGGTGGACCCCACAGATTCCCTTGCAAGCCACATCTGAGAGTGAGCAGAGGGAAGAAACTCAAGCGTTTGGAGTCCTCTTTCTCAACAACCAGGCTTAAAGCGCCATCTTGTGTCTTGAAGGGGAAAGGAGGTCAGGACGTGTGTGCTAGAAGCAGGCAGAGGATCTTCACCAAAGTCTCAAAAACTAAAGAAGGAAACATGGCGATCCTCAGGGCCTGCAGAGGCCCCGGCCCTTCCCATGCCCTACAATAGTCTGGTCTCATTTACTTCTTGTACTAGCAGGGCAGTTGCTGCCAAGGCCCTCAAACAGGAGGGCCATACTTTAGTTACCTCATCTAGTTGTTTAGAGAGGTAGGCCGGTGGCCTCAGCCAGGGCCCCACAGTTTGGGTGAAAAGTCCAGCTGCCATCTTTTCTCTCTCTGACACATAAAATAGAAAAGGCTTTGTCAGATCGGGTAGCCCCAGGGCTGGGGCTGCCAGAAGTTTTTCCTTTAACTCAGGAAAGACTTGCTGTTGTTGGGATCCCCATTCCAAAGGTTCCCGGACCCCGCCCACTTTGGGACCTCATACAAAGGCTTGGCTAATACTTCAAAGTTTGGGATCCACTGTCTACAAAACCCCACAACTCCTAAGAATTCTCTCACCTGCTTTCTGCCCTTAGGCTCCGGTAGATTGCAAATGACCTGCTTTCTTTCTGATCCTGGGCTGCCTTCCGTCCCCTGTCAGATAGTAAATCCCAAGTAAGGTACCTGCTGTCGGCAGATCTGAGCTTTCTTCTTGGACACCTTCTACCCACAGTCCTCCAGGTGCCGGTGTAGGGCATCTGTTCCCTTGGCACACCCGACTGCCGTGGGGTGTCCCAGCAGAAGGTCATCAACCTACTGGAGCAACACGCAGCCTAGGTCTCTGCTGGGAAACTTCTGGAGGTCTCGAGCCAATGCCTCCCCAAAGATGGTGGGGGGAGTTCTTGAACCCTTGGGGAAGCCCGGTCCAAGTGTACTGAGTAGTGACACCTGACTCCGGATCTTCCCACTGAAAGGCAAACAGCTTCTGCCTCTCGGGGGCTAATCTGATAGGAAAGAAAGCATCTTTCAGGTCAAAGCAGGTGAACCAGCTGTCCTCAGCTGGCAGCAACCCCAACAATGTGGACGGGTTAGGTACTGTTGGAGGGAAAGTCAGTGTAGCTTGATGAAGCAAGCGCAAATCCTGTACCGGCCGGTAGTCCTTGGTCCGTGGCTTGGGAACAGGCAGGAGGGGAGTGTTCCACGCAGACTGACAAGGAACAATAATTCCAAAAGTTCTTAGGTGCTTGAGACGGACCTGGATACCTTGAAGGGCTTCTCTGGGGACCGGGTCCTGTTTTTGCCTAACCGGCTGGGCCCCAGTCTTAACTGGCCAATCCCGGAGGGTTGTCTTCCGCCCGTACTCTTGGCCACCGCTTAGCCAGAGCTGGTCTTCTCTCTTGGCCTGGCTCAGTTCAGAAAAGTCTCCATTCCTCCTCTCGGGGACCATAAGGGTCATAATGACTCCCGTTCTGGGTAACTTTGGCAGCAAAGAGCCGTGCTCTGTCAAAGAGATAGTGGCTCTCAGCTTGCTGAGCAAGTCCCTTCCCATAAAGGGCAAGGGACAGTCAGGCATGTACCAAAACTGATGAATGACTTTATGTCCTCCTACAGTACGAGTCCGAGGCAAGCAGAAAGCTTGCTTTGCTGAAACCCCCATGGCTCCGATGATGTCAATCATCTTTTTGGATAAGGGGGCAACCGGGGCAGTTACTAGCGAATGTTCAGCACCTCTATTTACAAGAAAATCAATGTCTCTACCCCGGACTGTCATTCTGACCAGAGGCTCTTGGGGACGCTTGAGCCTGGTCTCCCTCAGTCCAAGAACCCTTCTGCCAGGTTGAGCAGGGCCCCTTCCTCCTCGTCCGGGGCCTCCTGCTCTGAGTCACCTTGTTTTCTTTTGAGCTGAGGGCACTTGTTCTTCCACCGTCTTATTTCTTTACTATAAACACACTGGGTACGCTGCAAACTCTGACAGCCAAGCTGAGTTTCTTTCCCGGGGCCCCCCTTCCCTTGCCTCTTTGGGGGTCCCCTCTGATTGCTGCAGCTAACAACCAGGTCGGTGTTTCTCCAGGCCTGACCTCCATTCTCTTTGCCGTTTTCCTTAGGGCTTGCTGCATCCCTGTTTACAAACACCTGGCTAGCTATTTCTAGTAATTGTGGTGGATTCATCCCTGCAAGCCCAGCCTCTTTCTGCAGTTTTCTTCTCATGTCTTCTGCATTTTGACGGACTAAAACCATGTGAATCATGCACTGATTTCAGGGCTATCGGGATCAGAGGGAGTATACATACGATAGGCCTCATGCAGTCTCTTGTAGAATTGTGCTGCACTTTCTTCTTTTCCCTGAATGACCTCAGAGAGCTTGCTAACGTTTGTGGCCTTCTGAGCTCCCCTCATTAATCCTTCCAAGAGAGCTTCCCTGTCTCGGTTTAGCCTTTGCATATCCTCTGTTTCATGTGGGTCCAACTGGGGGTCGGTTCCTGGTAAATGGGTCCTTCCATACTCTTGGGGGTTTTGCTAATCAGCTGGTGCATGTTCCTCTAGCCACTTAGTTGCTGCTTGCAGGACTCTCCGCCTTTCTTTGCTGTTAAAGAGGAACATGAGCAACTGGTGCCAATCAGCCCAGGTGTGGTTGTGGGTCTGGATAATAGTTTGGAGCAAATCAATTAGAGCTTGTGGCTTTTTGGTATAGGGCGGTGTATTGTTTTTGCAGTTGAGAAGGTTGACGGAGGTGAAGGGCTGGTACCCAAAAACGCCTCTCCACCACGTGACCATCCTCATCTATCCCTGTATACCGCTGCTCTCTCAGGGGCGTTTGTATCCCCGTTTTGGGTCGTAAACGAGCTGCCGAGGGAGGGGTGGAATGTGACTTACCGAAATTAATAATCTCAATTATTAATTGACACTAATAATGATCAATATTAATAACTGATCATATAATTTTTAAAATCAATACTGATAATAATGATAATTAATATTAATAGTTATACTAACGATAACAATAAATGATTAGTATTAATGATTAATGATGCCTGATATTAATAACTGATGTTGATCTTATTCATTAGAAAACAGTAATATTAGCTCCTAATAATTAATATTAATATTAATAATTAATAGCAATATCACTATTAATAATAAAAAAGATATCAGTAATTAATGTTACTTCAATCAATCATAAGTGATGTTGGTAATAAAACAATAATTAATATGAATATTAATAACTAATATTAAAAGTGTCATTAGTATTAAAATTAATTTTAATCATGCATAATCATACCTTGAAAATAATCATTAATGATTAATAACGTTATACTATTAATTAACATTCCCATTCATAATTATTAATAAGACTGATCTTTAATAATTCATAATATTATTACTGCTAATACCGCAGGGGGTGTATACCTACCTGTGATATTGTTCTTAATATCCAGGGATGGAGAGCACGATATTAGTTTTCATATCGCAGTAGGTGTACACTCACCCTGTGACACCAATCCTAATACCCAGCGGGTAGAGTATGAAATGACTGCCAACATAGCAACGAACGTACAGCCACCTGGTGATATTGCTCCTAATATTCACAGAAGAGTATGATATTACTCCCAATATCGCAGGGAGTGTAAACCTCTTCTGTGATATTGTTCCTAGTATCCCGAGGGGGAGAGGATGATAATAATTCCAGCATCACAGGCTGTGTTCACCCAGCCTGTGAAATTGTTATTAATATCCTGAAAGGGAGAGGATGATATTGCTGCCCATAATAGATAGATATGACTCCCCATAATAGAGCAGGAGGTGTACACCCACCCTGTGATATGCTTCCTAATATTCAGAGGCCGAGAGGCTGATATTGTTCCCAATATCGCAGGAACTGTACACCCCCCTGTGAAATTGTCCTTAATAATATTCCAAGGCGGAGGGATTGATACGAACACATAGATGGCAGAAAGTGGACACCCCCCAGGGATATCGTTCCCATGATCCTGGAGGGAAGAGGAGGATATTACTTTCAATATCAGAGAAGGTGGACACGCCCCCACTGATATTGTTTTTAATTCCAACGTGGGAGAGGAGGATATGACAAGTGATATCACAGAACTAGAAACATTTCTGTGATACTGTTCTCAATATTCAGGGAGGAAGATGATGATATCACATCCAATACAGACGGGTGCACACCCTCTTTACACCGAGGGTGTACACCTGTCTGTAAAACAGTTCATAATCCCCAGAGCGGGAGATGATATAACTCATGATATGGTAAACAGGCTGTGAGTCCACCGCGGATCCTAAGAGCCAGGGGGACAAGAGGGGCTGGCTCTTACTTCCCGCATCGCGGGGGGTGCCTCACCCCCCTGCGATGGGGGTCCTAAGAGGCAGGGGGGGCAAGAGGGGCTGGCTCTTACTCCCCGCGTCGCGGGGGGTGCCTCACCCCCCTGCGATGTGGATCAGCATATCCAGGGGGCGATAGGGGGGTGATATGTCTCCCCGCGTCGCTAGTGGCGTCTACCCCTCTTCGATGTGGATCATCATATCCAGGGGTGGAGAGGGGGGTGATATTACTCCTCGCATGGGGGGGTCGCCTGCCTCCCTGCGATGTGGATCGTCATATCCAGCGGGGGAGTGGTCGGTGCTATTTGTCTGCGAATCGCGGGGGCACCCGCCTCCATGCGATGTGTGTCTTCATATCCAGAGGGGGGAGATGGGGGTGATATTATTCCCAGCATCGAGGGGTGCGCCTGCACCCCTGAGATGTGGATGGTAATATCCAGGGGTGGGTGTGGAGGGTGATATTACTCCCCGCATCGCGGGGGACGCCCGCCCCCCTGCGATGTGGATCGTAATATCCAGGGGTGGAGCGGGGTTGATATTCCTCCCCGATTTTTCCTAGGATCTTTTCTGTACTGCGACCCTCGGTTCACACCCTGTGACATTATCTTCCATATTCTAGCAAGATGAGGCTGCTAAAGTCGCAGGGGGTATTCACCCTTCAGTATTATTCGTAATTTTGTAAGGGAATGTTAAACGTGATGTCACAGGACTCTGCACACTGTCTTGCTATTCCCAATATCCTAGCTTTACCTTAATAATAATGTCACATTGTGTGTACACCTTGTGGTGTTATTCTCATTTTCCTAAGGGAAGGTTGCTTTTATTGTCACACGGGGTAAGTTCCTTTTGTTATTATTCATAATGTCCTAGAGGGATGTCACCCCTTATGTCACAGGGTTTGTACACCTTGTCAAATTACTCGTATTATCCTCATAAGATGTCACTCCTCATATCACAGAGGGTGTACACTCTGTGATATTGTCGTCATATTCTAGGGAAATGTTACTTTTATTGTCACAGAGGATGTACACCTTGTGAAATTATTCGTTATAATTTTGTGGGGTGTTACCCCTAATGTCACATGGCGTGTACACACAGTGATGTTACTTGCAATATGCTATGGAAGTGTTGCTTGTAATTCACAGGTCCTGTACACCCTTTAATATTCTTCGTAATCTTCTAGGAAAACGTTACTGCTAATGTCACAGGGCGTGTAGAACCTGTGATAAAATTCCTAATATCCTAGCGGGAGTTCACTACTAATTTCACAATGCGTGGACACCCTTTGATATTATTCGTATTGTCCTGAAGAGATGTTACTACTGATGTCCCAATGCAGGTACATTCTCTGATCTTATTCGTTATATCCTTGGGGGATGTTACCTCTAATGTCACACGGGGTGTACTCCCTGTGTTCTATTTCGTAATATCCTAGGGCAATTTTACTGTTAATGACACAGGGGGTGTACACATTGTGATATTATTTGTGATATTCTAGAAAGATATTACTCCTAATGTCACAGGGCTGTACACCCTGTGATAGTATTCATAATTTCCCAGGGGTTTATTCTCCTATTCGAACAGACGATAACACCCTGTGACATTATTCGTAATATTCTAGCGAGATGATACTCCTCATGTCACAGGGGGTGTACAACCTGTTTTATTATTCTTACCATTCTAGGGAGATGTTACTCCTAATGTCACAGGGATGTACACCCTGTGATATTATTCATAGTGTACCAGAGGGATATTAGCACTAATGTCACGATGCGTGTACACCTTGTGATATTATTTGTCATATCCTAATGTCACAGGGGGTGTGTTCCGTGTGATATTCTTCCTAACATCCTAGACGGATATTGCTCCTATTGTCACAGGGTGTGTACACCTTGTCACCTCATTCACAATATCCTAAAACTACGCTATTCCTCAGGTCACAGGGGGTGTTCACCCTGTGATATTTTTCATCATAGTTTTGTGGGATGTTACTCCTAAAGTCACACGGGGTGTACACAGAGTCACACAGTGATATGAGTTGTAATATTCTATAGACATGTTACTCGTAAATCACAGGGGCTGTACCTCCTGTGATATTATTCATAATGTTCTAGGGAAATGTTGCTACTATTGTCACGGGGGTGTACACCCTGTGATATGACTCGTCATATCCCAGCGGGATGTTACTACTGATGTCCCAATTCCTGTACACCCTGTGATACTATTTGTAATATCCTAAAGAGATGTTACTACTAAGGTCACAATGCATGTGCACCCTCTGATATTATTCATTGTATCCTCAGGGGGTGTTACTCTTAATGTCACACGGGCTGTACTCCTTGTCATATTCGTAATATCCAAGGGGGATGTTATTTTTAATGTCACGGGGGGTGACATTATGCATTAAGAATGTGTATTCAAGGCCTGTGACACTATTCCTAATATCCTAGGGGCATGCTCTTCCGAATGTCACATGGGGTGTACACCATGTGTGTACACCTGCTGTGGTATTATTCGTAATATCCTAGGGGAATGTTACTCCTGATGACACAGGCGGTGTACACCATGTGTGTACCCCTCCTGTGTTATTATTCATAATATCCTAGGGGGATGTTTCTTTTAATGTCACAAAGAGTGTACAAAACGTCACAGGAGGTGTACACGTTGTGACGTTAGCTGTAATACCCTAGAAGGATGTTACTCCTAATATGTCACAGGGGTGTACACGCTTTGATGTTATTTATAATCTCATAGAGAGACAAGACTTCAAATATCACAGTGGATGTACACACATAATGTATATCCTGTGATAGTATTCATAATATCCTAGGGAGACACAACTCCTGATATCACAGTGCGTGTACCCCGTGTGTGTACACCCTTGATATGAGTCATAATATCCAGGGTAAATATTACTCCTTATATCACACAGTGTGCACACCCTGTGATATTTTTCATCATACTTAGGGAGATATTGCTTCTAATATCACAGTGGGTGTACCCCATGTGTGTATACTCTGTGACAGTATATTCTATATCCTAGAGAGCTATTACTCGTAATGTCACAGTGGGTGTTCACCCTGTGATGTCATTCTTATTTGACCTTGCTGCCTTTTTTAACCCACCCTACAAAAGGAATGGAACAGATAAGAAGATATTGAGATTAGACCGTGCTGCCGTGCGGCCGCCGCAGGACACTTTTCATATCCCTGTTTCTCAGGCTGTAGATGAAGGGGTTCAGCATGGGGGTGACCATCTTGTACATCACTGAGGCCACTGCAGCCTTTCTCAGGGAAGATGACACATCTGAACTGAGGTACCCTCCAACACCTGTTCCATAAAATCAGCAAATAACTGACAGGTGAGACCCACAGGTGGAGAAGGTTTTATACTTCCCGCCTGATGATGAAACCCTCAGAATGGAGGAAACAGTTTTAAAGAGAAAAGGGTCCCCGAGATGGGAAGGAAAACAAATATGACAGCAGGGAAATACACGATGATGTTATTGGTGAAGGTGTCACAACATGCAAGATGGGGGAGTTGAGAAGGGTCACAGAAGAAATTAGGAATTTCCACATCCTTGAAGCAGGTCATTTGTAAAGCAATCAAGTTGTGCAGCTGGGTGTCTAAAAGACTGAGAAAAAAAAAAAAAGACAACAAAAGTAGGAAGCCACAGAAACATGGATTCATGATGGCTGAATGATATAGAGGGTGACAGATGGCTACAAACCGGTCATAGGCCATCACACTCAGGAGCATTTCTGTCTTCCATGCCTCCAAAAATGGCAAAGAGAGACATCTGAGTCAGGCGGCCTGCATAGGAGATCACTCTGCTGTGAGACTGGATGTCCACAATCATCTTGGGGACAATGGTGGAGGTGAAACTGATGTCAGGCAAGGACAGGTTGGAGAGGAAGAAGTACATGTGGGTGTGGAGGTGGGAGTCAGGGCTGAAGGCCAACATGATGAGCAGCTTCCCCAGCACTGTGACCAGGCACATGGACAGGAACAGCCCAGTGAGGACCGGCTGCCGTTCTGGATCCTCTGTGGTTCTAGGAGGAGGAATATAGAGACATCCATTAGATTCTGTGGGTCTGTAGAGATTGGACACCTTTTGCCTAGAAAAGAGGGTTGAGAAATCGGAAACAGGTAAACCAACACCCAGCATCGTGTCTGCATTTTGGATAGAAGCAATTCACAAGTCATGTTTTCAGATTTCAGAGCAATCCACACTCAGCAATATTTTGCAGTTCTGACAAACTCAATTGTCTTCTAATGCTTTCATCATTGATTTCTGTGTTATTCACTTCTTGTTGTACACACCCGCCTCAGAGTCACTAGATTCAAGAATGTTCCAAGAACCAGATCATCATATATAACAAATTCATAATTGCTAGAAAATATAGCTTATCTTTACCAAAGGAAACTATGTAATAAAATCATTCTCTTCACTTTAAGAAAAAGGTTATCCTAATTAAAGGAAATTAAGAACTCAAATGTTTTATTTTATTCGAATAGATTGATACAAATTCCCTTGATTTAGAACATCTGTAAACACTGTATAGCTGCTGAGACCATGCCATCTGGAAATGAAATGAAAGTTGATAGTTCATAAGCAGAAAATAGTTCCACAGGCCAGTTGGGTCCTAGTGATTTCATCATTCTGTTTTCTGACTTTTCTCCTTCAAGAGAGTAATTGCTTACTCAAATCGGTGGGTCTTGTTTCCAAATTCATGGAAGCTATAACTCCTGTCCTTAGCTTCGGTGGACTTAGAGTTTTCATCAGAACGTTTGGCCAGACACTGTGGCTCACGCCTCTGATCCCAGCACTTTGAGAGGCCGAGGAGGGCGAATCACGAGGTCAGGAGATCAAGACCATCCCGGCCAACATGGTGAAACCCCACCTCTACTGAAAACACAAAAACCTCACGCAGTATGGTGGTGCACACCTGTAGTCCCAGCTACTCAGGAGGCTGCTGTGGCAGGAGAATGGCTTGAACTTGGGAGGCAGATGCTACAGTGAGCCGAGATCACACCACTGCACTCCAGCCTTGGCAACAAGAGCAAAAATCCTTCTCAAAAAACAAAAAGCCAAAAACACACACTCTATCACACTGACGTCACACTGATGACAGCCAATTTTTGTGAACCAAGGAAGTGTCAATTCAATAATTCACATAGATGTTTCCTTTTGCTATCTCCTATGTGTCAAGCAAGATATAGGCTCTGGGGAATCAGAAACAAGAGACTCACTTGTTCCTCTCGCAATACTTAGTACTTACTGAGATAAGGACAAAATAAAATGTCCTGTCTGGAATGCAGGGAAACCAGAACTTCAGGTCAGGGGATATTTCCGTTGAACCGTATGGAGTTTAAGTTTAAAATATTTATGAATATATCTAAAATTCACTTTGCCTTTACTTTATGCATCCATTACGTAGAGATCACACAGCAGGCAACCACGATCGGTTTAATCATCGCTCACTTCCATTGGATCAACTAGAAATCAACTCAGATCAGAGTGCTGAGTCTCAGAGGATGGACGTCTCACCCCTTGCCGTACAGAGAAGTAGAAAGGGTGGTATTGAAAATTAATGACCAGACTCTAAGTCCCGGGCACTATACTTGATGGTCTCCCAACCCTCAAAATGTTGTGGGTTCTTTTTTGTTTTTGTATTTGTTTTTTTTTCAGACGGAGTCTCATTCTGTTGCCCAGACTGGAGTGCAGTGGAGTGATCTCGGCTCACTGCAACCTCCGCATCCCAGGTTCCAGCTGTTCTCTTGCCTCAGCCTGCTGAGTAGCTGAGATTACAGGCGCCCGCCACTACGCCAGGCTCATTTTTTTCTCTTTTTAGGAGAGACGGGGTTTCACCATGTTGGCCAGGCTGGTCTCGAACACCTGACCTTGTGATTTGCCTGCCTCAGCCTCCCAAAGGGCTGGGATTACACGTGTGAGCCACCGCTCCCAGCTTCCAAAAGTTTTCAACAGAGCTCAGAGGTCTTAACCACAGGCACATCGGAGGAGCATTTTTGAAACACTTTCCAGCTTCCTCAATAGGAATGGAAGCCAAACCCCGAATTGATGACTCCTTTGAGGAAGTCGAGAGCTGTAAGGAAAGCCAGGAACAGGGGCAAGGGACAGATGGATCCCGAATGATCCTGTGCCAATTCTTTCCGGAATCTTTGATGTGATCTCAGCTGCCCTTTCCATAGTTGACACAGTGATTGTGGCACCCACTGGTCTAGCTGTGGTCTAAAAGGAACCCCCAAAGGGAAGGGCACAGTGAGCAGGGGCATCGGCCCGAGTGACAAGGATTGGAGGGGGCAGGTTGGATGCAGGGAGAGGACTGGCCAAATGCCATGTGTCTGGCCTTAGACTGCCTGGTTCAAATTAGGCTTCACCCTTTTTGACTTCATGATCTGGTACAAGTTCTATGAAAATGTGTTGCTCCTTTTCTAGTCTGTAAAATCATCATGAAATGTGCACTAATAACTGAGAGACTACACAGATGAAATGAAACAAGCTGCATAGAGCACAGAGCTCAGAGCCTGGCCTTTAGGAAGCTTTCAGTTAAGTGTTCATGATACCATGGTGTCTGTCATCATCCTCTTTATCCTCATCATCACCTTCATCATCTTTTTGTTGTTCTGAGGGAATAGTTTAGAGGGACTCATTCCCTGCTATCATGGGTGAGATGTCTATGAAAAGGACAACAAGTGGGGGAGGGAAGCAAAATTTTGAAGAAGATTTCTGAGACCCCCAGCACAATCAAGAACAGAAACTCCACAGACTGCTGAGCAGAGAGTTTGCACATTGGTCTCCTCCCATCTGCCCACCGCACTATCCTGTTTGTCCTGAGGAGGAGGAAACAAAAGAAGGCTCTCGACCGTCCCTCAGCACTCACTTGAAGGGGTGACCTGCCCCTCCACACCTGTGGGTATTTCTAGTTGGGTGGGATGAGAGACTGAGGAAAGAAATAAGACACAGAGACAAAGTATAGAGAAACAAGTGAGCCCAGGGGACCGGCGCTCAGCATACCAAGGATCTGCACCAACACCAGCCTCTGAGTTCCCTCAGTTTTTATTGATTATTATTTTTATTATTTTAGCAAAAAGGAATGTAGTAGGAGGGCAGGGTGATAATAAGGAGAAGGTCAGCAAGGAACATGTGAGCAATACAATCTATGTCATAATGAAGTTCAAGGGAAGGTACTATGACTGAACGTATACGTAAGCCAGATTGATGTTTCTCTCCACCCAAACATCTCAGTGGAGTAAAGAATAACAAGGCAGCATTGCTGCGAACATGTCTCACCTCCCACCATAGGGCGGTTTTTCCCCCATCTCAGAATTGAACAAATGTACAATCGGGTTTTATACCGAGACATTCAGTTCCCAGGGGAAGGCAGGAGACAGCAGCCTTCCTCTCTCTCAACTGCAAGAGGCTTTCCTCTTTGACTAATCCACCTCAGCACAGACCCTTTACGGGTGTCAGGCTCGGAGACGGTCAGGTCTTTCTCATCCCACGAGGCCACTTTTCAGACTATCACATGGGGAGAAACCTTTGACAATAGGCCGCTTTCAAGGCACGATTCCCTGAGGCTTTCCACAGTGTATCGTGCCCCTGGTTTATTGAGACTAGAGAATGGCGATGACTTTTACCAAGTATACTGCTTGGAAACATCTTGTTAACAAGGCACGTCCTGCACAGCCCTAGATCCCTTAAACCTTGATTTCATATGACACATATTTTTGTGAGCTTCAGGTTGGGTCAAAGTGGCTGGGGCAAAGCTACACATTAACAACATCTCAGCAAAGCAATTGTTGAAAGTAAAGGTCTTTTTCAAAATGGAGCCTCTTATGTCTTTCCTTTCTACATAGACACAGTAAGAGTCTGATCTCACTTTCTTTTGCCTACACTCACTGAACTGTCCTTCCCCTCTGCTGGGCCATGACCACGGAGAACAGGTCCACTGTCCTCCCTGCATGGTGCACGATGGAGGATCAGACTCCGTCCTCAAGGCTGGCAAGAAGACAGGGTGAGACATGAGCCTCCTGATACAGGTGACGGGTGTGGAGCCCACAGGACTGGAACCTCACACTGCAGGGCTGGAAGCACAGACTGAGTATTTACTGTTCTGTGGCCTGGGGGGTTCAAGACACAGAGCTCCTCATTAGCCAAAGTCACCCAAGTTCCCCAGCCTCTAAGGATTTCCTCATAATAATGCAAGAAGAAGAAGAGAAAAGTGAGTGTCCATAGAAGTTTTGGGGCTCTTCTTCTAATCAGGAGAAAGCTGGTGTGTATTATTTGCTTCTTTCTCTTCTTTTTAAAGATCCAACTGCTTTAATTTTCATCTTTTATTATGGGAAAATATACCACGTATAAATATTAAAAAATTATATATATATTAGTTCATATAGAATGGCCAGTATAAACATTTACAATTTCCACTCTTTTTCACTTTACAGTTTCACGACATTAAGTACATTCACATTGTTTAGCAACCATCACCGCCATCATCTCCGGAACAGATTTATCTTTGAAAATGGAAATTGCACCCATTCAGCAAGCTCTCCACTCCTCTCTCTCACCCACCCCTGGGGGCCACCTTTATATTTTGCAACTCTGTAAGTTTAACTACTCTAGACACTTGATAGATAAGTGGAATCATACCGTGTTTAATTTTTTTGTTTTGGAGACAGTCTTTCTCTGTCGCCCAGGCTGGAGTGCAGTGGCATGATCTTGGCTCACTGCAACCTCCGCATCTTGGGTTCAAGTGATTCTTGTGTCTCAGTCTCCCGAGTAGCTGGGATTACAGGTGTGCGCTATCACGCCCAGCTAATTTTTGTATTTTTACTAGAGACGAGCTTTCACTATATTGGCCAGGCTGGTCTCCAACTCCTGAGCTTAAGTGATCCACCTGCATCAGCCTCCCCAAGTGCTGGGGTTCCAGGTGCGAGCCACTGAGCCTGGGCGTGTTTATCCTTTTGGGATTTATTGATTTCACTGACGAGAATGTCTTCAAGGTTCATCCATGCTGCGGCCTGCGTCAGAAGTGCCTGTTTGTTTTTGTTTTTTTTTTTTTGGTTTGGTTTTATTTTGTTTTGTTTTGCGTTTTCATGGACCCTCACTCTGTCGCACAGGCTGGAGTGCAGTGGCACAATGTGTGCTCACTGCAAACACCACCTCCTGGGTTCGAGCGATTCTTGTGCCTCAGCCTCCTGAGTAGCTGAGATTACAGGTGCGTGCCACCACACCAGCTAATTTTTGTATTTTTAGTAGAGATGGGGTTTGCCATGTTGGCCAAGCTGGTCTTGAACTCCTGACCTCAGGTGATCCACCTGCCTCAACTTTCCAAAGTGGTAGGATTACAGACGTGAGCCACTGTGCCCAGCCCAAGGATGAGTATATTTTCTATAGACTTTTGATGATAATCCTTTGACAGCAAATATATTGTGAATATATATATATATATATATATATATATATATATATATATATGGAGAGAGAGAGAGAGAGAGAGAGAGAGAGAGCATGTGAGAGAGAGAGAAAGAGAGTCTCCCTTTGTCACTCAGGCTGGAGTGCAGTGGCACAATCATAGCATGCCATGGCCTTGAATTTCTGGGCTCAAACAATCCTCTCAACTCAGCCTCCTGAGTAGCTGGGACTACAGGCATGTACTACCATGCCCGGCTAACTTTTTATTATATTTTTTTGTAGAGATGAGGTCTGACTTTGTTGCCCGGGCTGGTCTTAAACTCCTGGCTGAATGTGATCCTCCTGCCTTGGCCTCCCCAAGTGCTGGGATTACAGGGGTGAGCCATTGCATCTGGTGTGAAGCTGGGATTGCAGGTGTGAGACATGGCATCTGGTGTGAATATCTACTGGTAAGTACCTTGTACTTTCACTTTCATTAAGATGTCTTTCGACCTCATGAAATTATCTGAAAAACAGGGATGAAACACTGTTCTGCTCCATCTTCCCTGCAGGCACTTGGTTCCCATCCTGCTCTCTTGCCTCCCTCTTCTAGTGAATGGCCAGATAGGAACTATTGCAGGTTGATGGGCCATGTGGTCTCTGTTGCAAATATAACAGCTTTGCTGTTGTAGTGCAAAAGTAACCACAGACCACATGGAAACCATCTTTCCTGCATGGCCTCTATAATCTTTTAGAAATACACGTTGGGTCACACCACTGCCTGACTTAAAACATATAGATGACCTCTTCCCTGTCCTAAGCTATTAGGTTGGTGCAAAAGTAATTGCTGTTTCCATTAAAAGTAATGGCAGAAATTGGCTGGGCATGGTGGCTCACACCTGTAATTCCAGCAGTTTGAGAGACCGAGGCAGGTGGATCACTTGAGGTCAGCAGTTTGAGATCAGCCTGGGCAACATGGTGAAACCCCATCTCTACTAAAAATATAAAAATTAAAATTAGCTGGGGGTGGTGGCGTATGCCTGTAGTCCCAGCTACTTGGGAGGATGAGGCAGGAAAATGGCTTGAACCTGGGAGGCAGAGGTTGCAGTGATCCAAGATCACACCACTGCACTCCAACCTGGGTGACTGAGACACAGTCTGATAAAAAAAAAAAAGAAAGTAATGGCGGAAATCACAATTACTTTTGCACCAAACTAATAAAAGTCAAGTTCTGACCACAGCCTAGGAAGCTGGCTATGACCTGGCTCTTGTCACCCTCCCCAAGTTCAACTCCCGAGAACTTCCATTTCTTCTCCACTCCCCGCTCTGGTCTGCCATTCCTCACTCGTGTTGCATCAGATGCCTGCTCACCCTGGTGTTTCTGCATGTGCTCTTCTGTTAGCCTGGAAAGTTCTTTCCTCCCTCTTCATCCAGCACTACTAGACACCTCCCCCTGCCTTAGCCTAGCCATGTCCCCTGTCATTTAGTCTCAGAGTATCTTGAACGTCTTCTTCACAGCCCAACTTACAATCCTCACTCATTTGCTGAGTGGGTGCCATCCTTTCCACCTAGAATGCAAGCTCCCTGAGGGCAGGGGCTGGAACCGTCTTGTTCTTTGCCAAATCCCCAGTGCCATCTCTGGCACAGAGTGGGCATTATGAAAATATTTGCTGAGTGCATAAAAGGAGGGAATCATGGATTTAAGCACTCGGCTTGGTGCCCTGGGGATGGGGCTCCATAAAATCAGTTCCCATTTTTTCTCTCTCCTCTTCTCCTGGGAGGTGGGTGTCTGGGTTCTCCTGCCAGGCGAGCTTCTCTCTCATAAGACTCCAGGTGCCTCTTGGTCTAGGCCTGCCTCCTGCTAAGTGAGACTCTTTAGGGCAAGTCTGCATCTACTCTGCTGAGATGCAGCCACCAGAGATGGGCAACATGGGCCATGCTTGGCAGGTCCTGGGAATGAGGCTTCCTAGTCATCTGAATCAACTAGTCTGAAGTTACAAACTCACCAGATGTTGGTCAGCTGGAATCTTAGTGATGAGCTGGTCCAACCCCTCTTGTCGTAGTCAAGTCACTTGTGCAAAGCCACCACTTGGCTGGGACCCCAAGCTCAGGCCAGGGCTCTCTCCATGGTCCCAGGCTTTACACTAAGGGAATGTCAACTGTTCTCTAGAATCACTTGGACTACTTTATACTTTTGTGTCTCCTTTTCCTATTCTGTATTCTGGAAAAACAGAGTTTTCCTTGTGATTGAACAGAATCTTCACACTGTGTTGTTGCCGGCATTGTTTGAAATTTAGCCTTGGTTCATCCCCAGCTGGAGTGAATGACTTTCATTTGATCAGCTGCTGGATGTGCTGGGGAGGCTCTGAAGGGGGACCTATGGCCTTTAAGGCTCCTTTCCACCGTTAGATCCTGACTTGGGGCAAACACACACTCCAGCTCCTTCATGTCCAGATAAGACACCCAGAGGCCATGGCGAGGGTTCCCCCTGTCGGGGCCCTATTGCTGTTGAGAGGATCAAGGCAGCAGTCAGGGCCCGAGGGTTGTCCAGAAGAAAGCACAAAGCATACCGAGCCCTGGTCTGACAGCACTTAGGGGTGTGACAAAACCTTCTGTCATGGAACCAGAGATTGGAGACCATGGGAACACATCTGAATCCACATCACCGTGACAAGGTGGTGCTGATTTCCAGTGGTCCTCCCTGGTGGGGGAATCACGTAGCTCTGACTCTGGAGCGTGTTGTTGTGTTTCTCTTTCAGTATGAGCTTCTCTGTGGCCCTGGAGTTGCTCCCTTATGAAACAATGATGCCTCCCAACACAGGACATTCCAGGCTGCAAGCCTGTCCCTTCTGCCCAGCTTCCTTACCCCTGTGCCCCAAAAGCCCACAGCAGGTCCTGCCAGAGGCTGATGACATAACTGTCACTGTCCCAAGGGGGCAGGGGTAGCGATGGAAATATTAGGCCACAAAAGGCATGCCTGCGGGCACATATGAGGTAAACACCCAAAGCCAGATGTCAATGAAACAGTAATTCGGTGGAATAGGAGAGGTCATATTCTCATGCAAGACTGTGTAAATACATAAGTCTCCTTGGGCACAATCTGCCAGGGGACAATGGTTCATGCCGAGCCAGCTATTACACTGCGTTGCTAAGAACTTCCAACACACACTTAGACACACAGATACACACGCACATATGCATGCACACATATGCATGCATACACACATGTACCCCCACACACACATGGAAGCACACATACAGATACACACACGCACAAAAATACAGATATACATACAGGCACACACATGCACACACACAGATACACATGCACACACAGATACACATATGCACAGAGCTACACATGCATGCACACACATGCAAACACACATGCACATGCACACATATGCACACACATACATGCACACACACATGCACACCCAGAGATATGCATGCACGTACAGGCTCACACATGCAAACATTCACACGCAGATATGCATGTACACACGTACACACAAACACACATGCACACATATATATGCACACACAAAAACACGTGCACACACACATGCACACGCGCATATACACATACAGATGCACACACATGCACACAGACACATGCACACACATGCACACATCCACATGCACACACACGCTCACACATAGGCATGCACATGCACATGCACACACGTATGCACATGCTTACAGACGCACACGCACACTTGCGCACATGCACATGCACACACGTGAACACACATGCACACACGTATGCAGACATGCACGTGCACACACATGCACACACACATGCACACATGCACACACATGCACACACGCACACATACACACACACCACTCCTTTTCCATTTCTCTAATTTCCAATTTTTTTTCTATGAGCTTCCTCAGACTCATGATCTTGATTCTAGAATGAATTCAGGGAGTAAGTCTGTATTATTGAAATGACAGTAAATTCAAACATGCCTAAGCTTTTTCAATGTTGGGGAAACCATCTCACAGATCATTCAAATGACCCCAGGAGACATTTCACCAGGAACACTTGTTCATATCCCTCTCCCTTCTGCCAACCTCTGTGCTTTAATTATCAGGGGACCTATCTCTCGATTTTGGTTTCTCACCTCTTTGTCCCCATGTACACTGGACTGCACTACTGTGTCAAAGCTACTTGCAGCCTGACCTGGGAAATGCACTTTTGGATTCACTCAATTTGCTATCTATTTGGGTGGTTTGGGCTGGAAACTGCCCTGCTCACACTCTTGGCTCCCAGCTGCTCCTGCTTTGGGGGCGCCTAGAGACCCCAGCTCATCCCATGGGTCACATCCCCACAGTGGGGCCGGGGATGCGACTGAGAGTTGTCTGGGCTCCTCTCTCCAGCAGCATTGAGGATGGAGCTCAGCACTGTGTGACGTTGGCTGGTGGCCACTGCCTGTTTAGGTCGGAATGGCCCAGCCTGATGTCCACATGCACCTCTGCGACACACTGGCCTGCAGACCCCCGAGAATGTGCTGCATGCTTCTCACCTCTAGAGTGGCCACCCAGACAGCGATACAGACACACCAAGAAAACCCACAGGCAAGCCCAGAGTCGCCCGTTCTATAGGGCTTTGTGAGCCTCTGTGATTTGAGTCACAAGCTTCTTGTGGTGATTTCATTTAGCTAACATCCAACACAGTGCATTTAGAGACTCTTTCTCTTGGACATTATGTGGAGGCGTGGCAATGGTTTGTTGAGATAAATGTCCCAAAACACCCCTCAATAAAACCAAATAACAGCTCATCAATCCCTTACATTTAAAAAAACAATTCATATCTTATAGACAGCAAATATTGGACGACAATAAGGCACAGGAAAAAGCTCATAAGCCCAGATCAGCAGTCATCATTCAATTGTTCCTTAACTACTGACTGTGCACCTGTTCTGTACCAGCACCGCATCCTAGATGCAGGGACACCACACGAAATAAGATGACAAAGCAGCTGCCCCTGTGGATCTGAGCCACTAGCAGAAGAGACAGTCACTAAACGAATATCTCTATCCTGTGGTTTCTGGGAATGACAATCACATAAAAGGATAGAAACGGATGGAGGAAACCTAATTCAGACAACTCAGGATCAGAGTGGGGAGGTGGTTGCATCCCTCAAAATTCAGAGTAGCTGGAGTGCAAGCCTTGTCTTAGCTGAGCCTGAATCCTGGCCCTGCCGTTGACCATGGTGTCCTCAGGCAAATGGCTCAACTCCTCTGACCACCGGCTTCAAGTGCAGAACAGGGGACCAGAGTCCCATCTCTCAGGGTTGTTGCTGTGGACTGAATTGTGTTCCCCCCAATTCACTCATTAGGAGCTAATTAAGGTTAAAGGGGGTCATAAGGGTGGAATCCTAATCTGATAGGATTGGTGGTTTTATAACAAGAAGAGATGTCTCTGTCTCGGTCTCTCCCCCTCTCTGTCATGTGAAGACAAGCAAGAAGGCTGCTGTCTGCAAGGCAGGAAGACAGCCATTACCAGAAAGGGATTGGTGGATACTTCAATCATGAACTTCTGGCCTCCAGAACAGTGAGAAAATCAATGTCTGTTATTTAGGCCATCCGGTCTCGAGTACTTTGATATGGCAGCTGGGCTGGCTGAGGCAGTTGTTGAGAGGAACCGACAAGGTAGTTGGGGTAAAGCACACAGCACAGCCACAGCTCACTGAGCACAATGTCAGTCTCATTCCCCTTCAATTGTTATTTTCTGTCTGGAGGATTTTCATGATGGATTTTCTCCAAGAAGCTCCCTGGGCTCTTTGTAAATATGGAGATATTTCTGACAAGAAAAATCCTTACAGTTCTTAACATTGACAATGATCAGGAACAGCAAGACATGAAAATGAGAAGGTGACTAGAAAACAGAGGACCCACAGAAGAAACCAACAACCACACAACACACAAACACACAGGAGGAATTCTAATGCAGAAGGAGAATAGAACAGCAGGGGACCCCAAGACTGAACTCTGCATCTCATGTATTGAGATCATTCCCTGATATGGTTTGGCTGTGTCCCTACCCAAATCTCATCTTGAATTGTAGCTCCCCTAATCCACATGTGTAATGGGAGGGACGTGGTGGGAGGCAATTGAATCATTGGGTAGGTCTTTCCCATGCTGTCCTCATGATAGTGAATAAGTCTCATGAGATCTGATGGTTTTATAAAGGGGAGTTCCCCTGCACAAGCTCTCTTGCCTGCTGCCAAGAAAGACGTGACTTTGCTCCTTATTCACCTTCCACCAAGATTGTGAGGCCTCCTTAACCATGTGGAACTGTGAGTCCATTCAACCTCTTTCCTTTATAAATTACCCAGCCTCAGGTATGTCTTTATTAGTAGCATGAGAACAGACAAATACATTCCCTAAGCCTCTATTTTCCTCTGAGACAGGCTTACCCTGAATAGCCCCATCTTTGCAGGCCTTGAATAGTAATACTGTTATGTGCTACATTAACATGTATTTTACTGAAGGTCTCTGGTTTTTGTCTCTCTGAACATAGGCAGGCATTGCTGAAACTTGCAGATGACATTCCAAAATGTGTTCTGTCTTAAGATAAGCAGAGAGGGTCATGAGGAAAAACTGTACATACCTTCCCCCCAGTGATGAGGTCCCCACAGTGTGGCCAGCCTTTGTATAAGCCTTTTGGCTCTGCTAATTCATGAGGGCTGAGTCTGATTGATCCTCATGGGGAAGACTAACAAGGGAATCCTTGGCAACCATTAGGAATAACACTCATGACCCAGAAAGTGGTTCTGTCTTCATGGGCCATCATCTGTCTTGTTTACTAAGTGACCTTTGGGCTCATTTTTCTTCCAGCCAGGGTTGGAATTCAATAATCCTAGTTCCTTCCCAAATTTTAGAGCTGGGAAATGCATTCCTCGGGTTTCTACTTTTC
This sequence comes from Homo sapiens, assembly GCF_000001405.40. Taxonomy (NCBI): domain Eukaryota; kingdom Metazoa; phylum Chordata; class Mammalia; order Primates; family Hominidae; genus Homo; species Homo sapiens. The sequence goes on along the minus strand of NC_000004.12, from coordinate 9,742,626 downwards.
AAAACCAACAATATCTGTGGAGCTCAACTCCTAAATAGTGTGACTTTGTCTGTTTATGTGGTTCTCTTTCTGACTGCCTGGTTGCGACTGTGCCTGAACTCAGGCCTCTGTGTTTCTGAGTCTTAGAAGTGGTGGTTGGCATGTCAAACTTGAAGTCATTGTCCTTTAGTTATCTGAGTGTTATAATTGAACAGCACATTTATTAACAAGACCTTAGGAAATCCATCAGCTTTCTAGGAAGCTTTGATTCATTGACCTATCTCTAATGTAAGCAAAGGCTGCCAGAGAGTTGCTAACAAGAATTCCATCTTTCCTCAGAACCTTCGATTCGCTTGGGTCAAAGTTTATACCTGTTTCATGAAAAATGCAAAACCAATTAATCACAGCTGCTCATAGCATGCCTATTCTAAGAGACCTCTGCTGTTCCTACCCCAGGGACTGCCAGAATAATTAAAAGTCACAGAAATCAAACAAATGGGCCTCTGGCTAAATTATAGATGATTAACCCAGGAAGAGCACTTATTAAATAGTAAGCAGTCCCTGAAAATATTAAAGTACAAAAAGGATTAGAAATTGTTTTAAGTGTTGGTTCCAACTTCAGGTGCTGGTCTTCCACTCCACTGCGGAAGGGAACAAATGGATTTTCCCATCCTAAAGACAATGACATTCATCACGCCCCTTGGAGGCTTAATAACATCTCACTTTATGTTATTTTATTTATTTATTTATTTATTTATTTTTGAGATGGAGTTTCACTCTTGTTGCCCAGGCTAGAGTGCAATGGTGCGATCTCGGCTCACTGCAACCTCTATCTCCTGGCTTCAAGCGATTCTCCTACCTCAGCCTCCTGAGTAGCTGGGATTACAGGCACGTGCCACCATGCCCAGCAAATTTTTGTATTTTTATTAGAGATGGGGTTTCACCACTTTGGCCAGGTTGGTCTCGAACTCCTGACCTCAGGCGATCTGCCTGCCTCGGCCTCCCAAAGTGCTGGAATAGCAGGCGTGAGCCACCCCCCCGGCCAATAATATCTCACGTTAAGCTTGGAGTTGCTGTCCGCTGTGCTGTGTGGCCAGAGATAAAACAAGTCGCCATTACAGAGGGAGGTGGTATGGGGCTACATTTTTTTTTGGAAACAACAGCAAAATGTGAGGCAAATCCGCTTTTAGATCCTGGTTACACTGCTGGATGGAGCTTAGCAAGCCTGTGATAGCGTAGCCTGGTGGTGCCTTGGGGGACTCCTAGCCATGTCAGACAGGACAGATGCCTTTGAGGAGAGATGGCACAGTGCTGGCTCTCAGGCCCCCATTGCAGGGGGACCAGGCTATTTATGGATCGGGTGGGAACCCTGTTAGAAAAATAAGAGGAGGCTGGGTGTGGTGGCCTACGCCTGTAATCCCAGCATCTTTGGAGGATGAAGTGGGTGGATTGCTTGAGCCCAGGAGTTCGAGACCAGCCAGGGCAACTTGGCAAAGCCCTGTCTTTAGAAAAATAATAATAATAGTTAATTAATTAGTTATTTTTTTTAAAAAAAGAAAGAGAAGTGGAGCTGAGGAACACAGAGCCTGCCAGAAAGCCAAGGTGGTCAGCTAGAAGGACACAGAAGAACATTACCATAGTTCTCACTGAGCTTTTGGACTAGGGGTGTTTCATGTGGTTTTCATATCATACTTTACTTTTATACTTAGCGGGGAAAGACCTAATACATACAATAAAGGTAACACAAGACAAAACTCTCACCAAAGCCTAACATCTTAGATGCTCTACTGGGTCTCTGCAATTTCTACTAGGGACCCCACGGGTTTGAATTCCAGTTAGATTTGATAAGAAAATCCAAATGCTCAACCCCATCATCCCCCCCCTCTTCCAGCCCGTCCACCCTATTTACAAAAGCCAAGTGAAAACTAAGGAGGGGCCAGGTGCAGTGGTTCACACCTGTAATCCCAGCACTTTGGGAGGCTGAGGCGAGGGGAACACCTGAGGTCAGGAGTTCGAGACCAGCCTGACTAACATGGTAAAACCCCGTCTCTACTGAAAACACAAAAATTAGCAAGGTGTGGTGGTGGACACCTATAATCCCAGCTACTTGGGAGGCTGAGGCAGGAGAATCACTTGAACCCGGAGGCAGAGGTTGCAGTAAGTGGAGATTGCGCTACCGCACGCCAGCCTGGGTGAGAAAAAGCGAAACTCCAAAGAAAAAGAAGAAAGAAAGGAAGAAAGAAAGAAAGAGAGAGAGAGAGAGGGAGAGAGGGAGAGAGGGAGGGAGGGAGGGAGGGAGGGAAAGAAAGAGAGAGAAAGAGAAAAAGAAAGAAAGAGAGAGACAGAGAGAGAGAAAGAAAGAAAGCAGAAGGAGAAGAAGGAAGGAAGGAAGAAAAGAGAGAGGGAGGGAGGGAGGGAAGGAGGGAGGAAGGGAGGAAGGAAACTAAGGAGGAAGGTGGCATGTACAGAGGTACAGAGGCCCTCAGGTCCTAGCTGGCCCTGGGTGACAAGAGTGAAACTCTGAAGCAAAAGGAAGGAAGGAAGGAAACTAAGGAGGAAGGTGGTGTCTACAGAGGTACAGAGGCCCTCAAGTCCTAGCCGGCACTGGCACCTACGCAGGTTCCAATGGGCTGAGCTTTGCAAAAAGCTCATTGTGTAACCCAGGAAGCACAAATTTATTTCTGAGCAGATGTCTTTTCAAAGTGATTTTCTTTTAGGAAGTGAGAGGAGAATGAAGGGGAGGTTTATCCTACTTCTGATGTTAAAAAAGTCATAACAAAATAAATTGGTGTTGATTTGCAACTATTGGCCAAAGCACTATCGTCACCGGGACCGGTACCTCAAACACACCTCCTGACAGCCCCTTCCATTCTAATCAAGGTATTCCCAACTGTGGTCACCCAGGGGCTGTTTACTTTTACTTAAAGAGAAATGCTGGTAGTAAGCCATAAAAATTACCATATTCACCATCTTTCTGCTTCAAAGAAGGTTTTAGATTAGCAATGGCTGGATCAATCACTGTGAGTATGTTCTTGGGAACTAAAAGCCAAAAAGAAATATTTTAAATACGTGGTATATTTTTAAAATGTGGACTCAATATATTTTTAAATGCAATGTAGATAAGATTTTAAAATCACTTTCCAAATCGGTGCAAGAGTCACTCCCTCTCCCTGTTAGATGCACATACTTACACACAAACCAATGGTATCCACATGATCATCAAGTGCTCCAGAGAGGTGGTTTTAGGTCTATTTTGCAAGATTTAAAAAATGGAGAATAAAAACAAGATATGATATGTCCATCCAGCAGAATGCACCTCAGTAATAAAAAGGAATGAAAAGCTCGGCATGGTGGCTTACACCTGTAATCCCAGCACTTTGGGAGGTCGAGGTGGATGGATTACTTGAGGTCAGGAGTTCGAGACCAGCCTGGCCAACATATTTGAAACCCCATCTGTACTAAAAATACAAAGTTAGCTGGGCGTGGTGGCACACGGCTGTAATCCCAGCTACTTGGGAGGCTGAGGCAGGGAGAATTGCTTGAACCCGGGAGGCAGAGGTTGCAGTGAGCGAAGATCACACCACTGTATCCCAGCCTGGGTGATAGCGTGAGACTTCAACTCCAAAAAAAAAAAAGTGAAGTACTGATATGATACATGCTACAACATGTACGAACCTCTGAAACATTACATTCAGTTAAAGAAGTTAGCTGTGCACACACACACAAAACCATCCATTGCATAATTCCATTTGTATGAAATATTCAGAAAAGGCAAATCTAGAGAGAAAGTAGATGCGTGGTTACCTGGGACCGGGGGGTTGGTAATGGGGCAGTGATGGCAAATGGGCACACAGGAGCTTCGGGAGATTGTGAAAATGTTTTAAAACTGGAGGGTAGTGATGGTTGCACAACTCTAAATTTACTAAAAATCACTGAATTTTATTCACGTGTAATAGAATTTTGAGAAAAATAAACAACACCTCAATAGAGTGGTTAACTCTGGGCCGGGCATGGTGGCTCATGCCTGTAATCCTAGCACTTTGGGAGGCTGAGGCAGGTGGATCACTTGAGTCAGGAGTTCAAGACCAGCCTGGCCAACATGGTGAAACCCCGTCTCTACTAAAAAATACAAAAATTAGCCGGACGTGCTCACTTGAACCCAAGAAGTGGAGGTTGCAGTGAGCTGAGAGTGTGCCACTGCACTCCAGCCTGGGTGACAGAGCAAGACTCCATCTCAAAAAAAAAAAAATATATATACATATATATATATATATATATATATATATATATATATATATATATGTGGTGGTTAACTCTGAAGATGAGCTTCCCTGGACTTAGTAAAGCAAAATGACTGTGACCAACTCAAAATCCACCATCAAACTCTCCCAGCACCTGCTCTTCTGCTTTCTACCCCAAGCTCTTTGCCTCTGTGTTTCCATCGTAAATCTGGAAAGAATTCGAAGACTCTGTGCTAAAGTGATTTGCTAAATATTATCAGAAAGGACTACAGAAAGATGCAGAGAGGATGGCAGCGTGACCGACTCCTTTGAAGGTGGTTTAAGACTCTGCTGAACTGACCCTAAGAATAAGCCCTGGGATGTCAGAATCCCCAGGCAAAGCAGCTGGCAGATGACAACACCCGCTGAAACAGAGGGCAGAGCAAGAATTCTGCAGGCCAAGCACACTGCCGCAGGCTGGGAGAAGGGAGTGGAAACCGAATATTCCTCCTGCATAAAATTGCTTATTTTTGTTTGTTCCTCAGCCCAGCTGAGATCTTGGAGAAGTAGCAACAGGAAATGGAAAGAAAGCAAAAACAAACTGCAAATTCAATTGCACTGCTTTTTTAAAAAAGAACAAGTGAGACATCTTCAGCAGCAAGAAAACCTTGTTTCCTTTCTTGGAAGGCTTAACTAAATTCTTCTGGGGATGTCCCAGGATCAGCAACCACAGGACATTCCTAGATTTTGCGTTTTCCATGTACAGGAGGCCCTGGTGCGTTCGTGCCTATCAGCAGCAAGGGAGACTTCCCAGGGAGGCCCGGTGAAGTTGCTGGAGGTGGCTGATGATTTCCAGGGCCTTGAGGAATGTCCCTTGGCTGTCGTCAGGGCACACCACTGATCCTGGGACCATGGCAGCTTTGGAGAGCTGAGCGGAGCTGTTGCAAAATGCTTTCTGCTTTAATTACCTCGCATTCATTTCTGGGCCCTGAGAAGGATGCAGTGGCCTGGGAAGTGTCAGCTCTCCCTGCCAGGAGTGGTACTTCTTTCTCATGTCTGCCTCTTGGCTTATTCTCAAACTGTGGCTTCAGGAGGGCCTTGGCTCTTGGCAAATGCCAGAGGCTTTACAGTTTGAGAAAGAATCAGAATTTTGAAGAGGAGCTCAGAGAGGAAGGTAATTCTAGGATGCACTTTGCAGAATAACCAGGCAGTGAAAAGGTTAATTGGCTGTGGATGACACAGGCCACTGCAGGGAATGTGCCCCTCTACTATATGAAATTGGTTCTGTAATCCAGAGAATCTCTTAGGTCCTTTAAAATCACCGTTGTCAACACACTTGTCAGATTTTTGCATCTGCTTGTTTCAAACTGGTTCAGAATGAGGTCGGGGACAGGGGTGTGATTGATCACCGTCCTGCTCCACTTCAGATATGTTGGTGAAAACACTAGGGACCACTCTTCATGGAGCTCCTACTGTGTGCAGGACCCTGTTCTCAGCAGTTTAAACCAGGGCCATCTTCCTCCTCATCAACACCTTTCCTCTCCCACTCAGCAATCTCAGTGTCTCAGCCCCTAGAGTGAAGCTAGTGTGCATACCCTAGTGTTCACCCTACAGGATGGTTCTCTTTGGAAGACTTAAACCACCACCCCCAAGCCAAATTAGGCCCCCTCCACTGCTATAGTCTTCTTCCCTTTTCTAAAATAGCATTTGTCATAGTAGGGCATGATGATGTGTCTGCCTATTTGGTTAATGCTTGCCTTTCTCCCTCAACTGTTCACCCCATGAAAACAGGACCCTGTCTTTTTTTTTTTTTTTTTGAGACAGAGTTTCACTCTTCTCACCCAAGCTGGAGTGCATTGGTGAGATCTCAGCTCACTGCCAACTCCGCCTACCAGTTTCAAGTGATTCTTCTTGTCACAGCCTCCCAAGTAGCTGGGATTACAGGCATGCGCCACCATACCCAGATAATTTTGTATTTTTAGTAGAGACGGCGTTTCATCATGTTGGCCAGGCTGGTCTTGAACTCCTGACCTCGTGATCCACCCGCCTCAGCTTCCCAAAGTCCTAGGATTATAGGCATGAGCCACTGTGCCCGGCCAGTTCTTGTTCTTTTACTTATTTATTTTTGGCAGATTACTGTTTACAAGCATTTATACACACACACACACACACACACACACATATGGGAGTTTATTAACTATTAACTTTCACGATCACAAGATTGTGATTGTGTTATTAAGTATTGACTTCCACAATCATATATATATATGTATATATATATATATATATCCCATTATATATCCTATTAGTTCTGCCCCTCTAGAGAACCCCGGCTAATACACATACAAAAGCACATACCGAAAAGGGGGGAGCCGCTCTGGCTTGGAGGAGCAGATGTCCCTTTCCTGGGTCCTCCTGCCATATGTCACAGAGTAGATGTTGAGGAACTTGGATTCATGGCAGTGCAGTTTCAGCTCCTTGTCTTCACACACGGTTTTGTTTTTTAATTCATCTGAAGCAGAAACAAAAATTGAAGGCACCATCAGCTTCCACCAGAAGGAATTGATGGGCTCTCTCCAAGTCCCACTGCTCATTTCCCCGGGGCTGCACCCTGAGAAGGGGGCAGCGGGGATGGCCCTGTGGGCTCATGCTGTCTCTGATCCCAGAAAACAAAGCCCTCTGCAGGAAGCAGGTGGGAAGTAACCTGTTGACAAGCGCAAAGACCCTGGGAATTATACTAAGGGGCAAATGGAGGAGAGGTGCTGGCGTTAAGGAGGCAGACACATGGAGTTAGGCCCCAGGAAGGGCGTGGCTAGAAAGGAAGTTTCTCTTGCTCAGCACTTCAGGTCACACATTCCTTCACTGAAGGGGACCTTTTCTCAAATGTTGGCTTGGGATCCACATAGGTAAAGACAGACCAGAAATTACTTGAAAGAAGCATTAAGCTTCTTTCTCTCTCTAGAGAGAGCCCAGTTAAACCTCACCTCCAGCCCCTCAACTGGCATCCCCTTGTGTGTATGAATTATTTATTATGTTAGTTTAGCTTAGTTTTTTTTTTTTTTTTTTTTTTTTTGAGATGGAGTTTCACTCTTGTTGCCCAGGCTGGAGTGCAATGGCACCATCTCGGCTGACCGCAACCTCCGCCTCCCGGGTTCAAGCAATTCTCCTGCCTCAGCCTCCCGAGTAGCTGGGATTACAGGCATGTGCCGCCACACCCGGCTAATTTTTTTGTATTTTTAGTAGAGACGGGGTTTCACCATGTTAGCCAGGATGGTCTCGATCTGACCTCGTGATCTGCCCGCCTCAGCCTCCCAAAGTGCTGGGATTACAGGCGTGAGCCACTGCGCCCAGCATTAGTTTAGTTTTTTAGAGACAGGGTTTCACTCTGTTACCCAGGCTAGAGTGCAGTGGTGCAATCATAGCTCACTGCAGCCTTGAACTCTTGGGCTCAAACCTAGGCTCAAGGGATCCTCTCGCCTCGGCTTCTCAAGTACCTGGGAATATATGAATGCACACCATGCCCAGCTTACGTTTACTTGTTTAAAAGACAAGAAAGAGGCCAGGCACAGTGGCTCACACGTGTAATCCCAGCATTTTGGGAGGGAGGCTGAGGCAGGAGGATTGCTTGAGTCCAGAATTTGGAGACCAGCCTGGGAAACATAGCAAGGCCTCATCTCTAATTAAAAAAAAAAAAAAAGCAAGAAAGATGATATGATACCAAATAAAATCATTTCCTTTCCTAGGAAAAGGGAAAAAACAAGGCACGTTGTCAGTTAAGAATCCCTCTTTAGAGAAGCTTGAAGTCTGCCCCAAATCTGGTAAATCCAGGAACAACTGACTGTGAAGCTGATGGTGCATTCTAGGTTAGGATGATTTGGACCAGGTTGTACTTTGTTCCTAAAGAATTCAAGGAAAAGTTTGTTTGTTTGTTTAATCTGCTTAACATAGTAAAATCTTTCTTTGCAATGTCATACAAAGTTGGCATTACGTGTGCACTGTTGAAGAAAACATAGTTAATTGTTTTTTTTTAAAGAGTGTACTCCAAAACCATTTAATTAGTAAATATGTTTAATAATGATTTTTTTTTTTTTTTTTTTTTTTTTTTTTTTTTTTTTTTTTTTTTTTTTTTTTTTTGAGACAGAGTCTCGCTCTGTTGCCCAGGCTGGAGTGCAGTGGCGCTATCTCTGCTTACTGCAAGCTCCACCTCCCGGGTTCGTGCCATTCTCCTGCCTCAGCCTCTGGAGTAGCTGGGACTACAGGTGCCCACCACCACACCCGGCTAATTTTTTGTATTTTTAGTAGAGACAGCGTTTCACCGTGTGAGCCAGGATGGTCTCAATCTCCTGACATTGTGATCCACCTGCCTTGGCCTCCCAAAGTGCTGGGATTACAGGCATGAGCCACTGCGCCTGGCCCTTTGAGTACATTCTCTAAGAAGTTGGTCATGAGTTCAGATGTCTGCCTCAAAGAGACACTTGTGGTTTCCATTAAAGAACACACCTTCCCTTTCTACAGGAGTATTTATGGGAGATACGGGCCTGGAGGTTGGAATCTATCCTGGTTGTACTTTGCTATACTGAAGTAAGGAGTAAACCTACAAGTAAATTCATATTGAAGTGTACAAAGGGGCTCTACAATAGGTAGGAATTCTATTTAGTTTTGTTGAGTAACAAATCCTTTGAGAAGCAAATAATAGCTCACCTACAAAACTGGTGATCTGTATAAGTTGGGATTTTTTATGGATCAGTTTTGCTTGGATTGAACTATATAATCACAAATATATTTATACCCAGAGAGACAGAAAGAGTGTCTGTTGAAACTGTATCATCTTAACGTGTCTATAAAAGGCAATATCTGGAAGGTGGTGGGTGCCACACAGGTTAAGCTGTCTTCCCTCTGGCAGGCAGGCTTCTGGGAACTACACATTGGGTAATCTTGCCCATAAAATGCCGATTGGATACTTATTGTAGAATGCCAAGGGCACTATGGATTCAGATAGTCCCCATCACAGGCATAGGTGGTGTGGTTTTGCAGGAGTTTGGTTAGGTAACCTGGAAAATATTCAGTCGGTTTACAAGAGGCCCAGGAACCCACCACTCCTCCTTGGGTTTGGGGACAGGAGGACGTTGGTTCCCCTGGGGAAGGGCTGTTGAGTTAACAACATGTGGGGTAGGGCCTCCCTAGCAGCTCTGGTGCAGAGGTCACAAAACCAGGCCCAGAGGTGGGGCACAGGAGCCAACGTCAGCTTTCATGTTGATATGGAAGGGGGGCAGGGGAATGCTGGGTAGAGAAGGGTGGGGTCCCTGGCGAGGGCTTTGCCCTTGGGCTTGTGCCCTTGCACCTTAGTGAGAACAGGCACTCCTGTTTTCATGTCCAAATATTGCATTTTCCAAGACTACTCTGGCCTGCTATGACCCCCATCCTGTGCCCATAAAAAACCCAAGACCCTAGTGGGCACAGACACAAATGGCTGGACATCCAGAGGAGCAGAGAAGCAGAAGAGCACACCGACAGACATCAGCAGATGCTGGCAGGCTTTTGACAGTGGGGAGATGTGGAATTCAGTTGGGGGCGGTTGGAGGAGAGTCTGGCTGCTAGGCAGCCCAACTCTAGGGGAAGACCACCTTCCCTCTCCATCCCCCTTCTGGCTCCCCATCCATCTGAGAGCCACCTCCTCCACTCAATAAAATCTTGCATTCATTCTCCAAGTCCACGTGTGATCTGATTTTTCAAGTAAAGCAGACATGAGACTCTATTTTGTTCTGTACTAAGAAAAATTCTTCTGCCTTGAGATGCTGTTAATCTGTAACCCTACCCCCAACCCTGTGCTCCCTGAGACATGTGCTGTGTCAACTCAGGGTTAAATGGATTAAGGGCTGTACGGGGTGTGCTTTGTTAAACAAATGCTTGAAGGCAGCATGCTTGTTAAGAGTCATCACCACTCCCTAATCTCAAGTACCCAGAGACACAAAACGCTGCGGAAGGCCACAGGGACCTCTGCCTGGGAAAGCCAGGTATTGTCCAAGGTTTCTCCCCATGTGATAGCCTGATATATGGCCTCCTGGGAAGGGAAAGACCTGACTGTCCCCCAGCCGGACACCCATAAAGGGTCTGTGCTGGGGAGGATTATTGAAAGAGGAAGGCCTCTTTGCAGTTGAGATAAAAGGAAGGCATCTGTCTCCTGCTTGTCCCTGGGCAATGGGACATCTTGGTATCAAGCCCGATTGTATATTCCATCTACTGAGATAAAGGAAAACCACCTTAGGGCTGGAGGTGGGACATGCTGGCAGCAATACTGCTATTTAATGGATTAAGATGTTTATGTGTATGCACATCAGAAGCACAGCAGTTAATTCTTTAACTTGTTTAAGATGCAGAGACCTTTGTTCACGTGTTTTCCTACTGACCTTCTCTCTGCTATTACCCTATTGTCCTGCCAAATCCCCCTCCCCGGGAAACGCCTGATAATGATCAATAAATACTAAGGGAACTCAGAGGCTGGTACCGGCATGGGTCCTCCGTATGCTGAACGCCCTTCCCCTGGGCCCTATTTTCTTTCTCTATACTTTGTCTCTGTGTCTCTTTCTTTTCCAGGTCTCTCATTCCATGTAAGGAGAAACACCCACAGGTGTGGAGGGGCAACCCACCCCTTCAATCAGGAACCTCAGAATGTGACATTTGTAAATTGGGTGGTTGCAGATGTAATGAATTAACTTGGCCACATACTGGAGTAAGGTGGGCCCTTCACACCATATGACTGGTATCCTTATAAGAAGAAAAGAAGAGACACAGAGGGAAGACAGCCGTGTGCATCTGGAATGATGCATCTGAAGCCAAGGAATGCCGCGCATTGCCGGCCACCACCCAAAACTGGAAAAAGTCAGGAAGGATTCTTCCCTAGAACCTTCAAAGGCAGCACAGCCCTGCCAACACCTGGATTCAGACTCTGGCCTCCAGAACTGTGAGAGGATGAATTTCTGTTGTTTTCAGCCACCCAAGCTTAGGAAATGGGTTGCAGCAGACTGGGAATAAGACAGGCAGCCAGGCAGCCTCCGTGGAATTCCCAGGCAGCTTGCAGGAGCCACAGTGGGCCCTGGGCTCTGAGAAGGTCTGAGGCCCAGCAGGTGCAGGGGCCTAAATTATTTCTCGGCAAGGAGGAAGGAGGCTCATCCAGAACGTAGATCCCCTTCCTCCTTCTCACACCTCACAAGGTCACAGCGAGGTGGCTGGGAGGAGAGCCAGTGACTTTTCACTGAGGTGTGTGGGAGACAGCTTGGCCACCCTTGGCCTCTGAAGGGAGGAGGTGGCCTGAAAGAGGGCGGCTTCGGAACTTCCCAGTTCCTGCTTGATGGCCTGTGTGTAAAGTATTCCTGTTTAGGTTTCAAAATCCTCTGAGAAACATAATTCTCAGAAAATCCAGGCACCCAATCCAGCTCCCTGGCCTTCCCTGAAATCTGAAGTCAAAGGGGCTGAGCCAGCCTGCCCTGGGTGTCAGGCCTCTGAGCCCAAGCTAAGCCATCATATCACCTGTGACCTGCACGTACACATCCAGGTGGCTGGTTCCTGCCTTAACTGATGACATTCCTCCACAAAAGAAATGAAAATGGCCTGTTCCTGCCTTAACTGATGACATTGTCTTGTGAAATTCCTTCTCCTGGCTCATCCTGGCTCAAAACCTCCCCCACTGAGTACCTTGTGACCCCCACTCTGCCCGCCAGAGAACAACGCCCCTTTGACTGTAATTTTCCCTTACCTACCCAAATCCTATAAAACGGTCCCACCCCATCTCCCTTCACTGACTCTCTTTCAGACTCAGCCCGCCTGCACCCAGGTGAAATAAACAGCCATGTTGCTCACACAAAGCCTGTTTGGTGGTCTCTTCACATGGACGCACATGAATCTGGGGTCCTTACGCCCACCAGCCCAGAGTGCTCTCTAGAGGAAGGCTACAGACACTTCCTGGCTCGCTCATCCAGACGTTAGCTGTCTTGCTGAAACTCCTTTTTTCACCCTTGAAAACCACTGGAAGAATGTCCAAGAACGCAGCTATCCTGAGTAAGTTCCCTTAGAGAAGCAAAATCTAACATGAGTGGCAAAATGGACATTGGCACCAGGAGTGTGGGTCAGAATCCTGCCCCTTGGAACTACATCATCACTTGTACAGTGAACCCCCCAGGCAACAAGAGACCAGGCCGAGACCCTTCAGTGGCCCTGGGCCTCTGGTCAGTGTCTTCCCGCCTGGCACACAGGCAGGCCCTCATAAAACAATGAGTACTGAAAGTTCCAGCCTTCTTGGTGGGTTCTCAGTACCCTGTCATGAGCCACACCCTGCCCCAGGGAAATCAGGATCACCCTGATGCTACCCCTAGGCCAGTGCCCCTTCTGAAGTGCCCCAGGCTGGTACCCCTATACTTAGGTCTCTTCAGCCTCCTCATGAAAACCTTCTTGTCCATCACCCCAGCATTCCCCACACTGTGCTAAATGAGCAGCTGACCACACGTCAAATCAATTTTCAGAGTTTGCCTTTAGTTTAATATTCATGGCTCATCCAAAAGATCTTGTCACCATAGCTAGATGAAAAAAATGACAAGGCTCTGGAGAAGCAGAGCCACAAGATGGAAGATACCTGGGTCCCAGCTTCATGAGGAAAGGAGCTGCCTGCTCCACAGACTGTCACATGAGTGGGAATGAAACTTTTGCTGCTTTTAGACCATTACCTTTCTTCACTCTGTCACATAGTCTATCCCCGCTAAACAGAACTTGACCTCTGCCAGACCTCATCAAGACCTGTATGTGCAGTGCAGTGGCCTGAGCCTCCCATCCATGCCCCACCTATCCAACCAGCCTTACCATATTCTTCCTCTGAGAGTGGGATTCTGGGGACAGAAGCTCAGTGCATAGAATTGACTAATGCCAGATCCTTCAGGCACTTTGCACTTTGAAGTCTATCCATCCTAGCACATTCCAAGTACAAAGAAGACACTTTAGCAGTATAACCTGGCCTACACTCAGTTCAATTCCTTCTTCAAAAACCTAGGCCTGGACAGGTGTGGTGGCTCACATCTGTATTCCCAACACTTTGGGAGGCTGAGGCGGATGGGTCACCTGACGTCAGGAGTTCGAGACCAGCTTGGCCAACATGGTGAAATTCCATCTCTACTAAAAATGAAAAAAATTAGCCAGGTGTGGTGGCACGCCCCTGTAATTCCAGCTACGCTGGAGGCTGAGGTGGGGAAATTGCTTGAACCCTGGAGGTGGAGGCTGCAGTGAGCTGAGATTGTGCCACTGCACTCCAGCCAGGGAAACAGAGCAAAACCCCATCTCAAAAAACATCAACAACAACAACAACAATAAAAAACAAAGAAACCTAGGCCCACTTCCAGACAATGGAATGTTACTTAGCACTAAAATGAAATGAGCTATGAAACCACAAAAAGACATGGAGAAACCTTAAATGCATATTCCTAAGTGAACGAAGTCCATCCGAAAAGGCTGCGCACTGTATGATTCCAACTATATGACATTCTGGATAAAGCAAAACTATAGAGACAGCGAAAATATCCACGGTTGCCTGAGGTCAGGAGAAAGGAGGAATGAATTGGTGAAACACAGAGGATTTTTAGGGCAGTGAAACTACTCTGCGTGATACTACAATGGTGGATCCACGTAGTTGTCCATATGTCCAAACCCACGCAATGTACAACACCAAGAGTGAGCCCTCATGTAAACTATGGACTCTGGGTGATAGTGATGTGTCAATGTAGGTTTATTGATTATGACAAATATCCCACTCAGGTTTGATATTGCTAGTGGGGGAAGCTGCGTGTGTGTGTGTGTGTGTGTGTGTGTGGCAGGTGGGAGTAGATGTTGATGAAAACTCTGCACTTTCTGCTCCGTTTTTCTTTCTTTTCTTTTCTGTTTCTTTCCTTTTCCCTTCCTTCCTTCCTTCCTTCTTTCCTTCCTTCCTTCTTTCCTCCCTTCCTTCCTTCCTTCCTTCCTTCCTTCCTTCCTTCCCTCCCTCCCTCCCTCCCTCCCTCCTTTGTTTCTCTCTCTCTCTCTCTTTCTTTCTCCTTTCTTTTTTTCTTTCTTTGTCACCCAGGCTGGAATACAGTGGTAAGATCTCAGCCCACTGCAACCTCCACCTCCGAGGTTCAAGCAATTGTCCTGCCTCAGCCTCCCAAATATCTAGGATTACAAGCATGCACCACCATGCCCGGCTAATTTTTTGTATTTGTAGTATAGACAGGGTTTCATCATCATGTTGGTCAGGTTGGTCTCAAACTCCTGACCTCGTGATCTGCCCACCTCGGCCTCTCAAAGTGCTGGGATTACAGGTGTGAGCCACAGGGCCTGGCCTCTGCTCCATTTTTCTATGAACCTAGAACTTCTCTAACACATTAAGTCTATTTAAAAGGAAAAAAAAATAATCCCTATCCCCAGGATAGCATTACCTTTGGGAGGAGAGGAGCTAGCGTTAGGGAGGGGAGAACGAGGAGCTCAGGAGAGCTGGACATGCCCTGTTCTTTGATCTGCATGGTGTGCATGTGCTTTACTTTGTGAAAGCTCACCCAGTTATCCACTTTGGATATGTAAACAAAAATGTTTAAGAAAACTTCACCTGCAGTTATCTGACCTACACTTTTAAACAATAAAGAAAGCCTAGGCACACGGAGCCTTGGGTAACTCATGGAGCAAGTGGGTGCGGAATGCCTTCTGTAGCCAGCCTCTGTCCCACGAGGATGGGCTGCTGGGTGACAGCAGGACAGGCTCATGAGGACTAGCCATCGCCCAAATGCTCTGGTCCTCCAGGCTGCCTGCCCATGCCTCAAGCTGTTTGGTCTACAGTGCCAGAAGTTGAGGAAGAAGGACAGTTAGAACAACCCCATGGTTTCAGCAACATGGAGGCCATCAAGAACCATTTTGAATCCATATGGAATGGGGGGTGGGGACAGAAGCTTGTTTGGAAAAGGTGGAAAAGTGAGTGGAGGGGCCAGGTGTGGTGGCTCATGCTTGTAATCCCAGCACTTTGGGAGGCTGAGGCAGGTGGATCACCTGAGATCGAGAGTTCAAGACCAGCCTGACTAACATGGAAAAACCCCATCTCTGCTAAAAATACAAAATTAGCCGGGTGTGGTGGCAGGTGTTTATAATCCCAGTTACTCGGGAGGCTGAGGCAGGTGAATCACTTGAATCTAGGAGGCAGAGGTTGCAGTGAGCTGAGATTGCACCATTGCACGCCAGCCTGGGCAGCAAGAGCAAAATTCCATCTCAAAAAAAAAAAAAAAAAAGAAAGAAAAAGAAAAAAGAAAAGTGAATGGAAGTTAAGAAAGTCAAAGATGGTCCATGTGGTAGGCAGAATAACGGCCCCCAAAGATGTCCACAGGCCTTAATCCCCAGGACCAGTGATTATGTTACCAGACATTCGTGGTAAAAGGGACTTGGCAGATGTGAGTAAGTTGAGGATTTTGAATGGGGGAGATCATCCTGGATTATCTGGAAGGAGTTTATAGAATCACAAGCGTCCTTAAAAGGAGGAAGGTGGCTGAGTGCAGTGGCTCACACCTGTAATCCCAGCACTTTGGGAGACCGAGGTGGGTGGATCACCTGAGATCAGGAGTTCAAGGCCAGCCTGGCCAATATGGTGAAACTCTGTCTCTACTAAAAACACAAAAAATTAGCTGGGCATGCTGGCGGATGCCTGTAATCCCAGCTACTCAGGAGGCTGAGGCAGGAGAATAGCTTGAACCTGAGAGGCGGAGGTTGCAGTGAGCCGAGATCGCACCATTGCACTCCAGCCTGGGCAACAAGAGCAAGACTCCATCTCAGATAAAAAAAAAAAAAAAGAAAGAAAGCAACATAATAAAATGGAAATGGTTTATACTGGATCATGCTACCTGGGGAATGCAGGGAGGAGATATTCCCAAGCAGGGAGGCTCTTTTCTCCTACGACTGACTCTGGAAGAGTGAGGAGCTGCTGGATTCTATCAGCAGTTCAACAGTGCCCTATATAACCAGCTCTCAACTCACTCACCCCCAGCTGTTTGGTCTATGGATGACAATTTCGAGGTGAACAAACAACATCCTGTTTGGACAGCTGCTACTCTGGCTAAAGATGGTAAAAATCAGTCAGCTCAGTGAGCTGAATTGCATGCTCTTTTTCTAGCTGCTGATTTATACTAGAATGATGGCAATAACTGATTTTCAAAGAATCATAGTATGTGTCCCAAAGTGTTCCACAGGAGTGTGATATTGTGAAATATATATTTGATCAGTTGAACAGTGGTAGAAGCCCCCTGTTTGGGTTTTTACTGACTCCTGGGCAGTGACCAGTGTCTTGGCTGTACACTCAGGCAAGAGGACAATAGCCACCTGGCTTATTAACGGGATGTCCATATGGGGCACAGCCCTGTGGAGAGGTGAAAGATGCCTTGAGGTAGAACAGGTTCACGCCCATCAGAAAAACTCCCTTCCAGTCTCTGGAGGTGGCTGGAGTCACCAAGTGGATTTTTTTTGTGTGCTCCTTTGAGGTGGTCGCCTGGGTCCGTGAAATGAGTGAACAAGGCGGTTCTGCAGCAGTGCAGAGATGGGCTGAATCTAGCCATGCCCCTCGGGCTCAAAATGCCAATAAGAACTGTTCTGTCGCTGGGTGCGGTGGCTCAAGCCTGTAGTTCCAGCACTTTGAGAGGCCGAGGCAGATGGATCACCTGAGTTTGGGAGTTCGAGACCAGCCTGACCGACATGGAGAAACCCCATCTCTACTAAAAATACAAAATTACCGGGGCTTGGTGGTGCATGCCTATAATCCCAGCTGAGGCAGGAGAATTGCTTGTACCCAGGAGGCGGAGGTTGCGGTGAGCCGAGATGATGCCATTGGACTCCAGCCTGGGCAACAAGAGTGGAACAACGTCTCAAAAAAAAAAAAGAACTGTTCTGTCTGCCAGCAAGAGAAAGAGAGACTGCCCATGGCTGCGAGGTACATTCCCTGGTGGGAAAGCTCTTAACATAAGTGGCAAGTGAGATGGATGCTGGCAGCCCTGGGGGGCTGCATCTAGGTCTTGACAGGAATAGACACTGTCTCCGGACTGGGCTTTGTTTGTGTGGTAGAAGATGCAAACACTCAGAGTGCCATTAAAAAAAAGAAAAAGGGCCAGGCATGGTGGCTCATGCCTGTAATCCCAGCACTTTGTGAGGCTGAGGCGGGCAGGTCACCTGAGGTCAGGAGTTCAAGACCAGCCTGGCAAACATGGTGACAACCCGTCACTACAAAAATACAAAAAAATTAGCCAATCCCAGCTACTTGGGAGCCTGAGGTGGAAGAATCACCTGAACCCAGGAGGCGGAGGTTGCAGTGAGCCGAGATCATGCCATTGCACTCTAGCCTGGGAGACAGAGGGAGACTCTGTCTCAAAAAAAAAAATTAAAAAAAAAAAAACAGAACAGGAGATACTGCATGAATCTTGATGGCCAACGTCATTGCTTCAGAAAAAAGAGCACTCTGTACAGCCCATAATGTCCAACAATGGGCAGAGAGGCATCCTCTTCAGAGTCATAATTTGGCACAGAATTGGAACAGGCAATTCAAACGCTGGTTGTCTAAAACGGGGGAGGTGAAAGCAGAAGGGCTGGTGATAGAGTTTGGATCTGTATCTCCACCAAATTGTGTGTTGAATTGTAATCCCCAGTGTTGGAGCTGGGGCCTGGTGGTAGGCAGTTGGATCATGGGGGCAGGTTTCCCATGGATGGTTTAGCACTATTCTCTTTGGTATTGTACTCACGATAGTAAGTGAGTTCTTGTGAGATCTGGTCATTTAAAAGTGTGTTGGGCCGGGCATGGTGGCTGATGCCTGTAATCCCAGCATTTTGAAAGGCTGAGGTGGGTGGATCACCTGAGGTCAGGAGTTCAAGACCAGCCTGGCCAATATGGCAAAACCCCATCTCTAGTAAAAATACAAAAAGTAGCCAGCGTGGTTGTGGGTGCCTGTAATCCCAGCGACTTGGGAGGCTGAGGCAGGAGAATCACTTGAGCTCAGGAGGCAGAGCCAAGATCACTGTGATCTTGCAGTGAGCCAAGATCACACTATTGCACTCCAGCTTGGATGACAGAGAAAGACTCTATCTCAAAAAAAAAAAAAAAAAAGTGCACAGCACCTCCCCCAGTCATTCTCTCTGGCTCCTGCTCCTGCCATGTAAGAGAACAACTGCTCCTCCTTCATCTTCTGCCATGATTGGAAGCTTCCTGAGGCCTCACCAGAAGCAGAAGCTGCTATGCTTCCCATACAGTCTGCAGAACAGTGAGCCAATTCAACCTCTTTCCTTGTAAATTACACAATCCCATTGCTTCTCAGCCTTTTGGCTAAGATCAAGAGTAAATTACCCACTCTCAGATATTTCTTTATAGCAATGCAAGAATGAACTAATATAGCTGGCTTGCACGCTTTGTGAGTGTGCACTCATACTTAGCATGAGTGGTCTAAAGGAGTGGCCTTCCAGATTTTTCTCCATTTTTTTGGTTGATCTGGGGAAGAGGGGGTGGGGAGGATGCTGACATGACCATGAAATTTTTTTTTTTTTTCCCGAGACGGAGTCTTGCTTTGTCACCCAGGCTGCAGTGCAGTGGTGCAATCTCAGCTCACTGCAACCTCTGCCTCCCAGATTCAAGCAATTCTCCTGTCTCTTCCTCCCAAGTAGCTGGGATTACAGGCGCATGCCACCAGGCCCAGCTAATTTTTGTATTTTTAGTAGAGATGGGGTTTCACCATGTTGGCCAGGTTGGTCTCAAACTCCTGACCTCATGATCCACCCACCTCAGCCTCCCGAAGTGCTGGGATTACAGGTGTGAACCACCGCACCCAGCCCAATGAACACTTCTTGAATGAATGAGACAGTGAAGAAGACTACCAGAACAAGAGCAGATCAAAGGTGAATAAGTGAGTAGTAGCTTCTGATTAATCCTCATCAGCAACCAACATAACCCAGGGCTTATAGATTTCTCTATGTAATATGCTACTCACACGTCTACGGAAAGAGAGAGAGAGAGAAGCACATCAGTCAACCAATTATCAAAAGTTACTGTAAATCTGCTGTGTTGGTCTTGTATTACAATCTTTAGATTACACTACTATTTTATTTCAAACAGGACTGGTAGAAACTTCTTCATGCCTTTGCAACCAAAGGCCTTTAGTCCTATAAAACTGATCACCTTGTTGCTTGGCCAAGTACCAACCTTAGAAAGTTATGCAGTGAACACCATCTGACTTAGATTAGTTGAAAAGTAACTGGATCAATCCCCCTTTACCCCAAACATCTAAACGGAACAATTTTCTTTTCTTCAGGATGCAGCATAATCCTCAAACTGCAGAGCCACTTGGTGATGAAGCCAGGATCGCAGTGCATTTGACAACTTAATGCAACTTTTTACTAGCACTTAAAACTCAGATATGAAATCTATACTTGATCTTTTCTGCTTGGAATTGGCCAGATTAGTGGTTCTGCCCCGGCATACAACAAAAGGCTCTCAGAAACACTCAGGGTCGCTAACCAATTAGGAGAACCAACAGAGCTCGACAAACAGACAAGAGGGAGAAGGGCACCGCCTTCCACCCCGCCCGCTTAGACAGCCTTTCAACTCTGTCCACTTTGAGGATGTGTAGGATGATCCAGGTAATCATGACATCTACCTTAACTTCAAGGTAGAAATTAAGGCTTGAGGGCACTTATTTGGTGCCTTATTCAGTTAATTGGAAGATTATATGGTAATTTCACTGCTCATAATAATTAAACCTTTTTTTTCACTTTAGGGATGATAATGACATTTGGAGAGTAGCACTATAAACGTCAAACATCTATTTTGGAGATGATTGGATTTAGGAGCAGGACAGGTTTGCTGTACACTTGACCGAACATGCTTTGTTCCCCAAAGCAGCAAAAAAGCCACAGCCTGGAAGTTTCTAAAACTTGAAGCAGATGTAAGTGGCAAATCCAAAAAGCCGTGCCTAGAGAACAGGTCGGGTGACCGGCTGTATCTATTCCAGCCTCCCCATTGGCTCGGTGGAGGACTTCGGACAGGTCTCTCAGTTTCGCCTTCTTTGGTTTCACCTTAGAATGAGGGGAAGTCACAGCATTTCTTCCTTTGTATTTCACAGAAACACAGTCAGCAAATGTAAAAAAATACGGGCGCCCACATGGTGATTATGCTGGCCTGGTCTCAAGCTTCATATTCATCCTTAATTGATTCCCAGACACACTCGCCAGTGACCTGGCTCCGCTTCACTGAATGGCCCCAAGGGTCCACGCTTTCTTAATTCTCCTGTGGACCCTTTATTCACTCCCCCTCATCCTTCCTTTGCTGACGGTGGTTGCTTCTGACTGCCCCAATCTTTTTTTTCTTTTTCTTTTTTCTTTTTTTTTTGAGATGTAGTCTTGCTCTGTTGCCCAGGCTGGAGTGCTGTGGTGAGATCTCAGCTCACTGCAACCTCTGCCTCCCCAGTTCAAGCGATTCTCCTGCCTTGGCCTCCCGAGTAGCTAGGATTACAGGCATGTGCCACCACGCCTGGCTAATTTTTTTTGTATTTTTAGTACAGATGGAGTTTCACCATGTTGGCCAGGCTGGTCTCTAACTCCCAACCTCAAATGATCCACCTGCCTTGGCCTCCCAAAGTGCTAGGATTACAGGCATGAGCTACCGAGCCTGGCCTCAATCTTATGCTTACTATTCTTAATCTGTTGCCTCATTTTATAGCCACAGCTCAGGTGACAGCTGAGGGATTACCTTCATCTGTCTCTGAGCCTCTAAGACTTCTATTTTCTTCACCACTCTCCAGGAATCTTTTTTTCTAGCTCTTGGTTGCTGGCCATCTCCTGGACGGTTCAGTTGAAAATCTGACCTCCAGTTCATTGGTGCATCTACAATCAATCCTCATTACCTGCAGATTCTGTAGCTGCAAATTCACCTGCTTGATAATGTTTCTTTATAGCCCCTAAATCAATCCCAGTGGGGCTTTCCTGGATGTGCACCAAGTGCTGAAGAGGTTGAATGGCTGATATGCACGGTCCCAGCAGAGCTCCATCGAGGAACCTCTGCCTTTTGGTTTCCGCTCTTATACCATAAATGAATGCCCTTTTCTTGGTCGTTTTGGTTTTTTTTTTGAGACAGAGTCTCACTCTGTCAACCAAGCTGGAGTGCAGTGGTGTGATTGCAACCTCTGCCTCTCAGGTTCAAGCGATTCTCCTGCCTCAGCCTCCCGAGTAGCTGGGACTACAGGCCTGTGCCGCCACACCCAGCCAATTTTTGTTTTTTGGTAGAGATGGGGTTTCACCATATTGGCCAGGCTGGTCTCAAACTCCTGACCTCAGGTGATCCACTTGCCTTGGCCTCCCAAAGTGCTGGGATTACAGGTGTGAGCCACCATGCCCAGCCAGGGTTCTCTTAAATATAATGGAAAGAGGAGAATTGGAATGGCAGAGAGAGAGAACTAGGACCCTGAATGAATGAATCAAGTTGAGTTGGAGAGAAACTGTATTTATAGGAAAGTTAAGGCTCTGAGTTTGGAGGCCAAGCAGGGTGGGGGTGAGCAAAGCCGTGAGAAGGAAAGCAGGGCTTCAAAAAGCAGCTGCTCCTTCTTGATAGACGCAGAGAGGAAACAGGAAAGACCGGGGTCCATGCAGTCTTATTTGTAGCACTTGAATAACTTGGTGCTTAGAGTCCCAAGGCCTCCAGCTAGTGATCCAGAGATGCCATTAGAGGGCAAAAGCACTCGCTGCTCCCTCATTTGTCACCAAGAAGACCTGGTATGGCCCTGGTTTTAAGGACAATTTAGTCAATTGCTTATTGTATATCACAAGATGAACGCTGGGAGAGAGGAAATGCAGGGTCTGTAGGGAGAGGGCAAAAACAGCTACATCTGACCCACCCCAGAGACGAGGAAGGCTTCCAGGTGGGAGGTGATGTCAGGAGGTAACCAGGTGGAAATCACCCTCAAGTAGCAGGGACAGGTGTGCAAAAGCTCAGAGGGAGCTTCTCCAGGATCAGCAGAGCTCGAATGTAGGGTGTGAGGCTGTCACAGAGGCTGGAGAAATAAGCAGTGCCTTGCTAAGAAGTCTGAATTTTATCCTGAAGGGACATGGGAGTTACTGCAGGCTGGTAAGCAGGGGGGTGATATTGGTTGGATTGCAATGCAGAGAAACCCTGGGTTGGCCTGCGTCTGATGGACTGGAGAGACCCTTGAAGAAATCAGGGTACAGGCAGTACTCCGGAGTAGAAATGAGGAAGGTGCCACCTGAGACCACAGCAGTGGGGAAGAGTGTAAGAGGGATGGAAATTGAGATGAATTCATGGGTGTTTGGCCTGTGCAGTCACACAGGGCCCCATGCTGAGAGGGACCCTGAGCTTGGCTTAATGCTTTGCTGTTACCGTCTTAAAATTCCTCCTCATTTTATCTTTGAGTCTATGTTTTGTTTTGTTTTGAGAAAGAGTCTTGCTCTGTCACCCAGGCTGGAG
Source organism: Homo sapiens (assembly GCF_000001405.40). Taxonomy (NCBI): domain Eukaryota; kingdom Metazoa; phylum Chordata; class Mammalia; order Primates; family Hominidae; genus Homo; species Homo sapiens. Next base: position 9,719,931 of record NC_000004.12, on the reverse strand, counting down.
TGTACTGGCACCATCTCAGCTCACTGAGATCTCCACCTCCCAGGCTCAAGTGATTCTCCTGCCTCAGCCTCCCAAGTAGCTGGGACTACAGCCACCTGCCAGCACGCCTGGTTAATTTTTGTATTTTTAGTAGAGAGTGGGTTTCACCATATTGGCCAGGCTGGTCTTGAACTCCTGACCTCAAGTGATCTGCCCACCTCAGCCTCCCAAAATGCTGGGATTACAGACGTGAGCCACTGCACCCAGTCTGAATCTATGTTTTATCAGTGAAATCCAATGGGCAATAGAACATGTGCATGGGCAGATGAGACACCAACAATAAGAGTTACCCCCATCCCTTGCCACTGCACTCCCCATGGCGTGTCTGCTGTGCCCTGAGCATAGAATCTTGGGGGGCCCGCAGTGCATGGGAGTCCAGCAAGGCTCCAAGTTAGCATAAGGGAAGCCTACTATGTCCACAACGGAGTCCGTGAGACATGCTGACAGCACTAAGAGGTCACGCTTTCTCTTATTATAGAATCAGAATTGAAAACCAAGTCAATGGCATTCTAAGAAACAGGAACAAACAAGGAACCCTCTCCCAGCCTTTTCTACCCATCTGATTCCCTGTAGTAGCCAGCCACTTCCACTGGAAATGATGACACAGGAGAAGCAAAGATAGCAGAGTCATAGTTATTTTTCCTTTCAATTCTTCCTTACACATCAGTAAGCCAAAGGTAGAGAGTGGTGGTAGATTGTATAGGTGTGAAAAAGTGAAATAAAAACAGCTGAATGGCGAGTGTGGTGGCTCATGTCTGTAATCCCAGCATTTTAGGAGGCCGAGGTGGGTGGATCACAAGGTCAGGAGTTCGAGACCAGCCTGGCCAACATGGCAAAACCCCGACTCTATTAAAAATACAAAAAATAGGAGGGTATGTTGGCGGGCTCCTGTAATCCCAGCTACTCAGGAGGCTGAAGGCAGGAAAATGGTCTGAACCCGGGAGGCAGAGGTTGCAGTGAGCAGAGATCTCACCACTGCACTCCAGCCTGGGCAAGAGAGCAAGACTCTGTCTCAGGGAAAAAAATAAAAACAAACAAACAAACAAACAAAAACAGCTGAATTAGTTTCCTGCAACATCTCACTGTTTCTGTGAGGCAAAAAAATCCCACATGCAAAGTACAAATTATGTCATTTCTGTGATTCCACATTTGAGTCCAATGTTCCTGTTGAAATCTGGCATTGCACAATATAAAGAGGAACAGTATAATCCATGCTGGTAATTTAAAATGTTATTTTTTTTTTTTTTACTTAGAAGGACATTAAATAACAAATGAAAGCATCATGATAAATTGAGACACAGAGACCACAGAGGAAAGAAAATGCTGTATATGTTAATACTTCAGCAGTGCTTTTCCTCTGATTTTTGAATAAGGGGGCCCATGTTTTCATCTTGCACTGGACCTTGCAAATTCTGCAGCTGGTCCTGACTGTCAAGAGAGGGATTTAGCCATTAAATCAGCAGGGGTTGGTCGTGGGGATGTGGGGTACAGGAAGATAGAGGATTTAGGCATGGCTGCAGGGTTTTAAGCTGGTGGGACTGTTGGCTGGGAAATCTAGGAAATCCAGCATTGAAGGACAGGCTTTGTGAATCTGTTGTGGATGGGCTGAGCCTTCAGTGGCCATGGGGCAACCTGCCTGGGAGGAGGGCGAGCAGCAGTTCATCAGCATAGGTGGTGAATGAGGCTCAGGAGGGGCTACTGAGGCCGGAACTGTGGGCAGGGATGCTGGGGAAAGCAGACATTTAGGAGATGGGACAACAGCTGGGTATGATGGCTCACACATGTAATCCCAGCTACTCAGGAGGCTAAGACAGGAGGATAGCTCGAGGCCAGGAGTTCAAGATCAGCCTGCACAACATAGCGAGACCCCCTTTCCCCCCCACAAAAAAAAAATTACTGCAAAGTAAAAATACAAAAAAGAGATGGGACAACAAAGAAGGCCTCATAAAAGAGATGGAGAGGAAGGGGACAGGAGGAAAGGGGAGAGGGAAGGCGACAGCCAGAGGCAGGCATGAGAGGTTCCCTAGAGTGGAGTTTTTATTATCTCAAGTGACCATGAGCAAACTACTGAACCTGTCTGTGCTGCAGACATCATGGATAAAATGAAGACGAAATGAAGACAATAACAACAGCACTTATGGGTGGGGCAGTTGTGGTGAAGATTCAATGAAGAGTTTATATGGGAAGGGCTCAGAATGCTGCTGTATTAAATGCCTCAGGTTGCTATAACAAGGTACCACAAGCTGGGTGGCTTAGAACTACAGAAATGCATCGTCTCACACCTGCAGGCCAGAAGGCTGAGATGAAGGCGTTCTCAGGGCCATGCTCTCTCTGAAGATGCTAGGGAAGGATCTCCCTCCGAGCTTCCGCCAGCTCCTTAGCTTGTGGCAGCAGAAGTCCAATCTTCACGTGGCCTTCTCCCTGTGTGCATCTGTGTCCAAATTTCCCCTTTCCATATCTATATCTATATCTACACACACACATACACATATATGTAGTGTGTGTGTGTGTATATATATATATATTTATGTATGTATGTATGTATTTATTTATTTATTTATTTATTTTGAGACAGAATCCTGCTCCGTCACCCAGGCTGGAGTGCAGTGGTGCAATCTTGGCTCACTGCCACTTCCGCCTCCCGAGTTCAAGCAATTATCCTGCCTCAGCCACCTGAGTAGCTGGGATTACAGGTGCCTGCCACTATGCCCAGCTAATTTTTTTGTATTTTTAGTAGACACAGGTTTCACCATGTTGGCCAGGCTGGTCTTGAACTCCTGACCTCAAGTGATCCACCTGCCTCGGCCTCCCAAACTGCTAAGATTACAGGTGTGAGCCACCGCACCTGGCCTATTTATTGTTTTTTAAAGATGGGAGTCTTGCTATGTTGGCCAGGTTTGGTTTTGGACCTTAGCCTCAAGTGATCCTCCTGCCTCAGCCTCCCAAACTGCTAGGATTACAGGCATGAGCCACTGTGCCTGGCCTATTTTATTTATTATCTTTTTAATAGAGATGGGAGTCTCCCTATGTTGGCCAGGTTGGTCTTGAACCTCGGCCTCAAGTGATCCTCTTGCCTCAGCCTCCCAAAGTGCTAGGATTACAGGCATGAGCCGCTGCACCTGGCCAATTTCCCCTTTCCATAAGGACACCCATTATACTGGATAAAGCCCACTCTATCAACCTCATTTTAACTTGACTACCTTTGTAATGACTATCTCCAAATATGTCACGTTTTGAGGTACTGGGGGTCAGGACTCCAAGAAGTCTTTTGTGAGAGAGGGGATGCAATTCAACCCACAACAGTGCTCTGCTCTGTTAAATGTTCACCTTTATGAATAAGACGACCTCCACGAGTTGTTTTCTTCAAAGGTATGAGGCAGAGACCAGTGAGGGACAACCTGAGGGTGGGGAACCTAAATTTTCATGGCCACAATCTCCACAACAACCCAATGTTTCTCCCGCAGCACTTAGCAGCCCAGGTGAAGGTAAATACAAGAAGGAGAGGGAACAAAGATGAGGGAGGGACACATCCTGATAATGCGCCAAAGACAACCACAGGCAGGAATACTGATGGCAACGAGGCAGACAGGGAACACTGCCCATTGCTCTGCCTGCCTCACTTTTGTTCAGGGGCCACCAGGAGGCCTGAGGTCCCAGGTGGACAGAAATCACCACAATCCCCTCTTGTCCCCAACCAACATATGCACAGGAGGCAAACCAACTTTTGATCATTTATTGAAACAAATAAGAGGTTAATCTCTGGGTAAAAAGGCCTTGTTTGCCAGCAGCTCAGGGGATGCCTTCAAGCTGACAGGCACTAGTGCACTTTGAAGTAGGAAGCATCACATAGGTTCTGGAGATAAGCAATAGATAAACAACGGGAGTTACCAGAAGTGTCGAGCCAGGCATCACCTTAACAGAAATTATTCCTGGAGCTAATGTGGAAGTCAGTAATCCCAAGAGAAAAGACAGAGGTGGGCATGGTGGCTCATGCCTGTCATCTCAACACTTCGGGAGGCCGAGGTGGGAGGATCCCTTGAAGCCAAGAGTTCAAGATCAGCCTGGGCAACAGAGTGAGACCTCATCTCTAGAAAAACTAAAATAAATAAAATAAATTAGCCAGGTGCAGTGATGCACACCTATAGTCCCAGCTACTGAGGAGGCTAAGGCAGGAGGATTGCTTGAGCCCAGGAGGTCAAGGCTGCAGTGACCTATGATCACATCACTGCACTCCAGCCTGGGCAACAGAGCAAGACCCTGTCTCTAAAAATAAGAGAACAGAAGACAGATGAAGCAAAGTGGGCCAAAACTTAGAAAAAGGGAATTGCTCTGTTTTAGATGAAGGATTGTGAAACAAAATTTTCAAGAGCAGAAATGAAACACCTGTCTACCACAGTGTAGCCCTCAGCAAAACCACAAGTTGGCAGACTCTGACTCTCCCACACCCCTCTGGCTAACCCCAAACCCCTTCTAGATAGAATGTTCTCCTTCCTCTTCATCCTAATGCCAGGAGCAAGTTTGGTGGTGCGTTCCCCACACCTGCGCCCTTTGCCAAAGCTCCAGGTTCCAAAGCCTTTCTTTCTTCTCTTCTGCTTTAAGGCTTGCTTACCCTGAGTTCAAGACCCTTACAGCCTTGTTAGATAAATGGCTACATAAGATGATTGGTTAATCAGAGCGAGTATGGCTGATGATGGCTTCTGCAATATAATGCAATGAACCCGCACCCACCTTCACTGAACGATCAACATTCACTTTGGTGTAATGGGATAAACCATCAGCATGTCCCTCCTGATGCGATGCACAGAGAACATGACACCATTGCTGTGATAATCCCACCTCAAATGCATAAGAATATCACCGCCAAGAAACATCAGCCAAATCCAAAGTAAGGGACAATCTATCAAATAACCATCTTGCGTTCTTCAAGAATGCCAATACCATGAAAGATAAAGAAAAACCGAGGAGCTGTTCCAAGCTAAAAGGGACCTACAGAGACACAGCAACTGAAAATAATGCATGATCTGGGATTATCGTTTGCTCCAATGTACATCATTGGGTTAACTGGCAAAATCTGAATGAGGTCCCTACATTAGAAAACCTTATTGTAGCAGGGTTAGTTTCCTGATTTTGATATTGCCTTGGTTATATAAGACAAAGTCCGTGTTATTAAGGAATACACAGGAATATTTAGGGGTAAAAGATAACTCATCTGCCACTTAGAAAATAATAAAGCAAATGGGGTAAAATGGTAGCACTGGGGAATCTCAGCGAAGGGTATAAATGATGTCTTTGTACTATTCTTGCAACGCTTCTGTGTCTGGAAAAATAATAATAAATATTACATGTTTAATAACTAAATGAATGAAAAAGTGTGCAAGGTTTCTGCAGGTGTCAACCTTGGCGATACAACAGGATCATCTCAGAAGCTCTGCATGAATATCAGTGCCCAGGCCCCAACCCAGAGATTCATAGTCAGTTAGCTGGGGGTGAAACTCCAGACATCGGCACGTGTGAAACACACCCCAAGGTCATTCTAGCGTGAATCCAGAATAATAAGAAGAAAGCTTAGCCTTTAGTGTCATTGGGTGACAGGAAAGTTCTAGGCTGGGGACTTTCTGAGCCCCCCATGTCTGCTTGGTTTGAGATCTGATCTTGGGGGCAGCATGGTGACACAAAACAGGAGTACAGTTGTGGGTCCAGTCTTGGTCCTTCCTCTAATAAGATGGGAGACATTGGGTCAGATCCCTTGCCTGTGCCAAGCCTGGGTTTTCTCAGCTGTGGAATGAGGTTAACCAGGAAGTGCCTCAGAGGCCAATGTGCATTCAAGGAAGAAGATGCCCAGCTCAGATATGGTGTGGCTGTGTCCCCACCCAAATCTCTAATTGTAGTTCCCATAATCACCACATGTTGTGGGAGGGACCTAGTGGGAGGTAACTAAATCATGGGGTGGGTCTTTCTCCTGCTGTTCTCATGACATTGAATAAGTCTCACAAGATCTAATTCTTTTTTTCTTTTTTTGAGACCGAGTCTCACTCTGTTGCCCAGGCTGGAGTGCAGTGGCGTGATCTCAGCTCACTGCAACCTCCACCTCCTGGGTTTAAGCAATTTTCATGCCTCAGCCTCCCGAGAATCTGGGACAACAGGCGTGAGCCATCATACCTGGCTAATTTTTGTATTTTTATTAGAGATGGGGTTTCAACATGTTGGCCAGGCTGGTCTCAAACTCCTGATCTCAGGTGATCCACCCACCTTGGTTTCCCAAAGTGCTGTGATTAGAGATGTGAGTCACTGTTCCCTGCCTGATCTAATGATTTTATAAAGGGGAGCTCCCCTGCACAACTCTCTTGCCTGCTGCCATGTAAGATGTGACTTTTTTCCTCCTCCACCTTCTGCCATAATCATGAGGCCTACTCAGTCATGTGGATCTGTGAGTCCATTAAACCTCTTTTTCTTTATAAATTACACAGTCTCAGGTATGTCTTTATTAGCAGAGTGAGAAAGGACTAATAGAGTAACCCTTAAACCCCCGGACCCCAAAATGGAGTTGCCGCAGGATGGAAGTCTGAAATCCTTGTGATGTCCAGCTGGCAGAAAGGAATTTGGATGAGTAGGGCTGGCCAACTTCTGGTATTGCTGGTGGGTCCTGTCATTGTGTGGGTGACTCCTTGCACCCCTGGCCCTTCATAGGACTAAATTCTGGGAGGGTTCTTGGGAAAGAGGCTAGAGAAGGCAAGAGGACATCAATCTTCTTCCAGGCAGTAGGAAGGCAAGCTGGAGAGGCCAAGCTCCCAAGTAAATGGAGGCACCTCCACTGGCCCCTTTGTGAGGCACGTTTGACCTGGGTTTTACGGAAAGAAAGTGCCCTCACCAAACGGTGCAAAACAAGGCCCCAGGCTCCACACCTGATCCCAGGTGCCCCCCTCTGCCCTGCCCTAGACTCACCTAAAGCTGTACTGCCCAGAGTCATGGCCTCAGGCCACACATGGCTACTGGCCACTTGAGATGTGGCCGTCTCAGTTGAGATATGCTGTTAGTGTAAAATATACACTAGATTTCCAAGCCTTCATAAGCAAAAAGAAAAACATAAAATATCTCATTAAGAATTTTTAAGTATTCATTAATGTTGAAATAATAATATTTTGAATATAGTGGTTAAATAAAGTTTACTAGGAGAATTCATTTCACGCCTTTTACTTTTTCTAATGTGGTGACTAAATTATTTAATATTACACATGTGGATTACATTGTATTTCTATTGGATAGCTCTGTTCTAAAGTCTGCACATTGTCCTTTTGTGGCTTATTTCCTTGATAATTTTATTAAAATTAAATTGGGGGGCCAGGTGCAGTGACTCACATCTGTAATCTCAGCATTTTGGGAGGCTGAGGCAGGTGGGTCACCTGAGGTCAGGAGTTCGAGACCAGCCTGGCCAACATGGTGAAATCCTGTCTCTACTTAAAAATACAAAAATTAGCCGGGCATAGTGGTGCGTAACTATAATCCCAGCTACGCGGGAGGCTGAGGTAGGAGAATCGCTTGAATCCTGGAGGCAGAAGTAGCAGTGAGCCGAAATCACACCACTGCACTCCAGCCTGGGGGACAAGAACGAAAATCCATCTCTAAATAAATAAATAAATAAATAGAAAAACAAAATTGAGGGCCGGGCACGGTGGCTCATGCCTGTAATCCCAGCACTTTGGGAGGCCGAGGCAGGAGGATTACCTGAGGTCAGGAGTTCGAGACCAGCCTGGCCAGCATGGTGAAATCCCGTCTCTACTAAAAATACAAAAATTAGCTGGGCTTTGTGGTGGGTGCCTGAAATCCCAGCTACTCCAGAGGCTGAGGCAGGAGAATCAGTTGAACCCAGGAGGTGAGGTTGCAATGAGCTCAGATTGCACCAAGGCGCTCCAGCCTGGGCGACAGAGTGAGACCCTGTCTCAAAAAATAAAGAAAGAAATAAAAATAAATTGAGGAAGGACTGAGCATGCAAAATAGAATCAGCCTTTGACCCTGAATACCCTGCAGTGAGAATTCCCCTGTGGTTCTCAGGCTTCTGTAATTCCAGCAAATACACTCTTTCCTCAGGTTCACTAAAATGCAGATATTGTGAGATAATGCTCATTTCTCACAGATTGCTTGAATAATAATAATGATCATTACAGTAATTTACAACTTAATAGTCAATACTGCCTTTTTAACCCAGTCTGTGAGACTGAATCGTAAACGTGACATTCTTTGAAGTAAAGCTCTCAATTAATATACCAGACTGCATAAACTCTAATAACTTACCTTTCCATGGAAAGAGAATATGTGGGTATTCTCTTTGAAGACAAATGGTGGAGAGTAGACTCTCATCAAAGACCCTCTGGCAGTAATGAGTTGCATTCGGGAAGGTTCCAGAAGGTTCTGTGGAAGTCTGCAGTTTGGGATTGGTTCTCAGGTGTCTGTCTAACTGCTTTCTAAGGATGAAGACTCCTGGTTCATGCTTCAGCTCCACCCACAGGAGCAACAGACTGACATTCCTCCACATAATAACAGACCCAGGCAGTGCAGAGCCATGTGGGGGGTCTTATCTGTCCTGTTGTCCACAGTCTGGTTTTATCTTAGACCCAGCCTGGTGCAATTCATGTTGTGTATTGGCACTCCACTTAAGTTTCCTGTTTGTAAAAAGCCTCTTTCATTCGGTGATTTCTCAGGGCTTTAGGGGAACTTTCTGGAAAGCAGGAAGAAGGAAATAAAGGTTGTTTTGCTGAGGATGGGTGACATTGGGCGCGGGACCCAAATGAGTGGTTTGAGAAGAAAGTAGCCTTCACGCTGGACTAATGCTTGGCAACATTATGGGAAAATTTGGGGAAGCTGGGAGAGGAGGGGGCAGAGTTTCCTTCCCAGCCAGCCAGGGGGTCCAGGCAGTTTTGGTCCTAGGACATCTCTCTGTGCATTCCCAAGTAATTGCAAGGCTTTTTCTTGTCATCGTCTGAGACTTGGATTCCCCAAGCGTCCTTCTTTTCCTGGAGCCTCTGAGTCCTCTATTCCTGAGGCCTTTCTTCAGCACCCCCAATAGCCCCGCCATGATTTCATTGCAGGGCTGTGACCGTCTACGACAAACCGGCATCTTTCTTTAAAGAGGCACCTCTGGACCTGCAGCACTGGCTCTTCATGAAGCTGGGCAGCACACACTCTCTGTTCAGGGCCCGGTAGGCCTCCCATCCTCAGCTGCCTTCTCTCCTGCTCGCCACTGCCCTGGCCTCTCCCCTTCTCGCTGCAGACCTGGGAAACCACTCATCCAGGGGTTGGCAAACTAAGGCTACAGGCCAGTCTCCTGATTTTGTAAATCAAGTTTCATTGGGACACAACACACTCATTAACTTCTGAGTTGTCTACAGCTGCCTTTGAGCTACAATAGCAGAATCGCGTTTTGCAACAGAGAACCTGTGGCCCGCAAAGCCTGAAGTATTTACTCTCTGGCCCTTTAAGAAATGTTTGTGGACCCCTGCACTGTCTTACTCTCCTGTCAATGGGTTCCCAGATCTGTGGCAGGATCTGTGGACCTGTGTGTCCCCTGGGGTGTCTCATGGGGCTAAGGAGGGGACCTTTGTGCAGGTCCACACACCCTGAGGTGTGCCCCTGGGTAAGCTGGGGTGGTGTGGGAGGGCATCCCTGCACCCTCATCTTGAGTCCAGGGGATGATAAGACAGTAAGTCCCGTGGAGAAAAGGAATGAGTCAGTCTTGTTTGCTGTTGTAATCTTAGCACCCAGCAACAATATTAGAGAAAGCAAGCCCAGGCCTCGGATGGCAGGGGTGGCCTGGTGCTGCTGATGTGGCCAGGCACCCCAACCGCTGGGAGCCTGCAGGCCTCGCCATGGCAGGAGATGCCCGTCCTTGGTCCTGGGCCTGCTCTGTGGCCTCTCACAGGCTTTTTTTCTGCTCTTTCATCTCAGAACCTGAGGATCCAGCCACGGAGCGGTCGGCCTTCATGGAGCAGGATGCTGGGAGCAGGCTGGTGACACGTCTCCATGAGCAGCCAGCCCTGCTGGTCAGCAGCACGAGCTGGACAGGTCTGCAGGACCCCTGGGGCACATGGGTTTGGTGTGACGGGCACCTGGCCAACCTGTGTTCTCCTCACCTCTGCCAGTCCTGCATGCCCCCACCCCGTCACAGTCTCAGTGAGAAGGGGAGGGTGTGTGACCTGGAAGAGAGGTGTCTAGTAACAGGACCCTGACATTCAATTCTCTTCTCATAGAGGATGAAGACTTCTCCATCCTGCTGGAAGCTTTAGAAAGTAGCTGTGTGGCTGCGGTGAGGAGCTCTGGGCTTGTCGGGGGCCACTGAGCTGTGAGCTGCTTGCCTGGCCTGCAGCATGTTCCTGAGCTGGACCACTGGGTGGGGCAGCCTGGGGACAGTGGGGGTGGTGGAGGTGGGCCGCCCTGAATCCCCAGTTGGGTCATTGAGTGACCAGGCCCTCAGGCTGAAATGCCCCCTCCAGGAGAGTATCTCACAGAGGATGGTGGCCTCCCCACCAGAGCAGTGCTCTTTCTCCACCTTACCAGGTGACTCTGGCTATTGTTTATTTAAAAATTTTTTTCTGAATGGGCATGGTGGCTCACACCTGTAATCCTAGAACTCTGGGAGGCTGAGGCAGGCAGATCACCTGAGGTCAGGAGTTCGAGACCAACCTGGCCAACATGGCGAAACCTGTGTCTACTAAAAATACAAAAATTAGCTAGGTATGGTGGTGGGCGCCTGTAGTCCCAGCTACTTGGGAGGCTGATGCATGAGAATTACTTGAACCTGGGAGGCAGAGATTGCAGTGAGCTGAGATCGCACCATTGCATTCCAGCCTGGGTGACAGAGCGAGAGTCTGTCAGAAAAAAAAAAAAAAAAATTCTATCAGAAATTCCATGTAGAATTGTTTCTTTTTTTAAACACAGAGTTTGAACAACTGACTCTTGACGGACACAACCTTCCTTCTCTCGTCTGTGTGATAACAGGTACCGCCTGGGACCCTGGCTTTCTGTTTGGTTGGGGGATGGCGGAGGGGGCGGAGCATGCAGTCTTTACCCTGTGCTTCCCACGATCTTGTCTCCTTAATCCTCACTGCAGCTCTCTGCCATAGGGTCTTATATTGCTTGACATGGGGGAAACTGAGGCTCAGAGGGTTTCACAGCAGGGCAGGGAGCCCAGATTTGAATCTGTAGATACCAAACTTTTTACTTTTTCAGTAGTTTCCAAGCATCTTCTTTTTGTTGTTGTTACGTCATTGGTGTCTTTTTTTTTTTTTTTTTTTTTGAGATAGAGTCTTTGTCGCCCGGGCTGGAGTGCAGTGGTGCGATCTGGGCTCACTGCAAACTCCGCCTCCCACATTCAAGCAATTCTCGTGCCTCAGCCTCCTGAGTAGCTGGGACTACAGGTGACCACCACACCCGGCTAATTTTTGTATTTTTAGTAGAGACAGAGTTTCACCATGTTGGCCAGGCTGGTCTTGAACTCCTGACCTCAGGTGATCCACCCGTCTTGGCCTCCCAATATGCTGGAATTACAGGCATGAACCACTGTGCCCGGCCATGTCATTGGTGCCTTAACCGAGCCTCTTAATTTTTCAAATGGAAGAGCCCCTGTCCCACAGTTACTGCTGCTGAGCCCTTTCAAGGTGACTCAGTGAGGAGGGAGAAAAGCGGAAGCGGTGTGGGAAGAGGCGGGGTCTGGGCCAGCTGCTGGTCCTGCTCTCCTCCTTCTTCTGGCCTCTAGGCTCCCAGGAGTGGTTTGGAACCCGCGCCATGTGCTCTGGAGGCTGTGTCAGGGAAGGGGGAGTCCTCGTGTCCCCTGCGCACAACACAGACAGAAGGCTGGATCCACCCAGTGGGCGGTCGGGTGCCAGGCCAGTGCTTACCCCGCCATGTTTGCAGCCCGAGGCCAGCTGGCTGCAGGTACAGGGCTGTGCGTCAGGGGTCAGCGTGCACACACCCCTGCAGGTCTTGGGGCTCCTGGGTTGCTTCTGGAAGGGCCCGCATGGGGCCTGACTGGAGCTGCCGAGGAGTGGAGCTTCTGGGAAAGGGATCCCTCCTAGGGGGGAGTGTCTTGGGCCTGGGGCCACGTGGCAGGGACAGAGACGGGTCCATGGCAGTGTCTCCTCTTCTCTGTGAAGGCAAACGGCCTCTGAGGGAGTATTACAGCTGCCTCATCCACCAGAAGCATTTCCAGCATATCCAGGTCTGCACCCCCTGGCTGGAGGCCGAGGACTACCCCCTGCTTCTAGGTGAGAGGCCAGCAGGAGGCTCAGGGAGGAGGCGGGGCCTTAAGCAGGGGGAACGGGGTGGGCGGGATGTGCTTTTTCTGAAAAGGTGGCTCTGGAGGCCACTTGGGCACGGGACCTTGGCTCTGGCTGAACTCCCAGGAGGAGGCTACTTCCTGGTGTGCCAGCCCCTCCCTGCCAGTTGGCCCCAGAGGCCGTTTACCAAGGCGTTTGAGGAGGCCACGTCCTTTCAGCCTGCCACGCCCTCCATTCAGTCCTCTTCCTTCCTGCAGGAGGGCTGGGCCTGGGGTTGGGGCCACTGTTGCCCAGGTGTGGGAGGGCAGTGGCTTTGGGAGGTACAAGGATGATGTGTCAAACAGCGTCGCCTCTCCCAGTGAGATGGTTCTCCTTTGCCTCCGTCTCTTTCCCCATTGATTCCTCCAAGTGGGGAGTCGTGTCTTGGTCCTGATGCGTCTCTAGAGCTGCATCTTCCGGCTTTGAGTGAGCAGAGCAGTTGGAGGCTGAGGGCCTTTTCCTGGCAGGACTCTCCAGCTAGTCTTTGTTTTAGACAGTCTCGCTGCATTGCCTAGGCTGGAGTGCACGATCTCAGTTCATGCAACCTCTGCCTCCTGGGTTCAAGTGATTCTCCCACCTCAGCCTCCTGAGTAGATTACAGGATTACAGGAGCCCACCACAACACCTGGCTTATTTTTGTATTTTTAGTAGAAACAGGGTTTCACCGTGTTGGCCAGGCTGGTCTTGAACTCCTGACCTTAAGTGATCCTCCTGCCTTGGCCTCCCTAAGTGCTGGGATTCCAGGCATGACCCATCATGCCTGGCCCCAGCTAGTCTTTAGAAATGTTAAGCTATATGGCTTTATTTTCACAGTGACAGCTGGTTTGTGGTGGGTGTGCTGTGGTTTATTATTATTATTAGTATTAGTATTAGTATTAGTATTATTAGTATTTTGAGATGGAGTTTCACTCTTGTAGCCCAGGCTGGAGTGCAATGGCATGATCTTGTCTCACTGCAACCTCTGCCTTCCCAGGTTCAAGCGATTCTCCTGCCTCAGCCTCCTGAGTAGCTGGGATTGGAGGCACCTGCCACGACGCTTCGCTAATTTTGTATTTTTTTAGTAGAGATGGGGTTTCACCATATTGGCCAGGCTGGTCTTGAACTCCTGACCTCAGGTGATCCACCCGCCTTGGCCTCCCAAAATGCTGGGATTACAGGTGGGAGGTGAACTTGGGAGGTGGAGGTTGCAGTGAGCTGAGATTGTGCCACTGCACTCCAGCCTGGGTGACAGAGTGAGACTCTGTCTCAAAACAAGACAAAACAAAACAACAACAACAAAACCAAATTGTGGTTATGTAGAAAAAGTGTCAACTTATGTTTTCAGATGTCCCAGCCAGGCCGTGTGGCTGCTTGGCCAGCTTAAGCCACTTGTGCTTGGTGATATTGGGGGCCTTATGAGATTTTCACTCCCCTCCGGGGATGTTCCCTCACTGTGCTGGGAGGATTTGTGTTCCCAAGGCAGAGACCAGCGCTCTGACCGCACCCCTCTTGCCTAGCATGGTCGGTGGACCTGGGTGTCTGTCTGCACATGTCCTCCAGTGGCCTGGACCTGCCCATGAAGGTGGTGGACATGTTCGGGTGCTGTTTGCCTGTGTGTGCCATGAACTTCAAGTGGTAGGAGCAGAACCCGAATCTTTCTGGGGATAGCTTCACAAATCCACCGCTGAGGGGGAAGCAGTGCAGAGCGAGATGCCCACAGTGAGGCCCTGTCCCTCGGTCAGTCCAGCACACACTGGAGGCCAGGAGGAGGAGCCCTGCATTTGCTGTGGCTGGGCTGAGCCTCATTGAAGTAGTTGCTTCCATTTAGAGCTCATGTTATATTTAGGTTGGTGCAAAAGTAATCACGGTTTTTGCCATTAAAAATGACAATTACTTTTGCACCAACCTAATATGAAAAAAAAAGCATCTTAAATACTAGAACTCCACTCGGGGCTTTTGCTCCTGGAGTAGAATTGGCGGGAATTGCCTGCAGGCTTACATGGTTTTCTTTGTTGTTTTCTCTCCCACCATGTCCCTTTTGGCCAAGCTTACGTGGTGGGTTTGAATCAGTTGAATGAGTGTCATGCTGTGGCCTCACTCCACCCAGCATAGACGGGTGTTTGGAAGGGTGGCACTAGAGGAGATTCTAGAAGCAGTAGCCTCAGCACAAGTTGAGCCCTTGGCCCCTGCTCAGGAGCCGGCCCCTGGATGGGATTCAGGGATGTGAGCCCCTCGTGTGATCTGAGCTCAGGGAATGTCAGGATCAAACCTGGTGCCCTAGAAAAGTCATCTTTTATGTGCTGAGCCAGTCTCCAGGGGGTTGCCTTTACTTATTCCATGGCCATGGAATTAAGAAAAACATGCAAAAATAATTCTTCAGTCCTTGAAGAGCATGCAGCACAGAAGGTACAAACCCTCCTTAAGGCTCCCTCCTCAAATCGCTTTGGCCATTTTGATGTGCACCAGCGCCCCCCCCAGGCCTTTGTACCCTCAGATGCCAAGTCTAAGAACCAGCTCCTGGAAACCACACCCCCCTGTTCCAACCCCCAGCCTGGCTTGAGCGTGGGGTGGGTGGGAGCCCTGGTGGGCACCACAGCGGTCTGGTATCTTCTCCAGGCAGCTCTCAGGCTCCCTTGGTTCTCTCTGCAGTTTACATGAGCTGGTGAAACATGAAGAAAACGGCCTGGTCCTTGAGGACTCAGAGGAACTGGCAGCTCAGCTGCAGGTAGCCACGTCTGCCACCACGCCCGGGTGGGCAGGGTTCTGGAGACTGGCACCGAGCCACGCTCCCTGATCCCTGCTTCTCACAGCCAGGGTGGGACCATGTGGGGTCTGGTGGAAAAGCTAGGGAGGGAGCAGAGGTCACAGATGCTGGCCCTCTCTGCTGCCCAGTTTTGGTACAGTAGGCTCGGGAAAGTTAGGACACACCCCCTCCTGCCCTCTGGATTTATGGAGCTGACACTCCACAAATGATGCTGGAGCCGGGTGGGTCGGGCTGCAGTTTAGGAAGTGATCAGGATCAGGTAGGTGTGTAGGTAAAGGGAGCTTCTGGGACCAGCCTTGAAAGATGGGCGGAATTCTGCAAAGGTTACTTGTTTCTTATTGCTAAAAGTAATACATCATTCTTGCCAACAGAGTGACTGGGAGGATTTTCAGTAAAGGTCCAGGTCGGAAGTCATTTAGACTGGGTGCCCCAGTCTCTGTCACAACCATGGTACTCTGTTGTGGTGTGAAAGTAGCCACAGATCGTCTGTAGATTAAGGGGTGTGGTTTTGTTCCAATAAAACTTTATTTAGAAACACAGGCTGTGGGCTGGATTTGGCCTGCAGGCTGTAGTTTGTGATCCTTGATTCAGACAGTTTAGCAAGGCTGAAAAGAACACCGACAGCCACTCATTACCCACAGATGGGTGGGACTGTGTTGGCCAGAGGCCGAGAGGAGGGTGCTCACAGGGGAACGTACAGCATGTAGAGGCCGGAAGGTGCTCCAGGGCACCAAGTGTGGGAAAGTGGGACATACAGGTAAGTTTCCAGGGGAAGTTTCCGGAAAGCATAATGTCAAGTTGGAGGCGGAGCACTGCTGGGGCGTGAAGGGTCTTGAGTTCAAGTGAGGGAGTTAGGGGCTTGGGAGGGGTTGTTATTGGGTCGGGGACCTGGGGTCATCCAG
Source organism: Homo sapiens (assembly GCF_000001405.40). Taxonomy (NCBI): domain Eukaryota; kingdom Metazoa; phylum Chordata; class Mammalia; order Primates; family Hominidae; genus Homo; species Homo sapiens. The sequence goes on along the minus strand of NC_000004.12, from coordinate 9,703,942 downwards.
GTGGTGACCTGGGATGGGGTTGGGACAGGCAATGAGGTAAGCTCTGCTCTTTATTTTTTTGCAGATGCTTTTCTCAAACTTTCCTGACCCTGAGGGCAAGCTAAACCAGTTCCGGAAGAACCTGCGGGAGTCGCAGAAGCTCCGATGGGATGAGAGCTGGGTGCAGACTGTGCTCCCTTTGGTTATGGACACAGAACTCCTGGGCCAGAGGCTAAAACCCCAGGGCCCCTGCTGTCCTTCCCGCAGCTTCTTCTCGGAGTCTCAGGGCAAATCCTTTCGAGTAGCGCCTCCCAGTGGCCAGAAGCTGATATGACGGCAGTGGTGCCGCCTGGTGAATGAATTGGTTCTGTGACCGGGGAAGCTGTGGTTGGCCCTGATTTCTTCTCTGGAGGCTCAGAAACGCTTCCTGTCTTCTTCTGTTCTTCACGCCCCATGCTCCTGCTAGAGTATTACTGTTCTGTGACTTCCCTGTGACCTCTGCAGTACTCCTTAGCCTGCGTTTGGTCTCCAGGTGCCACCTTTCTGCCGTGTTCCTAACATGTTGATTCCTGTCTTGAAAAAAGCACCTGCTGCACCATAAGCCCAGGGATGTGACAGCTGCAGCGGGCTTGGCTTTGTGAGGAACCGAGTGTGTCCACGTTGGGGGAACATCATACTTGATACACACGTTTTTATTTGCACAAAGAAATTGCTATTTTCGGAGCCAGAATTTTCATGTCTGATTTATGGTGATTTTCTTAAGAACCAGAACTGCTGGCAGAAAGGGGGCACCCACACGCTTAGATAGCCGATGTCTTATTAGAGGGCACTTTGTGGTTCCTGATTTGGAAATTAACACTCTCCAAACATTCCAGTCCAATGAAAGTTTTATCCGCTTTCCCATATAAAAATTCTTCCCACGAGAGTGACTTGATTCTCACGATCCTGTTGGAGTCGTGTGTGAGTCCTACAGTGTGAGGTTCAGCATTGCCATCTCCAAGTGCTCTCCTTAGGGAAACAGTTTCTGGTCATGATGAGCTTCCGCTTCCCATGTGATCCTGGCCCGGCCTGGAAACAGAACACGTGTTTGAGGATGGCGGTGTTTGGGGACAGGACATGAGCATTTTGTGTGGGGCTGCTAGGACAGGCCTGGCGGGGTGGGGGGTGTCCAAGTCAGTTTACTTGGTTCACAGGTTCCCAGGCCCACCCAGGTGCCTAGAATTGGCCTCCAGGATGGGACAAGAAATCTGGTTTTGCATAGAAATGGCTAGCAGCAGGCACCGTGCTGCTGTCCACTCTCTGCCTGCGTCCATCCTAGCACTTGGCACAGCGGGACAGAAGCAGAGATCTGAACCCACATCTACCTGGCTGCTCAGTCAACCCACTCTTCACAAAGCTTAGAAAGCCGCCGGGTACAGTGGCTTACGCCTGTAATCCCAACACTTTGGGAGGCCGAGGCGGGCGGATCACTTGAGGTCAGGAGTTCGAGACCAGCCTGGCCAACATGGTGAAACCCCATCTCTACAAAAATACAAAAATTAGCCAGGCATCATGGTGGGTGCCTGTAATCCCAGCTACTTGGGAGGCTGTGGTGGGAGAATTGCTTGAACCCAGGAGGCGGAGGTTGCAGTGAGCTGAGATTGTGCCACTGCACTCAACCGTGAGTGACAGAGTGAGACTCCATCTCAAAACAAACAAACAAACAAACAAAAAAAAAACCGCACACACCACACACACACACACACAAAGCTTAGAAGGGGCTGGTGTTCTCAGAAGCACAGATGTCTGAAGAGCCGTTAGCCAGAATGATTCTTTTTTTTTTTTTTTTGAGATACGATCTTGTTCTGTCACCCAGGCTGGAGTGCAGTGGCACAGTCATTGCTCACCACAGCCTCGACTCCTGGGCTCTAGCAATCCTCCCACTTCCTGAGTAGCTGGCATGACAGGTGCATGCCACCATGCCAGTAATTTTTTTGTTTTGTAGAGATGGGGTCCTGAACGCATGGCCTCAAGTGATGCTCCTGCCTCAGCCTCTTTTATTATTTTTTTTTAGACGGAGTTTTACTCTGTGCCCCAGGCTGGAGTGCAGTGGCGAAATCTCAGCTCACTGCAACGCCTCCCAGGTTCAAGTGATTCTCCTTCCTCAGCCTCCCGGGTAGCTGGGATTATAGGCGTGCACCACCATGCCTGGCTAATTTTTGTGTTTTTAGTAGAGATGGGGTTTCACCGTGTTGGCCAGGCTGGTCTTGAACTCTTGACCTCAAGTGATCCACTCACCTCAGCCTCCCAAAGCCTCAGCCTCTTACAGTGTTGGGATTACAGGTGTGAGACACTGTGACCTCGGATGATTTTCAATCACAGTTTTTTGTTACAAGTGGAAAATGCGTATTTTTAAAAATGAAGTAGAACAGACATGAACGTGTAGAAGTCTCTATAATCCTGCCAATGGCACCTGTTCACGTGTATATCAGGGATATACAATATTTTGGCCTCCATGGGCCACGTTGAAAGAAGAAGAATCGCCTTAGGCCACACATAAAATACACTAATGCTAGCGATAGCTGGTGAGCTAAAAGAAAAAAAATCACACAAACTCCTCATACTGTTCTAAGAAAGTTTACAGATTTGTGTTGGGCCGCAGGTTGGACAAGCCTGCTGTATATATATTCTAGGTTTTCCCCTATAGGTATACTTATGTGAAAATGATGATTGTGATAATTTTTTTTTGAGATGAAGTCTTGCTATGTTGCTCAAGGTGGCCACAAACTCCTGGGCTTAAGCCATCCTCCTGTCTCAGCCTCCTGAGTAGTTGGGAATATAGGTACTCAAAACCATGTGTGGGTGATTATTATTAGTTTTTAAACAAAAATGGGTCGGGGCGCAGTAGCTCACACCTGTAATCCTAACACTTTGGGAGGCTGAGGCAGCAGATCACTTGAGGTCAGGAGTTCAAGACCAGCCTGGCCAACATGGCGAAACCTCAACTCTACAAAAAATACAAAAATTAGCCAGGCGTGGTAGCACGCGCCTGTAGTCCCAGCTACCCAGGAGGCTGAGATGGGAGAATAGCTTGAACCTGGGAGTTGCGAGGTTGCAGTGGGCTGAGATGGCACCACTGCACTCCAGCCTGGGCAATGCGAAACCAGACTCTGTCTCAAAAAAAAAAAAAAAAAAAAGGTTGGTAGGGGCTTATGCTATGTGTGCTGTTTGGCACTTTTTTCACTTAAAAGATATTGCAGGTATTTTTTCATGTAAGTATCTGAAGAAAGACTTCCTGTTTTTTTTTTTGTTTTTTTTTGTTGTTTTTTTTTTTTTGCCTTTTTGAGACAGGGTCTTGCTCTGTTGCCTAGGCTGGAGTGCAGTGGTGAGATGAGGGCTCACTGCAGCCTCCACCTCCTGGGCTCAAGCCATCCTCCTACCTCAGCCTCCTGAGTAGCTGGGACTACAGGTGTGCGCAACCACACCTGGCTAGTTTCTGTATGTTTTGTGGAGATGGGGTCCCACTATGTTGCACAGGTTGGTCTTGAACTCCTGGCGTCAAGAAGTCCTCCTGCCTTAGCCTCCTAAAGTGCTGGGATGACAGGCCTGAGCCCCGCGCCCAGCCAGCCTCCTGTGCGACGTTTTGCGGGACTCTGTCGTGGAACCCAGTATGCCTTCGTGTGCTGGCTTGTTTGTTGGCTCTGTAGTTAACGGGCTGCCCCACGTGGGCAGGCATTGGATCATCCGTGTCTCTGTGTGCAGGCAGAGGCTGCTGCAGGTGCATCTGTGCACATGGCTCCCAGGAGGGGCTGTGCTCAGGGGGAGCTGGAGCAGAGGCTGATGGCATTGGGGGGCTTGGGTGTAGTGTGGAGGCATGAGAGCCAGGTGGCCGGGCTGCAGTCTGCGGGAGTTCAGGGGTCGCTTGGCCTCTGTGTGTCCTAGTGTCTTTGTCAGTGAGATGGGACAAAGACAGCACACCCTCACAGGTGCTGGGGGCTGACAAATGTCAGGTCTGAGGACAGTTGCTGGCACACTACGGGGCCAGTTCCCCTTCTTTACAGTCATCCTGCTCGTCTTCCATCGACTGGGTGCTCAGGACAGTGGCATGGTGGATCCGCCTGTATAGCCTGTGCTCCAGCATCCTGCAGGCCACAGCTGTGTCCAGCCCTGAACCCGACTGCCTCTCCTGCCACCTCCATTTTATAGATGAGGAAACCGAGGCCCAAGGGCTTAGGGAACCCTGCTCTGAAGCACACAGTAGGGCTGCTGGGCTCAGACCTTCCCTCCCTGGGCTGAGCTGCCCTCCTGCTGCCGCAAGCCCTCCATGCCCCAAGCCCACCCTGCTCACTGTCCTCTGCCCGAGTTCCCCGCATGGTGTGGGAGTGTGGGGCATCCTAGCTTTTCCCCGGTGCCCAATTCTTTCACTTCCAATGGAGTCCTGCAGGGACAGCTCGGGGACCATGCAGGCGCAGGTGGACATGGAGGCTCACCTAGCTCGGTGGTGAACAGCTGGCACGTCTCTGGGTTGCGGACAGTGAAGGCCACATAGACCTCAGGAGCCCGCTGGTGCTCCCGGCAGGCAGCCAGCCTCCACAGGACCCTGACCAGCGACACAATGGCTTCTGGGCAATACAGCACGTCTACGGTGAAAGCTTCAGGTTACTGAATGGGACCAGCGGACAGTTCCAGGTCATGCTGTCCTCAGCAGCAGGGCGAGGCCAGAGAGGCAGCGGTCATATGAGATTGGTAGATGCCATTTGACCATTTGTGCCATTAGATGGAAAGGCAATTACTTGGTGAAAAAGGAGAACCCTTAGTAGAGCAAGCTGCAAAAGACCGAAGCAAAAGAAAAAAATCTCCAGACTCACTGGTGTTCCTTAGAAAAACAGCTCTGGTTCTCGGCCTATCTAGAGGGCTTCGAATGACACAAAGCCTGACCCTGCCATGAACTTCGTGTTTCAGGCATCTGCCGATTGGTCTGCTGGCTTGCAGGCGTGGACCTGTGTCCCTGGCCACCGCTGGACCTGTGGTTTTCAGGGCGGGGCCCAGGACCACAGGCAGAGCTCTGCTTGACCAGAGACCCCTCTCTGGTCTCTAGGGTGACCAGAGACACCTTAGGGACTGAGTGTGCTGGCAGGGGTGAGGGGTTTTTGGTGGCCCAGCCAAACACCACCTTCTCTCAAGAGCCCTGTCCTTGTCCCAGAAGTGGTTGTTTTCCTCCTGTGGTCTCTGAAGGACACAGGGCATGGCTCTGGGACAGAGCCATGTGGTGACAACTGTAACAGGAGTATGCCTGTCTCCAACAAGAGGGCTGTGGCTTGAAGGTCACCTTAAGAGGCACCCCTGTCCTTTGATGTCACCCTGGAGGCCCAGAGTAACTCTTCTGGAAGCCCCATCATGTCCATGCCCGACAGCGTCCATTGTTCCCTTTTCCCAGAGCCAAGAGCTGGGTAGAGCTGCAAGGACACTGCCTGCACAGGATGCCCGGGGCTGGGCATTACCTGCTGCAATGACAACATCTGGCTGGAAGGCAGAGAGCTGATGGACCGTCGCGACGTCCCAGTCCAGCTGGGCCAATGTCACCCTGGGGCTGTCTAAGTTGGAAGTGATGTCTGCCTCTAATGAGAGGCCATTGAGGACATTCCCTCGGAGCTGCTCGAGGACCCGGCTGTGACAGTCGCTGAAGATGTATGCCCGGGGGCGGCACATCTTGCAGATGGCCAGGCCTGTGAGGCTGGCACCACTGCCAAGCTCTAAGACAGTCCTGGCGGGAGGAAAGGGGACCGTGTCTGTGACTGCACCAAGGTAAGCCTGCCCTGCACCCCGAGGCCACCTGTGAGTGAAGGCTGCTGGGTTCTCGGCCCATTCTGCAAGGTAGAGGGCAGTGTCCCATGTGACCAGGCCTGTGGTGCCGTGGGAGATGATGGCCGTACTCTCGGAGAGTGTGACGGAGCCTCCCGAGGGCTGCACCAAGAGAGGGCGGGAGAGTCAGTCCAGCAATCAGAAGACAAGTGGCATAGAAGATAAGTAGCCATCCACCACATGGCTGAATAAACCATGACAGGACCAATCGCCACTCAGCAATCAGAAGCAGCTAACTGTTCACATCCCAACAGCTTGCATGGGCCTCCGGTGTCACGTGGCATGAAAGACACTCATCTCAGGCCACACAGGAGTCCACTCATCCAACATTCCTGAGACGACAGAATTCTGGTGATGGAGCACAGGTCAGCGGTGGCCAGGGCCTGGGTGTGGCTATGAAGGGGTGACTGCCTTGTGATGTTTCAATATGCTATGTTTTTCCTTTGTGGTTTTCTGTATCTATGTTTTATCTTATTTTTTTTGAGCTTTGTCACCCAGGCTGGAGTCAGTGGCACGATCTTGGCTCACTGCAACCTCCACCTCCTGGGTTCAAGCAATTCCCCTGCCTCAGCTGCCCAAGTAGCTGTGACTACAGGCATGTGTCACCATGTCCGGCTAATTTTTGTACTTTTTTTGAGACAGACTTTCATTCTCGTTGCCCAGGCCAGAGTGCAATGGCGCAATCTCGGCTCACTACAACCTCCACCTCCCGGGTTCAAGAGATTCTCCTGCCTCAGCTTCCTGAGTAGCTGGGATTACAGGCGCCCAATGCCACACCCTGCTAATTTTTGTATTTTTAGTAAAGATGGAGTTTCACCATGTTGGCCAGGCTGGTCTCAAACTCCTGACCTCAGGTGATCCACCCGCCTCAGCCTCCCAAAGTGCTGGGATTACAGGCATGAGCCACCACGCCCAGCCTAATTTTTGTATTTTTAGTAGAGACAGGGTTTCACCATATTGGCCAGGCTGGTCTCGAACTCCTGACCTCAGATCCACCAGCCTCGGCCTCCCAAAGTGCTGGGATTACAGGCGTGAGCCACCGCGCCTGGCCCTGTCAAGTATTCTTTGAGGACTGGGCACCAGGTCCTTGTGCAGCAGGTAGTGTGTGTTACCTATTGGACAACTGCCCAACAACCCCACGAGACATGCTGTTGTTGTTGAAGTGCTTGATTTACAGACAGGGAAACTGAGGCCAAAGAAGGTTAACAGACCTCATGTCTAAGACTGCAGCATGGGTGAGTCAGGACTTGAACCCACACCCACGTTTTCACTTTGTCTGTGCAGGAAGGGTATCTGGGCTGTGAGGGGGAGGAGGGTGCCCTTCTCATACCAGCAAATAGCTCCAGTGGCCCTGGGTGGACCCCTTGGCCATCAGGGTCTCTGCCAGCACCTTGTACAGCTCGTCCAAAGGCTCCGTGTGGACAGCCTCGTGCTGGGGGCAGACAGAGTAAGAGCTTGTTTGCTTTCCTTCTAATCTGTAAAAATGGCCAGATGATTTTCACCAAGCTTGGAGGGGAGATTTGGGATGGAATGGTGTAATACCGGCCAGTTGGCATATAAAATATTCACTTCGTTGGGCGTGGTGGTGTGTGCTGAATAGTCCCAGCTACTCTAGAGGCTGACATGGGAGGACTGCTTGAGCCCAGGAGTTCGAGGACAGCCTGGGCAACAGAGATCTTGTCTCTAAAAAAATAATTCACTTGATAGGGAAACCTGGATGGGAGGGCCTTCAACAAGAGGTGTTGAGAGGGTAGGGTTAGGTGTAGTCTAGTGCAGGAGACAAGGATTCCGTGAGAGCTGCCACATAACCATGACAGAGAGGAGGAAAACAAAAGGTGCTTTTAAGTGAGCCCAGGCAGAACTGCGAGGGCGGCCCATGCTGCAGGCTGTGGCTGTCAGCAGGCTGCTTCTCCACAGCTGGCCCCGTCCTAAGATTCACAGGGCAGCAGCAGGGTACACTGGGTGACTGCTGCCCTCTCTTGGTGGCACAGGGCAGACCTGCTGGTGACCACAGATGCACCCTTTTGGGGAGGACTAGGGAGAAAGCAGGTATTGGAGAAGCAGGGGATTGTTTATTTGCTAAAAGTGTGGCCCTTTCACTCAGCAGGTCTGCTACTGCCTACTAAGGAATGGCCTCTCGACATCCTCACGTCAAACCCTGCATGTTCGGGCCCATCTTTAAAATCCATCCTAGGCCAGGTGCGGTGGCTCATGCCTGTAATCCCAGCACTTTGGGAGGCCGAGGCAGGCGGATCACCTGAGGTCAGGAGTTCGAGACCAGCCTGGCCAACATGGTGAAACTCTGTCTCTACTAAAAATACAAAAACTAGCCAGGCATGGTGGCGTTTGCCTGTAGTTTCAGCTTCTTAGGAGGCTAGGCACGAGAATCGCTTGAACCAAGGAGGCAGAGGTTTCAGTGAGCCGAGATTGTGCCACGATAATCCAGCCTGGGCAACACAGTGAGACTGTGTCTCAAAAAAATAAATAAATAAGTAAAAAATAAAATCCATCCTATATCAGTCAGGAAAGAGCTCATTCCAGCAGGATCAATGCGGAGAATTCACCAGAGGAACTAGTTCCAAAGGTATGGCAAGAGGAAAAACTTCCAACAGGGGCCCGTGGGGCAACCGAGAGACGGAAAAGAGCAGGAAACTCCAAACCCTTTGGCGGGCAGGACAGAGGGTGTGGGTGAGGGTTCCAGTGCTGTGGGCTGGGCCAGCCTGGTAGGAATGAGAATCCATATGCTAGAAACTGGGGCCCCAGAGAAGCAGCTGCTGCGGAAACCCCAGGAGGCAGAGTGAGGGAGAGACGCTGGCCTCCCCTTCTTCCCGCCCTGCACTGTTTCCCATGGGTCACACACAGCTGCAGCCAGTTGCCTGGGGAGGCCCCTGCCATGCTGGGGTTTGCAAAGCAGGCCCAGGGCCTGGGAAGGACAGGGTGTGCAGCATGCAGGTGGCTATGCTGTCCGGCTACTGGGTGGACACTGCCCATAACTGACCTTTTTGATGAGTTCTGAGAGAAAGCACCAGGCATACTTGACTGACGGCGGGTGCTTCACACACACAGGATACTTCACAGTCTACAGCAAAGGACAGAACGTTGGTTGCTCGAGAGCCCATCTTAAGTCTCCTATGAGCTTCAAGCCAACACAGCAGAGGGCAAACTCCAGGCTACCCAATCCCTCAGCAAAGATGAAGATGGACACAGCGTTCTGGCCCCACGCATCTGCAGTTTGTCTTAAGATATAAGCCGTTTCCTAAAAATGCTTCCACTGCAGTGGCACAGGCTATGGCAGCATTTCTAATGCCCATTCTGAGCAGGAACACAGGGCATGTGGGCCCAAACCACCTCCCTCCCAGGGGAGCCAGTGTGAACCAGGGTTTGCAGTAAGGACAGTCGCCAACTGTCTGGCTCTATGGAAGAGGCAGGAAGGCCCACTCGGCAACTGCTCTCTTGGAGCATGTGTCCCTGGGGACAGGATGGAGGGGAGGTGACACTCCAACTAAAGCCAAGAGAAGCCAAGTGCAGGACGAGCAAGTTCCAGGCAGTGGGAACAGCCGGTGCAAGCTCTGAGGTGGCCACAGCCTGGCACTTGGAAATGAGGGCAGAGGGAATTGTGCAGCAGGAGGGGGGACGGTGGGAAAACAAGAGCCTGGAGGGAGAGGGAGGAGACGGTCCGCAGTGCCTGCTGGCTGGGAGGGATGCAGATTCTGCCCAAGGGCAGCAAAGTACCCCACGCAATATACAGGCTCTTCAGGCTGGTGCTGGTTTTTCATTTATTCTGACACAGAGTCTCGCTCTGTTGCCCAGGCTGGAGTGCAGTGGCCCGATCTTGGCTCACTGCAGCCTCCACCTCCCAGGTTCAAGCAATTCTCCTGCCTCAGCCTCCCGAGTAACTGGGACTATAGGCGTGCACCACCACGCCCAGCTATTTTTTGTATTTTTAGTAGAGATGGGTTTTTGCTATGTTGGCTAGGCCGGTCTTGAACTCCTGACCTTAGGTGTTCCGTCCACCTCAGCTTCCCAAAGTCCTGAGATTACAGGTGTGAGCCAGTGCATCCAGCCTTTTGCTGGATTTTAAAGCAGCTCTCCCTACATTTCATGCTTCACCACCTACGAGAGTGAGGCTCAGGGTGAAACTCAGAGTAGGGTGCAAGATAACTTCAGGTATCTCCCTGCTTGAAGCCCTGTCCTACTGTATTGCCCTGAAAGTCTTCCCTGCTGTGGCTGCATCTTTTCCACGTGGATAATCTTGGTTCACCTCTAGCACAGGAATTCTTCACTGGGGCTCCTAGGATGGGCTGGGTGGGTGGGGGTGGAGGATGTCTGCCTCCCCTGAGTTTGTATGGAAAACGTATTCTTCTGGTGCACTTCTTTCTGGGAGGGAGTCTGTTGCTTTGTCTTTTCTGAAGGGCTCATGGCCCTTTGAAGGTGAAGACCCAGGATGCAGGGTGATCTGCACTTGGCCCTCAAGGCCAAGGTCAGGCTGTGGCTGGGCCGGGTGGTGATCCTGCCTCTCACCTTCATGCAGATGCACTTGAGTGCAAACCCCACCCTGGGCAAAGCAAGGGCCCATTTAGGTCTAGAATAGACAGGAGTGGACAGGACAGGCCTCATAAATGAAAAAAGAAACTCTCTGAGCATCTACCAAATGCTAGAAGCTGTTTTGCACCTGTCATCTCTGTTTCTGCTGTGGATGGTTTAAAAAACATTCCCTAGATTCCCCCCTCTTATGCAGATTTTTGTATATACTGATGTCTTTGTCTAAGTCTTAGATAGAAAACAAAAGTGCTGGAGCTATCGGAGGTGCTGACACCCACCTGCAGTGCTGACTCAATGTTTTTGTTCTTTGAACAGGGGTGTTTTTAAAGGGTACAAGCACATCTGTGGTTCTTCTCTCAGGTCTTCCGGAGAGATTCAGGAGGCAGGGTCATGAGTCCCAGGGACTCTGGGACTCTTACCTTCTGCAAAATATCCCACAGAAGCTCAGAATCTGATGAGTCTCTTAACTTTGCTTCTAAGCTCTATGTGGAGGGAAGAGAGAGAAATCTCAAGGGTGCATTCACAGGAACATTAAACGTGCAATAGAATGTGTTGGCAAAGCGCTATGTGATCTCTCCTTGGGGACGTGGAGCCAGTTGGAAGTGGAAGCCACAGCAGCTGAAAGCCTGACCTTCAAATGTTGCAGGTGCACCTGGATGAGTCACAGGAAGAAGGCTAGAAGACTGACTCTTGGCCACATTAGTCTTGGCTACTTAGCTGCCACCCAGGTCATGGGCCAGCTCCCTGGTTGCACTGGTCAGCCAGGAATTACCAGGGCAGCCATGGCACCAAGGTTTGATGGGCTTGCCATCTGAGTTTAAGTGGAAATGCAGAATGTGCCCATACCAGCCTGGGTTACATTGTCCTCTTACAGGGGCCTCAAGCCCAGCAGCGAGCTTTGGCTCCCGAGTTAGGCAGACTGTCTCGGCTGGTATGTGACACGGGGCAAGGCACTTCATTGCTTCAGAGCTCCTTCCATGCCGTAAAAGGCCCTACAAGACCTGGTCCTAATCCCTCTCTCTGGCCTGTTCTCCCTCACCTCTTGCCCACCCTGCTCACTCCACTCCAGCCACACTGGCTGCCTTGCTGTTGTTCCTCAACCACAGCTGGCTTGTTTCCACCACAGGGACTTTGCATATCCTGTTCCCCAAGCCCTTCCCATGGCTAGCTGCTTCACCACTCAGGCCCCAGTTCAAATGCCACCTCTTTGGGGAAGGCTTCCCTGATTCCCCGACTTTGGTGACTCTTCTCCCCAGTTACTCCATTCACCATTTCCCTGTTTTATTGGCTTTAAAGCTACTCTCATCTGGTCTTTTCTTGTTTATTCATTTATTTGTTTGTTCTCTGGCTCTCCCATGCAAGCAGAGCCTCATCTGTCATGGGTACTGCTGATCCATGGTGCCGGGCTCACGAAAGGCATTTATTAAACATTTTCAGACCGAATAAAAACAGTAGCTAACACCGACATGCATTTACCATGAGCCAGGCACTGATCCACAGGCTTTTGTACTCAACTCTGACAACAACCCTAAGAGGTAGCTATCATTATATCCCCCATTTTATTAAGAAGAAAACAATAGCACAGAGAAGGGCTCAGGAGGCGGGGCCGGGGCGGGGCGTTGACTATGTCGTAGCACATGACCAGGCGGTGCTCGGACTCTGGGAGGCAGAGCTTAGGGAGGGCCGACGTGGGGAGGGGCCCAGGGTCCGGGAGGCGGGTCCGAGTCTGGGCTGCGGGCTACGCTCAGGAGGCGGGCCATGGGGGTATGGCCAGGCGCTGCTCGGGCCCTGGGAGGCGGAGCTTAGGGAGGCGCCGGTGTCGGGAGGAACCCAGGGACTGGGAGGTGGGTCGGGGCTGGGCTCAGGGGCCGAGACGGAGCTGGGCTTGGGGCGGGGCCGAGACGGAGCGAGGGGTCCAGGGTGTGGGAAACGGGGAGGGGTTTGAGGAGGGAATCGGAGTGTGGCTCACGTTCGGGAGGCGTTACCTGCGGAGGGTTTGAGGCAGGCCCAGGAGCAAGGCCATGGTCGGCCGAGGCGGGGCCAGGGGCGGGCCCTAGGAGCCGGAGCTTTGGGCGGGGCCGAGTACGGGTTTGGGGCCCGGGAGGCGGGGCCGGTTAGGGCAAGGGTCCCTGGGATCGTCGAGTCAGGCCTTGGGCCAAAGTAGACACTCTCGCAGTTCCTCCGCCTTCAGGAAGGTCTTTTTGGCAGGGGCCTTATGGGTGCGCGCTTCGGTCCTGGAGGCCTTATCCCAGCCGCCTCTCCATCAGCGCCACCCGTCTGGGGCCCGACAGGAGGGAGCTTTCCCTCTGTCCTCCAGCCTTTGGACTGTCACCAAACAAGCCATTCGTTCACCAAATACTTACTAAGCGCCTACCATGCGCCTGGCAAGGCAGATGTAACAGTGAGAAAAACTAGGTGTGGTCCAGACCCTCCAGGGTCTCAGGGGCTCGTGGAAGAAGTGGACATTGAAGTACTTATGATACAAATGAATATAAAAGTACAATAGCGATATCTGCCATGAAGGTGAGCAGACAGAGCTAGCGGGGCTTCCAGGAGGAGTTTTGATCTTGCAGGGACAGGAAGGAGGAGTTAGCTCCTGCGGGGTGGGATTAGCGGTGGTGGTGATATAGACTTGGGGACAGAGTGGAAAACAACAAAAATATAATTATTTTAGTTCAAAGTTATTGTGTCTTGAGTTGAAAGGCAGGGCAGTTAGCAACACAGTTCATATTTCAGTACTGCCCCTGAAATCTGAACTGTGTTCAAAGTCTAAAACGTTTACCTTAGCAAATGCCTCATAAAACTCCATTTGGAAGAGTCCAGAGAGCTAATTTGTTGAGTATACTTGCAGAAGGTAGATGAGGAGACAGATTAAATCTTATTACCTCTTTCAGATGAGAGGCACTTGAGCCCTGCTCAGCTATGAGAATAAGAGAGGGGAATTAATTCTAATTGAATACACTTGTTCTCTCATAGCTGTTGTTCCCCACCAGAACCAAATGAGCGCAAGATCTGACAAAGAAAAAAAAGGTTCATCTTTTATTCTCCCAAACACTTTCATTTAAATCAAGAGGGTGGGATGTGGTTATTGCTGTGCTTTTAGACAGAATCAACGGTTTCTGGGTCTGAGATATTGCATATACCCTCTCAGTCCCTGTATCCTGAGATGGAGTCACCTGAGAATCCACAGCAAGTCCTAACCAGGGATGGGTCTGCGTGGTTAAGGAAGGTTGGCTTCAGAACTGGGCCAGGGGCACTGCTTTGCTTTTGCTGTTTTGATCAGCTCTCTGCCTGTAGGAGACAAGGAAAACCAATGGGAACAGGTTAGTTACACTCATAAATCCTGGGCTTATTTTACTAACTCACATAATAGCTATTAATTGCCTTTCTTCCAAGGAGCAAAAGGGTATATACGGTCAATGCCATAGTAAGTAACACTGTATTATGTTATACTAAAATATTAATAAATCTAGGTTGGTTCAGTCTTTCCTGATTCCATAGATTGGAAGCGGATTGAGGAAGGACGCTAGCGGACCACAGAGCTGAGCCATGCACACAGAAGAAACCTTTTTTTTTTTTTTTTTTGTGAGACGGAGTTTCGCTCTCTTGTTGCCCAGGCTGGAGTGCAATGGCACGATCTCGGCTCACTGCAACCTCCACCTCCTGGGTTCAAGTGATTCTCCTGCCTCAGCCTCCCGAGTAGCTGGGATTACAGGCGTGAGCCACCATGCCGGGCCATTTTTGTATTTTTAGTAGAGACAGTGTTTTAACATGTTGGCCAGGCTGGTCTCAAATTCCTGACTTCAGGTGATCTGCCCGCCTCTGCCTCCCAAAGTGCTGGGATTACAGACGTGAGCCACCGCGCCCGGCCAGAAGAAATCTTTATCTTGGTGTGCGGGCTCTGATGAGGGACAAATGTCATCTATCTTGGACCTGAATCTGGAAGGATCAAGGCACTGAAGGGATTTTTTTGTTTCAGACAGTCTCCCTCTGTTGCCAGGCTGGAGTGCAGCGGCACGATCTCAGCTCACGGCAACCTCTGCCTCCCGGGCTCCAGCGATTCTCTTGCCTCAGCCTCCTGAGTAGCTGGAACTACAGGCACGCGTCACCACGCCCAGTTAATTTTTGTATTTTTAGTAGAGACAGGTTTTCACCATGTTGGCCAGGATTGTCTCAATTTCTTGACCTCATGATCCATCTGCCTTGGCCTCCCAAAGGGCTGGGATTACAGGCGTTAGCCACCATGCCCGGCCTCACTGAAAGGATTTTTTTAATGTCACGTGGCTCTCACAGGTGCGGTGTGTTCGGGTGCAAGTGAAGATTATGACTGATGCTTAAAACCAAACGTAAAATTCCAGGTGGTGTTGCTATGGGAAGAAGCATTAGAACAATCTGAGTGGTTTCAGTTGCAAGTGTGTGTCTATGTGCAAGAACTACAATCAAGATTCAACTTCTGGCTTTGAGGGTCTCTTTAATAACAGTAATAGCAACCTAAGGCAGTTTAACAGTATGGAATGATTGCCTTTTAGAAATTAAGCTATGGGCATGGAAGTTCAATCAGTACACTGAAGTTTTTCCTTTATCTCTCCTATGGTTAATTGTTTCTGCAGAAAAGGACCAACTGATTTCTTTCTAAAACGTTGCTTCAGGGTGTAGAGACCTTTATAGGTCCTGTTTCAACTTACAGAAAATTTTTATAGTTCAAATATAAATTATGTTCAATGTGGACTTTGTAATAGGATTTAAGGTTAAGTAAAGTTTCCACTTTCCTTAGGCTGTTTGCAGTGCCCAGCAGGCCCCATGATATCGAGATGGAAGTTATGTTAAAGGAGGAGATTGGTCAGGGATGGGCAGAATAAGGAATATGGGCAGCTCAGGCTAATGATACAATGATTGAGGTGTAGAAAGAGGGTCAGGCATGGGATAACGCCTGTAATCCCAGTGCTTTTGGAGGCCAAGGCAAGAGGATCGCTTGAGGTCAGGAGACCAGCCTGGTCAACAGAGTGAGACCTAATCTGTACCAAAAAAAAAAAAAAAAAATTAGTTGGGCATGGTGGTGTGCACCTGTAGTCTCAGCCACTTGGAAGGCTGAGGTCAGGGGATCCCTTGAGCCTAGGAGTTTGAGGCTGCAGTGAACTATAATCACATAACTGTACTCCAGCCTGGGTGATAGGGTGAGGCCCTGACTAAAAAAAATTGAGTCAGGGAAAAAATTGGAAATCTCAATCCTCGGTACCCAGGAATGTGACCTTATTTGGAAATAGGGTACTTGTAGATGTAATCAAGTAACGATGAGTCATACTGGATTGGGGGCTGCTGTTGGGGGGACAGATGCAATCACTGGTGTCCTTATAAAAGAAGAGAATGAGTGCCGGGCATGGTGGCTCATGCCTGTAATCTCAGCACACTTTGGGAGGGTGAGGTGGGTGGATCACTTGAGGTCAGGAGTTCGAGACCAGCCTGGCCAACATGGTGAAACTCCATCTCTACTAAAAATACAAAATTAGCACTGCGTGGTGGCGGGCACCTGTAATCCCAGCTACCCAGGAGGCTGAGGTGGGAGAATCACTTGAACCTAGGAGGCAGAGGTTGCAGTGAGCCAAGATTGTGCCACTGCACTTCAGCCTGGGTGACAGAGGGAAACTCCATTTCAAAAAAATAAAATAAAGAGGAGAATGTCAGGTGAAGACAGAGACACAGGGAGAAGGCAGCCATGTGATGAGGGAGGAGAGATTAGAGCAATGCATCTACAAGGAACACCAAGCATTGCCAGCGGCCACCAGAAGCCAGAAGAGGCAAGGAAGTATTCTCTCTTACATGTTTCAGAGGAAGCGAAGCCCGGCTGACACCCTGATTTTGGACTTCTAGCATTCAGGCCTGCGAGACAATACATTTCTGTTGTTTTCAGCCACATGCGGGGCCCTCGTTGTTGTTGTGGTTGTTTTTTTTTTTTTTTCTGGAGACGGAGTTTCACTCTTGTGCCCCAGGCCGGAGTGCAATGGCGCGACCTCGACTCTCTACAACCACCTCCTCCCAGGTTCAAGAAATTCTCCTGCCTCAGCCTCCTGAGTAGCTGGGATTACAGGCATGCGCCACCTTGTCCAGCTAATTTTTGTATTTTTAGTAGAGATGGGGTTTCACCATGTTGACCAGGCTGGTCTCAAAATCCTGACCTCAAGTGATCCGCCCGCCTAAGCATCCCAAAGTGCTGGGATTATAGGCATGAGCCCCCACGCCCGGCCTTGTGGTTATTTTTTTAGACAAGATCCCTCTGTGTCATTCAGGCTGGAGTGCAGTGGTACAATCTCAGCTCCTGCAGCCTCGACCTCCCTGGGCTCAGGTAATTTTCCCATCTCAGCCTCCAAGTAGCTGGGACTACACGCTTGGCTAATTTTTGTATTTTCTGTAGAGATGGGATCTTGCTATGTTGCCCAGGCTGGTCTCAAACTCCTTGGGCTCAAGCCATCTGCCTGCCTTGGCCTCCCAAAGTGCTAGGATTACAGACATGAGCCACTATCCCTGGCCACCCTTGTTAAAAAATAAAGAATTTCAAGATGGTGATGGCAGATTATTAAACCACAGTGGGGACTCTTCTGTGTCCCTGTGGGACTGTCCAGGTTGCAAACCCATGAAGCTGGCCCTGGCTGCTGGGTTCTTGGAGTGCTGGACCTCCTGTGGCATGTGGCAAGGAGTTGTCATGGGTTATCATATGAATGATCAACTACAGGAGACCCAAAGCCCACTCAGTCCTTTTTCCGATGAATGGCTGTGTATGTCACACTAGCAACAAACAGAACCGCAAGAGCTCCTGTGACAATGCTGAACCCGATCACTGCACCTTGCAGAGCAGATGCCATCTGTACCTCCGCTCCTGTTAAGAAACCAGAGGGTTTTTAATTGCCTGATTTTTAAGAGGTTGTTCTGGTTGCTCCTGGTTCCCTGGGAAGTTTCCCATCTAGCCGCCAGTGAGTATTCATTATGGAAATGAAATGTACATTTAACCCAAGAAAATGCTCACTCTAGAGAAATCTCATAGGGCAAGTCGTTGAAAGCCGATTTACTAAATGACCTTTTCACTAAATGACCCATTTGCCTAATGAACAATTTGCCAAGTGATCAATTTGCTGAAAGCCAATTCACTGAAAATCTGTTTGTGGGATGTCCTGCTTATCAGTAACTGACAGTCGGACACAGCTTATCCCAGGCTCCCAATGGGATGTGGGACAGGGGAAGGGCTACAAAATAGTTGTAGAAAAACTCCAAAACTTAAAAAGCAGAAAAATCCTCCATAATTTGGTGAATTAGTCATTCATTTAATTAGTTTTCCACAAAAGGGACTGCTTCCTGTAGGTTGGAAAGGAGATCATGGGCAGTGGCTTACAAGAAGAGAAAGGATGTGTATCACCCCTGCCCTCCCCTCTTTTCCTTTTTTTTTTTTTTTTTTTTTTTTTTTTAGAGGCAGGAATTGGAGTCCCGTAGCACAATCATAGCTCACTGCAGCCTCAAACTCCTGGGTTCCAGCTATCCTCCCACCTCAGCCTCCCAGTAGCTGGGACTACAGGCATGTGACACTACACCCAGCTAATTTTTTGTAGAGACAAGGTCTCACTATGTTGCCCAGGCTGGTCTCAATCTCCTGGCCCCAAGTGATCCTCCTACCTTGTCCTCCCAAAGTCCTGGGATTACAAGTATCAGCCACTGTGCCCAGCCCTACTCCTTTTTGCATGTAATTGCTTTAAGTGCTCATTAGATCACTGGACAGTGTCCAAGTCTCTCCTGGTATAAGGAAAGATAACCAGTGTTTGTAAACACAAAAGAAGGCAACAGCAAATTCTGAGATGGTTTTATTCTTCCTTTGTATCACCCAGATTGAAGGGGTTTGAAGTCTTGAGAATTTGCAGTCTCATTTCAGACTCTCCCCTCTCCTTTTTTCAGCATCGAGGGAACAGCAGGGTTTTGCTCCTCCCCTATGAACAGCTTTCTGTGCTATTGAAGGAGGGCTGATTTCCATATCTGGAAGGGGCATCTTGGGGGCAGACTGTACACAGTGATTTCCTGAGGACCGGAAGGATTACAGCCTGACTTTATAGAGCACCTTCCCTTTGCCTAAAAGACACTATGTAAAATGTTACCAGCAGGTCGAGGGATTCCCTACCTCCCCTGCTATCTGTTTGGAGCTATTGGCATCTTGTTCCTGGGGCTCCAAAGCTGCTGGGAAACAGGATTGTTGTGCTTGAATTCCCTCCTCCCCACCATGAGACCCCTTTTTGATTCTTTTCTATCTCAGGACAGAGCAGACTATGCTGACAGTTTTCTGGCAGCTGCTTTTGTGTCTCACCTGGCTGCTGGACATAGGAGTTCACGAGCATTTCCTGGGTGACTGCCAGGGAGCTGTTGTGGGTTTGGGGGTGACTCCCAGGAGCTTACACATGAATGGGTAGATGTGGATGCCATTAAAAGGCTCGGCCAGGCGATTCCTCTTGAAATCTGGCCCGAAAGCTCTGAATATGGTCTCATATCCATGAGGACATTATCAAAGCCACGGCTGCCTTTGTTGAAACACATTATAATTCTCTGAAAAATAATAACAATAAAAAAGCCATTTTAGGTTCCAATCCACTGAAAGAAAACTGTCCCTTAGTTAATGTCATGCTTGTTGAATCCATGAAGTCTTTGAGAATTTAAACTACAAGGACACTGCTCTCGGTGGTGGTGGAGAGAATACCGAGGATTTAAAGGTCTTTAAGAAAGAGAATGTAGAAAGCGTACCCATTGGAAACAGCAAGATGATGATAATCTGAATGCTTCATAAATATATGTTACCTCCTTTACCCTCATGGCAGCCCAGTAAAGGTGCCATTCCCCATTTTACAGTTGGGGAAACTGAGTTACAGAGCTTTTCTGCACTAAGTCATCAGGAGCAAATGCTAGATCAGGTAATTGAACCCAAGCAATCTGGTTCCAGAGCCAAATAGATGTATTTTTTATGGTATAAATACATATACATATACTTTTAGGGGAAGGGTGGGGGTAGGATGGGATGAGGATTCTGGGTAATTGCATGGTAAATGCCAAATACCTTTCTTGTCTGTGCCTCTTTTCAAATGATAAAGTAATGTCAATTGCAACACTTTTTTCTATTTTTGAGACAAGGTCTAGCTGAAGTAGAGTGATGCAGTCATAGCCCACTGCAGCTTCAAATTCCTGGGCTTAAGCAATCCATCTACATCAGCTTCCCAAGTAGTTGGGACTACAGGCCCACACTACTATGCCCAGCTAATTATTTTAATTTTTGTAGAGATGGCAGGTGGTGGTGGGGGTGTCTCGCCATGTTGCCCAGGCTGGTCTTGAACACTTGACCTCAAGTGAACCTCCTGCCTCAGCCCCACAAAGCTCTGGAATTATAGCCACTGTGGCTGGCTACAATACTATTTATTTATATTTTAGACCAACAGATATTCTAGCATATAAGAAATATGATGCTCTCTGTACATTGAAGAGTTGGTCTAATATTTGGCCTGGTGCATACAGAAATTGCCTGTCTGCTCCGCTCTGGTTGAAGAAACCAGTCCGACTGTCTCTGAGGCTATGGAGCAGTCCATCAAGAATGAAAGCCCTCTGTCAGGCACGTTTTCTCACACCTGTAATACCAGCGTTTTGGGAGGCCAAGGCAGGTGGATCACTTGAAGTGAGGAGTTTGACACCAGCATGGCCAACATGGTGAAACCCTGTCTCTACAAGAAATAGAAAAATTAGCTGGGCCTGGTGATGTGTGCCTGTAATCCCAGCTACTCAGGAGGCTGAGGCAGGAGAATCACTTGAACCTGGGAGGCAGAGGTTGCAGTGGGGAGCTGAGATCACACCACTGCATTCCAGCCTGGGCGACAGAGTGACACTCTCTCAAAAAAAAAAAAAAAAAAAAAATGAACGTCCTCATGATGGCCTCAAGCAGGTTGGTCCCTGAAGAGAGTCAAGGAAGGCCCACTTTACTCTGCACTGCAAAGCAGGCAGGTGGACAGGATGAGAAGTGGATTCAGTGAGAGACATTGACCCAAAGGATTTTCTGGCTAATGGTCGGTTCAGCAGAATATTAAACTGAGCACAGCATCCTGTTCCCTCAAACCATCTGGCTGGTCAGTGGGGAATGTTCTTGTCTCGTTAAATGTCCTCATGCTACTGTCAAGATACCCTGTTACAAAACGTCATAAACCAGGTTTATGGGCGTGGGATTGGTGTGCAGTAATCACAGTGTTCCGGGCCACTTGAGGGATAAAATATACCTTAGGTGATAAACTGTTGTATTTTAATGTGAATATTTCCACCAACATTCAACAGTAACCCCATGAGTTTTCTCATACCTGTTACACTCTGGAGTTGCAGCAAGCTAACATGAAGTAAGTGGTAAACATAATGATCGCATTTGGCTTCTATTCACAGCAAGGGTTCTTCAAGCTGTACCTGGGGCAGTCTTCCCTCACATGAGGTTTATAGCATCATTTATTTAATTATTTATTTATTTTTTGAGACGGAGATTCGCTCTGTTGCCCAGGCTGGAGTGCAATGGTGAGATCTTGGCTCACTGCAACCTCTGCCCCACCAGGGTTCAAGCGATTCTCCTGCCTCAGTCTCCCGAGTAGCTGGGATTATAGGCACCCGCTACCACGCCTGGCTAATTTTTGTATTTTTATTAGAGACGGGGTTTCACCATGTTGACCGGGCTGGTCTCAAACTCCTGATTTCAGGTGATCCACCCGCCTCAGCCTCCCAAAGTGTTGGGATTACTGGCGTGAGCCACAGCGCCTGGCTATAGCATCATTTAAACTTTGTTTCTGCCATGAATTGTTAGTTGGTAGTTAACAAAAAATAGACAACCTCATTTATGTCTCACAGTTAGCATTGGTTTTTGTGTTTTCTTTAGGCTTGTTTTTTAATTGTTTTCAAAATTGTGAAACAGGGTCTTGTTCTGTTGCTGAGGCCAGAGTGCAGTGACACAATCTTGGCTCACTGCAGCCTCAACCTCCTGGGCTCAAGCAATCCTCCCACTTTAGCCTCCTGAGTAGCTGGGACTACAAACAAGAGCCACCACCGCTGGCTAATTTTTAATTTTTAATTTTTTTTTTTGGAAATGGAGTTTTGCTCTGTCTCCCAGCAGTTTGGAGTGCAGTGGCGTAATCTCAGCTCACTGCAACCTCCACCTCTCGGGTTCAAGCGATTCTTCTGCCTCAGCCTCGGCACCCACCACCATGCCTGGCTAATTTTTAAAAAGTATTTTTTGTAACAACAGGGTTTCACCATGTTGGCGAGTCTGGTCTTGAACTCCTGACCTCAAGTGATCCACCTACCTCAGCCTCCCACAGTGCTGGGATTACAGGCATGAGCCACCACGCCAAGCCTAATTTTTAAATTTTTTGTAGAGACCAGGTTTTGCCATGTTGTCTAGGCTGGTCTTGAACTCCTGGGCTCAAGTGATCCTCCTGCCTTGGCCTCTCAAAGTGCTGGGATTACAGGCATGGCCCTTATATCTGGCCCTTAAAGCTGCTTTTTAATAACAGCTTTATTGAAAGATAATTCACATACCACACAATTTTCCCATTTAAAGTGTACAATTTGGCCGGGCATGGTGGCTCATACTTGTAATCCCAGCACTTTGGGAGGCTGAGGTGGGAGGATCGCTTGAACCCAAGAGTTTGAGATGAGCCCGAGCAACATGGCAAAACCCTGTCTCGACCAAAAATACAAAAAAATTAGCTGAGCATGGTGGTGTGTGTCTGTAGTCCCAGCTACTCAGGAGGCTGAAGTGGGAGGATGGTTTGAGCCTGGGAGGTGGAGGGTGCAGTGAGTTGAGATTGTACCACTGCACTCCAGCCTGGGCAACAGAGCCAGACCCTGTCTCTAAATAAATAAATAAAGTGCATAACTCAGTGGTTTTTAATATATTCACAGAGTTGTGCAGCCATCATCACCATCAATTTTAGAAATTTTAATTACCCCAGAAGAAACCCTGTATCCATTAGCAGTCACCCCTTATTTCCCTCCAACTATCCCCACCCCTGGCCCCTGGAAACCATTAATCTACTTTCTGTTTCTTTGGATTTTCATATTCTGGGCATATATATATACACAGAGAGAGAGAGAGAGAGAGAGAATCATCTCATATTTGTCTGGCTTCTCTCACTTAGCCTAATGGTTTCAAGGTGTATCCAGGTTGTAGCATGAATCAGCCGTTCATTCCATATTTTGGCTGATTAATGTTCCATCACACGGGTAGACTGTACTTGTTTGCCCATTCTTCTGTTGTTGATAGGCATTTGTGTTGTTGCCACCTTTTGACAATTATGAATAATTTTGCTATGAGCATCTGTGTGTGTCTTTGTATGAACAGGCTTGCATATTTTTTGATATGGGCAAATGAGAACCAGCGGCGGGGGGCTTCTGTGGTGACTTTTTTGGTGATCTTTGTGTACTCTGTATAATGATTGGCCACTCAGGCTTGGGGGCAGCACTTAACCTTACATTTCTTTCTTTTTTTTAAGATAGGGTCTCTCTCTCTGCCACCCAGGCCAGAGTGCAGTTGACGCAGGGCAGGGGAGCCCCGAAATGGAGCATAGTGTGTCTGGAACTGGTGGGTTCTTGGTCTCACTGACTTCAAGAATGAAGCCACGGACCCTCGCGGTGAGTGTCACAGTTCTTAAAGGCGGCGTGTCCGGAGTTTGTTCCTTCTGATGCTCAGATGTGTTCAGAGTTTCTTCCTTCTGGTGGGTTGGTGGTCTCGCTGGCTTCAGGAGTGAAGCTGCAGACCTTCGCAGTGACTGTTACAGCTCATAAACGCAGTGTGGACCCAAAGAGTGAGCAGCAGCAAGATTTATTGCAAACAGCAAAAGAACAAAGCTTCCACAGTGTGGAAAGGGACCCCAGTGGGTTGCCACTGCTGGCTGGGGCAGCCTGCTTTTATTCCCTTATACGGCCCCACCCACATCCTGCTGATTGGTCCATTTTACAGAGAGCCGATTGGTCTGTTTTACAGAGAGCTGATTGGTCTGTTTTGACAGGGTGCTGATTGGTGCATTTACAATCCCTGAGCTAGACACAAAAGTTCTCCAAGTCCCTACTAGATTAGCTAGATACAGAGTGTCGACTGGTGCGTTCACAAACCCTGAGCTAGACACAGGGTGCTGATTGGTGTGTTTACAAACCATGAGCTAGATACAGTGTGCCGATTGGTGTATTTACAATCCCTTAGCTAGACATAAAGGTTCTCAAAGTCCCCAACAGACTCAGGAGCCCAGCTGGCCTCACCAAGTGGATCCCACATGGGGGCCGCAGGTGGAGCTGCCTGCCAGTCCTGTGCCCTGCACTGGCACTCCTCAGCCCTTGGGTGGTCAATGGGACTGGGTGCCCTGGAGCAGGGGGCGGTGCTCATGGGGGAGGCTCGGCACTCATCGGGGAGGCTCAGGCCACGCAGGAGCACATGGCGGGTTGGGGGGAGCCTCAGGCATGGCGGGCTGCATGTCCCGAGCCCTGCCTACAGGGAAGCAGCTAAAGCCCGGCGAGAAACTGAGCAAAGCAGCTGCTGGCCCAGGTGCTAAGCCCCTCACTGCCAGGGTCCAGCAGGGCCAACGGGCCACTCCGAGTGCGGGGCCCAGTGAGCCCATGCCTACCCAGAACTCGCGCTGACCCACAAGCGCCGTGCCCAGCCCCGGTTCCTGCCCGCGCCTCTCCCTCTGCACCTCCCCACAAGCTGAGGGAGCCGGCTCCAGCCTCGGCCAGCCCAGGAAGGGGCTCCCACAGTGCAGCGGCGGGCTGAAGGGCTCCTCAAGTGCCGCCAAAGTGGGAGCCAAAGCAGAGGAGGCGCCGAGAGTGAGCTTGAGGGCTGCCAGCATGCTGTCACCTCTCAAAAGTACGTGAGGGTTCTTGTCTTTACCCAGGAAAGAATTCAAGGGCAAGCCAGAGGTATAGAAGAAGACAGCTTTATTGAAGAGGCAGCATTACAGCCCTGTGACTGCTCCTGTAGGGCAGGGCTACCCTGGAGGCAGAGAACAGCGGCAGAGAGTTTGCAATCACATTTATACCCACTTTTAATTGCATGCAGATTAAAGGGCAGTTTATGCAGGAATTTCTAGAAAATGGGTAGTAACTTTTGAGTCATTGGGTCATTGCCATGGAAAGGGGCAGTAACTCCTGGGTGTTGCCTTGGCAATAGTAAACTCACATGGCACACTGGTGGGCATGTCTGATGGAAAGCTGCTTCTGCCCCAGCCCTGTTTTAGCTAGTCCTCAATTTGGTCTGGTGTCCAAGCCCTGCCTGTGGAGTCAAGTCCTGCCTCCTATCTCACAGTGGCGTGATCATGGCTCACTGCAGACTCAACACCCCCGGGCTCAAGCAGTTCTCCCACCTCAGCCTCCTGAGTTGCTGGGACCACAGGCACGTGCCACTACACCCAGCTACTTTTTTTGCATTTTTTGTAGAGGTGATGTTTCACTGTGTTGCCTAGACTGGTCTCAAACTCCTGGGCTCAAGCAGTCTACCTACCTTAGCCTTCTAAAGTGCTGGGATTACATGTGTGAGCCACTGCACCCAGCCCAACCTTAAATTTTTAATCTCAAGTCGCTTCTCTCTAGGTTTTGATTTCTTCTTTAAAATGGTGGAACTAAGATCATCTATTTTATAGGGCTGTTGGGAAGACAAAAATGAAAGAACTGCTATTCAATGTTTAGTGAAGAGCTATGCACAGTTTTGAATAATGAAGTTGGTGTTTATTTTTTATTATTTGTTTATTTATTTTTTAGAGGCGGGGTCTTGCTCTATTGCTCAAGCTGGAGTGCAGTGGTGCAATCACAGCTTAGTGCAGCCTTGACCTCCTGGGCTCAAGAAATCCTGCCACCTCAGCCTCCTGAGTAGCTGGGACTACAGGCATGCATCGCCATGTCTGGCTATTTATTTATTTGTTTGTTTTTTGTAGAGATGGGTCTCCCTATGTTGCCCGGGCTGGTCTTGAACTCCTGGCCTTAAGCAACCCTCCTGTCTTGGCCTCCCAAAACACTGAGATTACAGGTGTGAACCACCATGGCCAGCCTTATTTTTATTTTTAAATCAGCCTTGTCAAGTTGAATTGGTCATTAATCTTGTATAATGGTAATTTGGGGCAGCATTGGTTGGGCGGGGGGTGGGGAACATTTAGGACCCTGTGGGCTACAACTCGTAGTGTGTGCACTTATTTTATTTTATTTTGTTTTGTTTTGTTTTATTATGTTATATTATATTATATTTTTTTGAGACAGGGTCTCACTCTATTGCCCAGGCTGGAGTGCAGTAGCATGATCTTGGCTCACTGCAACCTCTGCCTCCCAGGTTCAAGCGATTCTCCTGCCTCAGCCTCCAGAGTAGCTGGAACTACAGATGTGCGCCACCATGCCCGGCTAATTTTTGTATTTTTAGTAGAGATGGGGTTTCACCATGTTGGCCAGGCTGGTCTCAAACTCCTGACCTCAGGTGATACACCTGCCTCAGCCTCCTGAAGTGCTGCGATTATAGGCTTGAGCCACCCTGCCCGGCTGTGCACTTATGTTTGATTTTTGCAGAACCACCCTTCTCTAATGGTTGTCTCCTAGATCCAAGGTGACTTTATTCATTTTAGAATGAACTTACCCCATTGATACTGTAACCAGAGTTGGCATACATCACGATTGGCAGAACCTGGTCATGTTTAGCAAGATGGAAATGCTCTGGAAACTCCTCCTTCTTGAAGATGTGGAGGTGAGGGTATGCATTCTTCAGTGCCTGGTAAAGGGTTTCCTCTTGCCCCAATTTGGGTAGGGGCATCCCAAAGCCACCGTAGCCCACAATATCAAACTTGACCAAGTTCCTGAACTTGATGTAGTTGGACAAGGGATCTTGTTGACATTGGGTCTCTTCTTCACGGTGGTCATCCCATGGTCTCATGTGATGATGATGCTGAGGTGCTCTGCAGGCTGTGCTTCTCAGTGGCTCCCACCAGATACCCGATGGTCCTGTCGATTTGCTGAATCATCAACTTCCTGTTCTCTGCCTCTGGCCCAAATCGATGTCCCACGTTATCTGGCTCTCTGTAGCACAGAGTCACAAAGTCAAAGTCTTCCTAGGTGAACCAGTTCATGACAGTATCGATGTTCCCCTCCGCTCTGTCTCGTTGCTGTTTGGGTGAATGTAGGACTCCACCAGGGACCGCTTGACAGCCTCACCCTTGTATTTAGCACCTCCCCTGGAATAATGGAATGATGCCGCTTTGTTCCCCTGCAAGTACAAGAAGAAAATTCCATCAGGGCTATTTCTCATACCTTTCTCACAATCAGCAAAGCTCGAGTTGTCTACATCTGTGCCCCAGTCCAAAGGCATAGGAAATATGTGATCTTTGGAGTCAGACAGGGTGGAGTTAGATTCTGGGCTTCCCGAGGATCTCATAGCATCTACAACATTGTTAGTTACAAGATGTGCTATTATGTTATGGGCTACTAAGCAGAAAAATGCTGCCAAGGAGACCGTGACATTCCAGTGATTGTAAGGTGTATTCCAACTTCAGAGATGGCAAGATGAAAAATAATTCCTTAGAATAGAGGGAGAGGGTAATTTCTGAGTTGGTGGTGGTGAATTTGTGCATGTGTGTTTTTTATATATATACATATATATATACACACACATATATACACGTATACATGTATATATACACACATACATATATACATATACATATATACATGTACATGTATATATGTGTGTCTATATACATATATACATATACATGTATATATGTGTGTCTATATATACATATATATGTATATATAGTGGTGCAGTAGTACAATCATAGCTCATTGCACCCTTGAACTTCTGGGCTTAAGTGATTCTGCCACCTCAGGCTCTTGAGTAGCTGGGGCCACAGGCATGTGCCACCATACCTATTTTTTTTTTTTTTTGAGACACAGTCTCACTCTGTCACCTAGGTTGGAGTGCAGTGGTGCAATCTCAGCTCACTGCAACCTCTGACTCCTGGGTTAAAGCAGTTCTCGTGCCTCAGCCTCCCAAGTAGATGGGATTATAGACATGTGCCACTATGCCCAGCTAAGTTTTGTATTTTTAGTTGAGATAGAATTTTGTCGTGTTGGCCAGGATGGTTTTGAATCCCTGTGCTGAAGTGATCCACTTGCCTTGGCCTCCCAAATTGCTGGGATTACCTGTGTGAGCCACCGCGCCTAGCCCTGATTTTTTTTTTTTTAATATTTATAGAGATGAGGTCTCACTAATTTGCCCAGGCTGGTCATGAACTCCTGGGTTCAAGTAATTCTCCTGCCTCAGCCTCTCAAAGTGCTGGGATTACAGGCATGAGACACCTTGCCCGGCTGGTGGTGAGTTTTAAAATCTCCCAGTGCCTCAGCGTCTCAGTGTTTCTACCTGTAGAATGCCAAAAAGTAGATGGCATCTTTGTGAGGATTAAGCAGGCTAGCTTTTTATTTTTTTATTTTTATTTTTTTATTTTGAGACAGAATTTCTCTCTTGTCACCCAGGCTGGAGTGCAATGGCATGATCTTGGCTCACTGCAACCTCCGCCTCCTGGATCCAAGTGGTTCTCCTGCCTCAGTCTCCCAAGTAGCTGGGATTACAAAGCCAGCTAGCTTTAAGATACAGTGTTGGGCATCACATTTTGGCACAGAGCAGGCACTCTTTTCTTTGCCCCCAGGTGGGACTAAGCCACCACAAGCCTTTCCTGGTGTGTGCAGTGGGTGATGAATGCTTGCCTGCTCAGCACCCACTCCCTGGTGGACTGGGTCACATTACTCTGACTCCCCCTTGAGCTTCAGTCCACGTCTGGTTCAAGATGTATTGACTCAACCCGAGGATCCAGAGGTGGGATGTAGCTCTGGCCTGGCCAGAGGACTGAGGATGCTGAATGCCATGGCTACAGCAACTGGTCAGCTTTGGGCTCATGTTCTAGTCAGAGCCAGTGAGATGTAATGTTGGGATATCTGCTGGGCTGTTGGGAAGGGGAAAGGCTGCCCTGCTCATCCCCATTCCTGATGCTGAGGGATCTGAGAAAATCACTTGTAAAATTTGGGGGTGTCTGGAAAAAGGGGAGACTGATGTCTCTTTCTCTCTACAGACATCTGATCAGCTACAGAGCTTGACTAACCTACCCAGAGGCAGAATGATATGGTGGTTAAAAGTGGGCTCTGGGACGAGTTTTTGCCACTGTACTCCAGCCTGGACGACAGAGTGAGACTCCATCTAAAAAAAAAAAAAAAAAAAAAAAAATAGTGTGCTCTGGGCTGGGTGCGGGGGCTCACGACTTTAATCCCAGCACTTTGGGAGGCTGAGGCAGGAGGATCGCTTGAAGTCAGGAGTTTGGGATCAGACCCTATCTCTAGAAAAATGTTTTTTAAAAATTAGCTGTGTTGGTGGTGAATGCCTCTAGTCCCAGCTACTCGGGAGCCTGAGGTGGGAAGATTGCTGGAGCTCGGGAGTTCAAGGCTGCAGTGAGCTATGATCAGGCCACTGCACTCCAGTTTGAGGGACAGAGAGAGACCCCATCTCTCTGAACAACAAAAATGTGTGCTCTGGTGCCGCACTGCCTGGTTAGATCCTTTGTCCACCACTTAGATGCATGTTATATTAATGCTCTCCTCAGTTTCCTTGTCTGTAACTTGGGGATGGTAATGCTGCCCCAAGAAGTGGTTATGGGGACTAAATGCATGTGGGCATATTGGTAAGTATTCAACAAGCTTGATTTTTCCTGGAGAGGGAGAAAGAGCATGTAGTGAGGTGGCATGCTCAGGTGCATTGGGACAAGGATTATTTCCTCTGGCTTCTGCCTCCTGGGAGATACTAAGAAGTGATCTGAAATGTGTCTGCAGACCCCAGAGCTGGGGACTGCAGAGGAAAATTGAGATCAGGGACCCCAGTCTGGCAGAAATGTGTGCAGCATGGGGCATTGTGTTCCTTCCATCAGAGGCATGGGGTGTGTTGCAGACAGTCTTGAAATGTGACTGAATCTTGCAAGGGACCCACGGTCCTAGGGTTGCCACTTGAGACAAAGACCCCTGTCAGTGGAACCTGGTGACCTTCACCCTTCTGTATCAGGCTGCAGACAGCAAGAGATGGCAGCAGATTACACCCAACAGGAAAAGGTCCATTGCCGTCCCACAGGTTGCCATAGGAGGAGATGACATCTCTCCCTCTCCTCCTCCAGCAGTGTCAGCTGGGGAAGAGGTGGGTGGGTGTGCACAAAAGAGTAGACCACAGAGCATGCTCCTTCTCCTCCAGTCTGCTGGGGCCCCCAGAGAGTCTGCAGCCCTTGGCCAGGGACCGGCTGACACAGGAGAACAAAACAGCTTAGGCTGGGATAACATAGTGGTGCAGTTCATCCTCTGGCGCTCCCTGTGAGATCAGACTGGAGCCAGTCTCCTGCTGAGACCACATCTCACTTAGCTCCTGCCCTGCCATATCCTGTTTTCCTTACTCCTATCTCCTGAGAGTTCTTCCTGAATCAATTACATGCACTCAATCCCTGCCTCAGGCTCTGCTTTTAGGGAACTTGAGCTAAGACAGAAATCTTACTACTAAATACTTTGCAAGGCCTCAGAAGCTCTGCTATCCACAGGCAGGTGAGATATTACCTTCCCTACTGCCTGGCAGTCATAGTCTGTGATGCGATTCAGCTTTATGGAAGTGCTTCTCTAAAGAACTTCCCCCAATTTAAGATGATCTTAATTTGCTCACTTGTTTACTGTCCATTTAGCTGCTCTAAAATGTGAGCTCCAAATCAGGGGCCATGTCTGGTTGGTTACCCATTTCCTGGGACCTAGAACAGGCCTAGCTCAGAGCAGGTGCTCACTATTGATGGAATGCATGTTGAAAGAATGCATGAATCTCATCTCCTTTTGTGGGTGAAAAACTCATCCTATTCTCACCCTGATTAACTTTCTTTCTTTCTTTCTTTCTTTCTTTCTTTCTTTCTTTCTTTCTTTCTTTCTTTTTTCTTTCTTTTTTTTTTTCAAAATGGAGCCGTGATCTGTCACCCAGGCAGGAGTGCAATGGTGTGATCTCTGCTCGCTGCAACCTCTGCCTTCTGGAGTAAAGCAATTCTCCTGCCTCAGCCTCCCAGGTAACTGGGATTACAGGTGCATGCCACCACGCTCGGCTAATTTTTTGTATTTTTAATAGAGACAGGGTTTCACCATGTTGGCCAGGCTGGTCTCGAGCTCCTGACCTCATGATCTGCCCCCTTTGGCCTCCCAAAGTCCTGGGATTACAGGCATGAGACACCATACCCAGCCACTCTTGATTAACTTAATGGAAATATTTACAGGTATTCTTTCTCTTTTGGGTTCTAGCGTCTTATCTGTAACCTCTGCAGGTAATACATTTTCCTTCCTGATGATAGCATTTCTATGGTTGCTTTCACTTGCAAATCCTCTAATACTTATTTATTCCATTTCTGATGCGCACTAGACATAATTCTCAACTTTTAGCGACAGCACTTTGTTTAACTTACATATAAATCGACTTTGCCTTGAAATGTGACATTGACGAGAAGGATGAAACTTCTAACATGCAGTAGAACACAGTTTGACTGGCTAATTTATTATTTAGAAGAAGCTAATATTGCCATTATGAGGGACTTAGGTAGCACTGAAGAACCAGTTGTATTTCTAATGTTTGCAATGTTAAATCACAGATATTGCCAACGTGAAATAGTTTCCATATGCTGTGTTCTCAATACACACCTTTTCCAAAGATATTCCAAGCTGTAGTCTTAGGAAACTGTGATTTTTCTTATTTGGTCTCATAGGAATTTGGGGAGCTATGCGGGATCTCCATAAAACGAGCTCCAGAAAAACACATGTGTGCACACACACACACACACACACACACTCACACATGTACCACACCACACTTGACTCTGTTTATTTGGGACACTTGATTATCAGAAGTGCTATTTTCAACAAATACTTCTGAGAAATAATCTGAACACTTAATTGGATGCAAAAGAATGGGTATTTATTATATAATATATATTATATATAATATATATTATATATATTAAATATATATTATATATATTATATATATTAAATATATATTATATATATTATATATATTAAATATATAATATATATATATAGAAAATAATCAGTGTTTCCAGCAGCAAAAGCAATTAGAAAATCGCTAGTTTTATTAGGTTCATTATTCTCCCTTAGCGTAGTGTGGCATCAGCATGGCTATTATTCCTAAATTGCCTCTTTAAAACAAGGGCTGGTGCTTCTTACAGGCAATTCCTAACTCTTGGGTTTTGTAGAGGGTCCAAAACTCTTTGGAACCTATAATTCAAGGAAAGGCTCCACTTTGGTTTTGCATTTTGTGTGGTCTCTTTGGGTGACTGAATTTATGTCACAAGGTGCACATGTTTTGGGGAGGCTCATGGACAGCCCATCGCTCTTGTGTTTTGGTAGGAAGTACGTGCCATTAAGGGGAAGGACTTAGTTACTGATTCTAGGGAACAATTGGGTAGAAAGAGATGGACTCCCTGTATTTGAAATTCGAACTCAAGCTTGGCTCTAAGTGTTTCCTTGCTTTGCTGTGCTCCAGGGGAGTCACTGAGCAGAAGGAAGCGAGTTGCCTGAGATTCCTCAAAGCCCGCAGCCCTTTTGGAGGTTACATTGTTATTCTCAGAAACTTTATGATGCATAATAAAGACCTAGCTTAGACCAATATTAGGATGAGTTATCTTGCTATTAACATTCTTTTAGGTAGAAGTTGCTGGTCCCATCTTGCTCACAATCCTCCAAAGTTTGGAAGTTACTTTCCAGGAGACTTAGCTTGCACTGAGAGCTGCCCTCCCACCCTCTCTCCAAATTTCCTCTTGGGGGTAGCCTAACAAGGTGCTGTCACAGACCCTTGCCAGCCATGATGACCCCACCCAGACCATCCCTCTGCTGTTTCACTCTTTGATACTCTGGAGCTCTCTGGGGAGGGGTGAGACCTGCTGTCTGGTTTGTACGGTTTGCCCAGGTCTTACAGTCATGGCTGGCTGCCTCTCTCTGAGAACTGGGACTCCTGAACTTGGTGAAATACCTCAGCCATCAATCATGTTAAATTATTGGGGACACTCATTTAAAATCCGAGTCTGCTCCAGATGGACTTCTCTCTTTCTGCCCAGACCGTGAGAGAGAGACCGTGAGAGAGAGAGAGAGAGACCGTGCCCTGACCTGCTGGACGGTGGAGATGCTCGTGGGCTGTGAGCAACAGATGCAAAGGCTGCCGGGAATCCCATCTTTCCAGCATCATCTGCCAAGGCACATCAGTTCCTGGGTGTCTTGATGGGTTCTGGCAGCATTACTGTCATTGAAGGAAAACATTTTAGCCATATTAAAGGTGAATGCAGCAATCCCCACACAGGCTGCCTAGAAGGGACGCGGGACAAGGGTAGGTTTTCTCTGTGATGGACAGGAGGCAGGCGGCCCTCCCACAGCCCTGCCTGGCAATGCAGATTTGTTCCCAAAAGGCACTGGGGGTCAGCTGGAGTGCTGTGCCAAGGCGGGCTCACCCGGGCCGTGGGTTCGCTCTGATTTCAGTGGTTTCCCACCAGCTCCTTGGAGAGCTGGCAGATGACCCAGCCCCACGGCGGAGCTGTGAATGGCAGAACGAGATACAACAATTTGATATCCACTTGCCAGATGAGCTGGGTGTCGTCAGTCACCTGGCTCTGCGCCAACCTCTTTTTGCACAAACACTTATGAATTCAGCCAGGAGGAAAAGCACTCTGATTATGAATTGAGCAGAAGGAAACAAAGTTCTGCAGATAAACACCAATGAGACAAAAAACCACGAATAAGAAAAATGACAGAAAAGGAGAACCTTCCCAGAAGCCTCCTGCCAGTGAACGGCCACCATAGCAAGAGCATGGAGGCCCTGGGTTTTGAACTGTGAGATAAGGAAGATGATGAAAACCTCCCTAGCAGCCAGGCAAGCACAAGATTCCTGTGAAATCCAGATCTAAGCGTTTTGACCACAGAAGTAATATTATGTCATAGATGAGAGCTGTGAGTTGCTGAACCCATAGTGAGTTCAAATCCGAGCTCTGCCTCCTGCTACCTGTGTGACTTTGAGAAGTTCCAGCACCGCTTTGTGCCTCAGTTTTGTCATCTGTTAAATGGGCATAATCATAGCTCCTGCCTCAAAGTAGTTGTAAATTAATACATGTAAAGCACTGAAATCATCCTGGTATACAGAAATTGTTATGGACGTTATTTTCTTGGAAGGACAGAACTTATTTTCATGGTCTAATCCTAAAAGTCTAAAAAATGTGAGAGAAGAGGAAAGAATCTAGAGTCTCACCATGAGGGGGAAAAGTCAACTTGAAGCAGGACAGGGTCATTGACAATTTCCTGTGATTCCACAGCTGCCTTGTACACTATGGTAGCTCCTAGCCACTTGTTGTTTAGATTTTGTGATTTAGAAATTAATTAAGGCCGGGCATGTTGGCTCACACCTGTAATCCCAGCATTTTGGGAGGCCAAGTTGGGCAGATCACCTGAGGTCAGGCGTTCAAGATCAGCCTGGCCAACATGGTGAAATCTCGTCTCTACAAAAATACAAAAATTAGCCGGGCATGATGGCGCGTTCCTGTAATCCTGGCTACTCAGGAGGCTGAGGCAGGAGAACTGCTTGAACCCGGGAGATGGAGGTTGCAGTGAGATGAGATTGCACCACTACACTCCAGCCTGGAGGACAGAGTGAGACTCTGTCTCAAAAAAAAAAAAAAAAAATAGTTAAGAGAAAATTGAAATTTCAGCTCTTCATTCTCACTAGCCACATTTCAAGGGCTCAACAGCCCATGTGGGTGGCTAGCAGCTCCCATGTTGGACAGTGCAGAGTAGAGCAAGCCCGCCATTGCAGAATGTTTGATTGGACCGTGACTGAATAGTCTAGTGCAGTGGTCCCCAATTTTTTTTAGCACCAAGGACCAGTTTCCATGTATTTGTGGGGGGAAATTTCAGGATGATTCAAGTGCATTACATTTATTGTGTACTTTATTTCTATTGTTATTAACATTATAATATATAATGAAATCCTTATACAACTCACCACAATGTAGAATCAGTGGGAGCCCTGCACTTGTTTTCCTGCAACTGGATAATTCCATCTCTAGGTGGTGGGAAACAGTGACAGATCATCAGGCATTAGATTCTCATAAGGAGCACACAACCTAGATCACTTCCACATGCAGTTTATAATAGGGTTGGTGCTCCTATCAGAATCTAATGCCACTGCTGATCTGACAGGAGACAGAGCTCAGGCAGTAACGCTAGCCATGAGGAGCTGCTGTAAATACAGATGAAGCTTCACTCACTAGTCCACTGCTCACCTCCTTCTGTGCAGCCCAGTTCCTAACAGGCCACAGACCGCTACTGGTCTGTGGTCTGGGGGATGGGGACCTCTGGTCTATTGGATAACACTGGCTTGGAGGGTACTGATCAGCCAAAGAAGCGCTGAGATGATTTGGCCTCCATTAATAAGAATGATGGACTTTTTTTTTTTTTTTTTTTTGAGACAGTTTCACTCTTGTTGCCCATGCTGGAGTGCAGTGGCACCATCTCGGCTCACTGCAACCTCTGACTCCCAGGTTCAAGAGATTCTCATGCCTCAGCCTCCCAAGTAGCTGGAATTACAGGTGCCTGCCACCATGCCTGACTAATTTTTGTGTTTTTAGTAGAGTCGGGGTTTTGCCATGTTGACAAGGCTGGTCTTGAATTCCTGACCTCAACAGATCCACCTGCCTCAGTCTCCCAAAGTGCTGAGATTACAGGTGTGAGACACCGTGCCTGGCCACATGGACTTTTTTTGAGCATTTATTTCCAAGCACCTTCCCTGCATTTTCTGTTAATCCTCCCAGTGACTCTTTGAAGCAGGGACTATGATAATCATCATTTCACAGATGGAGCAACTCAGGCACAGAGAGCAAGTCAATGGCCACGGTCGCCCAGCTAAGGAAGGATGGAACCGGCTGAGATCCTGTTCTGGGGATCTAACTCTGCAGCCTGCATTCTGGGCTGCTGTATTCTCCCATGTTGCTATCTGACGAGCACAGCATGGGCTCAGAGTACAGAGAGGAGGCACCAGCTAATAAGGATAGGTCTGGGGTGAAGGCTAGTGCCTTGGGGAAGAAGAGAGAGGTCGCATTCTAAAGGGATGGCATTGGAAGTTCATAGTGATAAAGCAAGGCCAACAGATTTTGGGCCTGGGAGTTAAACACACAGCTCTGGTTTCTGCCTTTTCACAGCGGTGATGAATGGGCACTGAGAGCCTCTCAAGCTAAAGTTGTCATCACTGCTCTTCATAGTCTGAAGGTGCATGAAATGGTCAACTTTTTTCCAAAGGGCTTTTATGCCTAAGTCTGTGGTTAGTGTATAAACAGATATTTACTGAAGTCCTGCTGGGTGCAGACACTGTGGCCAACCCTGACGCTACAGTCGAGATGAAGCCAGTTTCTGTCCTCATGGAGACCTGTCTATTGATAAGAAAAGAGAAAGCTCACTGAGCATTGACCCTGTGCCTACTGCTTTTGATGCATCTCTCATTTAATCCTTCTATCAAATCTGTGAAATAAACACATCACCATCATCCCTATTTCACATTTAGGGAAACATATGCTTAGAGAGGGTAAGTAACTTGGTCAAGGTCACACAGCTTCGAACTCTCATCCCACAGGTGCAGGAATGAGAGGCAGCAGCTGTGGAAGCCAGGGTCTCTGGCAGTCCTTGTCTCTGGGTGGTGATCCAGAGAGAGAGAGAACATGATTGTCTCAGCAATGGGTCTTCTTCTGAGTCGTCTTGAAGGAGTAATTCCAGAGCGTCTCGGTGTTAAACATCATGTTGTGAATGACTCCGTGAGCTCTGACCCAGTGACCTTGGGGATAAAGGAGGGGAGGTACAGAGAAACTCTTTGAATGGATGTTACCGGGGTGTCAGTGTTCTTTGAGGGCACAGGCTATGTGTCACCAAATTGAAGGGGTGGCCTGCCCCTCCACCCCTGTGGGTATTTCTAGTCGGGTGGGATGAGTGACAGAGAAAAGAAATAAGACACAGAGTCAAAGTATAGAGAAACAACAGTGGTTCCAGGGGACAGACACTCAGCACATAAAGGACGTGCACTGGCACCGGCCTCTGAGTTCCCTCAGTTTTTATTGATTATGATTTTCATTATTTCAGCAAAAAGAAATGTAGTAGGAGAGCAGGGTGATAATAAGGAGAAGACCAACAAGAAATATGTGAGCAAAAGAATCTATATCATAATTAAGTTCAAGGGAAGGTACTATGCCTGGACGTGCATGTAGGCCAGATTCATGCTTCTCTCCACCCAAACATCTCAGTGGAGTAAAGAACATGGCAGCATTGCTGCAAACATGTCTCGCCTCCCGCCACAGGGCAGCTTTTCT
Source organism: Homo sapiens (assembly GCF_000001405.40). Taxonomy (NCBI): domain Eukaryota; kingdom Metazoa; phylum Chordata; class Mammalia; order Primates; family Hominidae; genus Homo; species Homo sapiens. Next base: position 9,667,118 of record NC_000004.12, on the reverse strand, counting down.
CCTATCTCAGAGTTGAACAAATGTACAATCGGGCTTCACAGCGAGACATTCAGTTCCCAGGGGCAAGCAGGAGACAGTGGCCTTCCTCCATCTCAACTGCAAGAGGCTTTCCTCTTTTACTAATCCACCTCAGCACAGACCCTTTAAGGTATCGGGCTGGGGGACAGTCAGGTCTTTCTCATCCCATGAGGCCATATTTCAGACTATCACATGGGGAGAAACCTTGGACAATACCCTGCTCTCAAGGGCAGAGGTCCCTCTGGCTTTCCACAGTACATTGTGCCCTTGGTTTGTTGAGACTAGAGAATGGCGATGACTTTTACCAAGTATACTGCTTGTAAACATTTTGTTAACAAGGCACTTCCTGCACAGCCCTAGATCCCTTAAACCTTGATTTTATACAACACATGTTTTTGTGAGTTTCAAGTTGGGTCAAAGTGGCTGGAGCAAAGTGGCTGGGGCAAGGCTACAAATTAACAATATCTAAGCAAAGCAATTGTTTAAAGTACACGTCTTTTTCAAAATGGAGACTCTTATGTCTTCCTTTTCTACATAGACACTGTGACAGTCTGATCTCTCTTTCTTTTCCCTGCATTTCCCCCTTTTCTTTTTGACAAAACCGCCATCGTCATCATGGCCCATTCTCGCTGGTCGCTGTCTCTCCGGAGCTGCTGGATATACCTCTGTAGACTAACAATAGAGAGGACAGACATACAAGAATTAATACAAAATTTGCAATAGTGGAATTTCCAATGGTTTTAACCCAAGTGATAGGGTTAAGATTTGTGAGGCTGTCAACAGCTTTTACCATTGCCTCAGTTTCTGGCACCAGATTTAACTGGGCTTTTGATGTTTCAAAAATTTGTTCTTTCAATTTAGAAATATCTAAGGTAAGATTATCTTCTCTTCCTTGTAGATGGCATCTAACCATGTCCCAGTGATGTTCAGATTCATTATAGGCTCGAGGTCTAATACAAAAATCTGACGTATTCCAGTCACACTGTAACTGAAAAAGATATTCCAAGCTCATGAGCCTATCTCTTATCCAAATAACAGTTTGTCTAAGATCATTAATTTGATTTGCCAATTTTTGATCTATTTGAGTCTGAGAATTCCACAATTTTGAGGAATTCTTTTGCCAATTATTCACATATTCTGCAGTTTGAACAGAGGAGTGTAAAGCAATTCCAGCAGCCGCAGCAGTAGCTGTGACTGCAATAAGACCCATAATCACTGCAATCAGAGTAAAAATGAATCTTTTAGATCTAGTTAGAACTCCTTTTACTACTTCTGTTAAGATATGTACGGATGGAGAAGCCTCCCACCGTCGACCCATGGACACAGGGATCCACACGCCTTCTCTTGCCCTTACTAACAGAATACCATGCTGTCAGTCAAAAGTTGAATCAATGCAAGTAAACAATCTACAATTTTCACAGCTTATAGTTTGGGAATCTGGTTTAATAGCTATGTTTCCTACAACTAACATATAAGGGGGTTTTACACAACTTTGCAAAGGAATTGTCAGATTGGAATTTAGGTTAATAGTATAATATGGCTTATGATTTCTTGTTCCCATAACTTGATTTCCAGACCAAATTCTAATGTGGTACGAGGCCACAGTGAGCTTTCATAATTCTGGGTGTTCAGGACCAACAACAGGACTAACTAACTTTGGTCGGGGTGATGGAATCCCCTTTTCACCCCATTTCCATGGATAGGGTGATTCTAGCCTTCTATAAACCTGGTCTAGCCTTTTAGTTAAGTCACCATCGTAGGCCAGATTAGTGGGCCAGACAGATGGAGCCTGTGAACATGAGTGGGTCTGGCCCATACAGTCATAATATAATTGGCCTCGAGGGGCCCAGTCTATAATAATTCTGAATTTATTGTTTTGTAGTACCACTGCAGTATCAGCCACACATTCTTCCCAAACTAAGACTTCTGGGTCTTTTGATTCTTCTGGAATTTCCTTCTGGCATGGTTTCCATTTAGGCCTAAATTTTAATGATCTTTGATAGGAAGAATTCTGTAAATTATTCATTTGTGACCCAAGTGACATTCCACTTATCATATGATAAGTAAATTTACTGGTGGCACTGACAGTAGGTTCTTCTACCAACCAATTTTGGATTGTAGGCATTAAGCATCCTGGTGTTTTTCCCAGGCAAATAGAAGGATAATGATACCCAATGGAAATGTTTATCATCATTCCTTCTTCTTCAGGTTGGGCAGGGCCACGGTCATCTGTGGGTCCTGGTACCCATGCACTGTTATTAACATATACTTCAATAGGATTATCTATCCAAGTGACTGCCCGAATTAAGGGTGGGAAAGGCACATAGGCCCAGTAAGTATAGTTAGCTGTAGCAGCTCCTGCAGACATAGGGAGACTTACCACCGTTGATACAATCATTAAAGCTGCAAGCAGCTTATTCTCTGGAGTTTGTGTTACCCTTGTGTTTTCCAGGCTTTTTTCAGCTAACTGTGTCAGCTTCTTTAGCTGGGCCCAGGTCGGCGGCCCCGCTTTCTTGGTGGATGGCAACTTCATCTGTTCTTCTGATATCACCATTTTGTTCACCCTGCGAGTCAATGATGTTCGATTGCGGGTTCTCTGTCTCTGCGGAGGTGCCTTCCCTTGCATCTCTGATGGGTTCATTGTAGAACTTCACATGTCTAGTGGGTACCCAAACAGGAAGCTGATTTTCTCCTGGCGAAACACAAGCAAAACCTCTCCCCCATGTCATCACCTTACCTATTTCCCAAGTTTTGTTTTTGTTGTCTTTCCACCAAATCAGTTTTCCCTCATGTGGGCTGTTCTTTTTACCAGTAAAATGTTATTCTGCAGAAGTAGTGGTCTGATTTCTATATATATTTAAAACATTTAAAGTATATCGTGCTAGATTAAGTTGCATCTGGGGAGTGTTATACTCCTTACTGTCTTTTTCCTTTTTTTGTTTAACCAATTGAGCTTTGAGTGTTCTATTAGTTCTTTCAATTATGGCCCGTCCTTGGGAATTACAAAGGATTCCTGTTGTATGTGTAATTTTCCACTGATTTAAGAATTTTCGAAATGCTTTACTACAGTATCCTGGCCTATTATCTGTTTTAATTTTTTCTGGAACTCCCATGACTGCAAAACAAGATAATAAATGTCTTTTAACATGGGAAGTACTTTCTCCTGTCTGGCAGGTTGCCCATATGAAATGTGAATAAGTATCAACTGTCACATGGACAAATGACAGTTTTCCAAATGAAGGTACATGTGTGATGTCCATTTGCCATAATGCGTCAGGACATAAACCTCTAGGATTAACTCCTGCCTCTTGAGTGGGCAGGTGTAAGACTTGACACTGAGCACAATGTTGTACAATATTTTTTGCTTGTTTCCATGTGATATCAAATTTGTTTTTTAATCCTGTTGCATTTACATGAGTCAGGGCCTGAAGTTCTTGTGCTTCCATGAAGGCAGATGATACTAGCAAGTCAGCTTGTTCATTTGCCTTAGTTAAAGTCCCTGGTACATTAGTATGTGCTCGAATATGAGTAATATAAAATGGGAAACTTCTTTTTCTAACAGTTTGTTGTAACAATTTAAACAGCTGATTTAACTGATCATCCACACTATATTTGATTAGGGCTGTCTCAACATCCTTTGTAGCCTGTACTACATATGCAGAATCTGAAACAATGTTAATAGGCTGATTAAAATCTTGTAACACTGAAATGACAGCAACCAATTCTGCTCTTTGAGCTGAGTGATATTGAGTTTCAGTGACTCGTTCTTTTGGCCCAGTGTAAGCTGCTTTTCCATTGCTGGAACCATCAGTAAACACCGTCAGAGCATTTCCTGGAGGTTTTTGTCTGGTAATTTTAGGTAAAATCCAAGTAGTCAATTTCAAAAACTGGAAGATTTTTGCTTTTGGGTAATGATTGTCAATAATTCCCACAAAATCAGCAATACTAATCTTCCGTGCGCCAGAATTGATAAAGGCTTCTCTAACCTGTTCCTTATTTAAAGGAACAATGATTTTATCTGGGTCATTTCCACACAATTTTACTATTCGTAGTCTTGCCTGACCAATTAATGTACCCATTTGATCTAAGTACAATGTAAAAGTCTTAACCGTACTGTGAGGAAGGAATGACAACTCCACTAGATCTGTATTTTGAACAATAATGCCTGTTGGAGAATGTGCAGTAGCAAAAATTAAAAGTTGGAGTGGGGCTAAGTGATCTATTTACTTGTGCTGACTGAATTTTTTCTTAAACTAATTCTATTTCTTTAGTTGCCCCTGGAGTTAATGTTCTTTTACTATTTAAGTCTGGATCCCCTCTCAAGATAGAGAACAAAGTTGACATGGCATAAGTACGGATGCCTAGAGTTGGCCAAATCCAATTAATATCTCCTAGCAATTTTTGAAAGTCATTTAATGTTCTTAATGTGTCTTTTCTTACTTCTACTTTTTGTGGTTTAATTTTTCTCTCCTCTACCTGCATTCCCAAATAATGAAAACGAGTGGAGGTCTGAATCTTATCAGATGCTATTGTCAGGCCTGCATTTGCAACCTCTGTCTGCAGAAATGTGTAACCGTCAATTAATTTGTCTCTTATTTCTGCAGCACACAAAATATCATCAACATAATGAATGATATAACAGTCTGAAAACTTGTCTCTAACTGGTTGAAGAACTTGAACTACAAAAGTCTGACACACAGTTGGACTATTAAGCATTCCCTGAGGCAACACTTTCCAATGAAATCTGGTGGCTGGTTCTTTATTATTTCTGGCTGGTATAGTAAAAGCAAATTTTTCAAAATCCTGTTTTGCCAGAGGAATGGTAAAAAAGCAATCCTTCAGATCAGTTATAATTAAAGGCCAATATTTGGGGATCATGGCTGGAGAGGGCAGCCCAAGTTGGAGAGGCCCCATGGGTTGAATTACTGCATTAGCGGCTCTTAAATCAGTTAGCATGTGTCATCTGCCTGTTTTTTTCTGAATTACAAACACAGGAGAATTCCAAGGCGAAAATGAAGGCTCAATATGTCCCTTTTCCAATTGTTCTTTTGCCAGTAAGTGTAAGGCTTCCAGCTTTTGTTTTGGTAGTGGCCACTGATTTACCTTTATAGGCTTTTCTGTTTTCCAAGTTGATGGAATGGGTTTTGGAGGCTCTACAGTGGCCACCCTTAAGAAGGATACCTTAGTCCTTTTCTTTCTGGATTTCCCTTAGCCTCAATTGGAACTTTAATGCCTTCTCCATTTTTGCCTAGTCCTTTGCCAGGGAGATATCCCATTTTAGTCATGATTTTTTGACTCGTGGGGCTGTATAGAGAGACTGGAATGGTAATCTCTGCATGCCACTGTTCTAATAAGTCTTGGCCCCATAAATTAATTGGAATAGAAGTAATCATAGGCTGAACTGTACTCTCTTGATTATCAGGTCCTAGACGATGTAAAATCCTGGCACTTTGATACACTTCTGAGGCAGTGCCCACACCAACAAGTCCTGTAACAGGCTTTTGTTTAGGCTGATTTTTTGGTCATTGATTTAAGGCAATGAGAGAAACATCAGCCCCAGTATCCACTAATCCTTCAAACTGTTTTCCCTGAATAGTAACTGTACACACAGGTCTATTCTCTGAGAGCTGACTAGCCCAATAAACAGCTTTTCCAGCAGGGTTGGTACTTCCAAACCCTCCTGTTCTTTCTGTTTTGTTATCCCCAATTTTAATATAAGGCAAGAGCAGTAATTGAGCAATTCTATCACCTGGATTGGCACTCCAGGGAACAGTAGAGCTGATCACTAACTGAATTTCCCCTTTATAATCTGAGTCAATTACCCCAGTATAAATTTGAACTCCTTTCAAATTTAGACTAGATCTTCCTAAAATAAGGCCTACCATCCCTTCTGGCAGTGGGCCATATACCCCTGTAGGAATCTTTTGCGGGGGCTCTCCAGGGAGTAAAGAAATCATTTGAGCAGAACATAAATCTACTGCAGCGCTGCCTGCTGTGGCAGGGGATAGTTGTTGTATTGTTGTAATTGGCTGATTTCCTGAAATGGTGGTATTTACTGTGGGGGTTGTTGTCCCTGAAAACCCTGAGGAACAAATGGCTGAATCGGGAATGCCCCACTTTGTTGCGGGGCCTGGGGCTGGCCCCTCTTCCCATTTCCCGACAATGGCTGTCCAATTTCATCAAATTTAGAAAGACATTCCTTAGCCCAATATTTTCCTTTTCCACATCTTGGACACAGGCCAGGTGGCTCTTTTTTTTTTTTTTTTTTTGCTCTGTTTATTTAAGCCTAGGCAATTCTTTTTTAGATGTCCGATTTGACCACAATTATAACATTTTTCCCCAAATGTTTTAACTTGTCCTCCTAAAGCAACCCCTGTAATTGCTTGAGCCAATAACATTGCCTTACGCATAGCTCCTCCAATCCCATCACAAGCCTTCACATATTCTGTAATTACATCAACTCCTGCTGAAACCTTTCCTCTTAATGGCTTTATGGCCGATTGACATTCTGGATTTTCATTTTGATAAGCTATTATTTCTACAGTAACTTTTCGGGCGTTATTATCTGCAATGGATTTTTGAGCTGCATCTTGCAACCTTGCCACAAAGTCTGGATATGGATCTTTAGAGCCTTATCTGATTGAACTAAAAGCAGAGCAGGAGGTTCCTGGGTCCTGAATCTTTTCCCAGGCCCTGAGGCAAATAGCCCTTAGTTGTTCAGTAGCCTCATTTTGCATTACTGATTGTTGGTTAATAGTGCCCCAATTTGGACCTGTTCCTGGTAATTGGTCTGCATCTATATAAGCAACAGGATTAGTAGCCTGATTTTTTCATACCTGTTCATGTACCCCATCAATCCACCAGGTTTTAAACTGTAGATACTGAGAGGGTGAAAGGGAAGATTTAGCCAAAATTTCCCAATTATAAGGAATAAGTCTATTTCCATGAGCAATGGAATCTAATAATGTTCTCATATAAGGAGAGTTAGGTCCATATTGTTTAACTCCTTCCTTCATATCTTTTAACATTTTTGTGGTGAAAGATTCATATCTGGTCTCAGTTCAGACAGACGCTCCTGCTTGACTCCCTTTCCCGGCCGGCATCGGTTGTAACATTACCAGATATTGCCATGCCTCAAGATCTCCCTGTTTTCTGGCTGTAGCAATGGTCTCATGCAGTGCACTATCTTGTCCACTAGGTGGTACTGTAAGATCAAACGCCATCGCCGTGGGTTGTTGATATAGTGCCTTGCTATTTGGCACAGGACGCACCTCCTGAGATCCATACTGAACCTCTGGAGACGGCCGATACTGAAATTCGGCTGGCGGCTGGTGTTGATAAACTACCGATGGTTGGGTTTATTTTCTACTGGCTGGTATTGCGGATACTGTGCCTGGATTGGCATTTGAGATTGTGACATCACAGGCATCTGAACCGCGGGAGAAGGGGTTGGTGGCCATCTTGGTCTAAACTCTGATGGCCCAAATAATTCTGGAACTCCTTCTCCCAATTTTGATGATTCAGGATACATTACCTCCTGTAATTGATTATAGTCAACATTTTGCATTGACCGAACCATTACAGGCTCTACTGCATTTTTACAATGTGTACTTTCCATTCCTTTCTTAAAGTCTGTTCCTGCCTCTTCTTCACAATCTATTACACAGCTTTCAGGGGCATCAAAGACTGAAACGCCATCTTCTTCTATTTGAAATTGTTCTAAAATTGCTTTAATAATGGCCCAATCATTCCATGCTGTAAGTGGGATGATCTTACCTTCCCTAGTTGCTTGTTGTAGTTCTTTGCCAATTTTTTCCCCATCATTTAAATCTAAAATTCCCTGTTCTGGAAACCATGGGCGGAATTGTTCTATTGCTTGAAATAGCGTAACTAGATTTTCTGTAGAAGCTTTAACTCCCCCTCTTCTTAAGAGAATTTTAATGAAGCTGAGATAAGAAGCATATTTACTTTCAGTTTGCCCCATTGTTACCCTGGATTCCTCCGAGCGCACAAGCTTACCTCAAGGCTGACTGTGGACGTACTCGGGAATCTCTCGTCGGCTGTCCTCAATGCTCACGTTCTTAGGGTACCTTCACCCTAGAGAAGGGCCCCATGTTGGGCACCAGATGAAGGGATGGCCTGCCCCTCCACACCTGTGGGTATTTCAAGTCGGGTGGGATGAGAGACGGAGAAAATAAATAAGACACAAAGTATAGAGAAACAACAGTGGGCCCAGAGGACCGGCACTCAGCACACCAAGGACCTGCACAGGCACCGGCCTCTGAGTTCCCTCAGTTTTTATTGATTATGATTTTCATTATTTCAGCAAAAAGAAATGTAGTAGGAGAGCAGGGTGATAATAAGGAGAAAGTCAACAAAAAACGTGAGCAAAATAATCTATATCATAATTAAGTTCAAGGGAAGGTACTATGCCTGGATGTGCACGTAGGCCAGATTTATGTGTCTCTCCACCCAAACGTCTCAGTGGAGTAAAGAATAACAAGGCAGCATTGCTGCAAACATGTCTCGCCTCCTGCCACAGGGCAGCTTTTCTCCTATCTCAGAGTTGAACAAATGTACAATCGGGTTTTACACCGAGACATTCAGTTCCCAGGGGCAAGCAGGAGACAGTGGCCTTCCTCCATCTCAACTGCAAGAGGCTTTCCTCTTTTACTAATCCACCTCAGCACAGACCCTTTACGGGTATCGGGCTGGGGGACAGTCAGGTCTTTCGCATCCCATGAGGCCATATTTCAGACTATCACATGGGGAGAAACCTTGGACAATACCTTGCTCTCAAGGGCAGAGGTCGCTGCGGCTTTCCACAGTGTATTATGCCCCTGGTTTGTTGAGACTAGAGAATGGTGATGACTTTTACCAAGTATACTGCTTGTAAACATTTTGTTAACAAGGCACGTCCTGCACAGACCTAGATCCCTTAAACCTTGATTTCATACAACACATGTTTTTGTGAGCTCCAGGTTGGGTCAAAGTAGCTGGGGCAAAGTGGCTGGGGCAAAGCAACAAATTAACAACATCTAAGCAAAGCAATTATTTAAAGTACAGGTCCTTTTCAAAATGGAGTCTCTTATGTCTTCCCTTTCTACATAGACACAGTGACAGTCTGATCTCTCTTTTCCCTACACAAATAAAGAACCCAGTAACTTTTCTCATTGCTCAGGAGATTGAAGGGGTAGGAAGAAAAGATGTTAGGTTATAAACATGTTTCAGTTTTGTTACCACTTGAACCAATTTATGTTTTGAAGAGGAAAGAGTCTTGCCTACAAAGTCAGCCCCTGGGTTTTCCTTCTGCTTATGGAATCCAGGGAATGGGCAAAGAGAAAAAGAAAACTAAGGAATCAGCCAGATGCAGTGGCTCATGCTTGTAATCTTGGCACTTTGGGAGGCTGAGGCAGGTGGACTTCTTGAGTCCAGGAGTTCAAGACCAGCCTGGCCCACATAGTGAGACCCCGTTTCTACAAAAAATACAAAAAGTTGCTGAGCATGGTGGCATGCACCTGTAGTCCCAGTTACTTGGGAGGCTGAGGTGGGAGAACTACTTCAGCCCAGGAGGTTGAGGCTGCAGTGAGCCATGATTGTGCCACTATACTCCAGCCTTGGTGACAGAGTGAGGCCCTGGCTCAAAAGAAAACAAAAAAGATAAGAAAAAGAAAACTAGGGAATCTGGACAGAATAAGTTTATATATATAATAAAGAACTGAGATAGAACTGGGTTGACTGAATAATTATTTGAATTGCTTTTGAGTGAATTTTTCCTATTGGAGTCTACCTTTGTGTGTGTGTGTGTGTGTGTGTGTGTGTGTGTGTGTGTGTGTGAGCTTTTTTGTTTTTTTTTTTGGTTTTTTTTTGGTTTAGTTTTGTCTTTGTGTTTTTTTGAGACTGGGCCTTGCTCTGTTGCCCAGGCTGCTGGAGTGCGGTGGCACGATCTCAGCTCACTGCAACCTCTGACTCCTGGGTTCAAGCAATTCTTCTGCCTCAGCCTCCCCAGAAGCTGGGACTACTGGGCATGTACCACCAAGCCCAGCTAATTTTTGTATTTTTAGTAGAGATGGGGTTTCACCATGTTGGCCAGGCCTGGTCTTGAACTCCTGGGCTCAAGTGATCCACCTGCCTCAGCATCCCAAAGTGCTGGGATTACAGCTGTGAGCCCCTGCACCCAGCTAGAGTCTACCTTTCTTTGAATTCATTGCAGTGCAAAGACTGGGACATGTGGAACTCCAGGTGTATATGGGTTATGTAGAGACGCTAGGGGCTGATTAAGGAAGGAAAGATATGAGAAGCCTGCAGAGCATGCTTTCCCAGACTGTATGGGCCCTGGGAAGGGAGAAGTGGACAGAAAGGGAACACTAGGTGCCCTGGAAGAGAAGATTCATCCAAGTCATCAGGGAAGTTACTAAAGCAAGGGAAAAAATGCAGAGACGGGGACAAACACGCTTCTTCCAAGTCCTTTCTGTCCGCTCAGTCACCTCTATGCTTATTTTTCTTCTTTCCCGTAAGTAGTGTCATGCGTTTTCTTCCCATTCCTAGTCACTCCTAGTCAACTAACTCCTCTCTTTACCATCTTTTCATCAGAACTTGAATCCTCCTCTCCTTTATGTATTAGTGATCGTGTTTCTCCATAATACTGCTAGAAACAAGAATTGAAACCTGGAAAACCTGCATTTGAGAACCAGATCTGCCTCTGCTAGCTATTTGAGAAGTGATTTTGTTCCATTCTTTTTGTTGTTGTCGAAACAGGGTGTCATTCTGTCGCCCAGGCTGGAGTGCAGTGGTTCAATCTTGGCTCACTGCAGCCTCAACCTCCTGGGCTCAAGCAATCCTTCCACATCAGCCTCCTGAGTAGCTGAGACTACAGGTGTGTGCCACCACAGCTGGCTAATTTTTAATGGTTTTTTTTTTTTGTTTACTTTTTTTTTTGTAGAGATGGGGTCTTCAGTGCCCCATTGCTCAAACCTCTAGGGGAGCACGCAGACAGGCAGCGAGCCCCATGGCAGTGTCCAGGGGTGAATGTTTATAGTTGAAGCACCAGTGGGCGTGTGTTACAGAGTGCTCTTTTAGTTTAGCCATCTGTAGGTAGCTTGTGTTAGTCGGCTCAATTAGAGCTCCGCCTTATTGCAAGGACAGAGGACTCTCTTTGTCCTGGGGTTCTTGCCATGGTGTACCGGAAGTGGTGCGATCTCAGCTCACTGCAAGCTCCACCTCCAGGGTTCATGCCATTCTCCTGCCTCAGCCTCCCGAGTAGCTGGGACTACAGGTGCCCACCACCAAGCCCGGCTAATTTTTTTGTATTTTTAGTAGAGATGAGGTTTCACTGTGTTAGCCAGGATGGTTTGGATCTCCTGACCTCGTGATCTGCCCACCTCGGCCTCCCAAAGTGCTGGGATTACAGGCATGAGAGTGCAAGGTTTTATTGAGTGGAAGTATCTCTCAGCAGATGGGGGAGCCAGAAGGGAGGTGGTTTACCCCTGGAGTCGGGCGAGTGGCCTGACTCTTCTCCGAATGTCCCAGCCAAACTGTGCGTTGTTCTGCCAGTCAGTGGCCTGCGGTGTGCCGGTGCCCATTGGTGCCTTCCTCTTGATGTCCAGCGCCCTTGTGTTCCTCCGCTGATGTGCTCCTCTCGAAGTCCAGCTGCCTGTGTGTCTGCCTGCTAGGGTCTCAGGGTTTTTATAGGCACAGAATGGGAGTGTGGCAGCCAGGGTGGTCTTGGGAAATGCAACATTTGGGCAGGAAAACAAAAATGCCTGTCCTCACCTAGGTCCGTGGGCACAGGCCCTGGGGTGGAGCCCTAGCCAGGGACCACACCCTCCTCTACCCAGTACTTCCCTTCCTCACTTCCATATCATTTAAAAGGACCACATTCTTCCCTTCCGAGCACTTCCCTTCTGTATCACAAAGTGCTGGGATTATAGGCATGAGCCACTGGTCCCAGCCAATTCCGTTCTTTTAATGCAAACTAGAAAATAGGTGTTCAGAAAGGCCTGCCCTATCCACCTCAAGGAGTTGCTATGAAGATCAAATTAGATCATGTGCAACAGAAGTTTAGAAAGGTTTCCTAAAGCACTGTGCAATGGGAATGTATTTTTAAACTCCACTGAGTGGACTTAAAACTATGTTTTATTTTTTTCTTTCTTTCTTTTTTTTTGTTTGAGACAGAGTTTCACTCTTGTTTCCTAGGCTGGAGTGCCACGATGCCATCTTGGCTTACTGCAACCTCTGCCTCCCAGGTTCAAGTGGTTCTCTGCCTCAGCCACCGGAGTAGCTGGGATTACAGACACTCGCCACCATGCCTGGCTAATTTCTTTCTTTCTTTTGTTTTTGTCTTTTTAGTAGAGATGTGGTTTCACAGTGTCGGCCAGGCTGGTCTCGAACCCCTGACCTTAGGTGATTCACCCACCTTGGCCTCCCAGAGTGCTGGGATTAAGGCTTGAGCCACCGCACCCCACCTGTGTTTCTTTTTTAAGCAAGAAAACAAATGTCTCTCCCCAGCGCTCACTAAACAAATCCCTCTGTTTTTCTTTCCATAGGATTCTTATCCTTCTTGCCCCACTGCAAACAATCTATTTTCTTTTGGCCCTTCCGTCCATCTGTGAAAGGGTCAGGCTTTCTAGCTAACCCTTAATCAAATATTTTTGATTACCACAGTCAAGACAGTACTTATTATTTTTTTTTGAGACGGAGTTTTGCTCTTGTTGCCCAGGCTGGAGTACAATGGTGCAATCTCGGCTCACTGCAACTTCTGCCTCCAGTGTCCAAGTGATTCTCTTGCCTCAGCCTCCCAGGTAGCTGGGATTACAGGTGCACAACACCACGCCCATCTAATTTTTGTATTTTTAGTAGAGATGGGGTTTCTCCATGTTGGTCAGGCTGGTCTCTAACTCCTGACCTCAGGTGATCTACCCATATCAGCCTCCCAAAGTGCTGGGATTACAGGGGTGAGCCACCCTGACTGACCAAGACAGTGCTTATTAATGCCTGAGATGCATCCAGGAGCACATGACCTGGCTGTGACTGTTCTAACAAAGTTCCCCAAATGGGTGGCTCAAGACAACAGAAAGTCATTCTCTCCCGTTCCAGAAGCTTGATGTCTGAAACGGGCAGGGCCGTGCTCCCTCTGAAGTTTCTAGGGATGAATACTTCCTTGCCTCTTCTGGCTTCTGGTAGTTGCTGGCAATCCTTGGCTTGTGGCCACATCATTCTATTTTCTTCCTTCATTCTCATGTGGCCTTCTCTCCTGTATGTCTCTGTCTCTTCTTCTCTTCCCATGAGGATGCCATTATTATTCGATTTAAGGTCCACGCTATTCCAATATGACCTCTTTGTAATTAGATCTGCAGTGACCCTATTTTCTTTTCTTTTTTTTTTGAGATGGAGTCTTGCTCTGTTGCCCAGGCTGGAGTTCAGTGACACAACCTCAGCTCGCTGCAACTCTGCCTCCTGGGTTCAAGTGATTCTTCAGCCTCGGCCTCCAAAGTAGCTGGGATTACAGGTGCATGCCACCATGTCTAGCTAATTTTTGTGTTTTTAGTAGAGACAGGGTTTTGCCATGCTAGCCAGGCTGGTCTTGAACTCCTGACATCAAGTGATCCTCCTGCCTCACCCTCCCAAAGTGTTAAGACTACAAGCATGAGCCACCATGCCCTGCCCCTATTTTCTAATAAGGCCACATTCTGGGATTCCTGGTGAATGTGAATTTTTGGAGGACAGTATTCAGTCTGGCAAAAGGCAGAACATCCTCACTTTCTTCCCTACCTCAGAAATAAAGAAGTTAACCTCGACCCCTCTGAGAGAGAGAGGCTTCCTGAGCTTCCAACTATCAATTATCCAAATATTAGTCACAGAAGAGCACTAAGGGTTGTGCACAGCACGTGGCCAGCCCGTTCTCAGAGTCTGTCAAGTTTAAGGTGAACGCTAATCCTGAATGATTTAAAATGTGTTTGGCATATCCTCGTCATTGTAAAATGTTCTCACATTGTGATGGCTGGGGCTTCCCTCTCAGGTGTAATCTGCAAAGTCAGACGTGACACAGCCTGGGTGAGGTGGGTCAAGCTGGGAACTGGGTTAGGAGGGAGGTTGGGGAATGATCTCCAAGGTCTCAGATCCCATACTGGCTTTAGCTTGATTCATCCAGAGGGATCTCATAAAAAATGCACATTCCGGGGCCCACCCCAGACCTAATGAATCAGAATTACCTGGGAAGGAGCCTGGGGAGCTCTGTTTTCAGAAGCAGCCCAGCCGAATCCTACGGTCAGACAGGGCTAGGAAACCGAGCTCAGTCTAGGGCGGTAGTTCCCAAACTCATCTGTGCTTCAAAAAATACAGATGCTGATGTCCAGGCATGGTGGCTCATGCCTATAATCCCAGCAGTTTGGGAGGCTGAGGCGGGAGTATTGCTTGAGCCCAGGAGTTTGAGACAAGCCTGGAGAACATAGGGACATACTGCCTCTGTAAAAAATTTAAAAATTAGCCAGGCGTGGTGGTGCCCGCCTGTGATCCCAGCTACCGTGGAGGTTGAAGTGGGAGGGTTTCTTGAGTCCAGGAGTTGGAGGCTGTAGTGAGCTATGATTGTGCCACTGCACTCCAGCCTGGGTAACAGAGTGAGGCCCTGTCTCAAAAACAAAACAAAACAAAAAACAGATGCTCTGTCCCATTCCAGAGGTTAGGGTTCAATTGTTCTTGGGTGTGGCCTGGGTTTTGGAAGATTTAAAAAAAAATCGCATGTGACCTTAAAGTGTAGATGAGTTTGGAAACCACACATCGAAGGCACACTTGAATGGGGGAGCAGTGAGGTGGCATGAGCTAGCCGGCCAGAACCCAGGGGTGGGGCAGTAGGAACCAGCATTGCAGAGGCCATGAAGGCTGGGAAGCATAGTGTCTGGGGCCCATAACAATGCTTTGACATGAATGCTTTAGACCTAAGACAATTGGCTCCTAAATGTGCAAACTGCAAGGCTGAAATGAATGCATGTTTAATGCTTTACAACACTGTCAAGTGGTCAGCTGCAACTCCGTTCTGAGGGCGTGATGCCTGAGATATGCCTGTAATGGGGGTGGATTTTAATGAATTTAATATGGTGTGGAGTGGGGCCTTCAAGAGTAAAGATGTCAGTTCTAAGTTGGTTGCAGGGGTCTGGGCAAAGGTCTTAAAACCCCATGGTGAGCAGATGGCCAATCCTGAACGCCCCAATTTTAAAACAGGGCTTTTTTTCCAAGAGACTTTTTGAAAATAGCTCCTATTTTGAGGGGAGGAACCCTGGCAGGAGAGAGCCAGAGTTAAGCCCAGCTGGGTTGGCAGGCAGGGGCCTGCCTGGTCCTCACTGAAGCTTGATACTCAGGGTGAGCTTCCTAAACCAATGCCGATTTGCTGGCCCACTGAGCCTCGCAGATGAGAACCTGCATTTCAACAAGGTCCTCAGTGCAGCAAAGTTTGAGATATACTGGGCTAGAACACCCAGGGGACACAAAGGTTCTCTGAAAACTAAGGAAAATAGGCAGGGTGTGGTGGCTCATGCCTGTAATCCTTGTATTTTGGGATGCCAAGGCGGGCGGATCACCTGAGATCAGGAGTTCGAGATCAGCCTTGATCAACATGGTGAAACACCATCTCTACAAAAAATACAAAAATTAGCTGGGTGCGGCCGGGCACAGTGGCTCATGCCTGTAATCCTTGATTACAGTAATGCCTCCTTTGGTAGGCCGAGGCGGGCAGATCATGAGGTTAGGAGATCGAGACCATCCTGGCTAACACGATGAAACCCTGCCTCTACTAAAAATACAAAAAAATTAACCGGGCGTGGTGACAGTGCCTGTAGTCCCAACTACTCGGGAGGCTGAGGGAGGAGAATGGCATGAACCTGGGAGGTGGAGCTTGCAGTGAGCCGAGATTGCACCACTGCACCGCAGCCTGGGCAACAGAGCCAGACTCGGTCTCAAAAAAAAAAAAAATTATCTGGGTGAAGTGCCAAGTACCTGTAGTCCCAGCCACTTGGGGGGCCGAGACAGGAGAATAGATTGATCCTGGGAGACGGAAGTTGCAGTGGCCCGAGATCGCACCACTGCACTCCAGTCTGGTGGCAGAGTGAGACTCCATCTAAAAAAATAAAAAATAAAAAATAAATAAATAAATAAAAAATAAAAATAAATACTGGGCTAGAAGACCCAGGAGACCCGAAGATTCTCTCAAAACTAAGGAAAATAATCTAGGTCACAAATATATTCTCTTTCTCCTTCTCCCCATTGCCCCCCTCCACCAGGAATCTTTATAGACTCAAATTGAGTTGATGTTCTATAATCAATTCTAGTCACTTTTATTTATATTTATTTATTTTAGAGATGGGGGTCTCACTATGTTGCTCAGGCTGGTCTCAAACTCCTGGGCTCAAGTGATCCACCCAAGTCGGTCTCCCAAAGTGCTGGGATTACAGGCACCAGCCACTGAACCTGGCCGTCACTTTTATTTTTGATGTTCAAATTATAAGCTAATGCCTGTGAGACCATAGATTCTTTTTATGCACTCAATACATTTTCGTGTTTACCTTACATTTTTATTATGGAAAAATTCTGTTTTTTCCACTTGTTTCTATTTGATAATGAAGCCCTCTGTGCCTATCACCAGCCTCAGCCGCCATCATCTCATTACCAAGCTGGGTTATTTTGAAGCAAATATCT
The DNA here is from genome assembly GCF_000001405.40 of Homo sapiens. Classification (NCBI taxonomy): domain Eukaryota; kingdom Metazoa; phylum Chordata; class Mammalia; order Primates; family Hominidae; genus Homo; species Homo sapiens. Next base: position 9,650,414 of record NC_000004.12, on the reverse strand, counting down.
TCTAATATTTAGCCGGCGTTCAAATTTCCCTAACCATCCTAAATGAATGTTTAGAATAGTTGTTTTATTGGAAACAAGGTCAAAACAAGTACATTTTACATTTTTAGGCCAGTCTTGAAAGTTAGTGTAAAACCATGTGTGGGGTAGGAGGTGGGACTAGACTCTCAAGGTGCGGCCAGGATACCAGACCCAATTGAGGACTAGCTAAGAGAGATTCCACAATGAATAACACCAGGAGGTGGGAATATTAAGGTCTATTGTGAAGGATGGCTACCACAATTATTAGATCAACTAATTATCAACCCTGACTGCAGCTGAGAGAGATTTGTTTTCGCTTTTTTTTTTTTTTTTTTCAGAGACAGGGTCTTGCTATGTTGCCCAGGCTGGACTCAAACTCCTGGGCTCAAGTGATTCTTCTGCCTCAGCCTCCTGAGTAGCTGAGACTACAGGTGTGTGCCACTGTGCCCAGCAAGATTTTAAAAAATACGTATGCCCGGACACCACTCTAAACCAACTAAATCAGAATCAGATATAGTGAAGTCATTAATCATTTTGCTCCTGGGTCTTTATGATAGTTTTACTCCTGGGAAACTCTTGGGAATGTGGTAGAGAGACAGAAAGAAGCGGGAAAATAAGATTTTAAGAAGTGTTGCTATGCCTTTTGAAAATAATTTTTCTTTGGTGTTTGTCTTGAGGGACGTCGGTAAACATTTCAATTGCCTTTAAGTATGCTTGGATGCTGGAATGATGGTTCTTTGAATGCAGCATCAAACTGGCATTGGGCCACATGGCAGCCAGCGTGAGCCTTTATGCCACATTTATAAAACATGAATGTCATGAGTCCACTCTCAGGGACCTTACAATTTGGAGGGTTAGGTCAGATCCACAAATCTCTTCTATCTCATGGTAAAGGAAACCTGGCATGTAGCAGGAGATGGCGTGATAGCCATAACATATTGCATGATTAATATTTGTATTCTTCTGATCAATATTAAACTTTTTGACCCCCTCCATTGTGTCATAAATTTGCTTAATACAGTTTCTGCCTCAGCGTCAGTTTTTAGGCCTGGCATAAGCTGTTTGAAACCCAGGCACGTACCCACCTGTCATCTTTGGCCTAGTTAACACCTCCCCTCCCTGAGTGGTGGTTTGGAGAACCTGCTTGTTCCTCATCCCACTGATCCCAAACCCAGGACACCCCACAGCTGTTGACCATGATTAAACCTAACGGAGATTTAATGCCTTTCTTCTGATTCTCAGGGACTGACGTTCATTCACTTAAATACTTGCAGAGTCAGCCAGGTGTGGTGGCTCACACCTGTAATCCCAGCACTTTGGGAGGCCAAGGTGGGTGGATCACGAGGTCAAGAGTTCGAGACCAGCCTGGCCAACATGGTGAAACCCCATCTCTACTAAAAATACAAAAATTAACTGATGTAGCAGTGCGTGCCTGTAATCCCAGCTGCTCAGGAGGCTGAGGCAGGGGATTTGCTTGAACCTGGGAGGTGGAGGTTGCAGTGAGCCAAGATTATGCCATTGCACTCCAGTCTGGGCAGCAGAGTGAGATTCCGTCTCAAAAAACAACCCAAAAACTTCCAGAGTGAATTCAGGAAACCATGAAGTCCAGAGTTTGATCGAATCCCTTCCTTTTTCTCTTTCTCAAATATTTTGAGCCAGGTACTATTCTAGATTGTCTTGTGATATTTACAATCTAGGAGAAGGCAGGAGAGAGAACTAAGAAGAGAGAGCATGTTCTGAGATGTCTGCTGTGTTTGCAGTTACCTTCCCTCAATTTCCCTACTCATTGGCCATGCTAGAAAGCAGGTCTTGGCGCCATATTTGTACTATGGTGCTTCCCCTCCCTATACTCAATTGGTTGGCCAGAAGCCCAATTATCATTCTCTCTCTGTCTCTCTCTCTCTCTCCCTCTCCCTCTCTCCCTCCCTCCCTCTCCAAGATATCCAGTAACAGACTGATCAGCTGGTGGTGGGTTCTGCTGGCTGCCATGATGGGCCACCAGCAAAAAGGGAAAATTGGTTGTGAGTGAGAGAAGCAGAGATAAGAAAGTCCACAGGGCTGATAAGAAAGACCAAGGGCTGCCGGGAGCGGTGGCTCATGCCTGTAATCCCAGCACTTTGGGAGGCCAAGACGGGTGGATCAGGAGGTCAGGAGACCGAGACCATCCTGGCTCACACGGTGAAACCCCATCTCTACTAAAAATACAAAAAATTAGCCAGGTGTGGTGGCTGGTGCCTCTAGTCCCAGCTAATTGGTAGGCTGAGGCGGGAGAATGGCGTGAACCCTGGGAGGTGGAGCTTGCAGTGAGCTGAGATAGCACGACTGCACTCCAGCCTGGGCGACAGAGCAAGACTGTGTCTCAAAAAAAAAAAAAAAAAAAAAAAAGAGACCATGGGCTTCTGAGAGCCAGAAAGAGGCATTTTGGTTTCTGTAACTGCAGTTTCCATTCTCTCATGGCCTCTCATTTGTTTCTTGTGCCCATGAGTTTGCCTGTTAGAGATAAGGTGTGCTCCTTTCCCTCCAGCTCATGCAAATGGGTTTCTGTTACTTACAATCATTGTTCCCAGATATGGGTGGTGACTGATGCTCTACTAAATACTGAAAAAAAGCAGAATGGAAGCACAGAAAAGAGGGCTTCTCTGAGGAGGTGACGTTAGAGCCCAGTTGGAAGGCAGGAGTAAATGTGCACTGTGATTTTTTAGGATTAAAACCAAGTATCTCACTGCTTGGGCACATGTAGATAGAGGTGATTTAATATTAAACTGTCCCAGTTGTATCCATTGTCAGTTACCTCACCACAGGGATTATGTAGCCATGAGTTTGGTTAGTGCTTATTTATTTTAGGTTGTTGTTTTTCCAAACCTCTTAAATGATACGTGTTTGGAACAGGTGATAGCATTGTTCATTGATGTTGTGGACAAACCACTCTTTTATTACTCAAGACTGGGTAATTTATAAAGAAAAAGAGGTTTAATGGGCTCACAGTTCCATGTGGCTGAAGAAGCCTCAAAATCATGGTGGAAGGCAAAAGGCACATCTTACATGGTGACAGACAAGTGTGATGAGAGCTATTTTGGTCATTGTTCACTGGCCATAGAATTTACTTCTATATTTTGAATTAAGACAAGAGCCAGGCACACAAGACGGTTACAGGTCTGTTTTTTGTTTTTGATGATGATGATGATGATGATGATGATGATGAAGTGGCTGACATGGTTCATGACTTGCTGTTTCTCATCATCTCAGAGCTGGATTTTTGGCTGGACTATTGGCTTGGGATGGATGAAAATCATTCCTTGTATCCCCTGATCTTAAAGTCAAGACTGAAGCAGCCTCCAGACACAAGCCTTCATGGGGCTTCAGATACCATGAGGAATGGGCGTCCCTGCAATATTGTCATGGCTGTCAAAAGTGTTATTGGAGCTGGGCAAGTGGGCGCTCTCCTGCCATTCCATCCTGCTTAGATTTCCCATTCAACACCAATCTTATTTCCTTTTTTTTTTTTTTTTTTTTGACAGAGTCTCACTCTCTCTCCTAGGCTGAAGTGCAGTGGTGGGATCTCGGCTCACTACAGTCTCCACCTCCCAGGTTTAAGTGATTCTTTTGCCTCAGCCTCCCAAGTAGCTGGGATTGTGGGTACACACCATCAAGCCTGGCTCATTTTTTTTTTTTTTTGTATTTTTAGTAGAAACAGGGTTTCGCCATGTTGGCCAGGTTGGTCTTGAACTGCTGACCTCAAATGATCCACCTACCTTGGCCTCCCAAAGTGCTGGGATTACAGGTGTGAGTCACCGTACCTGGCCCCATTTCCTCTTATACCATAAGTCATTGCCTGCAAATGTGTTTTCTCCATTAGTTTGCAAAAGCTTCCTGAGAGTAGGGCTGTGCCTCATTTATTCTGGAATCTTCCTGGCACAAAGCACAGGGCTTTATCCTCAGTAGGCATCCAACAAATGTTTAATTTCATTCAACAGCTCCTCTTACCACTGCCCCCACCTTATTTGCAGGTGACTAAGTATAATCAGAACAAGTAGGTATCATAAGATTTAGTCCAGAGTCAATTTGGGAAGAAATTACTTTAGTAATATGAAAAGAAACCATGCTATTTAGTCAGAATACTTCTGAGAGTATCCCCTGTCCAAGCATTTGCTGAATTTCTATCTACTAATTTTCAGGTGGAACAGTATGGTTGCAGAGAGTCCATTTGGACATAGATACACTTTCATGCATTCATGTCTTTAACAATAATTTGTGGCCCTACTGTGTTTGTTCACTAACTCCTTCGAACCTACCATATAAGCTAAATCTTTATTTTCCTTGTAATTTGGGAGGTCCAATGCTTCATTAAGCTCACATGCCTGAAACTAATGAAGAAAATAGCTCGTTAACCAGCTAGTATAAAAAGAGCCACCAAAACAAATCAATCACCCGCCTTAAATCAGCCGAGTACTCCCATCTTGAGCGGAGAAGCCCATTCTGAATCACATTCAAGACATTGATGGAAAAACAGCTCTCTCTGGGTATCAAAACCACGCTCACCCCAAATCCTCCTCCCCAGAGTTCTCCTCATTGCTCACCCACTGAACCCAGAACAAACCAGAAGTGCTTGAAATGAGGACGGGTAGCTCCATGTACCAATCGGAATTTAAAACTGTCAATTCCTGCTACAGAAATGAGGCTTCTCCCCAGGACCAGCATTCCATGAAGGCAGCCCTTTTCTAGATGGAGAAAACAGAACCTGAAGGCACCCGTTTCCCTAAACTGCTCTCGCTCATGTGTAAGTACAAATGAAAAATGCTGACGCTGCTTCTGTTGGCATTGCTTTATAATTACGGCCATCAATAAATCATTTTATCCTTGAACAAGACTTGAGAATGGCCCGAAGACAGAGGCATGATTCGTTAGGAATTAGGCCAACAGAGAATGGGCTCTCTCTCTTCCCACCTCTTCTCTTACTCTGCTGTCAGAAACAGAAAGGTTCTCTGTGAGTAGCTGGGAGCAGACGGCCGCACTTGAGTTCCATCGGGGGTTCTGTTGATACAGTTTTACCCCAGCCTGCCTTGATGGCCACTGCCACACAAGCTGCATCTGTTCTTTCTTCTGCACCTTTTGTTACTTCGTTGTTTTTCCTCTTTCTAGTGTAGTGAGCTGAATGGTGGCTTTGCACAAGATATATCCAGATCCTTGTGCCTAGAATCCGTGGAGGTGGCATTATTTGGAAAAAGCGTTTTTGCAGATGTAATTAAGTTAAGGATCTTGAGATGAGATTATCCTGGAGTATTTTAGGTAGGCTGTACATCTAATGACAAATGTCCTTATAAGAGGACACTTTTATCAGGGCACAGTGGCTCATGCCAGTAATCCCAGCACTTTGGTAGGCTGAGGCGGGTGGATCATCTGAGGTCAGGACTTTGAGACCAGCCTGACCAACATGGAGAAACCCAATCTCTACTAAAAATACAAAATTAGCCGGGCATGGTGGCGCGTGCCTGCAATCCCAGCTACTGGGGAGGCTGAGGCAGGAGAGTTGCTTGAACCCAGGAGGAGGAGGTGGCAGTGAGCTGAGATCATGCCATTGCACTCCAGCCTGGGCAACAAGAGTGAAACTCCATCTCAAAAAAAAAAAAAAAGAAGGACACTTTTTCACGCGCATCCGTGTGAAGAGACCACCAAACAGGCTTAGTGTGAGCAATAAAGCTGTGTATTTCACCTGGGTGCAGGCAGGCTGAGCCCAAAAAGAGTCAGCGAAGGGAGATGGGGTGGGGCTGCTTTATCGGATTTGGGTAGGGAAGGAAAAAGGGGTTGTTCTCTGGCAGGCAGGAGTGGGGGTCACAAGGTACTCAGTAGGGGAGCTTTTGAGCCAGGATGAGCCAGGAGAAGGAATTTCACAAGATAATGTCATCAGTTAAGGCAGGAACAGGCCATTTTCATTTATTTTGTGGTAGAATGTCATCAGTTAAGGCAGGAACCGGTCATCTGGATGTGTACGTGCAGGTCACAAGGGATATGATGGCTTAGCTTGGTCTCAGAGGCTTGACGTTCCTGTCTTCTTATATTAATAAGAAAAATAAAACGAAATAGTGGTAAAGTGTTGGGACGGCAAAAATTTTTGGGGATGGTATGGAGAGGTAATGGGCGATGTTTCTCAGGGCTGCTTTGAGCGGGATTAGGGGCAGCATGGGAACCTAGAGTGGGAGAGATTAAGCTGAAGGAAGATTTTGTGGTAAGGGGTGATATTGTTGGGTTGTTAGAAGAAACATTTGTCATTTAGAATTATTGGTGATGGCTTGGATACAGTTTTGTATGAATTGAAAAACTAAACAGAATAAGAGAAGGAGAAAAACAGGTATTAAAGGACTAAGAATTGGGAGGACCTAGGACATCTAATTAGAGAGTGCCTAATGAGGTTCAGCATAGCCTTGCCAGCAAAGATTATGTATTTAAGAGTTAAGAGTGGTGGTTTGGGGATAGTAACAGTAGATATCAGCTGTGATGGCTTGGAGAAACAGTGTAAACCACCAGTGTAAACAAGAGCAGGACATGTATGAGTTGTTGAGAACGATGAATAGGAGTATGACTAGACAGAAGATAGTAGGGATGACAAGTTTTTTGGGGCACAGTCCAAGTTGGTCTGGTGTCTGGAATGAGACTGGGGCCTAATAAAAAGGAGCGTCTATACAGGAGCTCAAATGGGCTGTACCTTGTAGCATTCCAAGGACAGGCCTGACTTCTGAGAAGGGAAAGTGCTAAAAGTATTGTCCAGTCCTTTTTTAGTTGGTGGCTGAGCTTGGTGAGGTGTGCTTTTAAAAGACCATTAGTCTGTTCTACCTTTCCTGAAGACTGAGGACTGTAAAGGATATAAAGGTTTCACTGAATACTAAGAGCCTGAAACAATGTTTGGCTGATTTGACTAATAAAGGCCAGTCTACTATTGGACTGTATAGAGGTGGGAAGGCCAAACTGAGGAATTATGTCTGACAGAAGGGAAGAAATGACCGTGGTGGCCTTCTTAGACCCTGTGGGAAAGGACTCTACCTATCCAGTGAAAGTGTCTACCTAGACCAAAAGGTGTTTTAGTTTCCTGAATCGGGGCACGTTGAGTAAAGCTATTATGTCAGTCCTGGGTGGGGGCAAATCCCTGAGCTTGATGTGTAGGGAAGGGAGGGGGCCTGAATAATCCCTGAGGAGTAGTAGAATAGCAGATGGAACACTGAGAAGTTATTTCTTTGAGGATAGATTTCCACAATGGAAAGGAAATAAGAGTTTCTAAGAGGCGGGCTAGTGGCTTGTACTATAGCATAGCCTGCCTTTGCTGGTGTGTGGCGAGTAGGCCTGGTGGAACTGCCATCAATAAACTAAGTGTGATCAGGGTGAGAAACAGGGTAGAAGGAAATGTGGGGAAATGGCGAGAATGTCAGGTGGATCAGAGAGATACAGTCATGAGGGTCAGGTGTGGTATCAGGAATAATGTGGGAGGCCGGATTGAAGTCCGGGCCAGGAACAATGGTACTTACGGGAGACTTAACAAAGAGTGAGTACAGCTGAAGGAGCCGGGGAGCAGAAAGTATATGCATCAGGTGTGAGGAAGAAAATAGATTTTGGAAATTATGAGAACTGTAGAGAGTGAGTTGAGCATGGTTTGTGATTTTAAGGGCCTCTAAAAGTATTAGGGCAGCAGCAGCCACTGCACGGAGATATAATGGCCAGCCTAAAACAGTAAGGTCAAGTTGTTTGGACAAAAAGCCTACAGGAGGCAATCGTGGTCCTTGTGTAAGAATTTCGACTGCACAGCGCTGCATTTCGGTTGTGTGTAATGAAAAGGGTGGGGATGAGTCAGGGAGAGCTAGGGTGGGGGCAGTCTTTAAAGCTGTCTTCAAGGAACAGAAAGAGGGGTGGGGAAAGGATTTAAGATCTATGGGGTCAGCTAGGTTTCCTTTTTTGAGTTTATATAATGGTTTTGTTAGGATGGCAAAACCAGGTATCTAAAGGCAAAAGTATCCAACCATGCCCAGGAAGGAAAGGAGTTGTTTTGTAGCTGGGGTTGGGGTTTGAGAGATTAGTCGGACACGATCGGCAGGGAGAGCACATGTGTTCTTATGAGAATTATGCTGAGATAGGTAACAGATAAGGGAGAAATTTGAGCTTGACTGAAGTAATGGGGGCTGTCTGTGAAGCTTTGCGTCAGTACAGCCCAGGTAATTTGCTGAGCCTGATGGGTGTCAGGGTCAGTCCAAGTGAAAGCGAAGAGAGGCTGGGATGAAGGGTGCAAAGGAATAGTAAAGAAAGCATACTTGAGATCCAGAACAGAATAATGGGTTGTGGAGGGAGGAATTGAGGATAGGAGAGTATATGCGTTTGGCACCATGGGGTGGAGAGGCAAAACAATTTGGTTGATAAGGCAAAGATCCTGAACTAACTTGTAAGGCTTGTCTGCTTTTAGGACAGGTAAAATGGGGGCATTGTAAAGAGAGTTTATAGGCTTTAAAAGGCCATGCTGTAGCAGGCGAGTGATAACAGGCTTTAATCCTTTCAAAGCATGCTGTGGGATGTGATATTGGCATTGAGAGGGGTAAGGGTGATTAGGTTTTAATGAGATGGTAAGGGGTGCATGATCGGTCGCCAAGGAGGGAGTAGAGGTATCTCCTACTTGTGGGTTAAGGTGGGTGGCAATGAGATGTAGCTATAGTCCAGGAATACTCAGGGAAGCAGATAATTTAGTTAAAGTGTCTCAGCCTAATAAGGGAACTGGGCAGGTGGGGATAACTAAAAAGGAGTGCTTAAAAGAGTATTGTCTAAGTTGGCACCAGATTTGGGGAGTTTTAAGAGGTTTAGAAGCCTGGCCGTCAATACCCACAACAGTTATGGAGGCAAGGGAAACAGGTCCTTGAAGAGAAGGTAATGTGGAGTGGGTAGCCTCCATATTGATTAAGAAGGGGACGGACTTACCCTCCACTGTGAGAGTTACCTAGAGCGTCTGTGATGGTCCTGTAGGCTTCCGAAGTGATCGATCAGGCATTGTCAGTCTTCAGCTGCTAAGCCAAGAAGATCTGGGAAGGAGTCAGTCAGAGAGCCTTGGGCCAGAGTTTCAGGGGCTCTGGGAGTGGCTGCCAGGTGAATGGAACAGTCCAATTTCTAGTGGGGTCCTGCAAAGATGGGACATGGCTTAGGAGGAATCCCGGGCTGTGGGCATTCCTTGGCCTGGTGGCCAGCTTTCTGGCACTTGTAGCAAGCTCCTGGGGGAGGCGGTTCTGGAGGAACACCTGGCCACTGCGCTTTAGACGTTTGGAAGTTCTTGTGTGCTGGAGATGTGGCTGGGGTTTGTCTCACTGTGGAGGAAAAGAATTACAACTCAGAAATATGTTGCTTCTTGGCTGCCTCTACTCTATTATTGTACACCTTGAAGGCGAGGTTAATTAAGTCCTGTTGTGGGGTTTGAGGGCCAGAATTTAATTTTCAGAGCTTTATTTAATGTCGGGAGCAGATTGGGTAATACAATGTAGATTGAGAATAAGACGGCCTGTTGACCTTTTAGGGTCTAGGGCTGTAAAGCATCTCAGGGTTGCTGCCAAATGAGCCACGAACTGGGCTGGATTTTCATATTTGATGAAAAAGAGCCTAAACCCTATCTGATTTGGGATAAAGAAAAAGGAACATTAACCTTGACTGTGCCTTTAGCTCCAGACACCTTATTAAGAGGAAATGGCTGGGCAGGTGGAGGAGGGCTAGTCATGGAATGAAACTGTAAGCTGGAGCTGGTGTGAGGAGGGGAGGTGATAAAAGGATTATAGGGTGGAGGAGCGGAGGCTGAGGAAGAATTGGGGCCTAGCTCAGCCTGGTGAGGAGGGGAGATGTCAGGTTAGTCTGCAGAAAAGGAAGATTAGAAAGACTCAGTGACGCTTGTGGTTGGGACTGAGGGGACAGGTGGGACGGAAAGAAGGAATATTTGGGATGAGTTGCACTAGGAACAGACTAGGGAGGGACCAATGTGTAAAAGAATGCCTGGACGTCAGTCACCTCAGACCGTTTGCCCATTTTACGACAAGAAATATCTAGATCTTGTAGGATGGAAAAATTGAAAGTGTCATTTTCTAGATATTTGGAAATACTGTCGAGTTTGTATTGGGGTCAAGAGGCATTGTGGAAGAAAATAAGGCATTTAGGTTTTAGGTCAGGTGTGAGTTGAAGAGGTTTTAGGTTTTTAAGAACACAGGCTAAGGGAGAAGAAGGGGGAATGGAGGGCAGAAACTTGCCCATAGTGAAGGAGGTAAGCCTAGGGAAAAGAGAGAGTAGAGACACAGAGATAAGGGGTGGGGGGTTCTTGCCTTCCAGAAAAGCGAGAAAGGGGTTGGGGTGTAGAAATAAAGGGTTGTGGTGCAGAGCTAAGAGGTCAGAGCACAGAAATAAGGGGTTGGGGTGCAGAGCTAAGAGGTCAGGTCACGGAAATAAGGGATAGGGTCACAGAGATAAGAGTTTGGGGCATGGAAATAAAGGATCGGGGCACAGAGATAAGAGGGGGTTCCTGCCCCTCCCCCAGAAAAGCGGGACTTGCTGCTAAGGGTGAAGGAGAAGGGGTTGAGGGGTTCTTGCCCCTTCCCCCAGAAAAGCGGGACTTGCCACTAAGGGTGAAGGACCAAGTCAGGCGTCCCTGCGTGGTCTGACACCTCTGAAGCCTGGCTGAATAATCAGAGAGGTGTCCCTGCAATGATTAAACACCAAGGAAAGGCTGCCTTCCCTAGTCTGTGACAGGCACCGGAATTTTGGCTCCACGGATAAAACGTGTCTCCTTTGTCTCTACCAGAAAATGAAAGGAATTGAAATTAAGAGAAGGGAGAGATTGAAGTGTGGCGCCAAGATTGAAAGGAGAAAGAGGTTGAGGGATAGTGAGGGAGGTTGGAGAAGAGAGTAAAAAGAAGCTGCTTCCCAGATTTGAAATTGGTGAGATGTTTCTTGGGCTGGTCAGTCTGAGGACCTGAGGTCGTAGGTGGATCTTTCTCACAGAGCAAAGAGCAGGAGAACAGGGGATTGATCTCCCAAGGGAGGTCCCCCCCCCGCATCCGAGTCACAGCACCAAATTTCACATGGGTGTGTGTGAAGAGACCACCAAACAGGGTTTGTTTGAGCAATAAAGCTGTTTATTTCACCTGGGTGCATGCGGGCTGAGTCCGAAAAGAGTGAGCAAAGGGAGATAGGGGTGGGGCCATTTTATAGGATTTGGGTAGGTAAAGGAAAAGGGGAGGTTGTTCTCTGGCAGGCAGGAGTGGGGGGTCACAAGGTGCTCAGAAGGGGAGCTTTTGAGCCAGGATGAGCAAGGAGAAGGAATTTCACAAGATAATGTCATCAGTTAAGGCAGGAACTGGCCATCTGGATGTGTACATGCAGGTCACAGGGGATATGATGGCTTAGCTTGGGCTCAGAGGCCTGGCACTCTTCCTCCAGAGGAGGAGACCCAGACAGAAGAGAAGAGGAGGAGGCAAGGTGATCACAGAGGCAGAGATTGGATCATGCAGCCACAAGTTGAGGAATTCTAATAGCCTCTATAAGCTGGAAGAGGCAAGGAATGGATTCTCCCCTAGAACCTCTGAAGGAGCATGGTCCTGCTGACATTTGATTGATTTTGGACTTCTGGCCTCCAGACATTTTTTTTTCTTTTTTTTTTAGACAGAGCCTTGATCTGTTGCCCAGTCTGTAGTGCAGTTGCACGATCTCGGTTCACTGCAACCTCCACCTCCCGGGCTCAAGCCATTCTCTAGCCTCTGCCTCCCAAGTAGCTGGGCTACAGGTGCATGCCACCATGCATGGCTAATTTTTGTATTTTTAGTAGAGATGAGGTTTTGCCATATTGGCCAGGCTGGTCTCGAATTCCTGGCCTCAAGTGATCCACCCACCTCAGCCTCCCCAAGTGCTGAGATTATTTAGGTGTGAGCCACAGCACCAGGCCCAGACATTGTTTGAAGCCACCAATTTCATGGTTCTTTGCTGCAGTGGTTGTGGAATATGAATGCACTCATGTTGTTGGTTGGACTTTGCTGACCTTGTGTCTGTTATTCCCTGGCAGTTCTACAGGGCCTGGAGCTGATACGAAAAACCTCCCTTCTTTCCCAAATGGTCCCCAGCTTCCCCGTTCACTGAAGGCCCTGCAGTCGGGAACAGTCAGGACTTTGCACCCAGTTGTTTTGGGTGTTTGGACGACCCTTCCTCTTGTGTGATTCATGGACCCGCAGCATTGCATCACCCGTGAGCTTTTGGAATTGAAGACTCTCAGGGCTCACCCGGGAGGACCTGCTGGGCCAGAATCTGCATTTTAACAAGATACCCAGGTAATTTGTGTACACCTTCAGATCTGAGAAGTGCTGGTAGGAGAGGCTTTAAGGTGGTAATTAGATCTTTTCTCCACCTGCAAGAATCTTAGTTTCTTCATGTTAAATCTATTAACTGTGGCAATGGCATGGGGGTTATAAAACAAAACAAAATCCTTACATCAAGAATGCACCCTGGTGTGTTATGGATGTGGGTGAAATGAAATATGTGGAATTTGCTTTAAAATGTTGTAAAATAGCAAGAAGGAAAAGAAAAGCGGGAACTGGAATGAGAATGGCGACCTGTTGACAAATTCTCGCAGTGGGATGATGGGTGCTTGGGGGTTCATGGTGCAATTCTCTCCCTGCCTTTTGTGCGTATGGGAAATTTCCATAATGAAAAGTTAGAGGTCGGGCACGGTGGCTCATGCCTGTAATTTCAGCATTTTGGGAGGCTGAGGTGGGTAGATTGCTTGAACCTAGGACTTCAAGACCATCCTGGACAACATGGCAAAACCCCATCTCTACTAAAAATGCAAAAATTAGCCAGGCATGGTGACAACATGCCTGTAGTCATGTTGAGGCACGAGGTTGAGGCATGAGAATCACTTGAACCCAGGAGGTGGAGGTTGCAGTGAGCCGAGATCGCACCATTACACTCCAGCCTGGGCGACAGAGTGAGACTTGGTCTCAAAAAATTTTTTAATTTTCTTTTTTTTTTTTTGAGATGGAGTCTTGCTCTTTTGCCCAGGCTGGAGTGCAGTGGCATGATGTTGGCTCACTGCAAGCTCCACCTCCCCAGTTCACTCCATTCTTCTGCCTCAGCGTCCAGAGTAGCTGGGACTACAGGCACCCACCACCATGTCCGGCTAATTGTTTGTATTTTTAGTACAGATGGGGCTTCACTGTGTCTGGATGGTCTTGATCTCCTGACCTCATGATCTACCCACCTTGGCCTCCCAAAGTGCTGGGATTACAGGCATGAGCCATCGTGCCCAGCCTTAATGTTGTTTAATTTTTTTATTTGTTGAGACGGGATCTCATTCTGTAGCCCAGGCTGGAGTGCAGTGGTGTGATCACGGATCACTGCAGCCTCTACCTCCTGGGTTCAAGCGATCTTCCCACCTCAGCCTCCCGAGTAACTGAGACCACAGGCCTGTATCACCACACCTGGTTAATTTTTTCCCTTTTTCTAGAGGCAAGGTCTTGCTGTGTTGCCCAGGCTGGTCTTGAACTCCTGAGCTCAAGCAATCTTCCCGTCTCAGCCTGGGAGTAATCCCAAAGTTCTGGGATTACAGATGTGAGTCACTCTACCCAGCCTCAACTGTTTTTCGTGACTTCACTTTTTCTCCCCTCTTGGAAATGACTAGTCTTCTAGGGAATGTCTTTTTTTGTCTCAATCTCTGGTTTCTTTGCTCAGTGCACCTGTGTTTGGCACTTTGTTGATCTCCAGGCCTTTTTCAGCAGCGTTGTCCCTGTAGGGCAGGATGGGAGCTGACGGCTTCTCAGCATCTTTTAACTCAGTTTAAAGATGACTATCAACAACATCTAGTCAGCATCTGTTGCTCTTGACAGCTGGGACTTCATTTCCTTTCTCTTTCTCCACCTCTCTAACCTCTTTAAGACTCTGTCTTTGTCATGGGTACAGCATCACCTGTGTGACCCTTAGGCTCTCTTACTTACATGTGATCTACATATTGTGTCTTTACTTCAGGGCTTCTCAGCCAGGGGGTGATTTTGCCCCCCAGAGAACATGTGGCCATGTCTGGAGACAGTTTTGGTGGTTGCGGCTGGAGGAGGTGGTGCTACTGGCAGCTAATGGGTAGAGGCCAGGGATGCTGCTAAGTGTCCTACAATGCCCCGACAACTCCCACTAAGACAGAGTAATGATCCAGCCCCAAATGTCAATAGTGCTGAAAGTGAGACACCCTGATTCCATCTTAGAGATCATCTAAGCACATTTGGCCAAATTGTTTTTGCTACTGTCCCATGAAGAAAAGGCAGACTCATGACTGATGGCAACATCGATGGGAATTTTGTTTACCTCTTCTTGGTGGACTTTGGGATACGATGACTTACCATTTGTGCAAGTTGTGCATTGCACAACTCCAGGGGGTGCCACCCACATATTTATGAAAATGCCACCCCAGGAATTGCACAGTACATAGTCTACATGGCTATAAGCAGTTGCTCTGGTTTTGGGGTTACCCTGGGGTGCTCTGAAACTGGGAGGAACTTTATTTTTGGCCATTAGAGGCCCTGAGCATGACATTGAGTATCCTTTCAAGAAAGGAGAAATGTTGAACAGAGAGGACCTCATTTTTATAACTCTTGATCATCATCTAGTTACGGAGCATCCACTTTTCACCCCTGGGCCATGTCCATTTGACGGATGTAAAATGGCCAAATTATAACATCATGGCTTTCACTTTTGATAGCTTCTTCCCGGAACATGGCTGTAAGATCCTCTCATTTTCAACTGATTCATTGGGGGAGAAAATATACACGGCTGCCCTAAGACTTTCTGTTACACACCATTTGCTTGACGGGATTTCTTTAGTTTCTGTAGCATAACTTATTCTAACTGGTCCTCAATCACTTTGCAATAAAAACTGAGCTTGTGAAAATGTTCATTGTCATTACCAGTGATGGAGCAGTAAGTACAGAGTTCTGCAGAGGGAAGGAATCGAGAGATTTAAACTAGCAGAATGAGCCGCTCACCCTCAGAATTGCTTTTATTCTTGGTGAGAACTGAGGGGAATTTCGACAGGGTTCAGTGGGACTGCGGGAAGTGGGGCTGGGAGGTGGCTGTTTGCACGTGTGGTCAGCAAATCCAGTGAGGGGGTCCATGTACTGTGGGCAGCCCCACAGATGGAGTAGGGATTGCCCTGGACTGAGTACTGGCTCATCAGATTGCAAACCGCCATTCTCAAGACATCGAGGCCCAGGCTGGTGCCGGAGATACATTGCAGTGTGTCAGTCTTTCTTCCATCGCTCCTCTCCAATGACAGTTCCCGATTTTCCACCGAGGAGTCACTAGTACCCCACGGCATGTGTGTGACTAGCCACTCCCCACCCTGATCTGGGGCTGGGGCATGTGGTCCCAGCCTGGATGTCAATATCCTTCCACCACCCTGGCCACAGTGATTGGGCCTGAGAAGCAGATTAGCCAAAGGAAAGACAATCTTGGAAATTTCATGTTCATGCTTAAGAAAGTAAAATGGAAAGCGGGGGGAGGGTGAGGGGTCATTCTGATGATATAGTTTGAGGACCTGGATGTAGCCACACCTGTAGCTGTCAACTCTGTGCCATAGTACTGCTTTTTTTTTTTTTCCTTCAAATTTAAATACTTCCTAGAGGCAAGGTCTTACTATGTTTCTTAGGCTGGTTTTGAAATGTCCCTTTCGGGGGGATGCTTTTACTGCTTCACTTCCTTTCTATGACAGCTCCTGGAATCAGAAGACAAGGGAGATGATTTTTTTTTTTTTTTTTTTTTTTTTTTTTTGAGACAGGGCTTGCTCTATTGCCCAGGCTGGAGTGCAGTGGTGCAATCACAGCTCGCCACAGCCTTGATCTTCTGGACTCAAGCGACCCTCCTGCTTCAGCCTCCTGAGTAGCTGGGACTGTAGGCGAGTAGCACCATGCCTAGCTAATTAATTTTTTTTTTTAATGAGATCTCACTATGTCACCCAGGCTGGCTACATACTCCTGGGCTCAAGTGATCGCCCTGCCTTAGCTTGCCAAACTTACAGGTGTGAGCCCCCAACACCAGTCAACACCGTGGTCTTATGCACCTGGTGTCCCCCTAGGCCCTGAGCAATGATCCTCCTGCTTCAACCTCCCAAAGTGCTGGGATAACAGATGTGAAGCACCATGTGTGGCCCACATAGTATTCTTATGGGTTAAATTGAGTCCTCCTCAAAAGATGTTGAAATCCTAAATTCTAGTAGCTCAGAATGTGACCTTATTTAGCAATAGAGTTATTGCGGGTCGGGCGTGGTGGCTCATGCCTGTAATCCCAGCACTTTGGGAGGCCGAGGCAGGTGGATAACCTGAGGTCAGGAATTTGAGACAAGCCTAACCAACATGGAGAAACTCTGTCTCTACTAAAAATACAAAATTAGCTGGGTGTGGTGGCGCATACCTGTAATCCCAGCTACTTGGGAGGCTGAGGCAGAAGAATCGCTTGAACCCAGGAGGCGAAGGTGGCATTGAGCTGAGATCACGCCATTGCACTCCAGCCTGGGCAACAATAGTGAAACTCCGTCTCAAAAAAAAAAAAAAAAAAAGAAAGAAAGAAAGAAAGAAACAGAGTTATTGCAGATGCTATTGATTAGAATGAAGACATCCTGGAGCAGGGAGGGCCCTAAGTCAATGACTGGTGTCCTTATAAAACAGGAGAGGACAGGCTGAGTCACAGAGACACAGGGAAGAAGGCTATGGATCGGACGGAAGATTGGACTGATGCGTCTGCAAACCAAGGAACACCGAAGACTGCCAGGAGACCACAGGAAGCTAGGACGAGGCAAGGCAGGACTCCCCAACAAGTGCAGGAGGGAGTGTGGCCCTGCTGGCACCTCCATTTCAGACTGCTGGCCACCAGAGCCACAAGACAATCAATTACTCTTGTTTCAAATCACCCAGCTTGTGGTACTTGGTTGTGGCAGCCCTAGGGAATGAATATAAGTAGTTTCTTTTTTTTTTCTTTTTTTGAGATGGAGTCTCACTCTGTCACTCAGGCTGGAGTGCAGTGGCACGATCTCAGCTCACTGCAAGCTCCGCCTCCAGGGTTCATGCCATTCTCCTGCCTCAGCCTCATGAGTAGCTGGGACTACAGGCACCTGCCACCAAGCCCAGCTAATTTTTTGTATTTTTAATAGAGACGGGGTTTCACCGTGTTAGCCAGGACGGTCTCCATCTCCTGACCTCGTGATCCACCTGCCTCAGTCTCCCAAAGTGCTGGGATTACAGGCGTGAACCACTGCGCCCGGCCAAATATAAGTGTTTTTAAATTAATCCTCCTTTTCTCTCCATCTTCTTCTAAATCATCATTTTTGCCTAAGCAACAGCTAGGGTCTAATACGGATGTGATGACTCACTTCAAAGTGGGGGAAGCCAGTTCCCATGTGCGCCGAAAGCTCCTGCTGCCTTGGCCCAGGGCTCAGAGACTGGACCATCATTTTGGGGGCTTGCTGGAGATCTGAGACAGGGCAGCATTCTCTGTTGCCTTTAAACAAAGGCTGGTGCTTGCCCAGGAATGTGAGCTCCACCGAAGATCTATTTGGAAGGCAGAATTCTGAGATGACCCCTTAGGTTCCTGCTCTGGATAAATGTCAAGTGTAATCTCCTCTCCCCTGGAGTGTAGGCAGGACCCGTGGCTTGCTTCTAGTCTATACCTATGGAAAAGTTGAAGGGATTTTGCAGATGTAACTGAGCCCCTAATCCGTTCACTTTGAGTTAATCAAAAGGGAGATTATTCAGGGTGGGCCTGACGTCTTCAGGTGAGATCTTCAGTGAGGTTCTGGAGGAGAGAGACTCCTTCCTCCTGGTTTTTGGTTTTTGTTTGTTTGTTTGTTTGTTTGTTTTGAGATGGAGTCTCACTCTGTTGCCCAGGCTGGAGTGGAGTGGCACGATCTCGGCTTACTGCAACCTCTGCCTCCCGGGTTCAAGTGATTCTCCTGCCTCAGCCTCCCAAGTAGCTGGGATTACAGGCATGTGCCATCATGCCCTGCTAAGTATTGTATTTTTAGTAGAGACGCGGTTTCACCATATTGCCAGGCTGGTCTCGAACTCCTGACCTCAGGTGATCCACCTGCCTCAGCCTCCGAAAGTGCTGGGACTACAGGCGTGAGCCACCACGCCTGGCTGGTTTTGAAGAAGCCAGCCACATGAGTTCCACAGTTGCATGGAAATAAATTCTGCCAACAACCATGTGAGGTTGGGAGAAGACCCCAAGCCTCATATGAGACACTTAATTCCAGCCGACACCTTGATCATAACCTTGTAAGAACCTTAGCAGAGGACCCAGCTAAAGGCGCACCCCCAGGCTCCTGACCCACAGGAAAGGAGAGGTAATAGATGGGTGTTTTAAGCTGCTAAATTTGTGTTGATTTGTTATGCAGCTTAGAAAATGAATACATCATTCCATTTTTGAAAAATCATAAGCTAATCACACCATTCAATTTTTTTTTTTTTTTTTTTGAGACAGAGTCTCACTCTATTGCCCAGGCTGGAGTGCAATGGCACAATCTCAGCTCACTGTAACCTCTGCTTCCTGGGTTCAAGTGATTCCCTTTCCTCAGCCCCCCAAGTATGTGTGACTACAGGCATGCACCACCACACCCAGCTAATTTTTGTATTTTTAGTAGAGATAGAGTTTCACCATGTTGGTCAGGCTGGTCTCGATCTCCTGACCTCAAGTGACCTGCCTGCCTCAGCCTCCCAAAGTGCTGAGGTTACTGACATAAGCCACTGCGCCCAGCCTGACACACCATTCAATTTTAAGGAAATTCCAGGTGCTGTTGTCAAGCCCCTCTTGTGTGGCATGGAGGTGGGGAGAGATGGGTTGGAAGATGACTGGATGGGGACATGGAGCTAGATGGGAAGAGGAAAAGTGTCTTGAAGGAAGTAAGTCCCTTCAGAAAAGGGAGGGAGAAGCTTGATCAATATGCAGACTTTCACAGCCCTTCAGTCCTGGGGTTATTGGAGGAGAGACAGGTCTTGCCTTGTATTTGAGAGTTACCATCCCAGGCAGAGGGCCTACTTCCACCTTCTTGCAGGTGGGGCTGGGGGGCAAATACTTAGAGGAGAAACGAACACCCTTTGTAAGCATGTGAAAAGTTTCTGGAATGGAGAGATGATGAAGCAGGATATTTGGAGTCAATAGCCAATGTTTTTATTTTATTATTACACTTTAAGTTTTAGGGTACATGTGCACAACGTGCAGGTTTGTTACATATGTATACATGTGCCATGTTGGTTTGCTGCACCCATTAATTCATCATTTAACATTAGGTATGTCTCCTAATGTTATCCCTCCCGCCTCCCCCCACCCCACAAAAGGCCCCTGTATGTGATGTTCCCCTTCCTGTGTCCATGTGTTCTCATTGTTCAATTCCCAGCTATGAGTGAGAACATGTGGTGTTTGGTTTTTTGTCCTTGCGATAGTTTGCTGAGAATTATGGTTTCCAGCTTCATCCATGTCCCTACAAAGGACATGAACTCATCATCTTTTATGGCTGCATAGTATTTCATGGTGTATATGTGCCAAATTTTGTTGATGCAGTCTATCATTGTTGGACATTTGGGTTGGTTCCAAGTCTTTGCTATTGTGAACAGTGCTGCAATAAACATACGTGTGCATGTGTCTTTATAGCAGCATGATTTGTAATCTTTGGGTATATATCCAGTAATGGGATGGCTGGGTCAAATGGTATCTCTTGTTCTAGATCCCTGAGGAATCGCCACACTGACTTCCATAATGGTTGAACTAGTTTACAGTCCCACCAACAGTGTAAAAGTGTTCCTATTTCTCCACATCCTCTGCAGCACCTGTTGTTTTCTGACTGTTAATGATCGCCGTTCTAACTGGTGTGATATGGTATCTTATTGTGGTTCTGATTTGCATTTTTCTGATGGCCAGTGATGATGAGCATTTTTTTCATGTGTCTTTTGGCTGCATAAATGTCTTCTTTTGAGAAGTGTCTGTTCAGATCCTTTGCCCACTTGTTGATGGGGTTGTTTGTTTTTTTCCTGTAAATTTGTTGGTGTTCATTGTAGATTCTGGATATCAGCTCTTTGTCAGATGAGTAGATTGCAAAAATTTTCTCCCATTCTGTAGGTTGCCTGTTCACTCTCATGGTAGTTTCTTTTGCTGTGCAGAAGCTCTTGAGTTTAATTAGATCCCATTTGTCAATTTTGGTTTTGGTTGCCATTGCTTTTGGTGTTTTAGACATGAAGTCCTTGTCCATGCCTATGTCCTGAATGGTATTGCCTAGGTTTTCTTCTAGGGTTTTTATGGTTTTAGGTCTACCATTTAAGTCTTTAATCCATCTTGAATTAATTTTAGTATAAGGTGTAAGGAAGGGATCCAGTTTCAGCTTTCTACATATGGCTAGCCAGTTTTCCCAGCACCATTTATTAAATAGGGAATCCTTTCCCCATTTCTTGTTTTTGTCAGGTTTGTCAAAGATCAGATCGTTGTAGATATGCAGTATTATTTCTGAGGGCTCTCTTCTGTTCCATTGGTCTATATCTCTGTTTTGGTACCAGTACCATGCTGTTTTGGTTACTGTAGCCTTGTAGTATAGTTTGAAGTCAGGTAGCATGATGCCTCCAGCTTTGTTCTTTTGGCTTAGGATTGACTTGGCAATGTGGGGTCTTTTTGGTTCCATATGAACTTTAAAGTAGTTTTTTCCAATTCTGTGAAGAAAGGCATTGGTAGCTTGATGGGTATGGCATTGAATCTATAAATTACCTTGGGCAGTATGGCCATTTTCACGATATAGATTCCTCCTACCCATGAGCATGGAATGTTCTTCCATTTGTTTGTATCCTCTTTTATTTCGTTGAGCAGTGGTTTGTAGTTCTCCTTGAAGAGGTCCTTCATGTCCCTTGTGAGTTGGATTCCTAGGTATTTTATTCTCTTTGAAGCAATTGTGAATGGGAGTTCACTCGTGATTTGGCTCTCTGTCTGTTATTGATGTATAAGAATGCTTGTGATTTTTGCAGATTGATTTTGTATCCTGAGACTTTGCTGAAGTTGCCTATCAGCTTCAGGAGATTTTGGGCTGAGACGATGGGGTTTTCTAGATATACAATCATGTCATGTGCAAACAGGGACAATTTGGCTTCCTCTTTTCCTAACTGAATACCCTTTATTTCCTTCTCCTGCCTAATTGCCCTGGCCAGAACTTCCAACACTATGTTGAATAGGAGTGGTGAGAGAGGGCATCCCTGTCTCGTGCCAGTTTTCAAAGGGAGTGATTCCAGTTTTTGCCAGTTCAGTATGATATTGGCTGTGGGTTTGTCATAGACAGCTCTTACTATTTTGAGATACATCCCATCAGTACCTAATTTATTGAGAGTTTTTAGCATGAAGCATTGTTGAATTTTGTCAAGGGTCTTTTCTGCATCTATTGAGATAATCATGTGGTTTTTGTCTTTGGTTCTGTTTATATGCTGGATTACGTTTATTGAACAGCCAATGTTTTTAAAAATCCTCTCTCCCTGAGACTTTCCCTCACTCAAACAGCTGGCACCTTCGGCCTCCTTGCTTCTAGGAAAGAATGTGCTGGAGAAAAACAGAGACTCCCTCTGGCCTAGAGCTTCACAAGCTTAGCCCCTTCCAGGAGCCACAGAGGAGTTGGGGCATCGGGAAAGTCTTGGAGGATACAAGGTGAGTAAGAACACAGTCTTGGCTGGGTGTGGGGGCTCACACTTGTAATCCTAACACTTTGGGAAGCCAAGGCAGAAGGATCACTTGAGCCCAGGGGGTTTGAGAAAGCGTGAGCAACACAGCGTGATCCCATTTTTATATATATATATATATATATATATATATATATATATATAAAACTAGTTGGGCGTGGTGGTGCATAGTTGTAGTCTCAGCTATTCAGGAGGCTGAGGCAGGAGGATTGCTTGAGCCCAGATGTTTAAGGCTGTGGTGAGCTGGGATTGCATCACAGCACTCCTGCCTGTGCAATAGAGCAAGACCCTGTCTCCAAAACAACAACAACAACAACAACAAAACAACAAATGCCATCTCCCTTGTCTTCTGATTCCCTGAGCTGTCAGAGAAAGGACATGAAGCAGTGAAAGCATCCTCCCAAAAGGGACTTTTAAATCCTTCTCCCTGAGCTGAACTCTACAGCGAAAAGGAAGCCATTCTCACAGAAAGGTCTATGGGATCACAGAGTGGAGGGGACCTGAGCCCCATGTCATGGGACAAGCCCTGGGAAGATGGCACCATTCCCAAGATACATGAGTTCTATCGTTTGCCACCATTCCCACTGCCTGGACTAAAGTAGATGCTCAAAGTATTCCCCAAGTGAAAGAAGGAATACAGCATCAGCCTTCTCAAAGAACTCTCCAGTAAGACTTTCCTTCATCAGCAGCAGGGAAAGCTAATGAGGGTCATGTGACCCTGCCTCCCAGGTGAGGTCTGAGATGTCTGCACTGTGCACCTCCACAGACACATGGCGGGTACCATCGGCTTGGCTTTGCAGAGATACCATGTGCCCCAGGGAGAATCTGGGTAGTCAAGTCAGCTCTCTTAGGGAGTCTCTCCCAGAAGGGATCTTGTGCCAGGGGGATTGGACTCTGCTGGCTTTGTTTCCTGCTTGGGACCACCAAGCTCCTGGTACCCCCAGGACTCTGTCTAGGTAGCTTGGAGGGCTGTCTACGTGGCTTCTTGGACCTGAAACCTAACTGGACCTGTGCATGGTCTTGCAGCTCAGATGTGAAACAGGGATCACCCCACCTCACCAGCAATCCCCCTTGTTTTAAACTGCAGTTAATAACTGGCTGGGCTGAGGGAGCCCCCTTTATCATAGTTTATGTGCAGCCTACCCCCTGGAATCTGATGAAGTCTTTGGGTGCTGGCAGTACCAATTTTTATCCATTATTTTTTCTATTACGGATAATTCCTTTCTGCATTGGAGTCACCCAGAAGTCGGCTTGAGCCCAGCCACATGAAGACAAATGCCAGTGATTTTGCCGGGTCCCGGGTGCCCTCTGTTTCATTAAAGCAACATATTCGGGATATATATCTGTTGCCTGGAAGCTTGGGGGTGGGTGAAATTCATAGGGGTTTGTAATGAGGACTTAATTAGAACTAAAGACACATGAGGGCTGAGGCTGGAGGAGGGCGGTGGGGGGTGGCAGAGGCAGGGATGGGCCACCCAGTTCCTTGAACCATCCAGGGCTGAGATGGAATCCTGCCCTGCCTCTCCCCACCTGTGTGACCTCAGCCTCTGATTTCTCACCTTTAAGGAAGGAACCTGCCTGACTTGCTATCACTGTTTAGAGAATTGAAAAGGAGCTGATGATTGTGGAATCTGCTGGACATTTTCTGAAGCCAGGTACTGGGTTCAACATGGTATATAGTTATCTCCAGGCACTGGTTCTTAGTTGAGGGTGAATTTGCACCCCCAGCAGGTACTTGGCAGTGTCTGGAGATACTTCTGGTTGTCACGATGGGAACAGGGGTGCCAATGGCATCCATCTGGTCAGTAGAGCGCAGGAAAGCTAGTAACATCCCACAGTGCCCAGAACAGCCCCATGCAACAGAGAATGATCCTGCCCCAAATGTCAATAGTGCTGAGGTCAACAAACCTATTTCTTGGTTTGGAGGTGGGGGCAGGGTCTCACTGCATTGCCCAGGTTGGAGTGCAGTGGCACAGTCATAACCCACTGCAGCCTTGACCTCCTGGGCTCAAGCAATTCTCCCACCTCAGCCTCCTGAGTAGCTGGAACCATGGGTGTGCACCACCAAACCTGGCTAACTTTTTATTTTAATTTCTTGTAGAGACGGGATCTTGCTATGTTGCCCAGGCTGGGCTTGAACTCCTAGGCTCAAGCAGTCCTCCTGCCTTGGTCTCCCAAAGTGCTGGGATTATAGGCATGAGCCATCACGTGTGGCCAAAAAGCGGTTTTAATGTTGAAGCAGAGTAAATATTCCCCAGTTCAATACATGGTCTATTTGGTTATAAATAAGAGGCACACAGGAACATGTTGTTTCCACAATGAGTGAACGAAAAATACTTTATGTTACAACAGTTTGTTGTTTGTAGGCAATGAATAGCTTTGCATGTACATCCCTTACCACCAAGCAAATATGTCAGCAGGACAAAGTCCTACAAGTGGAATCGCCAAATAAGAAAGTTCATGCATTAAAAAAAATTTTTTTTTGAGAAAGGATCTTGCACTGTCACCCAGGCTAGAGTGCAGTGGTGTGATCACAGCTCACTGCAGCCTCAACCTCCCAGGCTCAAACAGTTCTCCCACCTCAGCCTCCAGAGTAGCTGGGACTAAAGATGTTCACCACTATGCCTGGCTAATTTTTGTATTTTTTGTAGAGATGGGGTCTCATCATATTGCCCAGTCTGGTCTCAAACTCCTGGGTGAAGTGATCCTCACCCCTTGGCCTCCCAAAGCACTGAGATTATAGGTGTGAGTCCCAGTGTTCAGTGCACTATCTGATTTTGCCAAATTACACTTCACTGAAGCCATACACATTTCTTTTCTTTCTTTTCCTTTTTTTTTTTTTTTTTTTGAGTTGGAGTTTTGCTCTTGTTGCCCAGGCTGGATTCTCATGGCACAATCTTGGCCCACTGCAACCTCCGCTTCCTGGGTTCAAGTAAATCTCCTGCCTCAGCCTCCCAAGTAGCTGGGATTACAGGTGTATGCCATCATGCCCAGCTAATTTTCTATTTTTAGTAGAGACGGGGTTTTGCCATCTTGGCCAGGCTTGTCATGGACTCCTGACCCTCAGGTGATCCGCCCGCCTCGGCCTCCCAAACTGCTGGGATTATGGGCATAAGCAACCGCGCCCAGCCTGAATGTAGAAGAGCAGTGGGGTGATTCGGTAATTTTAAAAATGTGCTCTCTCTGTTTATATCTTCTCATCAAAATCTGGGAATAAATAAAAGGTGGACACGCTGTATGATGGTTGGTGCCCATCATATTCTCAGCACTCAGGGATCCATCCAGGATCTGCCCACGGGAGATCTTTTAAGTGTAATGAAGTTAACACCACCGGGAATTGGCTTCCCCTTTCTCTAGAAAAGGGATATTTGGCTCCTGCTTCCTGACACTAAGAGCCCACAAATGACTTGCCTCTCAGAGTTTGCATGTAGAAAAATCTACCTCAGCAAATCTTCCTTTGAATGGTTGTTCAGCTTTGTTTTTTCAATTTCTATTCTTTTTTTTAAAAAAAAAAATTTAAGATAGAGTCTCACTCTGTTGCCCAGGCTGCAGTGCAGTGGCGCAATCTCGGCTTACTGCAGCCTTCGCCTCCTAGGTTTAAGCGATTCTCATGCCTCAGCCTCCTGAGAAGCTGGAACTACAGGCGTGGGCCACCACACTTGGCTAATTTTTGTATTTCTTTTAGTAGAGATGGAGTTTCACCATGTTGGCCAGGCTGATCTTGAACTCCTGACCTCAGGTGATCGGCCCGCCTTGGCCTCCCAGAGTGCTGAGATTACATGTGCGAACCACCGCACCCAGCCTATTTTTAAAGTTTCTGATTCGAGGACGCCTTTGAGAGTCTGATGAAAGTGATAAACCCTCTCCCCAGAAGAACGCACCTGCAATTTGCCTGGAATCTCCAAGGTTCCAGAAGATTTCCTGGGCCCCTGAAGAAGCGGCTGTCTGGATAGGAGTGAGGCTCATGCCATCAGGCACTCTGTCTTGCCTCACCTTTCTCTGAGGTGCACTGCCTAAGGGGGACTTCCAGGCTCAGAAAAGCAGGTAGAACCAGTTCCGTGTGGCCAGGGACGCCCCAATTCCAAGTCTGTCTTCCCTACTTTCTAGCAGAGCAACTGGTCAGTTATTCAGCATGTTTTTGTTTTTTTTTTTTGTTTTTGATACAGAGTCTTGCTCTGTCACCCAGGCTGGAGTGCAGTGACATGATCTCGGCTCACTGCAACCTCCACCTCCCGGGTTCAAGCGACTATCCTGTCTCAGCCTCCCAAGTAACTGGGATTACAGGCATGAACTACCACAACCAGCTACTTTTTGTATTTTTAGTAGAGACAGGGTTTTGCCATGTTGGCCAGGCTGGTCTCGAGCTCCTGACTCCAGATGATCCGCCCACCTCGGCCTCCCAAAACGCTGGGATTACGGGCATGAGCCACTGCACCCAGCCTGTTCAGCATCTCTGAACCTTAGTTTTCTGATCTGTAGAATGGGACACTGACTCTGCTATCGCCTTGTATCAGAGATCACGAAAGTGAAGGACTTCACACAGTGCCAGCACCAAGCCTGTGTTTGAGGAATGGAAGCTATTATGATTTTTTTTATTACACTTTTAAGTTTTAGGGTACGTGTGTACAACATGTATATTAGTTACATATGTATACATGTGCCATGTTGTTGTGCTGCACCCAGTAACTCGTCATTTAGCATTAGGTATATCTCCTAATGCTATCCCTCCCCCTCCCCCCACCCCACAAGAGGCCCCCGTGTGTGATGTTCCCCTTCCTGTGTCCATGTGTTCTCATTGTTTAATTCCCAGCTATGAGTGAGAACATGTGGTGTTTGGTTTTCTGTCCTTGGAATAGTTTGCTGAGAATGATGGTTTCCAGCTTCATCCATGTCCCTACAAAGGACATGAACCCATCATTTTTTATGGCTGCATAGTATTCCATGGTATATATGTGCCACATTTTCTTAATCCAGTCTATCATTGTTGGACATTTGGGTTGGTTCCAAGTCTTTGCTATTGTGAATAGTGCCGCAATAAACATACGTGTGTATGTGTCTTTATAGCAGCATGATATATAATCCTTTGGGTATATACCCAGCAATGGGATTGCTGGGTCAAATGGTGTTTCTAGTTCTAGATCCCTGAGGAATCACCACAGTGACTTCCACAAAGGTTGAACTAGTTTACAGTCCCACCAACAGTGTAAAAGTGTTCCTATTTCTCCACATCCTCTCCAGCACCTGTTTTTTCCTGACTTTTAAATGATTGCCATTCTAACTGGTGTGAGATGGTATCTCATTGTGGTTTGGATTTGCATTTCTCTGATGGCCAGTGATGATGAGCATTTTTTCATGTGTCTTTTGGCTGCTTAAATGTCTTCTTTTGAGAAGTGTCTGTTCATATCCTTTGCCCACTTGTTGATGGGGTTGTTTGTTTTTTTTTTTTTTTTTTTTTTTTTTTTTTTTTTTTTTGTAAATTTGTTTGAGTTCACTGTAGATTCTGGATATTAGTCCTTTGTCAGATGAGTAGATTGCAAAAATTTTCTCCCATTCTGTAGGTTGCCTGTTCACTCTCATGGTAGTTTGTTTTGCTGTGCAGAAGCTCTGGAGTTTAATTAGATCCCATTTGTCAATTTTGGCTTTGGTTGCCATTG
Source organism: Homo sapiens (assembly GCF_000001405.40). Taxonomy (NCBI): domain Eukaryota; kingdom Metazoa; phylum Chordata; class Mammalia; order Primates; family Hominidae; genus Homo; species Homo sapiens. The sequence continues at coordinate 9,623,017 of NC_000004.12, read as the reverse complement.
CTTTTGGTGTTTTAGGCATGAAGTCCTTGCCCATGCCTATGTCCTGAATGGTATTGCCTAGGTTTTCTTCTAGGGTTTTTATGGTTTTAGGTCTACCATTTAAGTCTTTAATCCATCTTGAATTAATTTTAGTATAAGGTGTAAGGAAGGGATCCAGTTTCAGCTTTCTCCATATGGTAGCCAGTTTTCCCAGCACCATTTATTAAATAGGGAATCCTTTCCCCATTTCTTGTTTTTGTCAGGTTTGTCAAAGATCAGATAGTTGTAGATGTGTGGAATTATTTCTGAGGGCTCTGTTCTGTTCCATTAGTCTATATCTCTTTTTTTGTATGAGTACCATGCTGTTTTGGTTACTGTAGCCTTGTTGTATAGTTTGAAGTCAGGTAGCATGATGCCTCCAGCTTTGTTCCTTTGGCTTAGGATTGGCTTGGCAATGTAGGCTCTTTTTTTGGTTCCATATGAACTTTAAAGTAGTTTTTTCCAATTCTGTGAAGAAAGTGATTTGTAGCTTGATGGGTATGGCATTGAATCTATATTACCTTGGGCAGTATGGCCATTTTCACGATATTGCTTCTTCCTCCCCATGAGCATGGAATGTTCTTCCATGTGTTTGCATCCTCTTTTATTTCATTAAGCAGTGGTTTATAGTTCTCCTTGAAAAGGTCCTTCACATCCCTTGTAAGTTGGATTCCTAGGTATTTTATTCTCTTTGAAGCAATTGTGAATGGGAGTTCACTCACGATTTCACTCTCTGTTTGTCTGTTATTGGTGTATTAGAATGCTTGTGATTTTTGCAGATTGATTTTGTATCCTGAGACTTTGCTGAAGTTGCTTATCAGCCTAAGGAGATTTTGGGCTGACATGATGGGGTTTTCTAGATATACAATCATGTTATCTGCAAACAGGGACAATTTAACTTCTCTTTTCCTAACTGAATACCCTTTATTTCCTTCTCCTGCCTAATTGCCCTGGCCAGAACTTCCAACACTATGTTGAATAGGAGTGGTGAGAGAGGGCATCCCTGTCCTGTGCCAGTTTTCAAAGGGAATGCTTCCAGTTTTTGCCCATTCTGTATGATATTGGCTGTGGGTTTGTCATAGAAAGCTCTTATTATTTTGAGATGCGTCCCATCAATACCTACTTTATTGAGAGATTTTAGCATGAAGGTTGTTGAATTTTGTCACAGGACTTTTCTGCATCTAATGAGATAATCATATGGTTTTTGTCATTGGTTCTGTTTATATGCTGGATTATGTTTATTGATTTGTGTATGTTGAACCAGCCTTGCATCCCAGGGATGAAGGCCACTTGATTATCGTCGATAAGTTTTTAATGTGCTGCTGGATTCGGTTTGCCAGTATTATATTGAGGATTTTTGCATTGATGTTCATCAGGGATATTGGTCTAAAATTCTCTTTTTGTGTTTTGTCTCTGCCAGGCTTTGGTATCAGGATGATGCTGGCCTCATAAAATGAGTTAGGGAGGATTCCCTCTTTTTCTATTGTCTGGAATAGTTTCAGAAGGAATGGTACCAGCTCCTCCTTGTACCTATGGTAGAATTAGGCTGCGAATCCATCTGTTCCTGGACTTTTTTTGGTTGGTAAGCTATTATTGCCTCAATTTCAGAGCCTGTTATTGGTCTATTCAGAGATTCAACTTCTTCCTGGTTTAGTCTTGAGAGAGTGTATGTGTCGAGGAATTTATCCATTTCTTCTAGATTTTCTAGTTTATTTGTGTAGAGGTGTTTGTAGTATTCTCTGATGGTAGTTTGTATTTCTGTGGGATTGGTGGTGATATCCCCTTTATCATTTTTTATTGCGTCTATTTGATTCTTCTCTCTTTTCTTCTTTATTAGTCTTGTTAGTGGTCTATCAATTTGGTGATCTTTCAAAAAACCAGCTCCTGGATTTACTGATTTTTTGAAGGGTTTTTGTGTCTCTATTTCCTTCAGTTCTGCTCTGATCTTAGTTATTTCTTGCCTTCTGCTAGCTTTTGAATGTGTTTGCTCTTGCTTCTCTAGTTCTTTTAATTGTGATGTTAGGGTGTCAATTTTAGATCTTTCCTGCTTTCTCTTGTGGGCATTTAGTGCTATAAATTTCCCTCTACACACTGCTTTGAATGTGTCCCAGACATTCTAGTATGTTGTGTCTTTGTTCTCATTTGTTTCAAAGAACATCTTTATTTCTGCCTTCATTTTGTTATGTACCCAGTAGTCATTCAGGAGCAGGTTGTTCAGTTTCCATGTAGTTAAGTGGTTTTGAGTGAGTTTCCTAATCCTGAGTTCTAGTTTGATTGCACTGTGGTCTGAGAGACAGTTTGTTATAATTTCTGTTCTTTTACATTTGCTGAGGAGTGCCTCACTTCCAAATATGTGGTCAATTTTGGAATAAGTGTGTTGTGGTGCTGAGAAGAATGTATATTCTGTTGATTTGGGGTGGAGAGTTCTGTAGATGTCTATTAGGTCTGCTTGGTGAAGGGCTGAGTCAATTCCTGGATATCCTTGTTAACCTTCTGTCTCATTGATCTGTCTAATGTTGACAGTGGGGTGTTAAAGTCTCCTATTATTATTGTGTGGGAGTCTAAGTCTCTTTGTAGGTCTCTAAGGACTTGCTTTATGAATCTGGGTGCTCCTGTATTGGGTGTATATATATTTAGGATAGTTAGCTCTTCTTGTTGAATTGATCCCTTTACCATTATGTAATGGCCTTCTTTGTCTCTTTTGATCTTTGTCGGCTTAAAGTCTGCTTTATCAGAGACTAGGATTGCAACCCCTGCCTTTTTTTTGTTTGTTTTCCATTTGCTTGGTAGATCTTCCTCCATCCCTTTATTTTGAGCCTATGTGTGTCCCTGCACATGAGATGGGTTTCCTGAATACAGCACACTGATGGATCTTGACTCTTTATCCAATTTGCCAGTCTGTGTCTTTTAATCAGAGAATTTAACCCATTGACATTTAAGGTTAATATTGTTATGTGTGAATTTGATCCTGTCATTATGATTTTAGCTGGTTATTTTGCTCGCTAGTTGATGCAGTTTCTTCCTAGCCTCAATGGTCTTTACAATTTGGCATGTTTTTGCAGTGGCTGGTACCAGTTGTTCCTTTCCATGTTTAGTGCTTCCTTCAGGAGCTCTTGTAGGGCAGGACTGGTGATGACAAAATCTCTCAGCATTTGCTTGTCTGTAAAGTATTTTATTTCTCCTTCACTTATGAAGCTTACTTTGGCTGGATATGAGATTCTGGGTTGAAAATTCTTTCTTTAAGAATGTTGAATAATGGCCCCCACTCTCTTCTGGGTTGTAAAATTTCTCCCGAGAGATCAACTGTTAGTCTGTTGGGCTTCCCTTTGTGGGTAACCCAACCTTTCTCTCTGGCTGCCCTTAACATTTTTTCCTTCATTTTTTTTTTTTTTTCTTTAAGATGGAGTCTCTCTCTTTCACCCAGGCAGGAGTGCAGTGGCACGATCTCAGCTCACTGGAAGCTCCTCCTCCTGGGTTCACGCCATTCTCCTGTCTCAGCATCATGAGTAGCTGGGACTACAGGCACCCACCACCATGCCTGGCTAATTTTTTGTATTTTTAGTAAAGATGGGGTTTCACCGTGTTAACCAGATGGTCTCAATCTCCTGACCTTGTGATCCACATGCCTCAGCCTCCCAAAGTGCTGGGATTACAGGCATGAGCCACTGCACCCGACCTTTTTCCTTCATTTTAACTTTGGTGAAGCTGACAATTATGTGTCTTCGAGTTGCTCTTCTCGAGGAGTATCTTTGTGGCATTCTTTGTATTTCCTGAATTTGAATGTTGGCCTACCTTGCTGGAATGGGGAAGTTCTCTTGCATAATATCCTACAGAGTGTTTTCCAACTTGGTTCCATTATCCCTGTCACTTTCAGGTACACCAATCAGATGTAGATTTGGTCTTTTCGCATAGTCCCATATTTCTTGGAGGCTTTGTTCATTTATTTTTATTCTTTTTTCTCTTAACTTCTCTTCTTGCTTCATTTCATTCATTTCATCTTCCATCACTGATACCCTTTCTTCCAGTTGATTGAATCGGCCACTGAGGCTTGTGCATTCGTCACTTATTTCTTGTGCCATGGTTTTCAGCTCCATCAGGTCCTTTAAGGACTTCTGTGCAAGGGTTATTCTAATTAGCCATTCATCTAATTTTTTTTCAAGGTTTTTAACTTCTTTGCCCTGGGTTTGAACTTAATCCTTTAGCTCAGAGTAGTTTGATCGTCTGAAACCTTCTTCTCTCAACTCTTCAAAGTCATTCTGTGTCCAGCTTTGTTCCATTGTTGGTGAGGAGCTGCGTTCCTTTGGAGGAGGAGAGACACTCTGATTTTTAGAGTTTCCAGTTTTCTACTCTGTTTTTTCCCCATCTTTGTGGTTTTATCTACCTTTGGTCTTTTTTGATGGCGATGTACAGATGGGGTTTTAGTGTGGATGTCCTTTCTGTTTGTTAGTTTTCCTTCTAACACTCAGGACCCTCAGCTGCAAGTCTGCTGGAGTTTGCTGGAGGTCCACTCCAGACCCTGTTTGCCTGTGTATCAGCAGTGGAGGCTGCAGAACAGTGGATATTGGTGAGCAGCAAATGTTGCTGTCTGATCGTTCTTATGGAAGTTTTGTCTCAGAGGAGTACCCGGCCATGTGAGGTGTCAGTCTGCCCCTACTAGGGGGTGCCTCCAAGTTAGGATACTTGGGGGTCAGGGACCCACTTAAGGAGGCAGTCTGTCCATTCTCAGATCTCCAGCTGCATGCTGGGAGAACCACGACTCTCTTCAAAGCTGTCAGACAGGGATATTTAAGTCTGCAGAGGATTCTGCTGCCTTTTGTTTGGCAATGCCCTGCCCCCAGAGGTGGAGTCTACAGAGGCAGGCAGGCCTCCTTGAGCTGCAGTGGGCTCCACCCAGTTCGAGCTTCCCAGCTGCTTTGTTTACCTACTGAAGCCTAGGCAATGGCGGGTACCCCTCCCCCAGCCTTGCTCCTGCCTTGCAGTTTGATCTCAGACTGCTGTGCTAGCAATGAGTGAGGCTCCATGGGTTTAGGACCCTCTGAGCCAGGCACGGGATATAATCTCCTGGTGTGCTGTTTGCAAAGTCCATTGGAAAAGTGCAGCATTAGGGTGGGAGTGACCCGATTTTCTGGGTGCCGTCTGTCACCTGTTTCTTTGACTAGGAAAGGGAATTCTCTGATGCCTTGTGCTTCCTGGGTGAGGCAATGCCTCACCCTGCTTGGGCTCACACTCAGTGTGCTGCACCCACTGTCCTGCACCCACTTTCTGACACTCCCCACTGAGATGAACCCAGTACCTCATTTGGAAATGCAGAAATCACCTGTCTTCTGCGTCACTCATGCTGGGAGCTGTAGACTGGAGCTCTTCCTATTTGGCCATCTTGGCTCCACCCCCACTATTATGATTCCTACACAGAGTCCTTTGCTTTCCAGCAGCCTCCTCTCCCTCCTTTTTAGGTCGGAATCCCTCTATTTTAGTGGCCACTGGGAATCTGAAATGACCAGGTCTTTGTCTCAGAGACCTCACACATGCTGTTCCCTCTGCCTGGAACACTTTTCCTTGCTCTGGTCCCCTGAGATCTCTTTCAGCTCAACTGCCTCATGCTGTGAGAGCCCCTTTCTCCCTCTCTAGGTTGAAGCCAGTTTACCCCTGTAGTCTGTGCCTGGAAAACTCATTTTCCTCCTTGGTACCTCCCGAGCTGTCATAGGATGTATGTGCCTGTTAGGGTGTCTGGTGTCTGTCTCCCCGACTGGACTGCATGCTCCTGGTGAGCTGGAGGGACTGGACTAGCACAGGCCAAGTCCCTGGGGCTGGAGGGAGCAGGGCAGAAGGCACAGGCAAAAGGCCTTTGTGATCTGGGGGGAAGTGAAGGAGAGGGAGAGAGATGAGAGAGGCTGGCAGAAGATGGGCTAGAGGCCAGGCTGTGTGGGATCTTTTGGGCCACAGAAAGACATTTGAATTCTCATGTAAGAGAACCAGGACACCATTGGAGTGTATGAGTCACCTCATCTAACTGAGCTCTGTAAATGTCAATGTTTTATTATTTTTATACAGTTCTTTAAAAGTGATTTTAATTATTTACCTTTTTATTTTTATTACTTTTATTAGTTTTTCTGAGACAAAATCTTGTGCTGCTGCCCAAACTGGAGTGCAATGGCATGATCTCAGCTCACTTCAACTTCCACCTCCTGGGTTCAAGTGATTCTCCCGTATCAGACTCCCGAGTAGCTGGAGTTATAGGCGTCTGCCACCACGCCCAGCTTATTTTTGTATTTTTAGGAGATATGACGTTTCACCATGTCGGCCAGGCTGGTCTTGAACTCCTGACCTCAGGTGATCCACCCACCTCAGCCTTCCAAAATGCTGGCATTACAGGGGTGAGCCACCATGCCTGACCTTATTTACTTTTTTAAAAAAGATCAGGCCAGGCACGGTAGCTCACTTCTCTAATCTCAGCAATTTGGGAGGCTGAGGCGGGATGATCGCTTGAGGCCAGGAGTTCACAATCAGCCTAGGCAACATAGTGAGACACCCCTGCCCCAATCTCTAAAAAAGTGAGAAAATTAGGCACGGTGGTTGGTCTGTATCCCCAGCTACTGGGGAGCCTGAGGTAGGCAGGACTGCTTGAGACCAGGTGTTTGAGGCTCCACTGAGCTGTGACTATGCCATTGAGCTACAGCCTGGGCAACAGAGTGAGACCCCGGAGCCGCCTCAGCCTCCCTAGAGCTGACCGAGCTCTGCTTCTTATTCCGGGAATGACGGGCACTGGGGCTTTGATGGGTATTGGGTGAAATGGGCAGAGTGGCGCTTACCCGGGATGGCGGTGAAGTGGGACGGGGAGGTCATCGTGACAAGGGGCGGCATGAGGTACTGGGCCTTGACACCCTCCCTGGCCAGACGGTCCAGGTTGGGGGTGTGCATATTCCTGATCCTAGTCCCAGCGGAAGCCCTGGAAGGAGATCAGCAGCAGCTGTGTGTGCTCTTCCTCCCTGGGACGGGGTGGCCGCCCAGTAGGACAGGCGGCAGCAGCAGCAGCAGCAGCTGGAGGGCCCTGAGCCCTGTCATCCCACGAGCACCTGTTATGCACTCCTCACAGAGTTCATGGGCTTCTCCGTCTTTAGTCCGTTGTTGAACAAAGTCCACGTTAATAATTCGGCCCAACTCTGTTGTGGGACAAACAACCCGGAGTGTAGCAAGGTGCCGCATATTTGCAGGACAGGATGAAAGCGTTCTGGAGATGGATGGGGGACATGGCTGTACAATGTGGTGGATGCACTTAACACCACTGAATTTTTCCTTTGAAAATGGCTAAAATAATAGATTTTGTATGTATTTTACCACAATAAAAAATCAAACTGGCCGGACATGGTGGCTTACACCTGTAATCCCAGCACTTTGGGAGGCCGAGGCGGGTAGATCATTTGAGGTCAGGAGTTCGAGACCAGCCTGGCCAACATGGAGAAACCCCATGTCTACTAAAAATGCAAAAATTAGCAGGGCGTGGTGGTATATGTCTGTAATCCCAGCTACTTGGGAGGCTGAGGCAGGAGAATTGCTTGAACCCGGGAGGCGGAGGTTGTGGTGATCTGAGATTGTGCCACTGCACTCCAACCTGGACGATGGAATGAGACTCTGTCTCCAAAAAAAAAAAATAAATAAATAAAAATAAATAAATAAATAAATAAATAAATCAAACCATGTGAAATATTTTCGACTCATACTAATTCCAACATTTTGAAGATCTGGGGAGAACAAACTAGATTGGTGCTTTCCTTGGCTTAGTATGTCCTGTTTTTATAGGGAGAGCAAATTATTGTTCACCAGCACTATTAAAATAGCTACAACAGGATGGGCATAGGGGCTCACACCTGTAATCCCAGCACTTTGGGAAGCTGGGGTGAGAGGATCGCTTGAGCCCAGGAGTTCAAGATGCCAGCCTGGGCAACATGGTGAGACCCTGCCACTACCAAAAATACAACAACAACAACAAAAATAGCTGGGTGTGGTTGTGTGCACCTGTAGTCCCAGCTTCTTGAGAGGCTGAGGTGGGAGGATCACTTGTGCCCAGGAGGTTGAGGCTGCAGTAAGCTGTGATTACGCCACTGTACTAAGCCTGGGTGACAGAGTGAGACCCTGTCTCAAAAAAAAAAAAAAAAAAAGCTGTAGTGGACTCAGTGATCATGAGGCCAGGCACTGTACACATATACATCATCTCATTTAATTTTTCTCTTGTTTAAAATTATTTTTTCCTCTAATCCCCATGTGAATCAACATTTTCTTCATCCTAGGAATTTATTAGTTGAAAATTTCACATAAGAATTAAAAATTGCCTGGCGTGATGTCTTACACCTGTTATACCAGCACTTTGGGAGGCTGAGATGAGAGAATCGCTTCAAGACAGGAGTTTGGGCCAGTCTGGGCAATATAGTGAGAATGTGACTCTATAAAAAAATTAAAAACCCTGGGTGTGGTAGCGTTCACCTGTAGTCCCAGCTACTTGGAAGACTAGGTGGGAGGATTGCTTGAGCCCAGGAGGTAAAGGCAGCAGTGAGCTATGATTGTGCCATTGTACTGCAGCCTGGGTGATGGAGTGAGACTCTATCTATAAAATAAAAGAATAAAATTGTGGTATAATATATGCAACATTTACCATTTTGTGCATCTGAAAGTGTACAATTCAGTGACATATTGTACATTTATCATGTTGTGCAATTATCACCACTACCTAGTTTCAGAGCTTTTTCAACACTTCAATTGGAAGCCTCATATCCATTCAGCCGTCACTCTGCATACCCCCTCCTGCAGCCCCTGGAAACCTCTCATCTACTTTCTATCTCTGTTGATTGGCTTAGTCTGAACATTGCATATAAATGGAATTGTACAATATATGACCTTTCATGTCTGCTTCTTTCACTCAGCATGTTTTTAACGTTCATCCATATCACAGCATGGATAAGTTTTATTTTCTTTTTAGACCCTATCTAAACAGAAAAAAACATTGTAAAACAAAAACAAAAAAATATATACGATGGAGATCAGATGAGTCCTGCAAAGCTGATAGTATTTACTATCTAGCACTTTACATAGAAGCTTGCCTACCTCTGAATGATATGCAGGTACAGGGATGACATTTATCTTGGCACTTATAGAAAGACCTGGAAGTTGTATAAAGACGTCATCATTGGATTTCCAGTAACAAGAAGCGGCAAGACATGACGGTGTGTCCGGGTGTTCAGGTGAAGTTTAGGGAAGGTCTTGTCTTGACGAGGTCGGATGTGACACCCAGATGAGATAACCCTATTTCCCCTGCTGAAATTGCCTGAGAATTTCGTTCCAGTTATTTGCGTAGGTTGATTCTTTCGGTGGGGGTGGGCTGGGTGAGGAGGTGAAGTGTCAGGGGAGTTCTGTTGTGTATTTGCACAACTTGGCTTTCTTTTCACTTGGTGTGCTGTTTTGCTGTATGAGGAATTTCATAGAATTTTGTGATGAGTATGCAGCATAGTGGTTTGAATCCTGCCAGGCCGAGGGTCACATCTCAGCTCTGCAACTCATTTTCTGTGACGCCTTGGGGCAGCTCCCATCACTCTCCAAGCCTCTGTTCTATATTCCATGGGGTTATGAGGTTCAGATGAAATAATACATGCTGGCAGGAATGGTTACTGCTCATGGGATTTCCATGTGCTCCCCATATTCCCCATTCCCCCAATAGTTAGATGGATCCATGCCAGGGTCCAGTGCTCTATAAGTGGAAGTCACTGACATCACCTCTAGCCTACAGCTTTTGAGGGCTTGAGAATAACTATCTCATTCTCTCATCTCCTGATGCAGTAACTATGGGAGAATCCTTGCATTAAATGGTAGAATTTCCATCATTGAGTGTCCATATGGAGCACACCATACCCAGCCAACCCATTGTGGACATGGAATGTAAGAAATCAACCTTGGTTGCTAAGCTGCTGAGACTCTGGGGTTAATTTGTTACTGCAGCATAACCTAGTCCATCCTGACACATGCAGCATGCAAACCACTTATGTTGACCCTTAGTCCTGCTAAGTGCTCCACAGATGTTGGTTACTTTTGGTAGGAAAATAGATTGCCTCTGAAAGTTTTGTTAGCTGATCTCATGATGCCAATATTCCTATTTTGTAATTGGATAAATTGGACTTGGCTCTCCTTCCAGCATGTGGGAGAGACAGATGACTGAGAGAGAAGAAAGCACTATTATCTTCAGTTTGTGTCCTTGGATACCCTTGGTGGCAATGAACAACGTATGCTCCTCTGAGAAAACTGGACCTAAAGGAGAATGGGAGGTGATACCAGAATTGGAAATGTCCAAGGCCCCAGGCATTCCTTGGTCTGGAGACAACTTTGAGTCCTTGGTGGGAAGATTCTCCAAGGGAACATAAATGCTTTTACTATCTAGTTTGTCTCTTTGAGAATTAAAACTTTTTTTTTTTCATTCCAATAGCTTTTGGGGTAGAGTTTGGCTCTTTGAGAATTGCACACTAATTAATTTAGAGGTCATCCGTATACATCTCTATATTCCTGAAACACAGTAGAAACAGCCAGCAGTCAGGCAACCATCTACCACGACCACTAAAACATCCCCGAAGTGAAACACCAGATGCGATCCGCTGGGTTTAGTGGAGGTGGCTGGCTCAAGAGTAGATTATATTCATTATCGTCACTGTGGTGATTGTGGCCACAACATTGTGATGCGTCTTGGTCTTCTTTTGGTGAGTTGCAGTTTGGAAGGAATAAATCCATCATCATTATTATTATTATTTTTTGAGTCTCACTCTGTCCCCCAGGCTGGAGTGCAGTGGTGCCATCTCAGCGTGCTGTAAACTCTGCCTCCCAGGTTCAAGTGCTTCTCCTGCCTCTATGGCCAGGCTGGTCTTGAACTCCCGACCTCAGGTGATCTACCTGCCTCAGCCTCCCAAAGTGCTGGGATTACAGGCGTGAGCCACCATGCCCAGCCCCATTATTCATTTAATATCTATTAAGCACGTTGGGTGTGGTGGAGGATGAACTGCAGGGAGGGAGGAAGCCTCCACCTGCCACTGTTTTAAAGTTGTCCTAATACTCCACCATGCAACACGCAGGCTTGTGGGTCCCAGAGTTCCAGAAGCATCTCCCAACCACACCATCCTAACCCAGATTCTATTGAAAAATAAGTGAGTCTAGCAGAGCCATCTCTGACACTTCTCTTCTTTTGAACGGCCGATCTGTCAGTCATGGGGATACCTTATGAAAGTGCAGTGTTTTGTGAAACTTGAGGTTGATAAGAGAATACCATTAAACTTTAAGAAATCTACATATTGATGACATAGGCAGTGGGGTGGAGGTGGGGAAATTCCCAAATACATTTTAGGAATTATCATCTCAGAAGGAGGTAATAGTCAGAACTCGTTTGCCAGTGACAGAAACTCATCTTACTAGTGTGGAGTGGAAAAGAGATCATGTTTTGGTCTGCACTCCCCAACCCCAACCCCAAGCAGATGCTCAAAGAGGGACAGGATTGCAAGTTGTTTATTTAGGAGATGATTCCAGGGAACACCAATAGGGGAGTGAGGAAATGATTCATGGAAAGGCAGGAGGCCACACAGGGGGCTTCAGTGAGCAGTTTACCACTCCAGGCAACCAGGATTTGACCCCACTGGGGACCTCTGGGAGGTGATGTGGAATACATTTCAAAGTTGTTCCATCCAGGGCGCAAAGATATTGAAGGATTTATAGCCTGGTTCCCGTCCATCACTGGCTGAGGACTGGTCCCAGGGCATTAACTCTCTGGCTTTTCTTTTTTTTCTTTTTTTTTTTTTTTTTTGACACATAGTCTTGCCCCGTCACCTAGGCTGGACTGCAATGGTGTGATCTGGGCTCACTGCAACATCTGTTTCCCAGGTTCTAACAATTCTCTTGCCTCAGCTTCCTGAGTAGCTGGGATTACAAGTGCCTGCCACCATGCCCTGCTAATTTTTTTGTAGAGACGGGGTTTTGCCATGTTGGTCAGGCTGGCCTCGAACTCCTGACCTCGTGATCCACCTGCCTCGGTCTCCCAGTGTTGGGATTACAGGCATGAGCCACTGCGCCCTGCTTCTGTGGCTTTTCTGACATACTCCATGCCTAATTTTGAGAAAGCCCTCAGGTGAAAGTCTTGGTAGTATGCAGTAGCAAGCATGTACTAGAATGATAAAAACCAAGGGGCTTACCACAAGATCTCTCTCTCCATCTCTGTCTTTAGCTTTATCTGCATCCTGGCTTAATTTCTTCTTACTCAAGCCTTTTCTCCATAAGGCGAGAAATGTGGCCACAAAAGCTCCTGTATTTCTCACTACACACAGTTCCTGTCATCACAGAGAATGATTAACTTGGTCTAGTTCCAGTTTGGAAAAATATTCAAGGGAAGAATTCTGATTGGCCAATTTAGGCCAGATGCTCATCCCTGGACAAATCAACTGAGGCCAGAGGGATAGAGTCATGTGAGAACATGGCAGCCCCCATGAGAGCCAAGTGACTGGAGTAGGAAGTGTGAGTTTCTATAGAAGGGAGGGCTGCTAGGCTGAAAAGGCAATAGATGTCTGCAGTGAAAGGAATAGATTAGGAGATACATTCTGTTAAACCTGTTAATTATTAAAAAAAGAAACTTTCAATATACAGTTACAGTATACGTGGGCCAGTGACTCAAGCCTATTATCCCAGCACTTTGGGAGGCCGAGGTGGGCAGATCAGAGGTCAGGAGTTCGAGACCAACCTGACCAACATGGTGAAACCCCATCTTGTGTGCTTGTAATCCCAGCTACTCAGGAGGCTGAGGCAGGAGAATCGCTTGAACCCAGGAGGCGGAGGTTGCAGTGAGCTGAGATCATGCCACTGCCCTCCAGCCTGGGCAACAGAGTGAGACTCCGTCTCAAAAAAAAAAAAAAAGTTACATTGTGGTTCCCTCAGCATGATTTATCAGAAAGGAAAAGCTTACCATATGCATATTTCCTATGCACAGGCTACTGCTATGAATTCAAATTCTTAAATTCCAAAGATTATTTACAATGTTTCTGAAGATAAACTGTGTAAGAATCTGCATATAATGAGGCTGAAGTTGAGTAAGAAGAGAACTGGCATTTAGGACACTACTTTTCTTCTGTCAAGTACTGTCAAGTTTTGTTTCTGCCTGGAAATAGATGCACCTCAAGGGAGGGTTGCATGTAAAGGTGTGTGTGTGTGTGTGTGTGTGTGTGTGTGGTGGTTTCCAAAGATGGGTACAACTTTCTGCAAATGCTCGTGCAGTGTAACTGAACCAATCTTTCCTTTAAGAGGTAGAGCTTATATTCCTCTACATGAATCTGGGCTGCCTATGAGTTGTTTTGGCCAGTGGAATGCTGCCAAAGTGATGGTGACCAACTTCTAGCCGTGAAAGGAAAATAAACCTTGGGGCCCCAAGATCACTAAGCTAGGTCGGGCTCGGTGGCTCACGCCTGTAATCCCAACACTTTGGGAAGCTGAGGCAGGCGGATCACCTGAGGTCAGGAGTTCCCAGCACTTTGGGAAGCTGAGGCGGGCAGATCACCTGAGGTCAGGAGTTCAAGGCCAGCCTGGCCAAATTCACAAAACCCCATCTCTACTAAAAAATATGAAAATTAGCCAGGAGTGGTGGCAGGTGCCTGTACCCCCAGCTACTCGGGAGGCTGAGGCAGGGAAAATTGCTTGAACCCTGGAGTTGGAGGTTGTACTGAGCTGAGATCGCACCACTGCACTCCAGCCTGGGCAACAGAGAGAGACTCTGTCCCCCCTCCCAAAAAAAAGTTACTAAGCTAAAGAGAAAAGTCAAGCTGGGAACTGCTTAGGGCAAACCTGTCTCCCATTCTATTCAGTCACCCCTTTGCTCACTGAGATAAAAGTATATCTGATTGCCTCATTTGGAGAGGCTAATCAGGAACTCAAAAGAATGCAACTATTTGTCTCTTAACTACCTATGACCTGGAAGCCCCTCCCCCGCTTTGAGTTGTCTCACCTTCACCTGGAGTTGTCCCACCTTTCCTGACTGAACCAATGTACATCTTACACATATTGATTGATGTCTCTTGTCTCTCTAAAATGTATGAAACCAAGCTCTGTCCCTACCACCTTAGGCACATGTTGTCAGGACCTCCTGAGGCTGTGTCACAGGCGTGTGTCCTCAACCTTGGCAAAATAAACTTTCTGAATTAACTGAGACCTCAGATTTTTGGGATGCATATAGTCTTAGGCCTTGACAGGTCTCTCGTAGTTTCCATATTTTTGCCCTCTTGGATGCTGGCACCAAGCAAGCCTTGGCTATCCTGCTTAAAGGGCCATTTGGAGAGGGGCTCTGGAGGGTGAGGGGGCCACATGAAGGAAAACAATGTTCCCCTGCTGACAGCCAGCACCAACTGCCAGGCACATTCGTGAGGCCTTCCTGGATGTTCCGCCCAGCTGGCCCTCCAGCTGCAGGTAGCCACATAAATGAGCCCAGGTTAAACCAGACAGGAAGTCCCCATGCAACTCACAGGGTCATGAGCAATAATGCCTTGTGGTGGTTTAAAGTTTCTAATCTTAGGGTGCAGTAGGTAACTGAAATAGCCCACAAGGGCTGAGCCGGTGGAGGGTGCATTTCCCACCTGCTGAAGCTTCTCAATTCCCAAGATCCAATCCGGATAAGACTCCTGTTCTCAGTGTCCTTGATGGAAATGGCAATGAACTTTTTGCGTATTGGACCATCTCAGGGGAATCCCAAAGATCGGAAATTATTTTCTTTCTTAGAATCTTCCACACAGCATTGAGCCTTAGGAATTTCTAAGAAGGATCTGGAATGAAAAAAATCTTTTGAAAAGGTATTTATATAGCTTCACTTCAGCAAGATTCATGGTGGGTGTTAGACTGAGTGCTGGTGATAAGCCAAACCGTGTTTTTCGAGGACTTATCTGGCCTCAAGGTTGGCAGGATCAGAGTGGCCTCCCAGGATCTATCACATCCTCAGAAGAGTTGGTTCAACTGGCATGTACCCAGATCTCTTTGAGCTAGTATGATACTCCCTTGAGTCAAAGGTTGCCACATCACATCTCCTTTAAGTCCCCCAAGTACGACCCCAGAAGCACTGACAAAATAGTGCTATTCCTGAAGATTTCAGGAGGACATAAATGAAGAGATTAAACTGCAAGGTACCAAAACTTCCATCTTTGCTAAAGACCCTCATCCAAGGCACTGTGGCTCATGCCTGTAATCCCAGCACTTTGGGAGGCCAAGGCGGGCAGATCACCTGAGGTCGGGAGTTCAAGACCAGCTTGACCAAGATGGAGAAACCCCGTCCCTAGGAAAAATTCAAAATTAGCCGGGCGTGGTGGCACATGCCTGTAATCCCAGCTACTAGGGAGGCTGAGGCAGGAGAATCGCTTGAACCTGGGAGGCGTAGGTTGCGGTGAGCTGAGATCATGCCATTGCACTCCAGCTGGGCAACAAGAGCAAAACTCCATCTCAAAAACAAACAAAAAACTCTTATCCAATGGTCATGCCACTCTATCTGGCCATGTAATTTCTCCTCCTGGCTTTCTGTAGCAACAGCCTTCTGAGGAACCTCACTCTGCCTTTCAAAACCCCTTCAACTTGTACCCTTCATCAACAAAGTATTTAGCTCAACATGTATGCCTCTGGGGAACTCATCCACATGCCGTTTAAGGATATTTACGGCAACATCATCTTCACTTCCCCAGGACAGCATTTTAGAGTGGATTACGTGCCTGCTGGATGTGTTGTACTTAAGCGAGTTAGAGAAAACGCTACACTTTGAGACGAATTAAGAGTCTGTTTATTTAGCCGGCGCCTAAGAAATGGCTAACGTTTAAAGTTCTCTCGGCCTCGAAGGGGCTAGATTTTCTTTTATACTTCGGTTTAGAAAGGTGAGGGGGGTCTAGTTAAAACAATTTTACAGAAGTAGGCAAAAAAGTTAAAAGGATGTATTGTTACAGTAAAGTAAACAGTTCTAGGTCTAGAGGCTTTAAGACTCTTACAAGGTGATAGACGTGGGGCTTTGGGCGTTATCAATCGGATGAATTCCTGGGAACTGCGGATATTGCTCGCCACAGTATCTTATCAGTTAATTGCATTCTTCGATGTGCTGGGAGTCAGCTTGCACAAGTTAAGTCCTTGAGGAACGGGCTACCAGTGAAAGAGCCAAGATGGAGTCTGTCTGGCTCTCTTAGCTAAGGGAGAGTCAATTCAGGTGGAAACAAGGCTAGGTCATTAAAAGAAAGGGAGAGTCTAAGGACAGGGTTAATAAAAACAAGGTTGGGCATTACATTCCTCACTTGTTTTTTTGGGGAATCAAATCATTGATTCTTCATTTATAACAAGGGGTTATATTGAGTCTTCAGATACATAAGTTTGACAGAAGCTATGCGTTGTTTTACAAAATTAAGACACTAATTTAATATACAAGGCCCAAAAATTAGACTTAATAGTAGGATGGGGAGGGGGTCCGGCTAACTTAGTAATTAGAGTAGTTAGCTATGGGTTCCAGTTGAACATGCTTTGATACTAGATGTTATTTTCTTGTTCTTGTTGGCGCTTGTCTAGATTTTCTTGCACATTTTGGAGTGTATGTTTTATGACTAAGAATGGTGGAGGAACAGTTAAATCAACTTTTTCAGGGTATTTCTGGAACATAGGATTACTTAGTTCAGTTAAAGGCCTGATTGGCTTGGGTGGACTTTATGAGACTAGGGTTTTTTGGACAGTGAACATAGACTTAACATTAAATCCTGGGATATAAAATCTTAATTTCGTGACATACCATGATACTATTGAGTTGAATTAAGGTCATGGACAGTTACAGTAAGAGGATTACAATTTTTTCTAGTACATAATTTAGGATGAGCAGCAGGACTTATGGAAACAGTTGAAGATCTGGTTGATCTTTTAGAGTAGCTGGCTAAAGTTACACATGTCTAACCAGGGCAGAAAAACTGATGAGCATCTTGACAGCTAGCGTCAGGGTGATTTCTAGGACAGAGGTAAAAGTCAATATTTTGGAGACTTTTTTCTACACTTTTGGAACTTCTACATTTAGTTTGGCTCTTGGAGTGTCTGAATCTTGCTGCAAGGCCGACACTTCCTGCTCCTGGGACTGGCAGATTGTGTTGCTTTTCGTGGGTATGGGCTGGCTTTGGGAACAGTACACATAAATCAGCTGCAAAGGAGACTTCCTTGGAGGTACTGGCCTTCTAAGTGGTGTTTGCAAATACACATCCTGTCATGAAAGAGGTGAGGAGAAAGGAGTAGGAAGGCACAGAGGACCTAACTGGCAAAAACAAATAAGTGAGGTAGATAAAAAGAATGAATCTAATGGCTTCACCTGACTTAGGCACAGTTTTAAGGGGCCTGACTTAGGCCTGGGGACTTATGTTTTTAGCTGGGCTCTGTTGGCCTTTTTGATGTGGGAGTGATTAAGCAGGAATGCCGTCTACTTTCAGAGCAGTTGGAGTCATGAAGTCTTTTCTAAGCAGGAGTGAGTCTTTCTTTTTGGAACTTTTAAACAAACACTAGGTCTCCTGGCTGGAACGAATGGTAGGACTTTGTCAGGTCAGGAATTGGATTGGGATGGGCTCCTCAAACAAGTGGCAGGATGATCTCTTGTACCTGTTGGAGAGACTATAGGTACTGTAATAAATTAATTTGTGATATTTCTGCTAATTTGGCATCTCTTAGCTTAGACAAGATAGGCAGCGCCTTCTTATACATGATTTCAAAGGGTGAGAACTTAGCCTGATAAGGGGTGCACTTTACTTTAAGTAGGGCTAAAGGAAGGAGACTTACTTAATTTACACTGGTTTTTAAGATCAATATTGTAAGAGTGTTTTTAATGTGTGGTTCATGCGTTCTACTTGCCTGGAGCTCTGAGGTTGATAGGCACAATGGAGTTTCTATTGAATGTTTAACGCCTTACTGACTGACTGAGCTATAGGTGAGGTGAAGGCTGCTCTATTATCAGACTTTATGGCAGCAGGCAGCCTATATTGAGGGATGATTTCATTGAGTAAAAACTTAACTACTGTGTTGGTGGTTTCGTTTTCGGTAGCAAATGCCTTAGTCGATCTGGAGAAGGTGTCTACTAGTACTAGAAGGTATTTGTCCTTAACCTGGTATGGTTTGACTTCTGTAAAGTCAATTTCTTACTTTTTTCTTGACGAGTTTTTTCAGAGACAGTGGCCTGGGCTGGGTTTAGGACTTTGTTTGGCTTTTACGTGGGCGCAGGTTGTGCACTTGAGAGCTGCTTAATCTGTTAGGCTTTGAAGACGGGGGATCTTAAAATGGCTCCGGAGGAGCTGAGGTAGCTTTGCTCTTTTTAAGTGGGTGGTAGACTGTAGGTGGCTGATTAAAGTTTCTTTAAGAGTTCAGGGTGTGAAGATTCTAGAGTCAGGAAGAATCTACTAACTTTCCTGATTTGTATTGGCTCTGAGATCTGAAGCCAGTTTTTTTGTTGTTGTTGAGTATACGGGATTGTCAGGCAGATCTGGCTGTGGAAAGGAGACTGTGGGCAGCAAGTTTAGAGGCGTGACTGAAAGTCTTGCTGCGACCTGAGCTGCTGAATCAGCTTTCTGGTTACTATGGGCTACGGCCGTGTTTTCTTTTTGATGTCCTTTGCAGTGGATCACAGCTAGCTGCTGAGGTGAGTAGCCTGCTTTCCTGGTAGATGGCTTTATGTACATGCACAGTAGCAAAGGCGTACTTGCTGTCAGTGTAAATGTTAATACGTTTACTCTTTATCGGAGAGCCTGAGTGAGGGCGATCAATTCAGCCTTTTGTGCTGAGGTGTTCGCTGGTAAAGCTTGAGCTTACAACACATCTGTCTCCATGGTAACAACTGCACTGGCTTTTCCTACTTCCTGCTTGAGGAAGCTGCTACTTCTGTGAACACGGCGGCATCTGCCTTTTCTAGGGGCACAGCTTGAAGATCAGATTGGCCAGTTTCGATAGTTTCTAACAGTTCTTGACAGTCATGAGCAGGAATAGTGCAGTCTGAGTCGGGAAGTAGTGTAGCTGGATTGAAACACTTTGTGGGAGAGAAAGTCAAACGAGGCTGATCTAACAGTAAACTTTGATACTGTAAGATGCGAGCATTTGACATCTATTTGCCAGAAGCACTTCGTAGTAAGGTCTTTATGGCTTGAAGAGCTGTAAGGGTTAAATTTTGGCTTACAGTTAACTTACCATCTTCTTGGACTAGGCTTGCTGTAGCCGCTATGGCTCGCAGACAACTTGGCCATCTAGAGGCCACAGGATCTAGCCTCTTAGATAAATAGGCCACTGGGCGTCTTTAGGGTCTTAGAGTCTGAGTAAACACGTCTTTAGCAACTCCTTGGCTTTTATGGAGATATTAGGGAGGGCTAAAGCAGGGGCTTCAGTTAATGCTAAATTAACGGGCTATTTCATTCTGTACTTCTTGGATAGCCGCCACTAAGATTTTTGTTTGTCTTTTGAATGCTTTATCAGCGGCCTTTTCAGCTGCCTGTGTTGCTTGTTTTTGTTTTTTTAACCTTGTGATTGTCAAAAGCTTTTTGGGCTATTTCTAAAAGCTGACAGATATTTATTCTAGCAAATCTTTCTAGTTTTTGGAGTTTCTTTTTAATATCCGGGGCTGCCTGAGCCACAAATGCTAAATTAAGAGCACGGCTATTTTCTAGAGCTGCCGGATCAAAAGGGGTGTAAATCCGATAAGCCTCCTGGAGGCGCTCTAAAAACGTTCTTGGTGACTTATCGGGCCTTTGGACAACTTCGGTCATCTTAGACAAGTTTATGGGTTTCTGAGCGGCTCTTTTAATACTCGCGAGGAGATACCGGTGAAAATCGTCTGAAGCTCTCTTTCTACTTGAGGAATTTGGGTACCAGTTGGGCCGGGTAGACGGAAAGACCTCCTCAAGGAGGTCTCTAGCTTCTTCTTCCAGTCTATTGGCTGATGTGAGGAAGTACTTTTTGGCTTCTTTTCGGATACGTTCTTTCTTTTCAGAGGTGAAAAGGGTTAAAAGGAGCTGTTGACAATCATCTTACGTGGGCGGGTGAGTCCGGAGTACGGACTCTATCAGAGAGGTCAAAGCCTGGGGCTTTTCAGAGAAGGGAGGATTATGGGTTTTCTAATTATATAAGACAGAAGAAGAAAAAGGGTCATAAACTAAGAAGGGGGCTGAGCGCTCGTCACCTGGAGGGACTTGTGACTCTCTCAGTGGTAGTAGAGGGGCTACTTCTTCCTGCCGCGGTCGCGATTGAGAGGCAATGGGTGGCGAGCCTACAGGGGACGTCCCCGAGGAGACATGGGATAACATTAAGGGAGCAGGATGGTTGTAAGGCAGTGGGACTGGGTGAGGGAGACTCTCCTCTTCTTCAGAGGGAGGCAGTACGGGGGAAGCCGAACCGGCTGAGGATCGAGGCAAAAACGCGGTCTGGCTCAGGCGGAACTTGGAGGTAGAATTATGAATGGCGCATGAGCGGAGCCATGGAGGGGGCTCCTGACCAAACTTAGCTATTGATCAATGTAGGGAAACTGATCAGGGTAGCTAGGATTTTTAGTAACAACCTGCCACACAGCTTGTGAGGTTCAATGACCCTTCAGGGGGCCACTTGACTTTACACTTTGGCCATTTTATTTTGCAGAGTGTCTGGAGCTTGCCTTTTTTAAGGCGGTCTTTATAATCCTCTGAGAAACTGAAAGGAAAATTCTGCAGCACACATTGGAGAGGGCTTTAAATTTTACAAGGCTGGGAGGAAGTGTTTATTTTTTTTTGAAGGCAATTTAATAAGATTTGAGCATAGATATTAAACTTAGCATGGACAGAGAAACTTATTTCTTGGCGGAATGGAGTATTGAAAGAACAGAATCAACATCACTAGAAAGAGCAGAAAAACTACAACAGCTAATACTACTTGCTACACTACTGTAGCTTTAATATTGAGGGAGGAGGACTAGAGACAGCCTGAGATCTTCTAGGTCAGTTTGATCTAGGCGTTCTTCTTCTTCTTCTTCTAGATCTGTACCTTAAATACTTTTGGTGTCTTTATGACTTAAAGGCAAATAGCTTAAACGTAGCTTTTTCTTTTAAGGGTTTAAGGAGTGAGAGCAGAGCCAAGTCCTGGAGATGCTGAACTTCTTGTCGCACTGGAAAATGAGATGAGTGGGGTAGGGGGCAGGGATGAGGCAGAAAAGGACTACTCAGATCATTTTCAAGATGGGAGAGTAGCCACAGAGGAACAGAGTAAGAATCTAAGCGAAGTAAAGCAGTACGGGCTTACGTTTCTTTACACAGTGTTCTATTTAAGGGCACAGGAAAAGTTACAGAATGACAAAAGAGGTGAGCAAGGAAATCTGCAGGGTGGCTGTTTTGAACTTACTACTGGTTTACTTTAGAGGAGGTCTAATCACTTGGACGTGGGGTACGACAATCTAAATACTTACAACTTTCATGGTGCTAGAAATCTTAATCAGGAAAATGTTTTTCACACTTGTTCTTGTAACAACACTTGACTTCCTTCTGGCAGAAAAGACAGGACTGTGGTGGTCAGCCTAAATGATTGATGAGAAATTTAACATCCTGTGACAAAAAATCAGCACTAAGGACTTTGAAGAAGTTTTTACTTAGACGTCTTGGGCAATATCACCGTCTTGACATGAAAACTTTCACAACTACTAACAAGACAATAGACACTGAACAGAACAAGCAACATAATCAATTGACTTTAGGGCATGTAAACAGTTATGACAGTTTGTCCCTTTTTTTTTTTTTTTTTTTTTTAGACAGACAAGGGGAGGGGGTCCTGTGATGGTATCAGTCAGATGCCTGTCTGGCCACTCCCGCTGAGGGGACTTGGGCTCCTCTTAGCATTGGCAGGCCGGTATAAACTTCCACCTCGGATCGAGCTGTGCCTGATGCTGCCTTAA
The DNA here is from genome assembly GCF_000001405.40 of Homo sapiens. NCBI lineage: Eukaryota > Metazoa > Chordata > Mammalia > Primates > Hominidae > Homo > Homo sapiens. The sequence continues at coordinate 9,601,065 of NC_000004.12, read as the reverse complement.
GCCTTATGAGGTCGCCACGGAACCGCAGGTGAGGGCCCACTTGAACTCCGTAGCTTTCACCGTGTAGCTACAAACTGGAGGACAAGCGCAAGCCCTTGTCCTCCCTCATTCATTCATTATTCACACAGAGTTTATAACAGTTTTTTTTTTTCTTTCTTGGAGATTCTTCAAGAAACTTGAACAAGAGAAAGACTAGAGATAGGAAAAGAGAGAGAGAGAGTGACTGGCCTGCCAGAAACCAGGACTCAGTCCTCCAGCATCCTGGGATGTGGACTGAGTCAAGAGAGGGTCCCTGTCAGGGCCAGTTCCCTCCTAGACAGAGACACAGAGGTGCCTAACAGAAAACCAGAGCTCTACCTTCTAGCGTCCTAAAGAAACGGGCAGAGTCAAAAGAGGGACGCCCTCATCAGGGCCGCTTCCCTCTTACTAGAACTGAAGTCAGATCTGACCTACCTGACCTTGGGGTCAGAAGTTGAGGACTCAGAGGTGGAATTTTTGTGGGCACCCACACAGTAGTCGATCCGCTCTCCTTTGGAAGATGGTCACCTTTCGGGGACCTGAAAATTTTTTTTCAGGTGGCGCCCCCGCTACAAGCCGGCCGTCCTTCCGGGGGAGCCCGCAGCAGGCCCGGAGCTAACCCGGCTCTCGCCTGGTGGCGTTTCTTGCTCGGGCCTCCAAATGTTGTACTTGAGCGAGTTAGAGAAAATGCCACACTTTGAGGTGAATTAAGAGTCTGTTTCTTTAGCCGGCGGCCAAGAGACGGCTAATGCTTAAAGTTCTCTTGGCCCCGAAGAAGGGGCTAGATTTTCTTTTATACTTTAGTTTAGAAAGGGGAAGGGGGTCTAGTTAAAAGAATTTTACAGAAGTAAAGTAGGCAAAAAAGTTAAAAGGATAAATTATTACAGGAAAGTAAACAGTTCTAGGTCTAAGGGGTTTAAGACTATTACAAAGTGATAGATGCGGGGCTTTAGGCATTATCAATCGGACGAATTCCTGGGAACTGCGGATATTGCTCGCCACAGTATCTTATCAGTTAATTGCATTCTTAGATGTGCTAAGAGTCAGCTTGCACAGGTTAAGTCCTTGAGGGAAGGGGCTGCCGGTGAAAGAGCCAAGATAAAGTCTGTCTAGCTCTCTTAGCTAAAAGACAGTCAATTCAGGTAGAAACAAGGCTAAGTGATTAAAAGAAAAGGAAAGTCTAAGAACAAAGTTAATAAAAACAAAGTTAGGCATTACAGATGGGGTCATCCTTATATTCAGCACAGTGTTTGTCCTGAAACTTCAATGGAGTGCTCCTAGTTTGATAACTTGGGCCATGCCAGATGCTTTGAATTTCTCTTTCTTAACAACAGATGTTTGAATACAGCCCCGTGTCCCTCTCTGCTCCTTCCTGCCTTCCTCCTCTCCTCTTCCCTCCCTTCCTTTTCAAGAGCAGGGTTTGCAAACTTTTTCTTGAAAGCATCAGATAGTAAATATTTTAGAATTCATGGGCCATACAGTCTCCTGTAGTAGTTACTCAACTCTGCCACCCATAGCATGAAAGCAGCTGATATAGGTTGATTATGTGTCCCCACCCAAATCTCATGTTACAATGTAATCAACAGTGTTAGAGGTGGGGCCTGGTGGGAAGAGATTGGATCATGGGGGTGCATTTCTCATGAATGATTTAGCATCATGCTTTTGGTCCTGTCCTTGCAATGGTGAGTGAGTTCTTGCAAGATCTGGTTGTTTATGAGTGTGTAACACCTCCCTCCTCACTCTCTTGCTCCCACTTCAACTTCGGCCATGATTGTAAGTTTCCTGAGGCCTCCACAGAAGCTCAGCAGATGTCATTGTCATGTTCCCTGAACAGCCTACACAACTGTGAGCCAAGTAAACCCAGTGTCAGGTATTTCTTTATAGCATGAGAGAACAGCCTAATCCAGCAATCATAGACAATATGTAGCAAATGGGCATGGCTGTGTTTCGATAAAACTTTATTGAGAAAAACATGTGCAGGCAGGTCAGATTTGGCCCATGGGCCATAGTGTCCCAACCCCTGCTCTGGAATATTCTCTTCAGCCTGGATGGACATCTCTAGGTTTTTTTTTTTTTTTTTTTTTTGAGACAAATTCTCACTGTTGCCCAGGCTGGAGTGCAGTGGTGCAATCTTTGCTCACTGCAACCTCTGTCTCCTGGGTTCAAGCAATTCTCCTGCCTCAGCCTCCCAAGTAGCTGGGATTACAGGCGCCTACCATGACACCTGGCTAATTTTTGTATTTTTTAATAGAAATAGGGTTTTACCATGTTGGCCAGGCTGGTCTCAAACTCCTGACATCAGGTGATCCACCCACCTCAGCCTCCCAAAATGCTGAGATTACAGGTGCCCACCACGACACCTGGCTAATTTTTGTATTTTTAGTAGAGATGTGATTTCACTGTGTTGCCCAGGCTGGTCTCAAACTCCTGATGTCAAGTGATCCACCTGCCTCGGCCTCCCAAAGTGCTTGGATTACACGTGTGAGCCACTGCAGCTGCCCTCTAGATTTTTTTTTTTTTTTGACCATTGCTTATTTGGTTTGACTTTCATTTTCTTCCCCATTGTGGTAGCCATTTTCTGAATGCCTGTTAGTTTACCCGCCTCCCTCCTCTGTAGTCCCTGGAGTCAGATGAACTCCTCTGCAGGTGCAATGGTGTAACACTCTCTAGTGCTGAATTTCCAGCAGGAGAAAAAGAGCAAGAGTGACCAGCACCCTTGGAAACTCTGGCCTACTGAGAATTTGGTGGCTTCTCTGCAAAGGTTGCAAACCTGTTAACCCACAAGCCAGAGACAGAGAGAAGCCAGAAGCATGATCTGTTAAGCTTGAGCTTAATATTTGATGCACAGAGATCACTGTGTTTTTTGATAAGAATTAGAGGGAAAGACATGGCCACAGAGAACAATTTCTATCCCCAGGTGAGGATTCAGGAGATAAATCTGTGAACAGAACTTCCTGAGAACTGAGATAAGGGAAATCGCTAGTGTTAGAGGGGTGAAAAACTCAGTAATTAAGGCTACGACTGTGCTCTGAGAGGTGAAAGGAGAAAATGAGACTGCCAGGCGTGAATAATGAGAAATCTTTGATGGACTTAGCTGTGCAGAACAGATACTAAATGCATCCTCATTCTTCTCATAATCAAAAGTTTTTGCTTAAGCTGGATGGGAAAAAGAGAATCCCATTTCACTAAGTATAAAAGAGGGGATCTTAGAGAAGGTCTCAGAAGAAAGAGATGTGAGGGTTTGGTGAAACTCACCAGAGGCTGAACCCTCTCCAGCATAACACAGGGATTGGGAGGAGTGGGGTGGCATTAGGCCAGGTGCATGGCCCAGTGCTGCTCTCTCTGGACTTTTTGCTCTCTCTGGACTTGTTTGCTAGCTGAGCTCATCCATTTGCATAATTTTCGGTGCCATTTCTCAGCTGATGAGTCCTGAACTTTTGTCTGGAGGCTAAACTTCTCCTTCAAACAGCAGTCTTAAACACGCAACTTCTTTCTTGTTTTTTCCACTTGTCAACTCATGAACACCTCAACCTTGTTACATCCAAAGCCAAACTCATGGCTTGGAGTGGTAGGTGATGGCTGTAATCTCAGTGCTATGGGAGGCCGAGGTGGGAGGATTACTTGAGGCCAGGAGTTTGAAGCCAGCCTGGAAAACACAGTGGGACTCCCTATCTACAAAAAAAAAAAAAAAAAAAAATTAGCTAGGCATGGTGATGTGCATCTGTAGGATCTGTAATCCTGCTACTTGGGAGGCTGAGGCAGGAGGATCACTTGAGCCCAGGAGTTTGAGGCTGCAAAGAGCTATGATTGCACCAATGCACTCCAGCCTGGGTGACAGAGCCAGAGACCCTGTCTTAAAAAAAAAACCCAAAGCCAAACTCTCTTTTTCCTCCTCCTTCTCCATGGGCTCTGTCCATGCCATCTCTGTTCTGTAAATGGCACCACCCCCTGCTGAGCTGCTCAAGCTGGTCATAACTCATGTGTTGTGCTAACTCTGCTTTTGCCCTCTTCTCCAGTCAGCAAGTTCCGTGATTCTAAACTTTATCCAACGTGTCCACTCTCTCTATCCTCATTGTTGTTATCTTTGCCTAGGACACAGCTATCCCAGCTGGGTTACAGCAGCAGCCTCCTAACTGGTCTTAACTGGTCCTCTGCACCTGCTCTCCATGCTCAGCAATCCATTTCCCACCTGGCAGCTTCAGTGATCTTAAGGTGTCCATTGAGTCTCATCTCTGCCTTTCCTGCCCATGGCACATATAATAAAATCGAGACCCCGAGTCTTCTGCCTGTTCCTGCTGCCTCTCCAGCCCTCTCCTGTCTCCTCCCCTTGGCCTACTCTATTTCGGACACTCTGGCCTCCTTTGTTTCCTTGGACTTTCAAACCTTTCTCCACAACAGGGCCTTTGCACTTGCTGCTTCAGCCTGGAATGATTTTCCTCTGCACCTCCCCAAATTAGACCATCCTTTAGGTCTCAGCTAAGATGGTGCTTCCACAGAGAGCTTTTTCCTGACCCCTTTATAAAGTGGACTTCCTTGCTCTTCTCCACCTTAACCTCTTATTATTTCTTGTTGTGGGAAGTCAGGGACCCCAAATGGAGGGACTGGCTGGAGCCACGGCAGAGGAACATAAATTGTGAAGATTTCATGGACATTTATCAGTTCCCAAATAATGCTTTTGTAATTTCTTATGCCTGTCTTTACTTTAATCTCTTAATCCTGTTATATTCATAAGCTGAGGATGTACATCACCTCAGGACCATTGTGAAAATTTTGTTAACTGTACAAATTGATTGTAAAACGTGTGTTTCAACAATATGAAATCAGTGCACCTTGAAAAAGAAGAGAATAACAGCGATTCTTAGGGAACAAGGGAAGACAACCATAAGGTCTGACTGCCTGCAGGGTTGGGCAATAAGAGCCATATGTTTCTTCTTGCAAAGAGTCTATAAACGGACATGCAAGTAGGAGAGATACAACTAAATTCTTCTCCTAGCAAGGAATATTAATATTAATACGCTGGGAACTGAATGCATTCCTGGGGTGAGGTCAATAAATGGCCGCTCTGGGAATGTCTGTCTTATGCTGTTGAGATAAGGACTGAGATACGCCCTGGTCTCCTGCAGTACCCAAAGGCTTACTAGGGTGGGGAAAAACTCCACCCTGGTAAATTTGTGGTCAGACTAGTTCTCTGCACTTGAACTCCATTTTCTATTGTTTAAGATGTTTATCAAGACAATACGTGCACTGCTGAACATAGACCCTTATCAGTGGTTCTGCTTTTGGCTTTTGCTTTGTGATCTTTGCTGGACCCTTATTAGTAGTTCTGCTTTTGCCTTTGTCCTGTTCCCTCAGAAGCATGTGATCTTTGTTAGACCCTTACTAGTAGTTCTGCTTTTTGCCCTTTGAAGCATGTGATCTTTGTACCTACTCCCTCTTCTTACACCCCTTCCCCTTTTGAAACCCTTAATAAAAACTTGCTGGTCTGAGACTCAGGGGGCATCATGGTCCTACCAATATGTAATGTCACCCCCAGTGGTTCAGCTGTAAAATGCCTCTCTTTGTACTGTCTCTTTATTTCTCAGCTGGCTGACATTTATGGAAAATAGAAAGAACCTATGTTGAAATATTGGGGGCAGGTCCCACCAATACTTCTTTCATGGATTTACTTATTTTTTGTTTGTCTCCCTCAGCATCCTAGAAACTCCTGGAGGGCAGAGTCATGCCTGCCATCTTCATCATTGCATTACCAGCACCCAGCACAGTGCCTGGCACAAAAGAATTGCTCAATAAATGAATCAGGATGAATGGACAAATACACGGATAGGCAGTTTGAACTACAGATGAGCTTAAATACTTTGTGCTTTTCTTAGTCAAACATGTGCAATTAAGCATAATGATATGACCACACCTGTGTGTCATATACCACACCTGTGTCTTGCCTGATGTTCTTTGCAGTCACTAAATGAAGTCAATTGTGCCTGTTTTCACAGTTCTGTTTTCAACCTAATGATCTGTTTCTTTTAACTTCTGACTGTTGGCTTTGTTTGGGTTTCTTAGCCTGACAAAGTGACAGATATTGGTATGTGCTCTTTTGTTTACATGTCACGAACTTTAAAAATGCCTTTGCTTTTGGTAAGAAACCCTAGTTAAGACAGTCTAGTGGTCAGGATGATTTGGGTTCTGGTGCAGTAACAACAATCCCCAAATCTCAGTGGCACCATGCAGTGACGTATTTGTTTGTTTGTTTTTGAGAAAGGGTCTCACTCTGTCACCCAGGCTAGAGTGCAGTGGCACAATCTCAGCTCACTGCCACCTCTGCCTCCCAGACTCAAGCGATTCTCCTGCTTCCTGAGTAGCTGGGATTACAGGCCCATGTCACTACTGTCTGCCTAATTTTTGTACTTTAGTAGAGACAGGATTTCACCATGTTAGCCAGGCTGGTCTTGAACTCCTGACCTCAAATGATCCACCTGCCTTGGCCTCCCAAAGTGCTGGGATGACAGGCATGAGCCACCATGCCTGGCCACAGTGAGGCTTGTTCTTGGTCACGTTGAATGTCTGGGCTGTGTTAGGGCATTGTGGGGTGGTCTGTTCATTGTGTTCACTCAGGGATCCAGGCTGACAAAAGCCCCATCTCTGCATGTGTCCTTGATCACCACTTCAGGGGAAAGGGAATGTGGTGGATCACAGAGCCTCTAAACACTTCCACCTGGAGGTGACTCAAGTTGCCCCTGCTCATGGTTCATTGGAAAAAACGGATCACAGAGTCATGGACAACTTCTCTGTGCCTGGAAAGGGAACCAAAATATGAATAGCTACATTGATTTTCCCTAGCTATTACACAGAAGGCCTCATTTAAGCGCAGTTACTTATTTGTGTTTTGAAGCTAACTGTAGTCCATCAACCTTCAGAGAAGATATGTGCACTTCCAAGCTATTATTATTATTTTTTTTTTTGAGATAGAGTCTCACTCTGTTGCTCAGGCTGGAGTGCAGTGGCATGATCATGGATCACTGCAACTTCTGCCTCCTGGGTTCAAGTGATTTTCGTGCCCCAGTCTCCCAAAGTACTGGGATTACAGACACCCACCACCGCGACTGGCTAAGTTTTGTAGTTTTAGTAGAGATGGGGTTTCACCATGTTGGCCTGGCTGATCTGGAACTCCTGACCTCAGGTGATCCACCTGCCTTGGCCTCCCAAAGTGCTGAGATGACAGGCGTGAGCTGCCGCACCCAGCCTTGAGTATGATTTTTGATTCGGAAGGCCAGAGTTAGGGTTTTAGTCTGAGGACAGTATGATGTGAAGGTGAAAAGCAGAGCTTGGCTGTGAGTTTGCTGGGATTCCTGTACTGCTTCTACAGCTCTTTGGCTGTGTGACCGTCACCTTTGGCAAGTTCCTTTACCTTTCTATGTGTTGGTTTCCTCATCAATAAAATGGAAAAAATAATCATAATCATAATATCTATTGGTGTTGGGATAGCCCAGTTGTTGACACATAAGGACTCAAAAATAGATTTAATTTTTGAGATGGAGTCTTGCTCTGTTGCTAGGCTGGAGTGCAGTGGTGAAATCTCGGCTCACTGCAACCTCTGCCTCCTGGGTTCAAGCGATTCTCCTGCCTCAGCCTCCTTAGTAGCTGGGATTACAGACACCCACCACCACTCCCAGCTAATTTTTGTATTTGTAGTAGAGATCGGGTTTCGCCATGTTGGCCAGGATGCTCTCGATCTCTTGACCTCATGATCTGCCCACCTCAGCCTCCCAAAGTGTTGGGATTACAGGCGTGAGCCACCGTGCCCGGCTCAAAAATACTGTTATTAATTTTGGGGGGTAGTTACTCTATTTTGTGAAAATCAGAGTTCAGTACCTTGTAACACTGGGTTGGGATCTATCCTTGAAGGAACAGGCTTCTAAAGAGAAAGGCATGGAGAGAGGGGCAAAATTTTAGTGGATATTGTAATGACTTTAGGTATATGGACCTGGGGCTGAGTTCTAGCTGGGGCCACCAGGTAGCAAGGTGGATTTTGCTAAATTCTATCACTTTCCTGGGCCTCAGACTCACTTGTTACAAATGGGGTTAAAGCATCCCTCTTTCAGGGCTAAGATAAAGATGATTAAGTAAGAGGGAATGAAAGCAACTTCCATCAATGGTCAAAAGTATTCGTTTAACTACTTCTATTTATTTATTTATTTTTTTTTTGAGATAGATGGAGTCTCTCTCTGTTGCCCAGGTTGGAGTGCAGTGCCATGGTCCCAGGTCACTGCAACCTCCACCTCCTGGGTTCAAGTGATTCTCCTGCTTCAGTCTCCTGAGTAGCTGGGACTACAGGTGCGTGCCACCACGCCTGGCTAATTTTTGTATTTTTAGTAGAGACAGGGTTTCATCATGTTGGCCAGGATGGTGTTGATCTCTTGACCTCGTGATCCACCCTCCTTAGCCTCCCAAAGTGTTGGGATTACAGGCATGAGCCACCACGCCCGGCCCACTTAACTTGTATATTACTTTCCTGTTGGTGGATTTACCAGTGCAAACTGAGCAGCTTAAAACATCACCCAGTTATTATCTTTTTTCCTGGACAGGGTTTAACTGGGTCTTCTATTCAGGGTCACAATACTGCAACCAGAGTGTCAGCTGGAGCTGGGGTCTCCTCAGATGCTCAGGGTCCTCTTCTAAGCTTATTCAGTTTGTGGATTGAATTCAATTTCTTGCAACTGTTGAACGAAGGCCCTTAGCTCCTAGAGCTGCCACCTCCAAAGACAGCTCACAACATGGCCATTTGTGTCTCCTTGGAGGCTAAGGGTTGAATCTGTGAAAGTTCACCTTTAAAAGGCTCACCTGATTAGGTCTGGCCCACCTAAGGTCATCCTGCTTTGGATGAACTCAAAGTCAGCTGAGCAAATGTGCTTAACAAAGCAAGTGTGACCATAATCACATTTGCAAAATTCCTTCCCCTTGTCCAAATCACAAGCTCTGCACACACTCAAGAAGAAGAGGTGATACAGGGAGCAGATATAAGAGAGTGGGTCTCTTGGGGGCTGTCCTAGAATTCTGCCCATAACAACTTCCTTTCTCACAACTTCCTTTCTCGAGGAACAGCAGGCCTGGGGAGAGAAGATCACGGATGAGCCCAGCACACAGGTGGTGAGCGCCTGGTGCTGGGGTAGCATGCAGGAGGCTGCGAAGCAAGTATGAAAAGCCTTCTCTGGGCTGGGTGCAGTGGCTCATGCCTGTAATGCCAGCACTTTGGGAGGCCAAGGTGGGTGGATCACGAGGTCAAGAGAGCGAGACTATCCTAGCCAACCAACATGATGAAACCCCGTCTCTACTAAAAATACAAAAATTAGCTGGGCATGGTGGTGCACATCTCCAACAATCCAGCTCCCCAAGTGAGCAATTCCTGTCCCTTTTAAGGGCTCACAACTCTAAGGGGGTCTCTGTGAGAGGGTCGTGATCGATTGATCAAGCAGAGAGTATGTGACTGGGGGCTTCATTCAGCAAACCCCATCTCTACTAAAAATACCAAAATTCAGCAGAGTCTCAGGATACAAAATCAATGTGCAAAAATCACAAGCATTCTTATACACCAATAACAGACAAACAGAGAGCCAAATCATGAGTGAACTCCCATTCACAATTGCTTCAAAGGGAATAAAATACCTAGGAATCCAACTTACAAGGGATGTGAAGGACCTCTTCAAGGAGAACTACAAACCACTGCTCAAGGAAATAAAAGAGTATACAAACAAATGGAAAAACATTCCATGCTCATGGGTAGGAAGAACTAATATCATGAAAATTGCCATACTGCCCAAGGTAATTTATAGATTCAATGCCATCCCCATCAAGCTACCAATGACTTCCTCCACAGAATTGGAAAAAACTACTTTAAAGTTCATGCAGAACCAAAAAAGAGCCCACATTGCCAAGTCAATCCTAAGCCAAAAGAACAAAGCTGGAGGCATCACACTACCTGACTTCAAACTATACTACAAGGCTACAGTAACCAAAACAGCATGATACTTGTACCAAAACAGAGATATAGACCAATGGAACAGTACAGAGCCCTCAGAAATAATGCCACACATCTACAACTATCTGATCTTTGACAAACCTGACAAAAACAAGAAATAGGGAAAGGATTCCCTATTTAATAAATGGTGCTGGGAAAACTGGCTACCCACATGGAGAAAGCTGAAACTGGATCCCTTCCTTACACCTTATACTAAAATTAATTCAAGATGGATTAAAGACTTATATGTTAGACCTAAAACCACAAAAACCCTGGAAGAAAACCCAGGCAATACCATTCAGGACATAGGCATGGGAAAGGACTTCATGTCTAAAACACCAAAAGCAATGGCAACAAAAGCCAAAATTGACTAATGGGATCTAATTAAACTAAAGAGCTTCTGCACAGCAAAAGAAACTACCATGAGAGTGAACAGGAAACCTACAGAATGGGAGAAAATTTTTGCAATCTATTCATCTGACAAAGGGATCTATATGACTTTCTTATAACCAAGAGAACATGGCAGAGGTGACGGGATGTAGTGATTACGTCAGATAGGACGTTAAGTTGTCTTGCTAGGAGGCTGTCTGTCTTGCTGGCTTTGAAGATGTGAGCTGCCATGTCATGAGCGGCCAGATGGAGAGGCCCATATGGCAAGAAGCTGAGGGCAGCACGAAACTGGGGCCCTGTGTCCAACAGCCTGCAAGGAACTGAATGCTGCCAACAATCAGATGAGATGGGAAGCAGATCAATCACCAGTCAAGCCTCCAGATGAGTACCGAACCCTGGCTGACACTATGGCTGCAGCCTTGCACTGAACCCAGCTGAGTCACTCCTGGATTCCTGACCCACAGAAACTGTGCAGTGATAACTGTGTGCTGTCTCAAGTCACAAAGTTTGCAGTAATATTGTTGCACAGCAACAGATAACTAATATAAAAACTGTCTTACATCATGTACATTACTGAGGGAAATGTAGAACGTGGATTTGAGCTCTGATTTCAGAGTTGTGGTCTCAGTCTCCCCAGGGAGACCTGTCCTGGGAGACAGTTATACCAGGCCGTGATGCTGTGATGATTGTTCTCTTCCTACCCAGAAGCTTTCAATAGGCATGTCAAGCATGTGACCCCAGCTACATATACCAAATGTATTTCTGACAAATGCCAGGACATCGTGAACTTTCTTGTTTTACTGAGAGCTCCATAAAGGAAGGAGCATCTCCGTGTTTTTTTTTTTTTTTTTTTTTTTTTTTAAGAGTCTCACTCTGTCACCCAGGCTGGAGTGTAATGGTGCGATCTCGGCTCACTGCAGTCTCTGCCTCCTGGGCTCAAGGGATTCTCCAGCCTCAGCCTCCTGAGTAGCTGGGATCAAAGGCGTGCATCACCACACCCAGCTAATTTTGTATTTTTGGTAGAGACGGGGTTTTGTCATGTTGGACAGGCAGATCTTGAACTCCTGGCCTCAAGTGATCTGCCTACCTCGGCCTCCCAAAGTGCTGGGATTACAGGCGTGAGCCACTGCACCTGGCCTGTCTTTTTTATGCTATGTCCCCATGAAACAGCCCTGTGGTCAGCACACAAAGGGGTCCAAATGTGAAAGGAAAGGGCAAACAAACACAGGGGAAACATAGGGGTGTTCAGAAATAGTTCCCAGGTGACTGCCTGTTTCAATATGTACAGTCCTCGGCCCCACCCACAAGATTCTGACTTGGCAGGTCAGAGTTGGAGATGGGGAGCTACCTGGTTACCAGGGATCCCAGTGCATTTTGAGGCAGCTGGTTGTTAGACTGCATTGTAAAAATTACCCCCCAAAGACGTGAAGGGAAATTGAAAGTCAAAGGCAGGCTAGAAAACAACACAAGTAAAACATGAATAAGTTCATTCCAGAAGGAGATTCTCAAACACAGCTGCACGTCAGAATCAGCTGGGGAGATTTTAAAACCCCAGTGCCCAGGCTCTGCAACCCAGATCAATTAATACGGAATCTCTTGGGGATGAAACATGGGCATCAGTATTTTGTGTGTGTGTGTGTCTTTTTTTTTTTTTTTTTTTGAGATGGAATCTTGTTCTGTCACCCAGGTTGGAGTGCAGTGGTGCGATCTCAGCTCACTGCAACCTCTGCCTCCTGAGTTCAACCCATTTTCCTACCTCAGCCTTCTGAGTAGCTGGGATTACCGGCGTGCACCGCCATGACTAGCTAATTTTTGTATTTTTAATAGAGATAGGGTTTCACCATGTTGGCAAGGCAGGTCTTGAACTCCCAGCCTCTTGTGATCCGCCTGCCTTGGCCTCCCAAAGTTCTGGGATTACAGGCATGAGCCATTGCTCCTAGCAGTATTTTTTAATGAGACAAAATTCACATAACATACCAGTCCCTGTGTGAAACCGTACACTTCAGTATCATTAAATACATTCACAATGTTAAGCAATCATCATCTCTGTCTAGTTCTAAAACATTTTCATTAACACCCCCTGCCCCCCCCCAAAAAAACCCTGTGTCCATCGAGCACTCTCAATCCCCTCCCCTTTCCCCCAGCTCCTGGCAATCACTTACCTGCTCTCTGCCTCTACAGATTTGCCTATTCTGGACCTTTGACATAAATGGAATCATGTAATATATATAATAACCAAAAGGTAGCAACAACCAAGCTGGCCATTTGGTTGATGAATGAATAAACAAAATGTGCTGTATCCATACAATGGAAATACTGGTGCCTACTACATGTGGATGGACCTTGGAAACATCACGCTAAGTGAGAGAGACCCTTGGTATTGTCTCATCTCCCCAGGACATTCCAAGGTGCAGCCAAGGTTGAGACCCACTGACAAGCAATGGATATGGTTGGGTGCAGATGAAATAAGGCAGCCAGGGGCAGGAGGGATGTCTCATTGAAGATGACTATTTGTGGATGCCAAGCAGGGGTGGGGATGAGGTATGATAACAGCAACCCCAATCCCAACACAGCGTGACCGATTTTATCTTCAGCCATCTGATACGCCTCATGGGGTTTGGACACAGGACACCTCTGCCTCCCAGGTTCAAGCGATAACTCCTGCCTCAGCCTCCTAAGTAGCTGGGATTACAGGCATGTACCACCACGCCTAACTATTGTATGTTTAGTAGAAACGAGGTCTCGTCATGTTGCCCAGGTTGGTCTCGAACTTCTGGCCTCAAATGATCCACCCACCTCAGCCTCCCAAAGTACTGGGATTACAGGCATGAGCCACAGTGCCCAGCATCCAAATTCTATTTGAAGTTTGACTTTCCACCTCCAGAAAATCCAAACCTTTGCCCAAGTCACAGTGGGACACCCTGGCTTTAATTTGAGAGAAACGTGCTTTTAAAAACAACTCCAGGCCAGTCGCAGTGGCTCACGTCTATAATCCTAGCATTTTGGGAGGCCGAGGCGGACAGATCACGAGGTCAGGAGATCAAGACCATCTTGGCTAACGTGGTGAAACCCCGTCTCTATTAAAAATACAAAAAATTAGCCTGGCATGGTGGCACATGCCTGTAAGCCCAGCTACTCGGGAGGCTGAGGCAGGAGAATCGCTTGAACCAGGGAGTCAGAGGTTGCAGTGAGTCGAGATGGTGCCACTGCACTCCAGCCTGGTGACAGAGACAGATTCCATCTCAAAATAAATAAACAAATAAAACCCTCCAATATGAACACCAAACTAGAATCACTCCATTGACTTCCCTCAGCCAAGCAGGGGGAGTGATGGTGATGGTGCATGAGTGTCTATTTGCATTGAGTCTTAATGGAAAATAAGGTTGTGTCACTCAAAGGAAAAACAAATCACAGCCCAGACTGGAGATGTGGATGAATAACATGGCTGAGTGTTGGTACAGGCTTTCCACAGCAATATTAAAACTGAAAACATCAGCAATGAAGCTCCCAGCCACATTTCTGCCAAATGATTTGGGGGAAAACAACAGAGGCACTCCTCAACTTTTTCCTTCGCTGCACAAAGTGGGTTTGGCTGGAAATGCCAAATGTGCTTGTTGCTGGGATCTTTCAAATGAAAGCAAGCTGGGAGTCAACCTCCTGCAGCCGCAGGCCAGAAATGGGTTTAGACCAAACTATTATAGTAACACTGGTGCACATCTAAACAGATTTAACTCCCTCCCAGCAATCCAGATTAATTTAATATGCTTTCTTAACGGCATTCCGCATTTCTCATTAAAGCAAATGAACGTCCATCCCTCTCTGATAAATTAGGGCAAAAAAATTCATATGTTTAGGGCATAGGGAAGGAGGAGTTGTTGGCTGTTAAAAAAAAGAACAAAAAAAAGTACCGCAAATGGCGTTTCAAAGTCTAGACATCTTCATCATCAACACAAACATTCCTCTTCACAAAGGGACCTCAAGTAAGCTTAGGCTGGAGGGCCCACCTGCGTATGCTTTTCTTCTCATTCTTTCTTACCTTCCCTCCAGCCCACCCAACCCACATTCAGTGACCAAGTCACGTGGGTTTTACCTCCTAAATCTTTCTCAGATCCGTTCACTGCTCAGCCACTCTCCTGACACCACCATAAACCAAGCCACCATCACCTCCAGCTGTTTGACTGCAAATGCCTACTGACTGGCCTCTGTTTTCCCCTGGCCCTGTGACAATCTGCACTCCTCACAGGGACCAAAGCAATCACTTCAGAAGGTGCATTCAAAGAGATCACTCATTTTCAATGGCTCCCACTGCTGTGTGGGTTAACAATGATAAAAGCTCGGCCGGGCGCAGGGCATCACGCCTGTAATCCCAGCACTTTGGGAGGCCGAGGCGGGTGGATCACGACGTTAGGAGATCCAGACCATTCTCGCTAACACGGTGAAACCCCGTCTCTACTAAAAATACAAAAAAATTAGCCGGGCGTGGTGGCGGGCGCCTGTAGTTCCAGCTACTCGGGAGGCTGAGGCAGGAGAATGGCGTGAACGCGGGAGGCGGAGGTTGCAGTGAGCCGAGATCGTGCCACTGAGCTCCACCCTGGGCGACAGAGACTCCATCTCAAAAAAAAAAAAAAAGAAACAACAATGATAAAAGGTCACCTTTACTGAGCACACACTATCTCACTCCATCCCTACATCAGCCCTTTATTTCACCAGTGGGGAAGCTGGGGGACAGAGTAGTTACGTGGGATGCCCAAGGTGGGACCACTCCTATGAAGTTTCAACACCCTAATGTGAGACCCTCCATGACCTAGCCCCTCTCTTTCTCCAGCCTCATTTTCTGATTCTCTCGCTTGCCCTGCAGACTTCAGCCACACAAACTTCTTGAAAGTCCCTTAAATCTGGCTGAGCGCAGTGGCTCATGCCTGTAATCCCCGCACTTTGGGAAGCTGAGGCGGGTGGATCACTTGAAATCAGGAGTTCGAGACCATACTGGTCAACATGGTGAAACCCCATCTCTACTAAATATCCAAAAATTAGCTAGGTGTGGTGGAGGGCGCCTGTAATCCCAGCTACTCAGGAGACTGAGGCAGGAAAATCGCTTGAACTCAGGAGGCAGAGGTTGCAATGAGCCAAGATCACACCACTCCACTCCAGCCTGGGGGTCAAGAGTGAAACTCCATCACACACACACAAAAAAAGCCCCTTAAATCTGCTCTATGCCTATCAACCTCAGGGACTTCACTATGCTGTTCCTCACCCTGAAATGCTGTTCCTCATTTCTCCACCTAGTGAACTCATCCCACCCCCTAGGCCTCTCCTTAAGTGTCATCTCTTCAAGGAAGATTTTACTTTTTTAATATAACTATTACAATATAATTCAGGTACCGTATGATTTGCCCATTTAAAGTGAACAAATCAATGGTTTCAGTGCATTCACAGAGCTCGGCAACCACCATCATGATCAATTTTAAAACATTTTCATCACCCCAAAAAGAAACCCCGTATCCATTAGCAGGTATGTGCCATTTCCTCCTCCCACTAAGCCCTGACAATCTACTTTTTTTGAGATAGAGTTTCTGTCACAGGCTGGAGTGCAGTGTCACAATCTTGGCTCAATGCAACCTCCACCTCCTGGGTTCAAGCAATTCTCCTGCCTCCCGAGTAGCTGGGATTACAGGCATGTGCCACCACGCCCATCTAATTTTGTATTTTTAGTAGAGACAGGGTTTCTGTCTTCATAGATTTGCGTGTTCTGGACATTTCATATAAATGAAATCTTATGTGACCTTTTGTGACTGGTTTCTTCCACTTAGCATAATATTCTCATGGTTCATCCGTGTTGTAGCACGTGTTAGTACTTCATTCCTTTTGATGACTGAATAATAGTCCATTGCATGGTCAAACCATGTTCTATTTCTCCACTCATCAGTAGACAAGCATTTGTGTTGTTCTCACTTTGGCACTGTTATGTATAATGCTGCTATGAGTATTTGTGTACAAGTTTCTGCACGGACATATATTTTCATTTCTTTCATAAACTGGAGTGGAAGTGCTGGGTCACAGAACTCTGTTTAAGCTTTTGAAGAAGTGCCAGACTGTGTAAGACAGAAAGCCTTTCCTCACCCTGAGAGACTGAGCTCCCTCTCTCCATTTATACGTTCTCTTTATGCCCTTGCTTCTCTTTCAGAGCAATGCACGTTGACCTGGGTCACCCTCAGCTTAAGGCTCATAACTCCCCTAGATCCTCAGGGTCCACACTAAATGTGATGAAATATGATGCAAGCCACATATTTACTTTTGCATTTTGTAGTAACAACATTTTAAAAAGTAAAACAAAAGAAGTGAAGGTAATTGGAATAATATCACACATTTAAACAAATCTATCCAAAATACCAGGTCTACTAGTATAAAATATTTTAACTTTGACAAAATACTTTGTTTTCTTTTAATATTAAGGCTTCACAATCTAATGTGTATTTGACACTTCTCGCACATCTCTGCATGATGGCAGCACCCCATATGGGAGCCCTCCCATGATGCCAGTGATGGGCCCTCCTCCTCCTGGGATGATGCCAGTGGGACCTGCTCCTGGAATGAGGCCGCCCATGGGAGGCCACATGCCCGTGATGCCTGGGTGCCCAATGATGAGACCTCCTGCCCATCTCATGATGGTGCCCAGTCAGCCCAGAATGACTCAACCAGACAGATAAGGATAGATGGGAGGCCTCATTACATCAGTGTTGTTTTTTTGTTGTTATTGTTGTGGGTTTTTTTGTTTTGTTTTGTTTTTGAGACAGAGTCTTCCTCTGCTGCCCAGGCTGGAGGGCAGTGACACGATCTCAGCTCACTGAAACCTCCATTTCCTGGGTTCAAGTGATTCCCCTGCCTCAGCCTCCTGAGTAGCTGGGACTACAGGCGTGCACACCATGCCCGGCTAATTTTATTTATTTTAGTAGAGATAGGGTTTCACCATGTTGGCCAGGATGGTCTCAATCTCTGACCTTGTGACTCGCTTGCCTCAGCCTCCCAGAGTGCTGGGATTACAGGCGTGAGCCACTGTTCCCGGCCTATATGAGTTTTATATTTACCTGTTCCCTTCACCAGGAGATCATGCCCCTGTGATGCTGGCTTTTCTTAACTGCATAAGGAAGACTTACCCCCTTGCCCTATCGAAGAGAATAGTTTTGGAGGGGAGAAGTGGGACGAAAAAAGATGCAGTTTTCATTTGTATTGGGAAATGTGAAAATAAAATTGTCAACTCTTTTAGTTAAAAACAAAAAAAAAAAAAAAGAAAAGAAAAGGAAACAAGATGTGGGGCTGCCGTATGCAATACTGTGGATTCCAAGGATCTTCTACTCTGGAGGCAAATATTATCTTTGCTGAAGCCAGACCAACCTGACACAAAGACCTTTTGTTTTTTTAATGTGACTGTGTTTTATTTTACAATGTGTAATTCACTTTAGAAGGCCAAAGTACCTGTCTGGGGAAGACTATTTAATTTCTTGCATCTATTTAGAATGTTGGCTGACGTTATTATGAAGGGAAACGCCTCTAACAAGTGAGTGCCCCCCCCACAAAGACACAGCTCACGAGTTCACGGGGCAAAGGAATTGAACAGCAGCCTCCTAATAGCCGGCCTTCTTTGTGGTATGGAAATAATTATCAGCATGTAAAAGACTATATATATATTCAACAATTCTGAGCCCCTACAAAATTCAAATCTACAACTGATTTGCTTCCTGGGCTCCTGAAAACAACTTTGTCAAAATTGTTCAGAAATAAAATCAGCCAATCGTTGCCCCTTGGGGACGCAGGACAAAGCAAGTCAGCCATGACCAACGTGGAGTCGGCCGTACACAATTACATGCAGACCTGCAGGACATCGAGTCCCTGCTATGGTCCCTCCCCATCAGGCCCCCCATTGCCTGGGCTGCAGCCAGAAGGATTCAGGCACTAGTGCATTCAACAAATACTTATTTAATTGTATTGGTGGTTGGAGGGTTGTGGTTGATTAAGGTACATTAATGGATCCATGTCCTCCCTGTATCCAAGACTCTGTCATTTGTCTCTGCAGTTCCTCCCACTGAAGAATCGGAGTATATTTCTCCAGCCCCTAATGTTGGGTTTAGTCATGTGTCTAGCTTTGGCCACTGGAATATTAATCTGCATGACCAAAAATTTGGAAAGTGTGCATTCATTTGTGCTGTCTCACTCCTGCTATCACCATGAGAACAAGCCCAGGCCAGACTGCTGCTTCCAGCAGAAGATAAGAGACACCAAGAGCAAAGTCGAGCTTCCCAGACATGCTCATGCTAGATTAACCAATCCTCAGCTGACCCATAGATCCATGAAAATAAACGATTGTTGTATTAAGCCACTGAGATTTGGAGTGACTTGTTATGCAGCATTTTGTGACAACAACTAACTGATACAAGGGTCACTGTCCTTTGTCTCTGTAGATTTTAACCAATTTTTAATAGCTAGATGGAGATCTTCTAGTTGCCTTTACATATAATGAATAAGACTGTAGAGCTTTTTTGGCCTGACACTACCAGTAACCTACCCAGAAATTCAGAAATGCTTTCTTCTCCAACCCGCCCCAACCAACCTTTTATTTTGTGGGGGGGTGGTGGGTGGTTCTCCCTCTTTGCCTAGACTAGAGTACAAGTGGTACAGTCAGAGCTCACTGTAACCTCAAAATCCAGGGCTCAAGTGATCTTCCCCTTCAGCCTCCTATGTAGCTAAGGCTACAGACATATGCCCCCATGCCTGGCTAATTTTTTTATTCTTTGCAGAGACAGGGTCTCACTATATTGCCCAAGTTGGTTTCAAACTCCTGGCCCCAAGCAGGCCTCCTGCCTCATCCTCCTAAAGTGCTAGGATTATAGGCATGAGCCACCACACCCAGCCTCTTCTTGTTTTTAAATAGTAACCCTATTTTATTCTGACGATGGGTTGCTAACTTTTTTTTTTTAAGAAAAAGTTGACCCAGCCCCAGGGAATAAATTGTGACTGTTCTAAACAGGGTTGGCAAACTATAGACCAAGGGCCAAATCTGGCCCTCTGACTGTTTGTATAAATTAAGTTTTACTGGAATAAAACCAGGTCCATTCATTTATGCATTGCCTACATATGCTTTTAGGCTATGATAGCAGCACTGCATCACTGCAACAGAGGTTATCTAGAGCAAATGCCTAAAATATTACCGTTTGCCTCTTTATGGAAAAAGTTTGCCATTCCCTAGTCTAAGGTTTAGATTCTGAGCTTATCATTTTAGCCTACCCCCCCTTACCAGTGACTGGCTCAAAACAAGTCTGTGATTCCATTCTGACTGTTTTACTGAGGGAATTCCCCCTTCTTCTCATGCAGAGCTGATGAGGGTAAGTTGTATTAATAGGACATATGCTCAGGTTTTCTGAAAAATACTTTTATCTAGAAATGCATAGGAATATGCTGGTGCCTGAATGTACCATCTGGGGGCCTGGAGATTGACTCACACTGCCTCCAGAGCTAGTGCTCACACTTACTACTGAGAGGCCTGAGGAAACACCTGCCTACCCACCACCAGAACCTGCACACATCACCTGGAGAACTAGAGATCAGACTGCCACACACACCACCCAGGAGCCCAGTGGTGCACCTGCCCACCTGGTCCAGTGCTGCCACTGCCAGCAACCAAAGAAGCCACCTGGAGGCCCAGGGTTTGGCCCACGCAGACAGCCTATCATCAGTGCCCATATACACTGCACATGGTCCCTAGTATTGACAAACCTGGTCCACCACCACTACCACTGATGCTGAAGGACAAGACTTCCTGGCATCCCCATCCTCAGCAAAGCCTCATCACAGCCTCTAATGACAACTGCTGTGTGGCCGGACATGGTGACTCAGACCTGTAATCCCAGCACTTTGAGAGGCCGACATGGGTAGATCACGAGATCAGGAGTTTGAGACCAGCCTGACCAACATGGTGAAACCCCGTCTCTACTAAAAATACAAAAATTAGCTGGGCATGGTTGCACGTGCCTGAAGTCCCAGCTACTCAGGAGGCTGAGGTAGGAGAATCACTTGAACCTGGGAGGCAGAGGTTGCAGTGAGCTGAGATTGTGTCACTGCACTCCAACCTGGTGACAGAGCTAGACTCCATCTCAACCACAAAAACAACAACAACAACAAAAACCCACTACAGTCTAAGCCACTGAATGACTCACAGACATCACTCATGCCAATTACAGCTGAAGAAATCATATGCAGACTATACCACTACACACCCAGAATCAAAGCCAAAGTGTGATATCCAATGAGCATTGTAGATATAGCTATAAGAAAAGGTCTTTCCCATATAAAAGCCAATCCATAAAATTGGAAGAAGTGACTGTTATGTCAGAGGCACAGATAGTCACATAAGGATGCAAGAAATATGAAAAAGGAAGCATAACATCTCCAAAGAAGCACAATAATTCTCCAGCAACAGATTCCAATGAAAAGAAAATCTATGAAATGCCTGAAAAAAATTCAGAATAATGTTATTAAAGAAACTCAGGGAGATACAAGAGAACACACATAATGAATACAAAAAAATCAGGAAAACAATACATAATCTGAATGAGAAATTCAACAGAGATAGGCAGCATAACAAAGAACCAAACACAAACCCTGGAAGGAATAAATGATTGAAAGAAATGCAAAAGATAATTGACAGCTTTAACAATAGAATAGATCAAGCAAAACAAAGAATTTCTGAACCTGAAGAATAGTCTTTTAAAATAATCCAGTCAGACAAAAAGAAAGAAAAAAGAATGAAGCAAGGCTACATGACATATGGGACACATATGTGACCAAAAACTGAAATTCTGGGAGTTCTGGATGGAGATGAGATGGGTAAAGGCATAGAAAACCTATTTAATAAAATAATAACTGAAAACTTCCTGAAAGCTTCCAAATACAGGAAGCTCAAAGATTACCAAATAAATACAACTCAAAAAGGTCTTCTCCAAGGCACATTATGGTAAAATTGTCGAAAGACAAAGAGAAAATGCTGAAAACAGCAAGGGGAAAACATCAAGTCATTTATAAGAGAATCTCCATCAGGCTGACAGGATTTCTCAGCAGAAACCTTACAGGCTAGGAGAAAAGGAGATGTATACTACAAGTTAAAAAAAAAAAAAAAAAAAAAAAAAAAAAAGCCAAAAATACTATACCCAGCAAAGCTATCCTTCACAAATGAAGGAGCCTGGAACAGTGGCTCACATCTGTAATTCCAGAGACTCAGAAGGCTGAGGCAGGAGGATCATTTGAGCCCAGGAGTTCAAGGCTGCACTGAGCTATGATCACACCACTGTACTCCAGCCTGGGTGAAAGAGTGAGACTCCATTGCTAAAAAAATAAATAAATAAATAAAAGGGAAAAAAGTATTTCCCAGATAAGCAAAAGACTGTTTGTTTGGGTCTTGTTTGTTGTGGTCCTACAAGAAATGCTTAAGGGAGTCCTACATTGGGAAGCAAAAGAACAATATCTACCATCATGAAAATGTATGAAAATATAAAACTCACTGGTAGAGCAGACACACAAAGAAGAAAGGATTCAAACAACATCACTAAAGAAAACCACCAAACTGCAACCATAAATAATGAGAAAAAAAAGGAACAAATATGTATTAGTCTGTTTTCACACTGCTGATAAAGACATACCTGACTGAGGCTGGGCAATTTACAAGAGAAAGAGGTTTAATGGACTTACACTTCCACATAGCTGAGGAAGCCTCACAATCACGTTGGAAGGCAAGAAGAAGCAAGTTATGTCTCACATGGATGGCAGAAGGCAAAGAGAGAGCTTCTGCAGGGAAACTACCCTTTTTAAAATCATCAGACCTTGTGAGACGTATTCACTATCATGAGAACAGCATGGGAAAGACCTGCCCCAATGATGCAATTACTTCCCACTAGGTCCCTCCCACAACATGTGGGAATTCAAGATGACATTTGGGTGTGGACACAACCAAACCATATCATTCTGCCCTTGGCCCTTCCCAAATCTCATATCCTCACATTTCAAAACCAATCATGCCTTCCCAACTATCCCCCAAAGTCTTAACTAAGTTCAGCATTAACTCACAAGTCCACTGTCCAAAGTCTCATGTGAGACAAGGCAAATCCCTTCCACCTATGAGCATGGAAAATCAAAAACAAGTTAGTTACTTCCTAGATACAATGAAGGTATAGGCATTGGGTAAACACAGTCATTCCAAATGGGAGAAAATTGCCAAAACAAAGGAGCTACAGGCCCCATGAAGCCCAAAATCCAGTGGGGCAGTCAAATCTCAAAGGTCCAAAATGATCTCTTTTGACTCCATGTCTCACATGCAGGTCATGGTGATGTAAGAGGTGGGCTCCCACGGCCTTGGGAGAAAAAAAGCCACAGCTCCACTCCTGTGGCTTTGTAGGGTATAAATCCCCTCCTGGCTCCTTTCATGGGTTGGCATTGAGTGTCTGCAGCTTTTCCAGGCACACAGTGCAAGCTGTCAGTGAATCCACCATTCTGGGGTCTGGAGGATGGTGGCCCTTTTCTCACATCTCCACTAGGTGGCGCTGCAGTAGGGACTCTATGTGGAGGCTCTCACCCCACATTTCCCTTCCGCACTACCCTAGTAGAAGTTCTCCATGAGTGCCCTGCCCCTGCAGCAAACTCCTGCCTGGACATCTAGGCATTTCCATACATCTTCTGATATCTATGCAGTGGTTCCCAAACCTCAATTTTTGACTTCTGTGCACCCATAGGCTCAACACTATGTGGAAGCTGCTAAGGCTTGGGGCTTGCACCCTCTGAAGCCACAGCCCACGTTGTACCTTGGCTCCTTTTAGCTGCAGCTGGAGTGGCTAGGACTCAGGCACCCTAGGCTGCTCACAGCAGGGGTACCCTTGGTCCAGCCCACAAAACCATCTGTTCTTCCTAGGCCTCTGGGCCTTTGATGGGTGGGGCTGCCATGAAGATCTGTGACATGCCCTGGAGACATTTTCCCCATTGTCTTAGGGATTCACATTTGACTCCTCGTTACTTACACAAACTTCTGCAGCCAGATCAAATTTTTCTTGAGAAAATGGGATTTTCTTTTCTATTGCATTGTCAGGCTGCAAATTTTCCAAACTTTCATGCTCTGCTTCCCGTATAAAACTGAGGGCCTTTAACAGCACCCAAGTCATCTCCTGAATGCTTTGCTGCTTAGAAATTTCTTCTACCAGACACCCTAAATCATCTCTCTCCCGTTCAAAATTCTACAAATCTCTACAGCAGGGGCAAAATGCCACCAGTCTCTTTGCTAAAACATAACAGGAGTCACCTTTGTGCCAGTTCCTGACAAGTTCCTCATTTCCATCTGAGACAACCTAAGCCTAGACTTTATTGTCCATATAACCATCAGCATTTTGGGCAAGCCTCTAGGAAATCTCTTCCAAATTTTCCCACATTTTCCTGTCTCCTTCTGAGCCCTCCAAACTGTTCCAACCTCTGCCTGTTTCCCAGTTCCAAAGTCACTTCCACATATTCAGTTATCTTTTAGCAACACCCCACTCTGGTACTAATTTACTGTATTAGTCCATTTTCACACAGCTGATAAAGACACATTCAAGACTGGGAAATTTACAAAAGAAAGAGGTTTAATGGACTTACAGTTCTACATTGCTGGGGAGGCTTCAAATCGTTGCGGAAGTCAAGGAGAGGCAAGTCACATCTTACAAGGATGGCAGCAGGCAAAGAGAGAGCTTGAGCAGGGAAACTCCTCCTTTTAAAACCATCAGCTCTCATGAGACTTATTCACGATCAAAAGAATAGCATGGGAAATACCTGCCTCCATGATTCAACTACTTCCCACTGGGTCCCTCCCACAAAACATGGGAATTCAAGATGAGATCTGAGTGGGGACACAGCCAAACCATATCAAAAGGATATACAAAATAACCAGAAAACAATGAACAAAATGACAGGAATAAGTCCTCACCTATCAATAATAACTTCAAATATGGGTTAAATTACCTACCTAAAAGATAGAGACAGGCTTAATGGATAAAAAATGACCCAACAACGTCTGCAAGAAACTCACTTCACTTGTAAAGACACACAGACTGAAAGTGAAGGGATTGAAAAAGATATACCACACAGACAGAAATCAAAAGTAATCAGGAGTAGCTAAACTTACATCAGATAAAACAGACTTTAAGTCAAAAACTGTAAAAAGGACAAAGAAGGTCATTATATGGTAATAAAGGGATCAATTCGGCAACAAAGTATAACAATTCTAAATATGCACACAACAAACACAAGCACATCCAGACACACATAGCAAATATTATTAAATCTACAGGAAGAGATAGAGTCCAATACAATGATAGTTGAGAACTTCAATATCCTACTTTCAGCATTGGACAGTTCATCTAGACATAAAATCAACAAAGAAACATTAGATTTAAGCTGCACTTTAGACCAATGGACCTAACAGATATTTTCAGAATATTTCATCCAGCAGCAGCAGAATATACAATCATCTCATCAACACATGGAACATTCTCCAGGATAGACCATATGTTAGGACACAAAACAAGGCTCAATAAAATTTTAAAAATTAAAATCATATCAAGTATCTTCTCAGAACACAATGGAATAAAACTTGAAATCAATAAGACGAGGAAATTTGGAAACTGTACAAATACATGGACATTAAACATGCTATTGAATGATCATTGGATCAATGAAGAAATTAAGATGGACATCAAAAATTTTTTTAAACAGAAAATGGAAACACATCATGCAAAACCTATGAGATACAGCAAAAGCAGCACTAGGAAGAACGTTTATAGCAATAAATGCCTACACCAAAAAAGTAGAAAGATTTCAAATAAACAACCTAATGATGCACCTCAAGGAACTCAAAAAGCAAGAACAAACCAAGCACACAATTAGTAGAAAGAAAAAATAATAAATAACGTAGCAGAACGAAATGCAACAGAGTCAAAAAAGAAATGCAAAGAATCAACAAGACAAATTTGGTTTTTTGTAAAGTTAAACAAAATTGATAAACCAGTAGTGAGGACAACCAAAAAAAAAAAAAAAAAAAAAAAAAGGAGACCCAAATAAATACAATCAGAAATGAAAAAGGAGACATTACAACTGTTACCAAAGAAATAAAAAGGATCATTAGAGGGTATCATGAACAACCATATGCTAACAAATTGGAAAACCTAGAGGAAAGGGATAAATTCCCAGACATACAGAGCCTACCAAGATTGAACTAGGAAGAAACAGAAAACCTGAACTGACCCAAAATGAATAGCAGGTTTGAATCAGTAACAAAAAGTCTCCCAAAAGAGAAAAGCCCTAGGCTAGTCTTTTATGCTGATTTCTACCCAATTTATAAAGAACAACAAACAACAGTTCTTCTCAAATTATTCCCAAAAATTGAAGAGGAGGGAATTCTTCCTAACTCATTGTATAAGGCCAGCATTACCCTGATATCCAATCAAGACAAAGACACAACACAAAGAGAAAACTACAGGCCAATATTCCTAATGAACACAGATGGAAAAATTCTCAGCATAATACTACCAAGCCAAATCTAATGGTGAATGAAAAAGATAATATACCATGATCAAGTGGGATTTATCCCAGGAATGCAAAGATGGCTCAACCTACACAAATCAATACATGTGATACATCACATCAACAAGATGAAAGGCAAAAACTATCTGATCATCTCAGCAGATGCAGAAAAATCACTCAGTAAAACTTACCATTCCTTCATGATGAAAACTCTCAACAAATTATGCATAGAAGGAACACTTCAACATAAGAAAAGGCATACATGACAAATCTACTGCTAACATCCTACTCACTGGGAAAAATTGAAAAGCCTTTCCTCTAAGAACTGGAACAAGACAAGGGTGCCCGCTTTCACCACTCTTATTCAACACAGTATGGGACATCCAAGCCAGAGTGATCAGACAAGATAAAGAAATAAAAGGCATCCAAAATGGACAAGAGGAAGTCAAATTGTCTCACTTTGCAGATGACATAATCTTATATTTGTAAACAGGAAAACCTAAAGACTCCACCAAAAACCTCTGACAATGGATAAATTAGGCTGGACATGGTAGTTCATGCCTGTAATCCCAGCACTTTGGGAGGCCAAGGTGGGCAGATCCTGAGGTTGGGAGTTTGAGACCAGCCTGGCCAACATGGTGAAACCCTGTCTCTACTAAAAATACAGTTAGCCAGGCATGGTGGTAGGTGCCTATAATCCCAGCACCACTGCACTCTAGCCTGGGCAACAGAGTGAGACTCTATCTCAAAAAAGAAAAAAGAAAAAAAAAATTTAAAAACGGATGTATAATTCAGTAAAGCTTCAGAACACAAAATCAACATACAAAAATCAGTAATATTTCTATATACCAGTAACAAACTAGCTAAAATAGAAATCAAGGAAGAAATTCTATTTACAATAGCTACAAAAATAAAATACCTAGGAATAAACTTAACCAAGGATGGGGAAAAAAACCCAAAAAACATCTACAATGACAAGCACAAGACACTGATAAAATAAATTGAGAAGGACGTGAACAAATGGAAAGGCATCTCATGCTCGTGGCTTGGAATAACTAATACTGTTAAAATGACCATGCTACCCGAAGCAATCTAGAGATTCAGTACAATCCCTATCAATTATATTCTTCACAGAAACAGGAAAAAAAAAACCCTGAAATTCATATGGAAGCATAGAAGACTCCAAATAGCCAAAGCAATACTGTGCAAAAAGAAGAAAGCTAGAAGCCTCACACTACCTGATTTAAAAATATACTGCAAAGCGGCCGGGTGTGGTGGCTCATGCCTGTAATCCCAGCACTTTGAGAGGCCGAGGCGGGTGGATCACAAAGTCAGGAGATCGAGACCATCCTGGCTAACACGGTGAAGCCCCGTGTCCACCAAAAAAAAAAAAAAAAAAAAAAAAAAAAATTAGTCAGGTGTGGTGGTGGGCACCTGTAGTCCCAGCTACTCAGGAGGCTGAGGCAGGAGAATGGCATGAACCTGGGAGGCAGAGCTTAGAGTGAGCCAAGATCGTGCCACTGCACTCCAGACTGGGTGACAGAGCAAGACTCCGTCTCAAAAAAAAAAAAAAAAAAAATATATATATATATATATATATATATACACTGCAAAGCCATAGTAACCAAAACAGCGTGTATTGGTATTAAAACAGACACAAAAACAAAGGAAACAGACTAAAGAATCCAGAAATGAATCCACATATTTACAGCTAACTGATTTTCAAGAAAGCAGTCAAGAACATACATTGAATAAAGGACACCCTCTTCATTAAATGGTGCCAGGAAAACTAGATATCCAAACACAGAAGAATAAAACTAGACCCTTATCTCTCATCACTTACAAAAATAAATTCAAAATCAATTAAAGACTTAAATGTAACAGCCACAACTATAAAACTACTAGAAGTAAACACAGGAGAAACTCTTGAGAACAAAGATTGTACGGTTAACACTTAAAAAG
The DNA here is from genome assembly GCF_000001405.40 of Homo sapiens. Lineage (NCBI taxonomy): Eukaryota > Metazoa > Chordata > Mammalia > Primates > Hominidae > Homo > Homo sapiens. Next base: position 9,573,101 of record NC_000004.12, on the reverse strand, counting down.
TACAAGCAACAAAAACAGACAAATGGGATTATATTAAACTAAATACCTTCCGCATATCAAAGAAAGCAATCAACAGAGTGAAAAGACAACACCCTACCCTTACACCATACACAAAAATTAACTCAAGATGGCCTAAAGTCTTAAATGTAAAACCCATAACTATAAACACGCTGGAAGACAACCTAGGCAATACCATCCGGTACATAGTGATGGGCAAAGAGTTCATGGTGAAGATGCCAAACGCAATTGCCACAAAAGAAAAAATTGACAAATGGGATCTAATTAAATGAAAGAGCTTCTGCACAGCAAAAGAAACTATCAAAAAATAAACAGACATTTCTCAAAAGAAGATATACAAATCACCAAGTTTATGAAAAAACATTCAACATCACTAATCATCACGGAAATGCAAATCAAAACCACAATGAGATATCATCTCACACTTGTTAGAATGGCTATTATGAAAAAGACAAAGCACAACAAATGCTGGCAAGCATGTGAAGAAAAGAAAATTATTGTATATTGTTGGTGGGAATGTAAATTAGTACAGCTATTATGAAAAAAAGTACACAGATTTCTCAAAAAACTAAGAACAGATCTACCATATGATCCAGCAATCCCACTCCTGGGTATATATCCAAAAAAAAATCAGTGTATCAACGGGATATCTGTACCCCCATATTTACTGCAGCACTATTTACAATAGCCAAGATATGGAATCAATCTAAATGTCAATCAATGGATGAATGGATAAAGAAAATGGGAATATACTCACAATAGAATAGTATTCAGCCATAAAGAAGAATGAAATCCTGTCATTTTCAGCTAAATGGATGGAATTAAAGGTCATAATGTTAGGTGAACTAGGCCATGCACAGAAAGAAAACTATTGCATGTTCTCACTTATATGAGCGGTTTATGCTCCTGGAAATCAAAGTGGGGGCCAGGTTTCAGGTCAGTAGGTCAGGGATAGAGACCGCAGTTACGTACTTGTGTGCTCTGGAGCTATATAAAATTGATATCATGGAGATAAAGAGTAGAATGATAGTTACCAGAGGCTGGGAATAGGAGGGGTTTGAAAAGAGGTTGATTGATGTGTATAAAAATATATAACAGAAGGAATAAGATCTAGTGTTTATTATCACAGAAAGTGACTACAACAATTTATTGTATATTTCTTTTTTTTTAATTTCAATAGTTTTTAGGGAACAGGTGGTATTTTGTTACATGGATAAGTTCCTTCGTGGTGATCTCTGAAATTTTGGTGTACCCATCACCAAAGCAGTTTGCCCAATGTATAGTCTTTTATCTCTTACCCCCTCCCACCTTCCCCCTGAGCCCCCAAAGTCCACTGTTTCATTCTTGTGCCTTCGCATCATCATAGCTTAGCTCCCACTTACGAGTGAGAACACGCAATGTTTGGTTTTCCATTCCTGAGTTAATTCATTTAGAATAATGATCTCCAACTCCATCCAGGTTGCCATGACTGCCATTATTTCATTCCTTTTTAAGGCTAAGTAGTATTCTGTGGTATATATATATAACACATTTTCTTTATCCACTAATTGATTGATGGGCATATGGGCTGGTTCTATAGTTTTGCAACTGTGAAGTTTGCTGCTGTAAACATGTGTGCAAAAGTATCCTTTTCAAATAGTGTCTTCTTTTCCTCTGGGTAGATACCTAGCAATGGGATTGCTGGATCAAATGGTAGATGTGTTTCTAGTTCTTTAAGGAATCTCCATACTGCTTTCCATAGTGGTGGTACTAGCTTACATTCCCACCATCAGTGTAAAAGCGTTGTCTTTCACCACATCTGTGCCAACATCAATTTTTGCTTTTTTTTTTTTTTTTTTTTTTTTGAGATGGAGTCTCACTCTTTTGCTCCGGCTGGAGTACAGTGGTGCCATATCAGCTCACTGCAACCTCTGCCTCCCGGGTTCAAGCAATTCTCCTGCCTCAGACCCCGGAGTAGCTGGGATTACATGCAACCGCCACCATGCCCGGCTAATTTTTGTATTTTCAGTAGAGACTGGGTTTCACCATGTTGGTCAGGCTGGTCTCAAACTGCTGACTTCGTGATCCACCGACCTTGGCCTCCCAAAGTGCTGGGATTACAAGCATGAGCCACCGCGCCTGGCCCTCTTTTTGTTTATTTTACACGTGGTATTGCGTTGTGGTTTTGATTTGCATTTCCCTGGTAATTAGTGATGTTGAACATTTTTTCATATGTTTGTCGGCCATTTGTATATGTTCTTTTCAGAGTTGTCTATTCATGTCCATGGCACACTTTTTGATGGGATTATTTTTTTCTTGCTCATTAGAGTTCCCTGTAGATTCTGGACATTAGTCTTTTGTCAGATGCAGTTTTTGAAAATTTTCTCCTACTCTATGGGTGATCTGTTTACTCTGCTGATTATTTCCTATGCTGTGCAGGAGGCTTTTAGTTTAATTAAGTCCCATCTATTTATCCTTGTTTCTGTTGCATTTGCTTTTGGGTTCTTGGTCATGAACTGTTTGCCTAAGCCAATGTGTAGAAGCATTTTCCAATGTTATCTTCTAGAATTTTTATGGTTTCAGACCTTAGATTTAAGTCTTTGATCCATCTTGTGTTGATTTTTGTATAAGGTGAGAGATAAGGATCCAGTTTTATTCTTTTACATGTGGCTTGCCAATTATCCCAGCACTATTTGTTGTATAGTGTGTACTTTCCCTACTTTGTTTTTGTTTACTTTGTTGAAGATCAGTTGGCTGTTAAGTATTTGGCTTTATTTCTAGCTTCTCTACTCTGTCCCATTGGTCATGTGCCTATTTTTATACCAGCACCATGCTGTTTTGGTGACTATAGCCTTGTAACATAGTTTGAAGTTGGGTAATATGATGCCTCTAGATTGGTTCTTTTTGCTTAGTTTTGCTTTGCCTATGCAGATTCATTTTTAGTTCCAAATGAATTTTAGCATTGTTTTTTCTAGTTCTATAAAGAATGATGATGGTACATTGATAGGAATTGCATTGAATTTGTAGACTGCTTTTGGCAGTATGGTCATTTTCACAATATTGAGTCTACCCATCCATGAGCATGGAATGTGTTTCCATTTGTTTTTGTCATCTATGATTTCTTTCAACAGTGTTTTGTAGTTTCCCTTGTAGGGGTCTTTCACCTCCTTGGTTAGGTATATTCTTAAGTATTTTATTTTTAAAGCTATTATAAAAGGGTTTGATTTGATTCTCAGCCTGGAAGATGTTGGTGTATAGCACTGCTACTGATTTGTGTACATAGATTTTGTATCCTGATAAATGGATTTATTGTATATTTCTAAATAGCAATAAGATTTGAAATATTCCCAACACAAAGAAATGATCAATGTTTGAGGTGATTAATATCCTAAAGACCCTGATTTGATCATTACACATTGCATGCATGTACCAGAATCTCACATGGACCCCATAAATGTGTATAATTATTCTCTATCAAAAACATTTTTTTAAGAAACATGCAGGAATACCCTGTACCTCTTCCTTGCTGTCTCTGGATATTGTCACATGAGGACTTGACATGCGGATTGTGGCAGCCTCTGTGTCCAAGAGCAGAAGACAATAGCAGCATAGAAACCTCAAATGAAAAACCTAACATCTCAAGCTACTAATTTAGCCAAACTTGGCATCAGCTATCTCTGGTCTTAGTACATGAGGTGATAAGCCCCCACTGTTCAAGTTGGGTGGCCATCAATTGCTGCAGAATAGAAGTTAATGAGGCTTCCTCCTCCTGGATCCCCTACTAGACCCTGACATGCCCATTCAGTCACAGGCAGAAAGGGAAGCAGAGGGTAAGAAGACATGGCTGGCTGTGCCAGATGCAGATCTTACCTGTCCTGCTTAGAACACTCAAAGCTCAAATGGCTAAACAAAAAAAGGAAAAAGACAGTAAGGAGTATAACACTCCCCAGATGCAACTTGATCTAACACTCTACACTTTAAATTTTCTAAACATACATAGAAATCAGACCACTACTTCTGCAGAACATTTTACTGGTAAAAAGAACAGCCCACATGAGGAAAACTGATTTGGTGGAAAGACAACAAAAACAAAACATGGGAAATAGGTAAGGTGATAATATGGGGGAGAGGTTTTGCTTGTGTTTCACCAGGAGAAAATCAGCTTCCTGTTTGGATACCCACTAGACATTTGAAGTTCTATAATGAACCCATCAGAGATGCAAATGAAAGTGCCTCCGCAGAGACAGAAAACCCGCAATCGAGCATCATCGACTCGCAGGGTGAACAAAATGGTGATATCAGAAGAACAGATGAAGTTGCCAACCACCAAGAAAACGACACATGTGGAGAGCCAGGGAGAGGAAGAGAAAGAAAAAGAGACAGAGATCAGAGAGAGACACAGAAAGTGAGCCTGGGGAGAGAGATAGTATAAAAGAGAGAGACTGTAAGAAAAGGGAGACAAAGAGATAAAAGGTGTGAGAGAACAGGTGAGGAGAAAGACCGAAAACTATGAGAAACAGCAACTAAGACACAAAGGAGGTGGCAGACCGCCTGGGTGCCACAGCACCCACACCGTCCTCTTGCCCCCTGTCACTTGGGTTAAAACCACAGGAAATTCCACTGTTGCAAATTTTGTATTAATCCTTGTATGTCTGTCCTTTCTATTGTTAGTCTACAGGTGTATCCAGCAGCTCCAGAGAGACAGCAACCAGCGAGAAGGGGTCATGATGATGGTGGTGGTTTTGTCAAAAAGAAAAGGGGGATATGCAGGGAAAAGAAAGAGAGATCAGACAGTTACTGTGTCTATATAGAAAGGGAAGACATAAGAGACTCCATTTTGTAAAAGACCTGTACTTTAAACAATTGCTTTGCTGAGATGTTCTTAACCTGTAGCTTTGCCCCAGCCAGTTTGACCCAACCACTTCGACCCAACCTGGAGCTCACAAAAACATGTGTTGTATGAAATCAAGGTTTAAGGGATGTAGGGCTGTGCAGGACTTGCCTTGTTAACAAAATGTTTCCAAGCAGTATACTTGGTAAGTCATTGCCATTCTCTAGTCTCAATAAACCAGGGGCACAATACACTGTGGAAAGCGGCAGGGAGCCCTGCCCTTGAAAGCGGCATATTGTCTAAGGTTTCTACCCATGTGATAGTCTGAAAAGTGGCCTCATGGGAGGAGAAAGACCTGACGGTCCCCCAGCCTGACACCCGTAAAAGGTCTGTGCTGAGGTGGATTAGTCAAAGAGGAAAGCCTCTTGCAGTTGAGATAGAGGAAGGCCACTGTCTCCTGCCTGTCCCTGGGAACTGAATGTCTTGGTATAAAACCCAATTGTACATTTGTTCAATTCTGAGATGGGAGAAGAACCGCCCTATGGTGGGAGGCGAGACATGTTTACAGCAATGCTGCCTTGTTATTCTTTACTCCACTGAGATGTTTGGGTGGAGAGAAACATAAATCTGGCTTATGTGCACGTCCAGTCATAGTACCTTCCCTTGAACTTCATTATGACATAGATTCTATTGCTCACATTTTTGTTGCTGACCTTCTCCTTATTATCACCCTGCCCTCCTACTACATTCCCTTTTGCTGAAATAATGAAGATAATAATCAATAAAAACTGAGGGAACTCAGAGACCGGTGCCAATGCAGGTCCTTGATATGCTATGCGCCGGTCCCCTGGGCCCACTGTTGTTTCTCTATACTTTATCTCTGTGTCTTATTTCTTTTCTGTCTCTCAGCCTACCTGGCTAGAAATACCCACAGGTGTGGAAGGGCAGGCCACCCCTTCAGTATGAGATTACAGGCATGAATAACTCCACCTGACCACCTACCTCACTCTTGAGAGGCCAGAAGTGATGCTGGAACTTCCTTCCTCTGTGGGTTAAAAAGGGAAAATTAGGGAGAACACAAGGCAGGAGAGATGCAGCGATGGATATGTCTATATGGAGCTTCTATCTGCATCCAGTAGAAAATGCATTTCTAGGCACCAGGTTTAACAGCAAAAACCTGGAGTCTTGTCTGTTAGCATTCTCCTTCCCCACAAACCTGAGAGGGAATACATTTGCTCCAGCACACCCGGATGTAAGAAATGTCACATTCCTATTTCTGTAACTTCAGTTAAATCTGCTCTGAGTCCCTGGATGCCTGGCAGGTGGAGAATTCAATCTTGTCGTTACCAGCATTCCTTTCCCTTCTCCATGGACTTATGTAAGAATTCCGGGCTTACACATTGTTGGAAAGCCAGGTAGGAACTACGTCCCCCAAACTCTCCATTCTTCCAGCTGCTCATGATCCATCAGCCTTTTTTGGGCCATCTGCTATAACAAGACCCTCCTCACAGCATCATTCCACTGACCCACAGGCTCAGCCCCAGGGACCGTCACTAGAACAGGTCTCCACTATGCATAGGAACTCACAAAAACTTTCTCTTCTTCTTGGCTTCCTCTGATATCCAGCCAGTGCCCCACTTCTCACCTTAAACACAGATGGCAGCTCCTTCCCATCGTTCCAAACCTTGGGGATTTTCCAGCCAAATTCTCTTCAGACACCAAAGCTTCACCCGCCCTCTTCAGGGAGGTGCTGCAAGGGCATCTGAGATCTTTGGAAGCCCAATTCTGGCCTCTCTTTGGGGTGGGCTGAGAGTGGGAACTAGACTCTCTTTTCCAAGTGCCATGTTTATCTTGTTCATCATTATATTATCTCCAATGCCTGGCACATAGTAGGCACTACAGACTGACACACAGTAGGTGCTATTAGTGTCTGTATAATGGGACTCTTGAGGTTGAAGCTATTAGCAGAAACCTGCCATGCAAAAGGATGGAAAACCAACAACCAAAAAAAAAAAAATGAAAACAATCATGGCTTTGAGCTCTAAACACACTAGGCACCAGCCCAAGTTTGGGCAATTTTAATACAACAGCCATTTTGCCTCCAAACAAACTGGCACTGGAAACCTCCCTCTGCCTCTTAAAGAGAACCAGTTTCCCTTTCCCTAAGTGGGGAGCATTTCTCCCCAGTGGCAGTACCCAGCCCACTGCCACCAGCAAAGGACTGCAGCCAGGAGCCTTGACAGTTTAAAGAATAGATTTTATAGGGAAAAACAAAGTAACATCCACATAAATCTGGAACTACCACCACTTTCCAGAGGCCGAATCCCATTTATAAATTCTCTTGCGTGTCAAGCACCTTGCAGTCAGCTCAACTACACACTTTTGGGATTCGTTGCAGAGAAGAGTGAAGGTTATCTGCAAAATAAAGGAACCAGGGCTCAGAATTCCCAGAGCAATCCATGACAGAGGAGGTGAGTAGAAAAGGGAAGGGTGAAGTCAAAGGAGAGAAGTCAATGAGTTGGCCAACACCAAGCAAGGATCATGGGACCCTCTCCACGGCCCCACATCTCAAATGAAGTCAACAAATCCCATCAATGCTTGGTGTAAGTGTTGTATGCTCCTGGAAAAGAAAGCAGGGGCCATATTTCAGGTCAGTAGGGTCAGGGGTAGAGGCAGCGGTCATGGACTTGTGGGCCCTGGAGGATGGGATGATTCTGAGACATTGAATCCCTACACTGATCTCAGTAGAAATCTCAGGTAGGGCTTCAACATTCATGGACCAAGGACTCTGCGGGCCTGAAAGCAACAGCCTTGGTGCATGTCCCAGCTCCATCAATCCCAACTGCGGCTTTGAACAAGTTACTTATTTTTTTAACTAACATTATTTTAATTGACAAATCATAATTGTACACATTTATGTGATGTTTTGATATGTGTATACAATATGGAATGATTAGATCAAACTAATTAACACGTCCATCCCCTAATTTACTGACAATTTTTATGATGAGACATTTGAAATGTACCCACTTAGTTATTTTGAAAGACACATTATTATTGACTATAGTCATGCTGCTGTGCTATAGATTTCAAAGCATATAATCCAGCAACCCAACTTCTGGGTATAGACCAAAAAAAATCGAAGTCAATATGTCGAAGGGATCCCTACATTCCTATGTTCACTGCAGCTCTATTCACAATACCCAAGATATAGAATCAACCTAAGTGTCCATCAGTGGATGAAAGGATAAAGCAAATGTACTATATACACACAACGGAATACTATTAAACCTCAGAAAAGGAAGAAATCCTGTCATTTTCAACAACATAGATGAACTTGAAAGACATTTGTGTTAAGTGAAATAAGCCAGGCACAGAAAGACAAATACTGCATGATTTTACTTATATGTGGAATCTAAAGAAGTTGAACTCACAGAAATAGAGAGTAGGACAGTGGTTATCAGGGGCTGGGGTGGAGGAAAGGTAGGGGATAGGAGACACTGGTCAAAGGGTACAAAGTTTCCAATAGGAAGAATAAGTTTTGAACAAGCTAAACTCCTCTGAAAGCTCAGTTCCTCATCTGTAGAGCAGGGACACATCATTAACCTTCTAAGGATGTTGCTGTGAGAGTAAGAGATGATGTACAGCACAATACCTAACGCACAGTCAGGTCTCCTTAAGCTTGAACCTGCATCGCCATGACCTCTACATCACAGGGCAGAAAGGCTCACAGCCAGTGTCTGAGTTCCCAGTGAAAAGTGGATCCCAGATCAGGCTGAACAGCAGGATCCCTAGGGGATACCCAGCCCTACTGGGTCAGAATCACCAGAGGTAGAGCCTGGGTATGTATGTATGTGTATGTGTGTGTGTGTGTGTGTGTGTGTGTGTGTGTGTGCATGTATGTAGGTATGTATGTATAAGAGACAGGGTCTTGCTCTGCAGTCCAGGCTGGAGTGCAGTGTCACAATCATACTTCACTGCAGCCTCAAATTACTCCTGGCCTCAAGCCATCCTCCCACCTCAGCCTTCAGAGTAGCTGAGACTACAGACGCATGCCACCAAGCCCCGGTACTTTTCTTTTTTCTTTTTTCTTTTTGGAGAGAGTCTCACTCTGTTGCCCAGGCTGGAGTGCAATGGTGCATTCTTGGCTCACTGCAACCTCTGTCTCCCGGGTTCAAGTGATTCTCGTGCCTCAGCCTCCTGAGTAGCTAGGATTACAGGCATGTGCCACCACACCAGGCTAATTTTGCATTTTTCATTGTTGTTTCTTGTTTGTTTTTCACAAATAGGACTTTTTATTTGCCACTGTTTTAAGTCTGAACTTTAAACAGATTCTTGGACAGGTGGTTCATATCCATCAGCTCATTCAACTTTAGCATGTATCTCGTCCCTAGGGGGTTTTCCAGAACTACTACCGTCACCACGAAGCTCCATGCCTTTCAAACCCAGGGTTCTCCAGCATTTTTACTTTTCTAATGAAGACATCATGGAGAGGATAGATTGGCAAGCCTTTTCTACTTCTTTTCCAATATTGTCTGGAATCATTTTATTGACCACTTCTTTCAAGTCATTTGCCGCACCTCTCAGGTCATGATTTCCATCATCTTCTTCTGGATTTGGGGGACTGTTGGTGCTGAGCATAAGAGGTCTTCAGTATCTGATTGTTGTGTTTTTTAGTAAAACCAACACAAAACAGATGAAAGAAATAACCATCGGTAGTCTTGACATCAACATGAGCTTCAGTCATTGTTGAACATTTTTCAACCATGGAACATATTTTGTCACAGGTAAGACCCATGCCATAGAAGTTAGTCAGGCAGTTTTTGCCCTGAACATCTTCAGTAATCAGCTTGAATTTTCTAAATGCAACTTCATCATTCTGCGAATCAGCAAGACTCACTTCAAACGCAAGACCCTTGAGACCATCAGATGCAATTTGGGTTCCTTGGGTCCTGGTGACCAAGTGTTTCCAATATTTCTTATATTGAACATAGCAGGTACTTTCACATCATACTGATCTTTCTTAGAGAATGGACCAACGAATTTCTTCTTAACTCCCTTTTTGCCACCTTTCATAAGGCACTTGTTCTTAACAACCGCCATGGTGCTGCTCAGAGTACCAAAAGGCTAAATTTTGTATTTTTGGTAGAGACAGGGCTTCACCATGTTGGCCAGGCTGGTCTTCAACTCCTGACATCAGGTGATCTGCCCGCCTCAGCCTCCCAAAGTGCTGGGATTACAGGTGTGAGCCACTGCACCCAGCTGCTATTTATTTTTTCTTTTTTTGTAGAGACAGGGTCTTGCCATGTTGCCAAGGCTGGCCTGGAACTCCAGGCCTCAAGCAATCCTCCCACCACAGCCTTCCAAAGGACTGGGATTTCAGGTGTGAGCCACCATGCCCAGCCTGAAGTCTATTTTTAAAGCCAATCGAGTGTTGAATAAAATTGCAACTTGGGCTGTTTTATCTTTGCATTTTTTACATTTCAATGGTTTTTAATATATTCAGAGATATACACAAACATTACCACTCAATTTTAGAACATTTCATGACCTCAAAAAGAAACCTCATACCCTTTAGCTCACACCCCCTATCCTCCCATGCTCCTACCAGCCCTAAGCAACCACTAATCGACTTCCTATTTCTATAGAGTTCCATCTGAATGAAATCATGTAGAATGTGATCTTTCATCTGTTTTGAAGGTTCATCCACGCTGTAGCATATGTGCTTTGCTACTTTTTGTGATCAAATAATATTCCACCATGTGGGTAGACAACATTCAGTGTATCTCTACATCTGGTGATGGGCATTTGGATTAATTCCCTCTTTGGGTTATTAGGAGGATGCTACTGTAATTATTCATGTACAAGTTTTTGTGTGGACCTGTGCTTTCATTTTTGAATATGAAAATCTGGCACATTTCCAAGGAAGACATACAAGTGGCCAATAAGCACATGAAAAGATGCTCAATGAAATACATCATCAGGGAAACAGAAATCAAAACCACAATGAGATATCACATCATACCCATAAGGTTGGCTAGAATCGAAGATACAGAAAATTGGCCTGGTGCGGTGGCTCATGCCTGTAATCCCAGAACTTTGGGAGACCAAGGAGGGTGGATCACCTGAGGCCAGGAGTTTGAGACCAGCCTGGCCAACATGGTGAAACCCTGTCTCTAATAAAAAAATAAAAAAATTAGCCAGGCCTGGTGGCAGGTGCCTATAATCCCAGCTACTCGGGAGGCTGAGGCAGGAGAGTAAGTTGAATCTGGGAGGCAGAGGTTGCAGTGAGCCGAGATTGTGCCACTGCACTCCAGCCTGGGTGACAGAGCAAGACTTCATTTCAAAAAAAAAAACATAAAATAACAAGTGTTGGTGAGGATGCAGAGAAACTAGAACCTTCATACACTGCTGGTGGGAATTAAAATGGTGCAGCCACTGTGAGAAACACTTTAACAACTTCCCAAACAATTCTACATAGAGTTACCAAATGACCCAGCAATTGTACTCCTAGGTATAGGCCCAACTTGGGCTCTTTCAATCTATGGAAAATGAACTATGGGTACTTGGCAAGAACAAAGAGGGAGAGAGGTGGAAATGCTGCCATGAGGGCGCATTGATTGGTCTCTAGTACACAGGGCTCCTACCGCAAATGGCCTCTAAGTGACTTCATCAGTTGCTCATAAAAAAAAATCACCCTCTGCTCCAATCGTGGAGGAAGAAGTGTGGATTGGACCTGGTGAGCCACGGTAAGACTGACTGCTAAACTGTATGAGTGATGAGGGGATTTGCACGTATAATCTTGACTGTACTAGATTTTTATTTTATCCACTGTCTTTGAAAACCTAACTCTTGAGTAAGAACTGACTTTCCTGTACTTGTTTTTGACTCTAAGTAAACTTCCAATTCCACATAGTCCAGAGATGATGTGCTGAGAAACCTCTCAAAGGAAAAATGCTAAGAATACAGGCACAGTTATTCGGCAAATTTTGCAGAATTAACACAAATTGCACTTGCAGGTACAAAGCACAAAACATTTTCATGGGTAAAGAAAAAAGTGTTCTTCATTCTAGTAGACGCTGCAGGATGAAGCCGATCAAGGTGCTTGCCCAGCCAGACCTTGGGCTCTTACCAAATTTGTGTTAGAGTCAACTCTGATGGAGTCTGTATCTCAGTCATCTTTTTTTTTTGACATGGAATCTCGCTCTGTCTCCCAGGCTGCAATGCAGCGGTGTGATCTCAGCTCACTGCAACATCTGCCTCCTGGGTTTAAGCGATTCTCCTGCCTCAGCTTCACAAGTAGCTGGGACTACATGTGCATGTCACCATGCCCGGCTAATTTTTGTATTTTTAGTAGAGACGTTTCATCATGTTGGCCCGGCTGTACTCAAACTCCTGACCTCAAGTGATCCACCTGCCTTGGCCTCCCAAAGTGCTGGGATTACAGGCATGAGCCACCATGCCCGACCTTAGTCATCTTTTTATCCTCCACACCTGGCAAGTTCTAGACACACTGTGGTTCCATACAAGTTTGTTGAATAAATAGGAGACAGATAGAAGGTGGGAAATCTGGAAGTAGAGAAGATTCCAGAAATTGTGCATATTTCCCAGAGACTGTGGCCAAATTCCTCAGTCCTGCCAGAGTTTCTCTATCTCAACTGAAACCTTACGTGTGGGGCCAGGCGCAGTGGCTCACACCTGTAATCCCAACACTTTAGGAGGCTGAGGTGGGCAGATCACTTGAGACCAGGAGTTCAAGACCAGCCTGGCCAACATGGTGAAACCCCATCTCTACTAAAAATACAAAAATTAGCCAGGCATGGTGGTGTGCACCTGTAGTCCCAGCTACTTGGGTGGCTGAGGCACAAGCATTGTTTGAACCCAGGAGGCGGAGGTTGCAGTGAGTCACGATTATGCCACTGTACTCTAGCCTGGGCAATAAAGCAAGACTGTCTCAAAAGAAAAAGAAAACCCTTATGTGTGGGCCTTGTTACAGAATTAATGTTTATATGGACAATATGTACATGGGTGTATGTTAAAAGCATGAGTCATCCACAAGATTTTAGCAAAGTCCATTTAGAAAGCTCAATGCTTTGGGCTTCCACTTGCTTTGCTGCCTCTGTCCTCAGGAGGCTTCATCCTTCCATGTAAACAGCAAATCCTTTAGGCAGAGATGTACACAACACACCCCTCTCCTTGGCTATGATACCTTGAAAGGGTCCTCTTGGTGGCCCCTGGTGCTCATTTCAGAGTAGTTCAAAATAAGATGATCAGCTTTCATGCCAATCACTCTACAAATCACTCCTATTATGACCAATTTTTCTAAATGATTTATTGAATTATTACTTAAAGAAATGTGCACATAGAAGAGGTCAACACAGTACTTTTCTTACAAACTGAACATACTGGCCAGGCGCAGTGGCTCATGCCTGTCATCCCAGCATTTTGGGAGGCTGAGGTGAGCAGATTACTTGAGCCCAGGAGCTCAAGACCAGCCTGGGCAACATAGTGAGAACCCCCCCTCTACAAAAAATAAATAAATACAAAAATTAGGCAGCAGTGGTGGCACATGCTTGTAGTTCCAGCTACTCAGGAGGGCTGAGGTGGGAGGACAGCTTGAGCCCAGGAGGCAGAGGCTGCAGTGAGCCATGACGGTGCCACAGTGCTCCAGGCTGGGTGACAGAGCAAGATCCTGCCTCAAAAAACAAACAAACAAACAAACAAACAACAACAAAAAAACACATCTCCATATTACCGAGAACCAATTCAAGAAACAAAATATTACAGCCCCTTCCAGGATATTCCTGGGATCTCCTCCATCTCTACAAACCCCTGACTACAAACAGCCTCCACCTATTTCACCTGACCATTGTACTTTATGAAAGCAGCAGTTCTCAGATGGGGGCTATTCTGCCCCCTGGGGACATTAGGCAATATCTGGAGACACTGGGGGTTGTGTCTACTTGGGGGGAGTTGTGTTACTGCGTCCAGTGAGTCCAGGGATCCAGGGATGCCGCTCAACATCCTAAAATGCACAGGGAACCCCCACACATAGAACAGAGAAATTGCTGAGCCGAAATGTCAGCAGCGTCACAGCTGACACCCTGACATACACAGAATCACACAGTATCTGCTCTTTCGTGCTCAAGATCTCTTTCATTCTAATCATTTCATAGGAAACAGAAATGTCATTTGCAGGCAGGTAGAGCCCAAAACAAAGAAAATCCAGAGTTTTTTTTTTTTTTTTTTTTAATCAGCCTGGTGCCTTTAGAGCTAGGATTTGGTTTCCATTCCTTCTGTCTCATTTTCAAGTGATTTTTCTTCAAATGGCATCTGCTGGGCTCAACACCCAGAGATTCCCACAAAGCTGAGATTCACATGGGAATTTTGTACGCACCCACACAGGTATACACTGCCATTTACATGCAGACATCCACCCACAGATACACACATCCGGAGACCAAGACAGAAAGCAAACTCCACCATAAAAGCACAGTCCCCCAAACAGGAGAAATGCACCATTCACTCCAGGGAGGTACCTATTGGTTTAATTCAGCCTCTGATAAGCTGTTGCCAAGCCCGCTCTGAAAGTCTTCCCCTCTAGGAAAGAGAGATGAAATTTTTCTTTACTCAAGAATATACATCTAAAAAAACCAAACACTTCTGCATCTCAAAAGCAGGCTCTACCTCCTCAGCTACACATATTGATCAGCATTTTATTGTCAATTTTCTTTTATTTGGACTGGAGAAAAATATAATCTAATTATGTTCTTACTGACAGTTGGGAATCAGTCACACTAAATCCAATTCTCTGGGTTCTCATGACTAAGGTTTTTAATTTGGGGGAAAACAAAGCAAAAGCATTGGTGGTGTTTTAATATAATTAGTAGAGAATATATCTAAGGGGTTCAAGTATCACTGCAGCAAGCAGCTCATTCTGCAGTAAAAGGGGGATTCTGACACTAGGATTGAGTTAGGGTGGTTCATGGCTGCACCGTTTTATCAATGTCTCTTCAAGATTCCATGGAATGTGGAATGGGAAAGACTGAAATAGTGCAAGTCTTGGCTAAGCTTCTATCAAGAGGTGTTAGGAGCTGATAAATAACCTAGTCTTTACAGACATCCCACGCTGTAGGTCTCTAAGCTACAGATTCTCAGATTTTTCTATTTCATAAACCAGTAAAAATATTTTTTTTAATTTGAGAACCAACATAAAGTTGCTATTTTTGTTTTTGTAAGAAGGAAATTTTTTAAACTACCAGTTTTGTACCACGCACACACACACACACACACACAAACACGACACACACATACACACAGAAATTACACCATGATTGGTCAGAATAGGTTAGGTTTTGCTGCAATAACAAATAATTCCTAAATCTTGGCAACTTCAAACATCAGAAGTTGTTTTCCTCACTCATGCTACATCTGCAGGGAGGTGTGGGGTGCTCTGTTTTCCATCAAACTTGCCCTAAGACTAAGGCTAATGGGGGTTGCATTACCTCGAGTATCACCAAGCAGGGAACAGAGGGAGAAGAATGCTAGAGAGCCCTGTACTAGGAATTAAATGCTCCAGGCTAGAAGTCTCACACTGCACCTCTGCCCCCAGCCTCTTGGCCAATTCTAGCCACATCCCCTTCCCCACCACAGGGCAATGCATGAAGTCAGGAGAAATGGATACATTACAAATTTCTACCCCATGGCATTTCATAAAAGAGAAAACATGCAAATACAAATATGTTTTAATAGAATAGAATATATACATTTTTAGAATAAAGAACAATCCTCCAAAAAGGACAGCTGGTGGTCTCTCACCAATGGGCACACTTCTCTGATATTTTCTCTGTTTTTCCATTTTATCCTTGACCTATGAACATTTTATACAGATGGTCCAAAGAACACCATGTGGGGACCACTGCTCTAATCAGGTGATGAAAACGGCCCCAAGAACAGAGTACAGTCTCTTTAGCAAAGACCCAGCAGGGCCAGGGTGACCACGTTCTCACCATCAATGTGCAGACATCCACCTGCAGCATCCTCACATCCCAACATCAAACAGTGGCTCTTTATAGCTTGATTCTAATGCCACTTGATCTTCATCATCACTGTAAAGCTCTCTGGCCCCAAGATTTAACATCGCCACTCTAGCTACATCCTGCAACTCTTCAACTCTCCTGCCTCCTCATCCCTCTAAACTTCTCTTCACAACCTCATGTTTCTTTCTTGCTTTACCTTCCTGTTCAGCCTAGACCTTACAGTCACCTTCTTTTTGTAATGTGCTCCTGAACTCATTCTTCCCTTCCTTCAACCACACCCACCTGGAAAATCTCCATACCCCACTGATGACTTGCCTCGCAACTGCCCAAGGGCAGCTGAATGATACTGGAAAGAATCACAACATGGATCTGGTAGTTCCGCTAAATAATCTCACCATCCAACTCTAGGGTAGACTTCACTTCTCTTCAGCAATATTTTTAAGCATCACAAATAAATTCCAAACCATATTTGCTAGAACAACTGACTTTAAACCTCTTCCCTATCTCAAAGCCCCCCAAACCTAGGGGTTTCAGAACCCAGAGTTGAGTTCTCTCAACTCACTTCCATATCACCCCTAGATCACTGTATCTTGACCCTCTTCCTCTGCCTTTCCCATCTTATAAGGAGAAGCATCCTTCTCCTTTCCCAAGCTACCTTCTCCACTTGTGCCTCATTTGAGACCTCCCTTTATCACCCATTCCCTTGGAACTCCCATGACTCACCACCTTCACACTCCTCATTTCACTTATAAATATTTTCACCCTGTATGTGCCAGGCGTTTAACATATAATCATGCTTAAGTCTCCACATGCTAACAAGAAAAACCTTGATTACCCTGCTATGCCCTCAAGTCATTATCCTCCCCGCTCCTTTCCTGTGTTCCCAAACTTCGTTGATCTTCATCAATCCCTCTGATGTAGATGGCTCCGAAGTTTGCATCCTATTAGTTTGGTGCAAAAGTAATTGCGGATTTTGCCATTAAAAGTAATGGCAAAAATAGCAATTATTTTTGTACCAGCCTAGTATCTTTTCTCCTTCTAACAAAGTTCGTCCCTGATCCATCTCATCACCTATAACTACCTCCTCCATGCAGTTGATTCCCAGATCTGTATTATTCTACTGAAAGTCCATTCCCCAACTTTCTCAGCTAGAATAACAGAAGCCCAATTAGAATTCATGCTACCAGTTTCCCACCACCACCACCACCACTGTTGCCCTGCCATTGTTAGCAAAACCTTCTCTTGAGTGGAGCTCAAAGATTTGTAATCTCCCACTTCCCAGAAAGATAACTTCAGACTCAACCTAGAAGTAAAGATCCTCCAGATATGGCCTCAATTACCCTCCAACCCATGTCCCCAGTACATCCCTTTGATGTCCCCTTCAGTGGAGTTAAAATTGTGTGAGTGTTTTTCTTTTCACATACTCCTGGTGTTCTTCCACATATACAATTTTCACCTCTTGAATATTTTCAAGGATTCTCCATGCTACACACAGTGAAATCCAAACTCCCCATCAGGACCCCAGTCTTCCCAAACCCTCTTTGCATTTTTCTGCCTGCATGCTTTTCCTTGGGTCATCCTCTTCTCTAATATAACCTTGTGTATTACTCTAGGTTCTCCAGAGAAAGAGCAGAGAGATAGAGGTAGAGCTATACACATAGAGAGAGACAGATTGATTAGTTGTAAGGGATGGCTCACATGGTTATGGAGGCTAAGGAGTCCTGGAGTCTGCAGCCAGCAAGCTGGGGACCCAGGACAGTCAATGATATAGTTCCAACTCGAGTCCACATCTACACTCAGGAGAAGATTGATGTCCCAGCTCAAATATAATCAGGTAAAAAGAGCAAATTCTCTGTGACTCTACCTTTTTGTTTTGTTCAGGCCTTCAGTGGATTGGATGAGGCTCACCCACACTGGGGAGGAAAATCTGCTTTATTCAGTCTAGCAATTAAATGTTATCCTCATCCAGAATACCACAGAGACACACCCAGAATAATGTGTAGCCAAATATCTGGGCACCCCACAACCCAGTCAAATTGTTACATAACACTAACCATAATGTCTTGCTTCTACTCTCTCGCCATTACTGCATGGTCAAATCCTTCCCTTATCTCAAGGCTTAGTTCAAATGTTACCTCTTAACTAAGCCTTCCCTGCTAACCCCAAATATTAATAGAATTGGTTTCTCCCTTCTCTGATGTCTCAAAATACGTTGTGTGTTTCCCTTTTACTGTATTTACTACAAACTCCCTTATAAATCAAGAGAGTGATTCCCAGACAAATTATCAAAAGAGTATAAAAGAAGTCTTCTTTGAGTGTGAAATATCTCATGGAATATAGCACATGGCCTCTTCATGAAGAAACTACTGTGATAGAAGAAGACAAGCTGGAAGAGGACAGGGAAAGGGGGTTAGTACAAAGCACAATGAGGCTGGGCTCATACAGTGGCTCACACCTGTAATCCCAGCACTTTGGGAGGCCAAGGCCAGTGGATCACGAGGTCAGGAGATCGAGACCATCCTGGCTAACACGGTGAAACCCCGTCTCTACTGAAAATACAAAAAAGTTAGCGAGGCATGGAGGTGGGCACCTGTAGTCCCAGCTACTCAGGAGGCTGAGGCAGGAGAATGGTGTGAACCCGGGAAGCAGAGCTTGCAGTGGGCCGAGATCACACCACTGCACTCAAGCCTGGGTGACAGAGAAAGACTCCATCTCAAAAAAAAAAAAAAAAAAGAAAAGAAAAAGAAAGAAAACACAATGAAATGTCAGTGGATGGGTGCCTATAATTTCTAAGGGAAATAGAGTATAATCCAAGAATTTTATAGCCAGCTAAATTTTTGCCCAATCAAAATAGGCAAAAGACACTATCACATGTTCAAGAACTTAAAGAATACAGTATTTCTGAGCTCTTTTTTTAAAAAAAGTCTCCATAATAAAATTTAGTCAGCCAGGAAATTAAAAAATAAGCAACTTGTGAATTGAATGACCATGACAAAAGGCTAGTGATGAGAGGTGAATCCATTTAAAAATAGGACTATGATTGCAGAACAGAAAGAAAAGGTGGTCAACCTCAACAATATAAAACAACCTAGAAATAACTAGTTTCCAGAGGTAAAGGGAGGGACTGTAGGAAGTAGAAGTGCTAATGACCTTTATTAAGTCAATTAATCAGGTCTAAAATTGAAACATGGTTTTAAATATGTAACTTCTTGTTTATTTTCCTCCCTAACTACCTGAGGATCAACCACCATGATGAATGACACAGTAACTATCTGGACCAGGAAGTTCATGACCAATGGACCACTCCAGAGGAAACAAATGGTCACCAATGTCCTTCACCCCGGAAAGGCAACAAAATGTACAAGACCACAATGGATGTCATCTTCATATTAATAGTTGGACTTAGAACCCGTTTTGGTGGTGGTTAAACAATGGTCTTTGGCATGCTATCTGGTTCTTTGAATTATGCAAAGAAAAATGAACTCAAACATAGACTTGCAAGACACGGCTGGCATGAGAAGAAGATGACCTCAAGAAAACAGCAAAAGGAATGCAAGGGCAGAATGAAGTCAAGAGACTGCAAAGGCCAATGTCAGTGCTGGCAAAAAGCAAAAGGAGTAAAGATTTTGCAATGACTTTATTTGCAGTGACTGTACAAATTTTTCATGAGATGATCACTCAACTGTAAGGACTTCTACATATATATAAAACATCTTAATATTTTTCATCATCTTTGATTTCTTAGATGTTCTAGAAACTGATTTTTAGTGAGGAAAAACTACATTTATCTGAGTTGACCAGTTCCTTCAGTTTCACTTCCATTTCTTTTTCTTCTGATAAATTTACCCAGCATTCAATTTGCTACTTCTTGTTTTTAAAATCTCATTTTGTGTGATCAGAAGTGTCTGTTCATGTCTCTAGCCATCTTTGTGCATAGCAAGGAATGCTGTTCACTTAATATTAGGAGGTTTATTTCTTGGGGTCGTGAGATTTGGGGTGATTTCTCTCCCTTTTTGTACTTTTCTGTATTCAGTAATTTTTTGAGACAATGTCACCAATGTCCTTCATATTAATATTTGGACTCAGAACCCATTTTGGTGGTGGTTAAACAATCGTCACCCACATTGGAGTGCGGTGGTATGATCTCAGCTCACCAAACCTCCGCCTCCCAGGCTTAAGCGATTCTCCTGCCTCAGCCTCCCCTGTAGCTGGGATTACAGGCGTGCACCACTACCGCCTGGCTAATTTTTATATTTTTAGTAGAGATGGGGTTTCACCTTGTTGGCCAGGCTGGTCTTGAACTCCTGACCTCAAATGATCCACCCGCCTTGGCCACCCAAAGTGCTAGGATTACATGTGTGAGCCATCATGCCCAGCCTTTTCTGTATTAAATTTTTTAAAACACAACATTTAAAATAATCAAGTCATTCTTTTTGAATCTACTTTGTATTATAGGTATCCAAATACTCACCTATTCTCTCTTATGTGATGACAAACTTGTTGAAATGTCATTTCATTTTGTGGCTCCAGCCCCAGGGATTCTGACTGATTCTAAAGGGCCTGCATGCAGAGTGAGCAAGCCGCCTGGATGATTCTCTTACAGGTGTTTTAAGGGCAGGAATTTGAGACACCCTGATGCAAAAGAATGAACCCTCAAGGAAGTTGGCTGTACATGTATTTTCCTTCCTAGCACAGGAAAAGACAGAAAGATTATCCAATCGGTACCACTCATAGCACCTGATTATATGTGTGTAAGGGATTCAGAAATGGTTTGATCAAGGCTGAAGACCTAAAAAGAGGCTCTTCTCTTGGACACCAAGTCCCCATCTCATGCGTGGTTGAGTTAGTAGAAACTGAGGATGATGCCTCTTCCTCCAGCATTGGTATCCCATGGTTTTTGTTGTTCAGTAGATGAAGTACCTCCATCCCCCAACATCCTCAAGCTCTATCCCAGTTTCCTCACATACACTTTTTTTTTTTTGAGACAGAGTCTCGCTCTGTCACCCAGGCTGGAGTGCAGTGCAATGGTGCAACCTCAGCTCACTGCAACCTCCACCTCCCAGGTTCAAGCGATTCTCCTGCGTCAGCCTCCTTAGTAGCTGGGACTACAGGCATGCATCATCATGCCTGGCTAATTTTTGTATTTTTAGTACAGACAGGGTTTCACTACGTTGGCCACGCTGGTCTGAAACTCCTGGCCTCAAGTGATCTGACCACCTCAGCCTTCCAAGTGCTAAGATTACAGATGTGAGCCACCGTGCCCAGCCTCCTCACTTACACTTTTACAGAAGATCTGATCATACTCACTCCGCAGAAGTCAGAATGGCCCCCACGTCGTGTTAAACGGGAGTGAAAACTTGAGTTCAGTCAACTGAGGGTGACAGAGAAACATTTCCCCCAAAATGCTTTCGGCAGCTCTGCTGATCCATAACCTGGCTCCATTTCAGGGCAAGACCTCCACTTAAGCTGCACTGGCTTCCACTACAGTAAATCACATTGACTCATGGCAAACAAAACTGAAGAGCAAAAAGTTTCTTTTTAAAATGATTTTTTTCACTCACTTACCAACACACGTTGGCCTCCCTAGAGCCTGACTGCATCCAGCACCTGTTCCACTGAGCACCGACTGAAAGCTCAGCTCATGAGCTGAGATGACCCAGACATCAAGGAGTTTACAATCCAGAGGAAGAACAGACCTGAATACAAGTGATGACAATACAAGATGGAGTCAAAGAGCCCAACTTGAAGTTTCAGCAGAATAGCACCAAAGACTAGTTCCCAACCCAGCTCCCAGAGCCAGAGCCAGAGCCAGTCTGGCTGCATGAGATCACCTGGGAGCTTTTGAAAACATAGGTCCTAGCTGAGCCCCCAATCATCAAACTGGGAGTCACTGGGAGTGAGCCCAGGAATTGGTGTATTTAATAAGCACCCACACACACATGATTCTGATGTTCCCAGGGGTTGTAGAAACATGGAACTATGGAAAACGCTAAAAAAAAAGGTACTAAAAGAAACCTATAAATATTCACTACCATCCCAGTCATCATGAGGATGCTCCATGTGCACTATTTACAATACTTAGAATAACCTGCAAGGAAAACACTCATTCATGACGATGGGCTTTATCGGGAACAGAGCCAGCCCTGGGAATGCTTGAACCTGCGCTGAAGGTCACCCCCTCCTCCCCACAGGAGGGGGCTAACATTAAGGAGCAGGGGCCAGATGGGAAATGGAGTGTCCTTTTATTATGAGACCACAGTGAGAGACTTTTTTTTTTTTTTTCCAGAGTCTCGTTCTTGCCACCCAGGCTGGCATCCAGTGGTGCAATCTCAGCTCACTGCAACTTTCGCATCCCAGGTTCAAGCAATTCTCCTGCCTCAGCCTCCTGAGTAGCTGCGACTATAGGCGCCCGCCACCACGCCTGGCTAATTTTTGTATTTTTAATAGAGACAGGGTTTCACCATGTTGGTCAGGATGGTCTTGATCTCTTGACCTCATGATCCACCTACCTTGGCTTCCCAAAGTGCTGGGATTACAGGTGTGAGCCACCACGCCTAGCCTGAGACTTTCAAGTAAAGCCACAATGGACCACAGAGCTTAGACATCAGTGCTAACATGGAATCTCTGTCATTAAATATTTAGATCTTATTATCTTTGCTCAAAGAAAAAATTATCACAATTGACATTTTGAGGACAAGACATCTGAATGTAAACTTGATCTTAAAGGATATTAAGGAATTACTGGTAATTTGATTGGGTATGACAATGATCATATAAAAAATGCCCTCATGTTTTTAGAGGGAAAGTAAATTACGTAGGGGTGAATATCATGATGTAATTACATAACTACTGTAAACTTTTTTAAATAGTTCAGAAAAACAAATGGAGTAAATATTGCAAATGTTAATAGTTTTTAAACCTATGTGATGGGTATATGATAGCTCATTAAACTAGTCTACTTTTATGTATATTGAAAATTTTTCATAATAATAATAATAAAAACCTTAGCCAGGCACAGCAGCTCATGCCTGTAATTCCGGCACTTTGGGAGGCCGAGGTGGATGGAGGACTGCTTGAGCCCAGGAGTTTGAGACCATCCTAGGCAACATAGTGAAACCTCCTCTGTACAAAAAATAGACAAATTAGTCAGGCATGGTGGTGTGCACCTGCAGTCCCAGCTACCCAGGAGGCTGAGGTGGGAGGATCACCTGAGCCCAGAAAGTCAAGGCTACAGTGAGCCAAGGTCATGCCACTGCACTCCAGCCTGGGTGACAGACCCTGTCTCAAACAAACAAACAAGCAAACAAAAACCCTCTTGATCCCATTTCCCCAAAAAATGATTTTTTTTGAGATCTTACCATCTCCTGGCTTGGTGCAGAGTACAGGAAATCAAGACAAAGTACAGCACACAAGGAATAAGGAGGGAGGGAAGCATGGGGGAGGCTATCTCTGTGGACTCTCCCAGCTCAGTCGACCCATGCGCCTTGCTTCATGGAAGAAAGGAATGGAAGATGAATCATGCCTTTCACACACAGTGACCTTCCTCAATAGTAAATGCGCCCCCAGAAGTGTCAAAGAACTCAGTGCCAGAGCCAGGCTGGCTGCATGAGAATCACCTGAGAGCTTTTGCAAACATAGGCCCCTGCTGGGTCCACATGTATTTATCTCTTGGAGAGGAGGAGAGAGGCAGAACAAGGAAAAGGATGGGAAGAAACCAGCCTTGTGCACAGGAGGATGCTGGGATTCCTCCTGCATGTTTGGTGCAATGCAGCCTATTTTACAAGGTCACAGAAGCTCAGAGAGGTAAACCTGCCCAGGTTCTCATACTTTGTTACTGGCAAAACCTGCCCAAATCTCTGTCTCTAGAAATATTTCCACTTGCTTCAACTCTGGAGCTGTCTTAGTTGTAAAGATGACAGATTCCACTCATCACTCACTTTTGTTTGCAGATATTGCCTAAGGTCCCTTGTGAATATTTAGGTCAGGGCTGCTTTTTTGAGTTTTTTTTTGTTTGTTTGTTTCTTGTTTTTATTTACAAAGCAATCTTGTGGAAAGAATCCAAAGTGTCTCCCCCATTTAAGAACCTGTAAACAGGGAGACCAGAGTCTGGAGTCCTGGTCTGGTTTCCACACCTTCCTTAGATTTCCCTGTGTGTAAAATCCAACAACAATCTTTGACAAATTGCCTCCCCCGGGGGAGAGATGGAGGAAGTGTTCACTTTGCCTTTTTTTTTCTTTCTTTTTTCAGACAGAGCCTCGCTGTGTCGCCCAGGCTGGAGTGCAGTGGCGCCATCTCAGCTCACTTCAACCTCTGCCTCCTGAGCTCAAATGATTCTTGTGCCTTAGCCTCCCAAGTAGCTGGGACTACAGGCAGACACCACCACACCTGGCTAATTTTTGTATTTTTAGTAGAGATGGGGTTTCACATATTGGCCAGGCTCGTATCGAACTCCTGGCCTCAAGTGATCCACCGCCCTCAGCTTCTCAAAGTGCTAGGACTACAGGCATGAGCCACCCTGAACAGCCACTTTGCTATTTTTGTTAATAGACAGCTTCGAGGTCCAGTATGAGTTCACTGATTAGGAAACATCACAGGCAAAGAAGAACACTTTGCATTCAAATAGCAGAATGTTTTCATTTTCAAAGAGCTCTCACCTGCCATCTAATCTTGTCTTCCTAGCAGTCCTGGGAGAGAAGCAGATGTGGTTTCCAATACCACTTTCCAGAAGAGGAGACTGAGGAAGAGGCTTTACAGACACACCGAGGATATGTGAGGACAGGTGAAGGTCATGATCATTGTCAGCCCCCTCCCCCAACCGGACATTCCCAGATCTGGTGGACTTCCAGCCAGAGGAGACAGAAGGACTGGATCGCTCAACTCTGCCAGGGGTGCCAGGACCCAATTTTTCCCTGGCTAACTCGGTCACCTCCTGTCTGGGATCTCCAACTACTACCCATCCCACAAGTCTCAGCTAAAACAGCAATTCAACGGGAACTTTTTTCTGAGGCTCCAGGATTGGGCCAGACCCTCTCCATGGCTCTCTGCCCTTCCCCTACTGCAGAACTTAGCACCTGTATGTCAGTATTGGTTCAAACATATTTCTTTCGTATGCTCTCCACGTTATCTGCAGCATCTGCCAATAATAATGAATGGTAAAACCTAATCTCTATTGAGTGTCGATGATGCACTTTTAATGTGACATCTTATTTAATCCTCACTATATCTGCAAGAGTAGAAGCTATTAATAGCCAATTTTCAGATAAGAAAATCAAAGCACAGTTTCTGTAACTTACCCAAGCAGCTAGCTAGGAGGCAGCTCAGTTTGAGCCCAGGGAATCACATTCCAGAGACCGTGTTCTCAATTACTAGAGCAGATACCTCCCCAGAATCTCGTAGGTGGTTAATGAGTCTTTGTGGAATAAATGAACAGAAGGACAAACAGATGGACGGATACATAGGTGGGTGGGTGGATAGATGGGTGGATGGAAAGATGGGTGGGCAGGGAGGTGGACGAATGAATGGATGGTTGAGTCGGTGAAGGGATGGCTGAGTGGGTGGAGAAATGGATGAGTGGGTGAATGGGTGGAGGGATAGATAAATGGATGGACGGGTGGGTGGATAGATGGGTAGATGAGTGAATGGGTGGATAGATGCATGGGTGAGTGGATGGATAGATGGGTTGGTAGGTGGGTAGATGGATGATAGCTGGGTGCGTAAGAGAGTGGGTTGGATGGATAGATGGGTGGGTGGGTGGACAGATGGGTAGGGGGTGGATGGATGTATACATGTCTGGATGGATGGATGGATGGATGGATGGATGGATGGAAGGGTGGATGGATGGATGGACAGAAGAACAGATGAACTTGAGCATTTATGCAGGGTCCTTCAAAGAACTGAGTGATTTCCCTAGGGTGTCTCATCACCTGCAGGTGGGTGGGCAAGGGGGCTTGCCTCTGTAATACTCATGATAATGGGTAGTGCTCAGCCTTAGTCACCACTCTCAGAACACTTTATTGACCAGGAAAGTCAAAACTGGCATTGACAACTAATGCAAATTACAGCTATAACTAACAGAAGATGTTGATCTGATGATAGCTGGACAACCAATAATTAATAATTTGGCCATGTCATGTTACTGCCATGCTGGGCAGGTAGAGCCAGGGGTTCCTTAATCCCTGCATCACATTAAGGATGCTTATCAAGACTTCCCCAACCATGGGGACAGGGATCTTATCAAATACTTGCAGTTCACCCCAAAAGGCTCACACTCTTCACTCCACCTGCACATGACCTTCAGCTCAAAGACATTTCCAGTCCTCCAGGTCAGCCCTTCTTCCAGCCTTTGAATTAACCCTGATGACTGCCTGCCCATTAGGTGTCTTCATCTTTCATCACACATCCTTTTCCAAGGTTTTCCTTCAATCCAGCCCTCACTAAATGCTGGAACTGTTGTTGACAAAATCCAGAACAAGCTGGGTGGGGGATGCAGGTGGGAAGCAGGCTGTAGTAATGGGGAAAAATTCTAAGCAATCTCGAACACAGAAAAGAAACTGAACAGGTAAGAGAGAGGCTGTCAAGAGAAGAAGTGTTAATTTTGCATAACTGAAGCTGAAGAAGATCGGGGGGGCATGGCAGACCACAAGATAAATATGATATAGACTCCTTTTTAAAAAAGTGTAAACACCAACCCTTTCCTATTGACAACTGTGCTTCAAATATTGCTAAGGTCTTTACTAAAGGCGAGTCAGAAAAACGGAGTATTTTATGCAATACAGTAAGAAGGCCCATAGGCAAGCATGTTCCTGACACCACCTTCTAGGATAAGCCCTGAGATTCTGGTTACACCTATCCTAAAGTTGTCTCTCACTCCTGCTGTTGGAGAGCTACCATGAGAGAAGAACCATAGTGAAGTGGTTTAGAGTGTGCACCCAGCGACCAGTCAGATGGCTTCAAACCATCACCACCTAATACTGAGCAAGTTACATAATGTTCCTGAGCCTCAACTTTCTCATCCGTAAAATGGGTATGCTGTCATTCATTAATCAAACTCTAGGTGAGCATATACTAAACACGAGAGACACAAATGAGAATCAGGAACAGGCATGGCTCTGGCCCTCATGGTGACCACAGTCTTGAAGGGGAAGGATGACATGCTCAGAAATAGGAAGCCGTAGCTGAGCTAGTGTCTACCACAGAGAGGCACCTGGTGTCATGAAAGCAGATAACAGGGGGTTGCTGTGACTGACTCAGTGTGGCCAGGCATCCCTGAGGATGTAGTGACTCCACTGTCAGATGAGACTGTGACCAGGTGAAGAGGTAGGGAGAGGGAAAATCTTTCAGGCAGAAAGAGCAGGATGTGCAAAGGCCCTGTGGCAGGAAAACAGCAAAGGAAATGCAAGAGCCTGAAAGAGGCCAGAGAGAACAAGTGAACATGTGGATAATCACAGCACCCACCTCATACAGGACTTGCAAGAAATTGAGAACCTGTCTGTAACAGATTCAGCAATGACTAAATAGAAACTATCTCCTAAAAGTGCAGCATGAGGCTCCTTGGTGGTATTTCCCATGTGAGGCTGCCATGGACTCAGAGGCCAAATTCCACCTGCCTGTAGACAACCTCCAAGCCAGCTGGACACACATACACACTCAGGCTCAGGATACCCAGGACAGAGTTCTGGATGCTTGAAGTCGTGATAAGTATCCAGAATGACACAGAATTCCAGCCGGGCATGGTGGCTCACATCTGTAACCCCAGCACTTTGGGAGGCCTAGGTGGATCACCTGAGGTCAGGAGTTCCAGACCAGCCTGGCCAACATGGTGAAACTCCCTCTCTACTAAAAACACAAAAAAATTAGCCGGGTATGGTTGTGGGTGCCTGTAGTCCCAGCTACTCAGGAGGCTGAGGCAGGAGAATCGCTTGAACCCGGGAGGCAGAGACTGCAGTGAACTGAGATTGCACTATTGCACTCCAGCCTGGGCAACAAAAGTGAAACTCTGTCTCAAAAAAAGAAAGAAAGAAAAAAAGAATGACACAGAATTTGCTAAAGGGGGAGAAAGGGCTTCCTTCCAAAGCTGGACCTGGTTTCTACAGAGAGTTTTTCAGATGAAAATTAAGCAGCTCTTTGCAAGCAGCTCTTTGCAAGCACCTCAGAGGAGAACCCCTCCCCCTGATGAATCAGGCACACAGGCGGATCCAAGACAATTGGCTGCATGCATGTGAACAAACCTATGGTGGAAATGCAGTTTTTTATTTGTCTGGAGTGGTTTAATCACCAGGAGGGAGAAGCTTCTAAAGCAGCATTCAGAGGTGGCTGTTGCCTGGGTTTTCTGGAAGGGGGAGGCGGTGAGGATGAGGGCTTCCATTTCATCTGCAGGCCCCTTGCAGAAGGAGCTGGGGAAAGCTTTGAAGCCATCTGCACACTGTTTGCCATCTTGTCTGGCTGGGCAGCTGAGCTCCAGATGGGGGTGGATGGGATAGCTCTTGCCACCGTATTTGGAGAAAGATGGCAGGGAAGTCAGCCCCCGTGAAGAAGACAGGAGCAGGCAGGTGCTGGACAGTGCTGCCCAGGCCCCTGGGGCTGAAGTGTCCAACCCCACAGCCTCTAGGTGTCACTAAAGCAGCCCGAGAGGATCTTCTCTGTCCATCTCCATCCTGGCACCTACAGACACTTGGAGACAGTCCTTCACATGGGAACTCACAAATGCACACTGATAACCCCCACATGGAACTCTCATACGTAGGAAGTGAAAAGACAGGATGCCAGTTAAACTTGAATTTCAGATAAACAACAAATCATTTTTTAGGGTAAGCAGGTCCCAAATATTGCATGGGATATATGTGCACCCAAAAAAAAAAAAAAAAAAAAAAAGGTTAATAAGAAATTCAGGTTTAATTGGACCTCCTGTATTTTACCTGGGAAGTCTAACCCTGCATAAACACAACCTCGAGCTTGAAACTCAGAGAAGCCACGGCCGTGCTCAAACAGGTGCACAAACCCATATGCCTTACAGAGTCAAGGGCTGTGATGGGGGTCCCCACCCTTGCACACTTCCCTGTCCTCTGTCTGGGCTCAGAGTAAACAGGGGGTCACCTGGCATCCACGTCTAAGCTGGGCTTGGAGGTGTCCTAATGAAGCAGGATGCTGACCTGCACTTCCCCAGCTCAGCGGGAGCTGCAGCCAGGCCTAGCTTCCAGTCTCGGGCCTAGAACACACAGCACAGCCCCAGACCTTGGCAAGAAGGTTTCATCTCAAGGGCCACTGGCTCAGGACCTATTAGAAGCCCCACTTCTTTCCTCTGTTTCTGCTGCCATTGCCCCAGTCTCTGACCCTGCCACTCAATCACTCTATAAACACAGCAGGTACTAGGGGTGGCTCTGGGCTCGGCAATAAAGACAATGCCCCTGGTAAAGCCACAGTCTAGCAATGACAGTCAACCACGTATCAGCAACAGCCCTGCCCAACATGTGCTGACTGTGCACAAGGCCAGCGCTGTGAACGTGCTCTCAACAGTGATCTCACTGAACCCTCATGGCAGCTCTAGGATGCAGACAGTAGCATCACATTATCCCCATTTTACTTATGAGAAAACTGAGGCCTGAAGAAGGCAAACACAGGCCTCGGGATTTACAGTAACATTGCCAGGAATGTTTGAGAAAGGAAACTTCTCCAGAGTGAAGCAGTCTGCCAGAGCTCAGAAGACAGAGTCCCTGTTAGCAGGGGCTGTGGGGACTGGGGGCAGACAAGCGGGTAGGGGCTGGACCCCCCCAGGACATCAGGGTGCAGACTGGTGTGAGTAAAAGAAAGAGAGGCGGTCGTGCCATCATCTGCAGAAGATGATGTCTACAGAGGACAGTACCATGTGAGCCCTTGGGAAGCAGGATGACTGGATGGAATTTTGCACAGGATGCAAATTAAGCGCAGATCCCCCTCTGACCTAGACAGCCCACCTCCAGGAACATCTCACAGAAATGCACGCACAGAGCACCAAGTGATGTGTGCGAGGAAATTCATCAGAACACCGTCTGTGATTGGGAAAAGGCAGAAACCATCCAAAGACGTATCGGTGCAGGGCTGGTTAAACGAAGCGTGGTGCATCCACACGTCAGAATAACTGCTGGGAGAAGAAGGTGGTTCCCAGGTTCCAACGTGAGACAATGTCAAAGACATGCTGCCTGAAAAGCAGGCTTTCCAAAGAATAAATATAGCATTATTCCATTTTTTTAAAAAAGGTTACAATAAACACTTATGTGCAAATACATGTGCTTGTGTGCACAGAAGAAAAAGGTGTGGACAGGAACAGAAAACCAAACTCTGCGTGTTCTCACTCATAAGTGGGAGTTGAATAATGAGAACACATGGACACAGGGAGGGGAACAACATATACCAGGGCCCGTCGGAGGTGGGGGACAAGGGGAGGGAGAGCGTTAGGACAAATACCTAATGCATGCGGGGCTTAAAACCTAGATGACGGGTTAACAGGTGCAGCAAACCACCATGGCACATGTACACCTATGTAACAAACCTGCACATTCTACACATGTATCCCAGAACTTAAAAAATAAAAATAAAAGAAAAAGGTGTGGAGAGGTATACCCCCACCCTCCCCAGTGTTACCTCTGAGAAGCAAGATCAAGAAAATCAAATCAAGAGGAAATTATGTGTTTTGTTTTCTATATAATTTTTTTTTTTGAACAATAGTCTTGCTCTATTGTGCAGGCTGGAGTCCGGGGACACAATCTCGGCTCACTGCAACCTCCTCCTCACTGCAACCTCCTCCTCACTGCAACCCCCTCCTCACTGCAACCTCCTCCTCACTGCAACCTCCTCACTGCAACCTGCTCCTCACTGCAACATGTTCCTTCTGGGTTCCAGTGATTCTCTTGCCTCAGCCTCCCAAATAACTAGGATTACAGGCAAGCACCACCAAGCACGGCTAACTTTTGTATTTTTTGTAGAGACACGGTTTCACTATTTTGGCCAAGCTGGTCTCGAACTCCTGACCCACCCGCCTTGGCCTCCAAAAGTGCTGGGATTACAGGTGTGAGCCACCACACCTGGCCTGCATTGCTTGAATTCTCAGACCACATAGACCCTCTCATCTGGCCCAATTGCAAGAGTCCAAGGCAGGAAAGGAAGAAGGCAGGGACTTACCCTTCCATCAGGACAACATAGAACAGAGTCAAAAAAGAAAAACATGAATGGATCAGTCAAGAGGGCCGTGCACGTGCCCTCCCAGGCACCTATACCTTGCAACTTAAGCCGACAGGCTTTCAAGCCACAGAGTCTTCCTCCCCAGAGACTAGCAAGGACACAAGACCTGGCCAAGCCCCTCCAGGAGGATGGTCTGAGGGATAAGGTGGGGTGCACAGTCAGGGGTGGCAGGAGGAAAGGGGGACACAAAGCCCAGGAAACCAGGGCAGCCCATGCTTCCTGAAGGCCCCCAGAACACGGCGCTACACAAAGCCCCTGTGTACCTGTTTCTACAACAGCCTGAACACAAGGAAAATCAAGATAAGGAAAATACACAAAGCCCAGCCTCACCTGGAGCAGGTTAAATAAAGGTGTGTGACTTTGTCTTCATGTCCTTTGGAATTGGAAATCCAAGCTGCCTCTTCTGTGCCTTTAAGGTCCTGGCTGCTGCCCCACAGCTCCCTTCTCTTCCCTCCTCCTCTTGTTCTGACTTTTTCTTTTTCTTTTTTTTTTTTTTTTTTTTTTTGAGTTGGAATGTTGCTCTGTTGCCCAGGCTGGAGTACAGTGGCACAATCTCAGCTCATTGCAACCTCCACCTTCTGTGTTCAAGCAATTCTCGTGGCTCAGCTTCCCAAGTAGCTGGGATTATAGGTGTCACCATGTCCAGCTAATTATTGTATTTTTAGTAGAGACAGGTTTTCACCATGTTGGCCAGGCTAGTCTCAAACTCCTGGCCTCAGGCGATCCACCCACCTCGGCCTCCCAAAGTGCTGGGATTACAGGTGTGAGCCACCATGTCCAGCCCTCTTGTCCTAACTCTGCCATCTCTTTGCAGTCTCCCCTGAGCAGCTTTCCCTGGGCCCGCCCTGCCCCCCTCCAGTGCTGCACTCTCAAACCACCCCACAAAACCACCTGGCCCTGGCTCCTGCCCTGGGGCTATGATCCTCAGCTGGTGAGGTCTAGAGGGTCAGAGGGAGCCAGACTCCCTAGAGAAGCTAAGGCAGGAGCCCTGTGCTGGGCTGTGGGTAACCTGCCCCCTTCCAGCTGGGGCCGAATAGAAGGGGAAAGGCTGCCCCCAGAATACAGGGCTCTCAGAGGCCCTGGAGATCTGTGCTGGCAGTCAGGAGGACAGTCACCTCAGCGCAGTTGCCTGCAAGGAGGGCTGTGCAGGAAGCTGCATGTTGCTCAGAGAACAAAAAAAGGAAATTAAATGCACCATCTGGTTATTAGCATGAACTTTTGAGACAGACACTTAAATATGCATGCCTAGACTTTATAAAACTTGGGGGAAATGTTAATTTCAATAACGCCCGTTCTCGTGCTTGCAGAAACCATTCTTTTATCTCCCTTCCTGGTAAGTTGGGGTCTCCATCCCTCAGAGTGGCAGCGCCAAGACAGCTGGTCTCACTGGGTTTTGTAAGCTGTGCAAGGTGAGATCCCAAGCCCTTGCCTGGAGACCCATCTTAGGAAAATGTTAGAACAGGGCAACAAGTGGCCATTTCCTCCCTCCTTTCTCTTCCCCATACAAAAATCAGAAAGCACGCTAGCCCAGTGCCCAGCCATAGTGGTGAGGAAACCCCACTCAAAATCCTGGGTTGTGCCCCTGATGCCAAAGACCTGCAAAACTGGGACTCACCTGCTGAAACCCTAGCCCAGACTTATGTACATTTCAAGGGCAGCTGGACTCATGGACGCCTGGGACGTCAGGGTGGTACAAAGTCCTCTTAAACTAAGACTGTCAGGGTACAAGGATCAGCATTTTTTTTCCTTTCTCTTGAGGGCCAGATGGTAAATAGCTCAGCTTTGCAGGCCATGGGTCTCTGTCCCAACTATTCAACTCTCCACTGTAGCAGGAAAGCAGCCACAGACAATATGCACTGAAATGGGTGTGGCTGTGTTCCAATAAAACTTTATTTGTATAAACAGGCAGGGGGCTGGTTCTGGCCTGTGGGCTACAGCCTGCCTCCTCTGCTACAGCGTGATCTCCAAGGACCCATCCATCTCCTAGACCAGCAGCTGGCACACAGGAGCTGCTCAGATACTTGAAGGAGGAATGGAGAAGGAAAGCAGCCCTTAGTGTGCAGACGTGAGGGTCTCCCAGCAGCACCATCCTTTGCCATCTCATGCCCAGGGACAAAGCCAGAGCAGGGTTCTCCTCCAAGGAAATGTGATAACAAGACAGAAAGCATCGTGGAAGGATAGGGGCTTTGGAGTCCCACAAACCACAGTTTGCAAAATCAGGAGCATCCTGCACTTCCTTGCACACATCCTGGGTGGGTGCTGGAGCATCTAGACTTAGAGTGAATCTTTTCCCCCTCCTCCCCAAACTGGCCTCCATTACACTTCCAGCAACAATGTGGTGTATGTACACAATGGAATACTATTCAGCCTTCAAAACGAAGGAAATCCTGCCATTTGAGACCACATGGATGAGCCTGGAGGATATTATGTTAAGTGAAATAAGCCAAGCACAGAACGACAAATACCACATGATCTCACTTATATGTGGAATCTTAAAAAGTTGAACTCGGCCAGGCATGGTGGCTCATGCCTGCAATCCCAGCGCTTTGGGAGGCTGAGGCCGGCAGATTGCTTGAGCCCAGGAGTTCGAGACCAGCCTGCATAACATAGCAAGACCCCATCTCTACATAAAAATACAAAAATCAGTGGAGCGTGGTGGTGCATGCCTGTATCCCAGATACTCAGGAGGCCGAGGTGGAAGGATTGATTGAGCTTGGGAGGTCAAGGCTGCAGTGAGCCAAGATCATACCCCTGCACTACAGCCTGGGCAACAGAATGAGACTGTCTCGAAAAAAAAAAAAAAAGAAAGAAAGAAAAAGAAAAAGAAAAGAAAAAAGTTGAATTCACAGAAGCAGAGTAGCATGATGGTTGCCAGGGTGGGGAAGTGGGCAGATGCCAAAGGACACAGAATGTCATTTTTAGAGAAGAAGACTAAGTTCAGGAGATCCATGGGACAACATGTTACCTACAGTTAATAACAACATATCATACACTTGGAAATCACTGAGAGAGTAGATTTTTAAAGTGTTCTCACCACAAAAAAATAAGTCTGGGAGGTGATATGTTATTTAGCTTGATTTAGCCATTTCGTAATGTATACATACTTCAATCACATCATGTTGTACACCCTCTTGTACATAATTTTTGTCAATTCAATAAATTCAACAACTCCAAAAAACAAGACATTCTCTTTACAAAAATAATTATTAAAAATAAAATTCAGAATTCCATTTTATTTATTCGTTTATTTTTGAAACAGAGTGTCGCTCTGTCACCCAGGCTGGCTGAAGTGCAGTGGTGTGATCTCAGCTGACTGCAACCTCGCTTTCCCCGCTTCAAACGATTCTCCTGCCTCAGCTTTCCAAGTAGCTGGGATTACAGGTGTGTGCCATCACTCCTGGCTAATTTCTGTATTTTTAGTAGAGACAGTTTCGCCATGTTGGCCAGCCTGGTCTCGAACTCCTGACCTTAGGTGATCCGCCAGCCTCGACCTGCCAAAGTGCTGGGATTACAGGTGTGAGCCACTGTGTCTGGACAGAATATAAAAGATTGTTTAATTCAACTAAAACATTAAAACATAGATTATTTCTATAAGTGGTAATTGTTCTAACATATTTGGTCAAAATAGTCTCCTTACCTATCCACAATTAAATGGTTAATTGACTTCTGATTGGATTTTGATAAAGTTTTGAAATCATGATTGACTTTTCCAATGTACAGTAAAATGTGTTTGAAAATATTTCATAAAAATTAATATTTAAAAATGGTCAGGCATGGTATGGTGGCTTATGCCTGTAATCCCAGCACTTTGGGAGGCCAAGGTGGGCCGATCACTTGAGGTCAGGAGTTTGAGACCAGCCTGGCCAAACCTCATCTCTACTAAAAATACGAAAGTTAGTAGGGCATGGTGGCACGCACCTGCATTCCCAGCTACTTGGGAGGCTGAGGCAGGAGAATTGCTTGAACCTGGGAGGTGGGTTCCCCAGGCTTAGAGCAAAACCCCCATCCTGTCTGTCTCCACTCTCATCCCAGGCAATCACAGTCATTTTGACAGCCTCAACCACTGTCTAATGGGATGCCTCCCAAGACCGAGTCTCCAGCCCAAACCTGCCTTCCTAGCCCCAGACCCATCTGTCCTGGCACACATTGCCCCCTGGGTCCCCAGCAACCTCAGCCAATGAGTCCAATGTCAACTTCCTGTCCTTGCCTGACACTGTCAGCCCTGAGATCAGACTTGACCATTCACCTCCAGTACCTGATAGATCCGTCAGTGTTGTGGAACATATCCCATGAACATTCCCCAAACCAGGCACCGGACTCCACACATCAACACCGTCACGTGAGTCACCAGCATCCCTGGCAGGGACCCCTGACCCAGCCTCCAACTCATCTCCTTCCTGTCCCTTGAGTTCTGTGTCACATTCCAGAGGCCACAAGAAGAAAAATAACCACCTTAATGAAATTAAAAGAATTGAGAAGACATTTCCCTATGGACCAAAGTCTTTCCAACTGAGAAACACATATCAAGATCCAGCCGGCCAGCCCAGTGGTTAAATGTTCCTGAAATAATTAAAGCCCAGGGCAACACAGCCCGCACTCCACAAGTACTCCCAGCACAGTAAGACTTGCTTCTCTGCAGGGGTTTGAAATGTCCAGTGCGTACCCTCCCCCTCTCTGTGGTAGCTAACAGGAATGTGCTCCTTGTCTTCTTCCTGCTCAGAGGACCGTCCACCAACCTGCGCAAGCAGCACTTTTGGAGGGGTGGGGGGGAATGGGAGAACTTCCCGCCATTTCCCACTTACTCACTGCATTCCTCAGGAGCCTGCCTCACAAATTACAAGAGCGCCACAGCAGACACACCACGTTCCAGTGGGTGGCCATGTCTTCATGTCAGCTTGAAACATTGTCGACAGGGAAATATCTATATCTCGGCAGAGAGAGCTGTGTAGTCCAGCTGTGCTCAAATGGAAATCCAGAAACCCAGATGTTGGTCCAAACACCCTGTCTCAGACAGCCGGCTCTGCAGGTCCCCAGTGTGGGAGTGAACTGGGTGGGCCACCTGCCCTGCCTGACCACATCCCAGACTCCTGGAATCCTGGACCCTGAGAACCAGGGGGATGTGGTGGGGAACAGGCAAGTCTTGTGCAGAAAGCCAAGATGCCACCCAAATCCACTCTGCAGTCTAGGTGGGCGATATTCTGGACCGCACCACACCAGCGCATGAGGGGATGGAGGATGCAGTCTAGACAAGCCAAATGTAAAAAGATATTGCCCAAGTATTTTGTGCTTTGTCTGTGTTACAATGCTATGCCCAGCCCAGCGTGGTGGCTGACACCTGTGTTCTCAGCACCTTGGGAGGCCGAGGCAGGCGGATCACCTTAGGTCAGGAGTTTGAGATCATCCTGGCCAATGTGGTGAAACCCATCTTTACTAAGAATACAAAAATTAGCTGGGTGTGGTGGTGGGCACCTGTAATCCCAGCTACTCAGGAGGCTGAGGCAGGAGAATCACTTGAGCCCAGGAGGTGGAGGTTGCAGTGAGCGGAGATCTTGCCACTGCACTCCAGCCTGGGCAACAGAGTAAGACTCTGTCTTAAAAAAATAAATAAATAAAAATAAATGTTATGCCCAGCATTTTCCATGTACTGTCTTATTATCTCAGTAAATCCCATATAGTCTTCCTATGAAAGTGTATCTCATTTATCTCCATTTTATAGATGAGAAAACTGAGGCCCCTGGAGTAGTAGTAATTTTCCAAGAAAGCATTGCTCATAAAGGGTACAGCAGGGACCCAAGCTCAACACTCTTACCCTCAAACATTTCCACAAGTGTAGACCAATGGCTCTCAACTGGGGTGGTTTTGCTCACATACCACTCCCTTGCTCCATGGCATTTGAAACCGTCTGGAGACATCTGGGGTAGCCATAGCTGGGAGGGTAGAATGGCACCTAGAGGATGGAGACCAGAGATGCTGCTAACCATCCTACAATACACGGGATGGCCCCACCACCAGCACCACGAATGGTCTGACCCCAAGTGTTGTGACTGTGCCAAAGCTGAGAAACCCAGGTTTCTCCTCAGCAAGAAGGAAAATCCCTGCAACGTGGATGCACCTCTACAGGAGCCCCAGGCTGACAATAACCTTCCTGATCTGGTTTCAACCCTGGATGCTTTTACCTGGTGCGTCCATCAGGGATTTCAGGGACACCAATGAATTACCCTTGAATGCTCGGTTCCGCCTGACAACCCAGAAATCTCTGCCAAGGTGCCTGGTCTTGAGGAAGGCTCAGCAAGTGGTTGAGGTTGATAACCAAATACCTAGGAGAGACTTTTCTCTCCCTCCAGGAGGAGCTGTGGGTCAGACACACCCTGGGATCACTCACAAGCAGTCAATAAAGGCTTGGGGAGGGCCAGGTTTTCTAGGCCTTCTCAATGGGGTGGGTGTTTGTGGATACACAAGAAGCCTGTGAAACTTCTGATATTGGCAGGAAATCAATGCCCCCTACCCTGCACCCCCCCACATCCCCACCATAAACACATGCCCTGCAGCAGGACTTGGCACTCAGGGGCTCCTGGGGGCCCGATTTACCTGCTAAAACATCCTCTAGCCACCACCGAATAAAGCAACCCCTTGCCACCCAACCACAAGAGCACAGCCTAGGAGCCACTCCAAGGAACACCAAGTCACATTAAAACCTCAGCCATCCAGAGCACCAGGCCTGGTGATGAGGAAGAACATTTTATCCTTAAAAGCATCTGAATGCCCATACTGCTTCTTGCAGAGAAAAGTCCAAAATAATCTGCTATTAAAGAACGAGGATGGTTTTGACATTTTTACCAAGCTAATGGTCTACGCAGACAAAATCTCATAAAAGTGCACTCTGTTCTTCTTGATCCACTCAGATATGGCCTGTGAGTGAGGAAACGGGCTCTCCTGCTCAAACAAATCGCTGCTGATCCTCAAACCAGCCTGACACTGCTTCATGGGTTCTTCAAAGAGAGTATTCCCATAGAAACTAAAAGGGAAGAGGAATGTGTCTGGCGGGCATTGTGGGCAGCAGTGAGCTTTGGGCCAAATTTTAAGTTTGAAAATCAAGATTCCCTCTTTTCGAGGGGCCGCCGGACTGAGCAGATACAGGCACCGTGAAAAGATGGTGCCATATTCAGATTCAGGAAACAAGGATGGTTTCTGTTCAGTTCCTGCATCATCCTTCAGGTCATGCGATTCCCATTTCCCTCTGTGGACCAAACAATTCAGTGGGGTTTCTGCCTTTTAAATATTTCATTATCAACATACCATCCTTCTAGCCTCCAGAAAGCATTTTAATGGAGATTCTGGCTTAAGACTCTTGTGGGTCTGTCTCTCTCTCTCTCTTTTTTCCTTGAAACAGGGTCTCACTTTGTCACCCAGGCTGGAGTGCAGTGGCATGACCACAGCACACTGCAGCCCGACCTTCCAGGCTCTAGCAATCCTCCCACCTCAGCCTCCCAAGTACTTGGGACTACAGGCACACACCACAATACGTGGCTTTTTTTTTTCTCTTTTGGTAGATATGAGGCTTCGCCACGTTGCCCAGGCTAGTCTTAAACTCCTGGGCTCAAACGATCCCCTGCCTTCGGCCTCTCAAAGTGCTGGGATTATTGGCTTGAGCCACCACGTCCGGCCAAGAATCTTTTCTCTTGTGATGCACTCCAGAACAAAACGTCACTGCAAAAACACACCAATGCATGAGTTTCAGTCCTAAGTCCCATTTATCCACCAAACACTATGTGTCAGGCACAACGCTAAGTGCTTCTATGGACGAGCTTCCCTTAATCTCAGCAGTAACAACCCCAGGCAATGGGGCCTGTTGACAGATCCATTTGCCACTGAAGACAGTAAGGCTCAGAGAGGGTAAGTGGCTTGTGCCATGCCAGCCAGCTAAGGAGGGGCAGAACCAGGATGCAAACCCCAGCCGCCTGGCTCCAGACTCGTGTTCCCAAGGTCCCACTACACTTGGTCACTCCACTGCATTCTGGTATCCTGGTCTTTGGCAGAGTCCACGTAAAAGAGGGAGGGAGAGGGAGTGAGAGGGACTTCACGCAATAAAGTTTCCTGGCGTTACACTGCCACCGTAATTGTGTCGCCGACCAGGACCTCTCCTTTCTCACCCTTTCCGTGATCGGCCGTGGAAACCCTTCCAGAGAACTGTCCTCCTTCTCCCGGGATCTCAGAGAAAATTCACCTGAGTTCAGTGTCCAGGTGACCCAAGCTCTGAATGCAGTAAAGTGCATGGGGAGATGAGGATGTCACCATGAGCAAGCCTCCCAGACAGCATCCGGGAGCAACCCCAAGACTGGGCAGGGGGCTCTGATGCAGCCCACGGCGAGGAGGGCTGCCCGTGCTGCCTAAATGGGTTCAGAATGAAGGTCGCCCTCTCGCCCATGTGGGGCTCATTCACCACGAATCAAATGATTAAGACAAGCTCAGCTGACTAAATGGTCAAACATAAAAACATGTGGAAGGAACAAAGAGGTCAACCCCATTATCCATCAAAAACCATCAAGGTGGCGGCCCTCACTGAGGGGTACAGCTCTCCAGCGGGCCCTCATCTGCCCTCCAAACCCATGTGCCTCCCCAATGGAAGGCCAGCAAAGCCACACAGGAAGAGTTGGGGTAGGAAAGCAGAAAGTGAACCCCAGGAGGCCAGGCTGGCCACGGAGCCCCATCGCACACACACAGGCCCGGTGACTCAGGGGCCCACGTGTGCAGGACACCGGGAGCTCACAGGGACAGCGCCCCAGGGGATGCAAGGAACTTTGCCTTTCTGTCCCTCTCTGTAGGGATGGAAAGAGGAGAGCGATTTCTGGGATGGAAGCCATCTGCCTCCTCTCAACTCTCGTTGTCCAACCAGAAAAGGAAGAAAAACAGGAGGACGCGGGGCAGGTGAGGAGCTGGGTGAGCGCCACCAGCCCGCAGCCCAGCAGAGCAGGGCTTGGCCAAGCCCGGCGCCAAGGACTTCCCGCCTACCCCCACCACAAGCCCCTCGCCAGGTGAGAGGCACCGACAGAGTCCCAGACAGATGCCCCAGACAGGATGCCCAGCACGACCCCCCCCTTCCCCTGCTGGGGGCACCCAGGACGCGGGGCTCCCCTTCCCCTTTTGGCCAGCCGCAGAGTCCAGCGGGTCTCCCAGCCAGGGACGTCGTGGGAGAATCAGGAAGTCGAAGCCACACATCCGAGAAGGGGCAGCTGGCGTCTCGGAGGCCGTCACGAGCTGTAACTCCGCGCCCGCCGGAGTTGCCGCTCAGTTACCAACTTCAACCCGGGGCCGGCCACTGAGCCTCCCGCCGCCCCTACCGCGCACCCCCGGACCCCCACGCCCGCGTCACTTACTCCTCTGCCGTCGCCACCTGTCTGGGTGCCGGTCTCCTCCCTGCCTGGCCGCGGCGCGTCCTCCCCGTCC
Organism: Homo sapiens; assembly: GCF_000001405.40. Lineage (NCBI taxonomy): Eukaryota > Metazoa > Chordata > Mammalia > Primates > Hominidae > Homo > Homo sapiens. Next base: position 9,532,577 of record NC_000004.12, on the reverse strand, counting down.
TCGCAGTCCTCGGGCTGTGCGCTTCCCCCTTCCAGCCCCAGCCGCAGCCTCTTCTCCTCGGGAGGTACGTCGTCCTCCTCCCTCCTGGGCCGGCCATCCCAGCCTCGGGGCTTGCCTGTGGCTTTGGAGCTGCCGGAAGGGCTGGCCATGGCTCCGGGGGCTCTGCCTGCACTTGGGTTAGAGGAAGGACCCGGCGCGAGCGGCCTCTGGGCGGAGCTGGGGCGTCTGAGCGCGAGCTCGTTGGGTCCGCGCGGCGCGGAGCTGGGCAACGGGGTCGGCGCGGGCTCCTCCGCCGGCCGCTCCTGGCTCTCTGGCGCCCTCTGCTGGCCGCTCGCGCGCACCGCGGACACGCCGGGCCGGGGCCTGTTCCGCGCTCACCTGCCCCGGCCCAGGTGGTCGCTGTCCCCTGCCCGTGGCCAGGCCCGCTCCGGCCAGGCCCTGCACCTCCTCCCCGCCCCAGCCAGTTTGCACCCCGAAGGTCTCCCTGCCCAAGGAGGAGAGAAGAGAAGGGACGCCCCGAGAGGGTGGACATCGGCCACAGCCATCTTGTCTTTGCTCTTACCCTGTGTCTTGCATGATTTGGAGGTGGTGGGAAAACCGAGGCTGCTCAAAACTCTTGGAGAATTCCGCCTGCAGGATGACATGAATGCACCTTCGCATTGCCTACCAACAGATCTTTTTTGAGCATCACTGTGGACCGGGCGTGGTGATGGGGGAGGGGATATTGTGGTGAACATGAAAGGCATGGCCTTCACCCAGTGGGACTCAGCGCTGGGTGAGAAGGCATTGAGAATGGACATTGTCAATTGGGCCAAAGGAGGCCAAGGAGAAGTGCTGGGGGCATGGGAACTGAGAAAGACAGGAGGCTCAGCAGGTCTTGGAGCTGGGAGAGGGACAGCAGCAGCGGCTGTTCCAAAGGAAGCAACAGCTGAGAGAGGTCTCAGAGAGTTGTTCTCAGCCCAGTGGAGGGTGTTCAGGCAGAGGGTTCAGCGTGTGCAAAAGCCCAGAGGCTGGGAAAGAAGCAGAAAGAAGACTGTGAGGCTGGAGCATGGTGGGCAAGGGGAGAGAGGGGTTGTGGGCGGACAGATTGCCTGGGACCCAGCCCTGCAGGGACAGAGGAGATAGGGGATCCTTGCAGGCCCCCAGCCGGGGCTCAGGCACAGAGACAGTGCAGGTGGGCAAAGGGAGGAGACGTGGAGAAATATTTTGGAGGCATGCCCTGATGAATGAGCCCAGGATGCACCCTTAGTGTCAGTGTGGAGCTCCTTCCTTGGCTGTGTGATGAGCTGAACCCTTGGGTATTTTATGGACAACGAGGTGCTACACCAAGAGTCCAGGACAGGCTAAGTGAGCACCAGCAGCTCCTGGCCTACCTCAAAAGCAGGAGAGACAGGGGAGACCGGGGAGGCCAGGGAGGAAGGGGAAGCCAGGAAGGCAGGAGAGGCCAGGGAAGCAGAGGAGGCCAGGGAGGCAGTGGAGGCAGGAGAGGCTGGGGAGGCTGTGTCCTTTCCATGATTCTGCCCGGGATCCTAGGCCCCTCTACTCCCTGAGCTTCCCCACCCCAAGCGCTGGAACCATGTTGCACAATGGTCTCCCCACTAAGCTCCTAATGGCGGCCCCTACCCTGCTGTGCTCCCTATTTCAACCCTAACAGCTCTCACAGGGGGCAGCACATAGTAGGTGCTCAGGAAACACTGGTGGGAGAGCACATGGGTCTGCTAAGCACCTTCCTCTCTCCTCCAGCTCTCCCCTGTCATGAAATAATTCTAATAACGACACATGGGCTTTGGACCCTCTTCTATTGCTTTCCATATGCTAATCCATGTATACCTCACAGCAGCCCTGGGGTTTGGTGCTATTAGGATGCCCATTTTACAGAGGAGGGGACTGAGGTATGAAGAGGGTAAGTGACATAGGCACACTACAGGGGCCAGGACCAAGTGATTGCAGCACTCAATCCCCAAAGGCAAGGTGGTCGCAGTTACCATAAAAGACAGCAGAGTCAAAGCTACAACCGGGATAGTCTGACTCACAGAGAACTATGATGCCAGCTGATCGTGCCATTCCTAGAGGTAAAATAGATAAGAAGCCTGCCACATTTGTACTTGATCTGTGTTTACAGAAGAGTTCTAGGTCAGATGAGCAGAAGTCTAATCTGTATCATAAAAACAGAGTCACAGTCCCCAGACAATTCCCAGACATAAGCCAGTTCACAGACCCGGAGGCCCTTGTCTGAATGGGAAGCCAGGTCCCCTCCAGAAAGGACTCTGCTCCACTGCCAAAAATTTATACTGTCAATCTTTCTCCCAGCCTGCCCCCAAAGGAATACACAGCCTTTTACCAGGATGACTGAACAGGGGAAAAGGGACTAATGGGACCTGTGCAGGATCACTGGACACAGGCTCTGAACTGGCACCAGGGCGAGACACCAGGGCGAGACTAGCGTCTACCAGTCAGAATAGGCATTTTGGAGTTCAGGTGAATGTTGGTGCAAGTTCATGTCATAGTAGATCCATTGGGTCCCCAAATCCATCCTCTGGTTATGTACAAAGAGGCAATGCTGAGATTCAAATTCAGGGCATCCAACTTAGAAGCTGTGCTCTTACTCATGAAACAGTCTGACACTAGTAACCAATTTAAAAATGCAAACACCTCCTGGGGCTAGCGAGAGTCCTCCAAACAGTCATGTAAATTGGTTCTGTCAAGGATTTCCTCCTATCCACCCCACTCCACCGCTGAGAGCCAGTTGCAAGGAGAGACTAGGGAAGGTCATTGGGTAACTTTGTTGCTAAAAGCTCTTCTGGATAAAGACGTTTGGGAAAAAAAGCAAATAGAGTTCAACAGAAGAGGTAAGAAAATAAGTTTATGTTTGACCAGGCACGGTGGCTCACGCCTGTAATCCTAGCACTTAGGGAGGCTGAGGCGGGCAGATCAGGAGGTCAAGAGATCGGACCATCCTAGCCAACATGGTGAAGCCTCGTCTCTACTAAAAATTCAAAACTTAGCTGGCCATGATGACACACGCCTGTAGTCCCAGCTACTCAGGAGGCTGAGGCAGGAGAATCACTTGAACCCAGGAGGCAGAGGTTGCGGTGGACCGAGATCATGCCACTGCATTCCAACCCGGCGACAGAACAAAGACTCCATCTCATAGAACAAAACAAAACAAACAAAGAAAAAAAGTAAGCTTATTTTTAAGCCTGAACAAGTGTAGTGGTTTAGGGGTTCTGCAAACACGGCCCCAATCAGGCTACAAGATGTTGTGGCAGCAAAATTTACACTCAGTCATTCCTGGCAGGCTGAGCCACTTTTCAAAACACCCTTGCACAGCTGTGCAGAGCGGCTGGCTCCACTGGCAGCCGGCAGAGCCATAACTCACACTGTCACCACTCCCCTCAAACCCCTTCAGTAAGCAGTTTTTTTTTTTTTTTTTTTTTGAGACGGAGTCTTGCTCTGTCATCCAGGCTGGAGTGCAGTGGCGCAATCTCAGCTCACTGAAAGCTCCGCCTCCCTGGCTTATGCCGTTCTCCTGCCACAGCCTCCCAAATAGCTGGGACTACAGGCGCCCGCCACCATGCCCGGCTAATTTTTTGTATTTTTAGTAGAGACGGGGTTTCACCGTGTTAGCCAGGATGGTCTCAATCTCCTGACTTTGTGATCCACCCGTCTCGGACTCCCAAAGTGCTGGGATTACAGGCGTGAGCGACCGCGCCCGGCCTGGTAAGCACTTTTAATCAATGCAACAGGAATAAACATTTGCTGCAGAGCGGCCATGTGCAGGGAGGAACACGGTTCCACTCAGGCTCAGAAAGCAAAACCTCCTGGCTGTTTGCATCTGTGCGAGAGCTCGCAGGAAAAGCCCTCTGTGTGGCTGCCAGCCTCACACACTACCCCCAAGGGATGAGTTTCTCTTTCCATGTTAATCTATGTTCTGACATGCCATCTGTCAACCACCACACCATTCTCAGTTGACATTTCGAAGCATCTTTGCCCTGTGAATGGTCACCAGCCCTGCCCTGCAAGCGCCCAGGTGACATTGAACTTAAATGAGAGAGAAAACAGGTTTCGGGGTGGATTTCCATTCAGCATCTTGGAGTCTCTGTGTGGACATGAAATCTGTCTCCCCAGCTGTGGGCTGCATCCTTGTTTGTCATCTGGTTTGGTTCTCGGGGACTTGGAAACTAGTGGGCACCTTTGCAATTTGTCAAGGAGTTGCAGGGCCCTTCCAACAAAAGCAAGCAATAGGAACAGAATCCCAAGGCTTCAGATCAAGGTGCAACTTAAAGCAGCCTCAGTGTAAAAGCAAACAGGAGTCAGAGGGATGCCTAAGGCAGAGTCTAGTCCCCAGGGCAGCTATAAGGCAAAGAGAAAGAGAGAGAGAGAGAGAGACAGAGACAGAGAGAGAGACAGAGACAGAAAGACAGAGAGATGGGAGGAAACATGAGGCACCCAGGCCTCTGCATCAAAATCCCTACAAGTGGGGCTTCCTAAAAATGCAGGAGGCTGAGGTGGGTGCACACAGATGTTCAAGACTAGCGTGGGCAGCATAGCAAGACCCTCTCTTTACAAAAAATACAAAAATCAGCCGGGTGTGGTGGTGTTTGCCTGTGTTCCCAGCTACCCAGAAGGCTGAGATGGGAGGATGGCTTGAGCCCAGGAGGTAGAGGCTGCAGTGAGCCAAGATAGCACCACAGCACTCCGGCCTGGGCAACAGAGTGAGATTTCATCTCAAAAAAATTTAAAAAAATTTTAAAAAGGATCACCCTGGCTACCTGAATGGATGGTATGAAGGTAAGAGCAGAAGCAAGGAGACCAGCAGGGAGATTCTGCAGGTGGCAGTCCACAGTGGCTCAGACCAGGCTGGTGCTGAAGACCGGCTGGATTCTGTATATATTTTGATGATGAAGCAACTCACTGACTCTCGAAGAGTGGGCTCTAGGAGACTGTATTTTTAACAAGCTCTCAGAGGATTCCAATGCAGGCTGAAGTTGAAGAACTCCTGACTTAGGTGAAGCTTCTGTTTCATCCTTGGGGAAGTACCTACTGAGTTTTCTCCAAGCCACCTAAAAGAGGCGTCAGACAAGATGTGCTCCAATGTCTGAACATGCGTGCACAGCTCTAGAGCCGAGCTCAGGGCACTGAGTCAAAGGTTAGGAGTACAACAGTGAAAACCCACCGTCCTCTTTTCAATGAGCTTTGCATTTAATGAGAGAAATGAAAAGCAAAAAAAAAAAAAATCATTTTCAATTCAGACTGGTAAGAGTTATGGTGACAGTATGCCTGGGGCAATGGGAGCACATAGAAGGGGCACCCAATCGACCAGGTGCAGTTGTTCATGCCTGTAATCCCAGCACTTTGAGAGGCCAAGGTGAGTGGATCACTTGAGGCTAGGAGTTCGAAAACAGCCTGGCCAACATGGTGAAATCCTGTCTTTACTAAAAATACAAAAACATTAGCTGGATGTGGTGGCGGGCACCTGTAATTCCAGATACTCAGAAGGCTGCGGTGGGAGAACTGCTTGAACCCGGGAGGCGGAGATTGCAGTGAGCCAAGATCGTGCCAGTGCACTCCAGCCTGGATGGCCAGAGCGAGACTCCGTCAAAAAAAAAAAAAAAAAAAAAAAGCTCGGAGGTGGGTGGGCATGCAATCTATATCAGGTGGTCAGAAATCCTTATCCATCACAGGACTCCTCAGTTGAAGACTAGAAAATGGTAGGGATTAGCCAGGTCGATAGGAGAGGTGTGGAAGATCATTCCCAGCAGAGGGAAGAGCATGTGCAAAAATCGAGACATGAGAGAGTGAGGAGCTGAGAGATGTTCATATAATTGTAAAAAGTGACTAATGTAGAGGTAAGTTGGAGCCAAATCTTAAAGGCTCTTTGTCGTGTTTATCCTGTAGACAAAGGGAGACAGTAGATGTTTTCAGGCAGGGGAGTAATGATCCACTTTGTGCTATGAAAAGAGAAGTCTGGCTGGAGGAGAGTGGGAGGTGAGTAGACCAGGTAGGAGGCTGCAATACACCAAGTGAGACAAGATGGTTGTCTGGACCAAGGCTGTGGCAGTGAGGATGGAGAGGAGACAGTAGACTAACTTGACTGAGAAAGAGGGAGGAATGAAGGATGAGGCCCAGGTGTTTTGGAAGCTGGGTGGATGGTGGTGTGAATCTGACGTGGTGAGCCCAGGCAGAAGAGGAAATCAGGAGAGGAAAGGTAAGATGAGGTCAATGCAAGACAGACAGCCAAGTGGAGATAACAACTGGGCAGTTGGATTCATCAGCCTGGAGTTATACAGAGAGCTCTGGAATGGAAATAAAGAGGAAAGGACTTTGGGAATAGGTGAATCCTCCCAGAATAATGTGTAGAGAAAGGAGAATAGAACACAGGGGACAGAAAAAGGGAAGAGATTTGTTATTAAAACCAACCATCCATCAGACATCTTCCAATAAAACACTTGTGAGAGGTTTCCTCAGTGTGAGTTATTCAGGACCAGAGCTAAAGACCATATTCCCAATAACATCACTGCTGGGAAGGTCTTCATGAAAACATTTAATGCTGCTTTTAAAACAACAACAGCAACAAAAAGACTTTAGCTACTGCACAGACCCTGGAGCAATTTTTCGGCAAGAGTCTATCAAACATGAATCTGATCTGACTCAAGGAGGTGTCATATCAAGTGAAAAAATCCAATTCCAATGTCCATAAGAGCCTTTCTGCCAGGTACAAGACTCCAATCCAGTTGAGTGATTTTCTATTGATTAATAGGCTGGGAATACACAGGTTGTTGGTTTTTGAGATTTCCCTCCCTGTGCTTTCATGCCAGCTGTGAAAGAGTCAAAAGGCTCCTAACTGTCAAAATAAAAATGACACTTGGTCACAGAGGAAACAGATTATAGGTCAATTGCATTGATGACTTTTTAAATATGAGAAGCCATTAATGTTACTGAGTAAGCAAATCTGTTTGCATAACCAGATTTTTATAGGCTACTGGGAATAAAGGTTTTCCTAAGTGGGCGATTTGTACAACGATAGCATTTGGGTCTCTGATGGAACAGCTCTGATGAGGAAATGTTCCTTTAATTATGTGGAAGGCCAATTACCACTTTATAGCCACATTGTTTTGCAGATTGCATATAATTTCACCATTTCCATAGCTTCAGCACTATAATTCTGGAGAAAATTCAGGCACCAAGAAGACACTTGAGGCACATTATGCTGGAGACAAAGATGTTTTAACAAATTCAATTTAAGCTTCAACATTAAAGTTATTTTGTTGAATAAAGCATAATGCAATAATGACCTTGTGTATATCAACTGTATGATGGAGGTAATAATAGCTAGAGAGAGCGTGTCCCATCTCCTCTTTTTAACGCTCATTTGAGTAATACATAATGTTATAGAGAGAACTTTTCTCTAATATGTGCTTCATCTCAGGCTAAGCGTGTTTTGTGCAACTGTGCTTCATGAAAAAAAAGGTAAAGGATCTAATTTGGGAGCCATTCACAAAAGTGCTACCACTTGATGTTTTCTATACTCTGAGATTTCCTATTCCCAGTGCCTACCAGGAATGGACTTTCTGGAGAAGCTCAGATTAATCACTCCTTATGAGAGGTGACAGCATGCTGGCAGCCCTCACAGCCCTCGCTCACTTTCAGCGCCTCTTTTGCCTGGGCTCCCACTTTGGCGGCACTTGAGGAGCCCTTCAGCCCACAGCTGCATGGTGGGAGCCCCTTTCTGGGCTGGCCAAGGTCAGAGCTGGCTCCCTCAGCTTGCAGGGAGGTGTGGAGGGAGAGGCATGAGCTGGAACTGGGGCTACGCATGCTGCTTGCCTGCCGGCTGGAGTTCTGGGTGGGCGTGGGCTTGGTGGCCCCGCACTAGGAGCTGCCGACCAGCCTTGCATGCCCGGGCAGTGAGGGGCTTAACACCTGGGCCAGCAGCTGCTGTGCTCGACTTCTCGCCGGGCCTTAGCTGCCTCCCCGTGGGGCAGGGCTCGGGACCTGCAGCCCGCCATTCCTTAGCCTCCACCCTCCGTGGGCTCCTGCGTGGCCCGAGCCTCTCTGATGAGCACCACCCCCTGCTCCATGGTGCCCAGTCCCATCGACCACCCAAGGGCTGAGGAGTGTGGGCGCATGGAGAGGGACTGGCAGGCAGCTCCACCTGCAGCTCCTGTGCGGGATCCACTGGATGAAGCCAGCTGGGCTCCTGAGTCTGGTGGGGACTTGTAGAACATTTATGTCTAGCTAAGAGATTGTAAATACACCAGTCGGCACTCTGTATCTAGCTCAAGGTTTGTAAACACACCAATCAGCAACCTGTGTCTAGCTCAGGGTTTGTGAATGCATCAATTGACACTCTATATCTAGCTACTATGGTGGGGACTTGGAGAACCTTTGTGTGGACACTCTGAATCTAGCTAATCTAGTGGGGATGTGGTGAGCCTTTGTGTCTAGCTCAGGGATTGTAAACGCACCAATCAGTGCCCTGTCAAAACAGACCACTCAGGCTCTCTGTAAAATGGACCAATCAGCAGGATGTGAGTGGGGCCAGGTAAGAGAATAAAAGCAGGCTGCCCGAGCCAGCAGTGGCAACCTGCTGGGGTCCCCTTCCACACTGTGGAAGCTTTGTTCTTTCGCTCTTTGCAATAAATCTTGTTGCTTCTCACTGTTTGGGTCCACACTGCCTTTATGAGTTGTAACACTCACCAAGAAGGTCTGCAGCTTCACTCCTGAAGCCAGTGAGACCATGAACCCACTGGGAGAAATGAACAACTCCAGACGTGCAGCCTTAAGAGCTGTAACACTCACCATGAAGTTCTGCAGCTTCACTCCTGAGCCAGTGAGACCACGAACCCCACCAGAAGGAAGAAGCTTCAAACACATCTGAACATCAGAAGGAACAAACTCCAGACACGCCACCTTTAAGAACTGTAACACTCACCAGGAGGGTCCGTGGCTTCATTCTTGAAGTCAGTGAGACCAAGAACCCACCAATTCCAGACACACTTATACACTTGGCACTGGGAGGTCTGTATGGAGCAAGTGAAGAAATCAGCAGATTGAAGATAGAGTGAGAACAACATGATGGGGGAAAGGCAAAGTTACTACCATGTTGGTTTCAATTCTGCCACTCATGAGTGAGACCCATGACCTCCTCTCTCTAGGACTCTGTTGTTCTTATCTGTAGAGTGGAGGAATAGAAGGGCCTTTTAAAGTATTAACATTTCCTGACCTATCTGTAAAACACTTTCATTCAGACTGATGGGAATCTTGACTACTTTGCCAATAGGACATAATAATCATCAAGCTGAACGCACCAAACAACATTGCCTGAAACTATCTAAACAAAAACTGAGAAAGTTACACAGGACAGACAAACCTCCTCTAAGAGTAAGAACTCTTCAGCACATGTTTAGTGTGTCAAAGACAATGCTGTGTTCACACCATTCCTCTTCCTGGATATGCAGAAAGACTACATTTCCCAGCCTTACTTGCAGTTAGTTTGGAACCATGTGACTGCATTTCCACCAATAGGAATGTAAGAAATAACTTCAGGCCAAGGTTATCAAAGGCAAGGGTGAGCTATGTTCCCTCTCTTCCTATCCATATGGCTACAAGTGAAAAACTCTGAGATGGCAGAATTAAAAGATGGAAACCTCCAGAATCTCTGAATCACTGTTGGACAAGGGCCCCCAAGGAGAACACCTGCCCTGCACCAGACTATGCTATGAATGCCAACCCACTGAGAGTTCAGGGTTTATTGGTCTCAGCAGCAGTCTGCTGTTACACTGACTAACATCTTAAGGTTTGAGAGATCTAGCATATTGTTAATTGAAGCTAGATTTCAATTACACTGAGAAACTTATCTATTTAAAAATAAAAACTCTCCTAAAAAAAAAATCCACATTCCTTTTAACAACGTGGCAAATTTGCAAAAAAAAAAAAAAAAAAAAACTGGCCACATATTAGGCCATAAAGAAGTCTCAACAAAATCCACTATACGATTGACATTGTCCAGACCACATTTTCCTGACCATAATGCAACAAAATTAGAAGTCAACAGCAAGAAGATAGCTAAACACAAGCATACATTAGGAAAATTAAAAACATCCTTTCATGAGTTAAATGAAAAATCACAATAGAAATTACTAAACATTTACAACTGAACGAAAACACAACTTTATATATATATATATATATATATATATATATATTTGTGTGTGTGAGTCTTCCAACTTTGTTCTTCTTTTACAAGGTTATTTGGGAAATTCTGGGTCTCCTGCAATTCCTCATACAGTTTTATGTTGTTTGTCAATTTCTGTGGCTGGGATGAACTTATCGTAGTTCTCATATACCAGGGTTTGCACGTCGCTGTCTAGAGCCCGGATCTGCTGCACCATGTCTGTCTCACTGTCCATCAGCTGGGCCAGAGGGCACTCTCTAGGCAGCTTGTCTAGGTAAACTTCCGGGTCGAAGTGCGCCCCGTTCAGATCAGTGGGGTCCAGGGGGTCGGGCCCTGTGGGGAGTCCCACAGCCTCCCCTTCCCAAAGGCCGTTGTAAAGCTTTAGCATCCTGTGCGCCTTCCGCCGACGCTCCGTGAGACTCCACATCGGGCCCTTCTGGTGGGTCCCCAGGTCCACACGCCGGGCTAGGCGCACTGACAGCTACTGCCGCCATAGCTCCAACTGCAGCCCAGGGGCGTAACTTTTTATATTTTTAAGTTGGATATATGGAGCTACTTGGCTTTTGCTTTCATCACATCGTTGAGGAAAGAGGTGGTTGCTTATGGTACCCCTGTTTTTACTGCAACCTGTAATGGATGAGAACCTCCCTGTTGCAGAGAGCAAAACACTGAATTAAATTGTGCTGTAACACAGCCCTGTGTTGGGGGATTGGGAGTTATCATGCAAACGCTTGCAAATTTGCACAGTGACAGAGACAATAGTTTGGGCAGCTGTTCACTATATGAAAAGGCAATTGACCAAAAGTCAGTTACTGAGCTATCTCAATACTTTCATTTTATTTTAACTTTTGGCAACAGGGTGCAATTAAAGGAGAGAAAGAAAACAAAGTGATAAGTGTAAGATAATGCACACACATGTGTAAAAGAAAATGACAAGACAGGATGACTATTAGTCTCTTGGTTAGCTCCTTGGGCTCTATGTCTCCTTCCTCAGAGAACCTCGTTTTCCTTTGTCCAGATTTGTTAGGGTGGATAATCCAGGCGCTTGCTCCCCCATGATGGAAGCCAAAGACGTCCCTGGAGCCGCCTCCCATTGCACCCTTTCCTGCACTGCCCACATGGACACAACTCAGTCAATTAGACTTCCTCTCGGAACTTTAGTCTTGAGCAAAGGGATTAAAGGGTGAAGTGACTAAAGGTATGCCCTTCCAAAGTGGTACGTGAGCTAATGGCTAAAGTTTGCCAAGCCCATCCAAGCACATTTTTTCGTAATTTTTATTTATTTTATTTTTAAGACAGAGTCTTGCTCTGTTGCCCAGGCTGGAGTGCAGTGGCGTGATCTCGGTTCACTGCAACCTCTGTCTCCCGGCTTCAAATGAGTCTCCTGCCTCAGCCTCCCCAGTAGCTAGGATTAACAGCCATACGCCCCCATGCCTGGCTAATTTTTTTTTTTTTTTTGTATTTTTATTAGAGACAGGGTTTCACCATGTTGGCCAGGCTGGTCTCGAACTCCTGACGTTGTGATTCGCCTGCCTCAGCCTCCCAAAGGACTGCGATTACATGCGTGAGCCACCGCGCCCAGCTTCCAAAAGTTTTAAGCAGAGCTCAGAGGTCTTAAGCACAGGCACATCAGAGGAGCATTTTTGAAATGCTTTCCAGCTTCCTCAATAGGAATGGAAGCCAAATTCCGAATTGATGACTCCTTTGAGGAAGTCGAGAGCTGTAACGAAAGCCAGGAACAGGGGCAAGGGAGGGATGCGTCCCGAATGATCCTGTGCCAATTCTTTCTGGAATCCTTGATGTGATCTCAGCTGCCCTTTCTATACATGACACAGTGATTGTGGCACCCACTGGTCTAGCTGTGGTCTACAAGGAACCCCCAAAGGGAAGGGCACGGTGAGCAGGGCCATCGGCCTGAGTGACGAGGATTTGAGAGGTCAGGTTGGCTGCAGGGAGAGGACTGGCCAAATGCCTTGTGTCTGGACTTAGACTGCCTGGTTCAAATTGGACTTCACCCTTTGTGACTTCGTGATCTGGTACAAGCTACTTGAAAATCTGTTGCGCCTTTTCTGGTCTGTAAAATCATCATGAAATGTGCACTAATAACGTGGAGACTATGCAGATGAAATGAAACCAGCTGCATAGAGCACAGAGCTCAGAGCCTGGCCTTTAGGAAGCCCTCAGTAAGGGTTCATGATGCCATGGTGTCTGTCGTCATCCTCTTTATCCTCATCATCACCTTCATAATCTCTTTGTTGTTTTAGGGAATAATTTAGAGGGACTGATTCCCTGCTATCATGGGTGAGATGTCTATGAAAAGGACAACCAGTGGGGGAGGAAAGGAAAATTTTGAATAAGATTTCTGAGACCCCCCAGCACAACCAAGAACAGAAACTCCACAGTCTGCTGAGCACAGAGTTTGCATATTGGTCTCCTCACATCTGCCCAGCGCATTCTCCTGTTTGTCCTGAGGAGGAGGAAACAAACAAGCCTCCCGACCGTCCCTCAGCACTCACTTGAAGGGGTAGCCTGCCGCTCCACACTTGTGGGTATTTCTAGTCTGGTGGGACGAGAGACTGAGAAAAGAAATAAGACACAGAGACAAAGTATGGAGAAACAACAGTAGACCTAGGGGACCGGCGCTCAGCATACCAAGGATCTGAACCGGCACAGGCCTCTGAGTTCCCTCAGTTTTTATTGATTATGATTTTTATTATTTTAGCAAAAAGGAATGTAGAAGGAGCGCAGGGTGATAATAAGGAGAAGGTCAGCAACGAACATGTGAGCAATACAATCTAAGTCATAAGGAAGTTCAAGGGAAGTTACTATGACTGGACGTGTCTCTAAGCAAGATTTATGTTTCTCTCCACCCAAACATCTCAGTGGAGTAAAGAATAACAAGGCAGCATTGATGCAAACATGTCTCACCTCCCGCGATAGGGCGGTTTTTCTCGCATCTCAGAATTGAGCAAATGTACAATCGGGTTTTATACCGAGACATTCAGTTCCCAGGGGCAGGCAGGAGACAGGGGCCTTCCTCTCTCTCAACTGCAAGAGGCTTTCCTCTTTGACTAATCCACCTCAGCACAGACCCTTTACTGGTGTCGGGCTCGGGGACAGTCAGGTCTTTCTCCTCCCACGAGGCCACTTTTCAGACTATCACATGGGGAGAAACCTTGGACAATACGGAGCTTTCAAGGGCAGAGCTCCCTGAGGCTTTCCACAGTGTATTGTGCCCCTGGTTTATTGAGACTAGAGAATGGCGATGACTTTTACCAAGTATACTGCTTGGAAACATCTTGTTAACAAGGCACGTCCTGCACAGCCCTAGATCCCTTAAACCTTGATTTCATACAACACATGCTTTTGTGAGCTTCAGGTTGGGTCAAAGTGGTTTGTTCAAAGTGACTGGGGCAAAGCTACAGATTAACAACATCTCAGCAAAGAAATTGTTGAAAGTACAGGTCTTTTTCAAAATGGAGTCTCTTATGTCTTTCCTTTCTACATAGACACAGTAAGAGTCTGATCGCTCTTTCTTTTGCCTACACTCACTGAACTGCCCTTCCCCTCTACTGGGCCGTGACCTAGCAGAACAGGTCCACTGACCTCCCTGCATGGAGCACCATGGAGGCTCAGACTCCATCCTTGAGGCTGGCAAGAAGACAGGGTAAGACATGAGCCTCCTGATACAGGTGATGTCTGTGGAGCCCACAGGACTGAAACTTCACACTGCAGGGCTGGAGGCACAGACTGACTATTTACTATTCTGTGCCCTGGGGGCTTAAGGCACAGAGCTCCTCATTAGCCAAAGTCGCCCAAGTTCCCCAACCAAGAAGGATTTCCTCATAACAATGCAAGAAGAAGAAGAGAAAAGTGAGTGTCCATAGAAGTTTGGGGCTCTTCCTCTAATCAGGAGAAAGCTGGTGTGTATTCTTCACTTCTTTCTTTTCTTTTGAAACATCCAACTGCTTTAATTTTAGTCTCTTATTATGGGAAAATATACCACGTGTAAATATTAAAAATTATAAATATATATTAGTTCATATAGAATGGCCAGTATAAACATTTACAATTTCCCCTCTTTTTCAGTTTACAGTTTCATGACATTAAGTACGTTCACATTGTTTAGCAACCATCACCGTCATTGTCTCTGGAACAGTTTTATCTTTCAAAATGGAAATTGCACCCATTTACCAAGCTCTCCACTCCTCTCTCTCGCCCACCCCTGGGGGCCACGTTTCTACTTTGCAACTCTATGAGTTTAACTACTCTAGACACTTGATAGATAAGTGGAATCATACCGTGTTTAATTTTCTTGTTTTGGAGACAGAGTCTTTCTCTGTCACCCAGGCTGGAGTGAAGTGGCGTGATCTCGGCTCACTGTAACCTCCACATCGTGGGTTCAAGCGATTCTTCTGTCTCAGTCTCCCGAGTAGCTGGTATTACAGGCGTGCGCCACCACGCCCAGCTAATTTTTGTATTTTAAATAGAGACCATATTGGCCAGGCTTGTCTCGAAATCCTGACCTGAAGTGATCCGCCTGGCTCAGCCTCCCAAAGTGCTGGGGTTACAGGTGCGAGCCACTGAGCCTCGGCGAGTTTATCCTTTTGGGATTCATGTATTTCACTGACGATAATGTTTGTAAGGTTCATCAACATTGCGGCCTGCGTCAGAAGTGCCTCTCTGTTTTTTTTTTTTTTTTGGTTTGTTTTTTGTTTGTTTGTTCGTTTGACTTTGTTTTGTTTTGTGTTTCCATGGAGTCTCACTCTGTCGCACAGGCTGGAGTGCAGTGGCACAATCTGGGCTCACTGCAACCTCCGCTTCCCGGGTTCCAGCGATTTTTGTGCCTCAGCCTCCCGAGTAGTTGGGACTATAGGTACACGCCACCACGCTCGTCTCATTTTTTGCATTTTCAGTAGAGACAGGGTTTCACCAAGATGACCAGGCTGGTCTTGAATTCCTGACCTCAGGTGATCTGCCCACCTCAGTCTTCCAAGACACTGCGATTACAGGCGTGAGCCACCGCACCGGCCAGAAATGCCTGCCTTTTGAAGGCTGAATAGCCTTCCATTGTATGAAGGAACTGCAGTGTGCTTTTTCATTCATCTGTCCACGAACCCTTGGGTTGCTTCCACATTTTGGCTGTTGTGAATAATGCTGCTATGAATATGGGTGTACACAAATCTGTCTTCCACTCCTGGCTTCTAATTCTTTTTGGTAGGTACCCACAAATGAAACTGCGGGAACATCTGATCATTCTTTTTCGATTTTTCCAGTAGACGCCATACTACTTTCCCCGTTCCTTCACGGTTTTACATTCCCTCCGATCATATTCGAGCATTCTTACTTCCCTCTAGTCTCACCAATGCTTGTTTGTTTATCATATCCATCCTAATGTGTGGTATCACATTCTTGGTTTGATTTGCGCTTCCCTATGATGAGTGACTTTGAACATCATTTTAGATGCTTATTGGCCATTGCTATATCTTCTTTAGGAACACGTCTACTCGAGTCTTCTGACCATTGTTGATGGGATGCTTTGGGTTTCTTGTTGTTTAGTTCTAGCTGTTCTTTATATATGATGGCTATCAGCCTCTTTTCAGATATATGTTTTGCAAATCTTTTTCCTAATCCATGGGTTATCTTTTCACTCAGTTCACAGTGTTTTTTTGCTGCACAAAACTATCTGTCATTTAGATGTAATCCAAGGAATCTAATTTTCTTTTGTTGCCTATGCTTTTGGTGTCATATCCCAGAGAACATTGCCCAATCTGATGTCATGAAAGTGTGGCCAATGTTTTCTTTTAGGTGTATGATACTTTTAGCGCTTGGGGTGAGGTCTTTGATCCAGTTTGTGTCAATTTTTGCACCTGGTGTGACATAGGGTCCACCTTCATTCTTCTGCATGTGGAAATCAAGTTTCTCCAACACCATTTATTGAAAAGGCTGCTTTTCCACCATTGAGCTTTCTTAGCACTCATGTGGAAAATCATTTGAACATATAGGTGAGAAGTTATTTCTGGGCTCCAACAGAAACAAACAACAACAGACAACAGGTAAGGATACAGCATGGGCCGGGCGCGCTCATGCCTGTAATCCCATCACTTTGGGAAGCCGAGGCTGGCGGATCACCTGAGATCAGGAGTTGAAGACCAGCCTGACCGACAGGGAGAAACCCCCGTCTCTACTACAAATACAACATTAGCTGGGCGTTCTGGCACATGCCTGTAATCCCAGCTACTCGGGAGCTGGAGGCAGGAGAATCGCTTGAACCCAGGAGGCAGAGGTTGCGGTGAGCCAAGATTGCACCATGACACTCCAGCCTGGGCAACAAGAGCGAAACTCCATCTCAAAACAAAAAACAAAAAACAAAAAACCAGCATGATTTCAAGAGCAGAAAGAGAAGAGCTTAAAAACCAGCATAATGAGAAAGTTAGGAAGCTTCTTACCAAAGCATCTGGAAATATGCAAGCAGTTCTTGTGAACTAAAATTTTCATACTGTACTATCAAACACTAGAACTCACTTATTCCATCTTTCTGTATTTTGGGACCCAATTATCCACTTGTCTTCATTCCCTATCCCACCCCTTTTCTTCCTAGCATCTTCTGATCACCTTTATACTTTCCATCTTCCTGAGATTCCTTTTGTGTGTAGGTGTGTGATGGAGTCTCTTTCTGTTGCCCAGGTTGGAGTACGCAGGCACAATCTGGGCTCACTGCAAGCTACACCTCCCGAGTTCAAGCGCTTCTTGGGCCTCAGCCCTCTGAGTAGCTGAGACTACAGGCACGCATCACGAAGCCCGGCTCATTGCTTGTGTTTTCCGTAGAGACGGGGTTTCACCATGTTGGCCAGGCGGGTCTCGAACTCCTGGACTCAAGTGATCCGTGCAACTCGGCCTCCCAGGGTACTGGGATTACAGGCCTGAGCCACCACACCTGGCCAAGGTGTCCTTTTTCCTTCCTACATAGAAGTGAGGACATGAAATATTTGTCATTCTGTACCTGGCTTATTTCATTTAATATAAATACCTGCAATCTCATCCATTTTGTCTGCAGCGGAGAGGAGTTTCTTCCCTTTTAGGCTGAATAATACTTCACTGGGTGTGTATACCACAGTTTCTTCATTGAAACAAATTTCTGAAGAGCAAATATTTTTTAAATGTCTCAGAATGTGAAACTTCAGGGATACTGTGCCCATTTTATTCTTTTCTATTTCCCATCTTATGTATATGCAAGTGTACCACAAAGCAGCAGTCAATGTGTGTATAAATCTACAACTTCAACAAATGTAAAATGTAAATGCTGAGTGGTGGCTGGGCGCGGTCGCTCATGCCTGTCATCCCAGCACTTTGGGGGGCGGAAGCGGGCGGATCACCTGAGGTCGGGAGTTCAAGACCAGCCTGACCAAAATGGAGAAACACTGTCTCTATTAACAATACAAAAAAAAAAAAAAAATTATCCAGGCATGTTAGCGCTTGCCTGTAATCCCAGCTACTTAGAAGGCTGAGACAGGAGAATTGCTTGAATACGGGAGGCAGAGGTTGCAGTGAGCCGAGACCGTGACATTGAACTCCAGCCTGGGCAACAAGAGTGAAACTCTGACTCAAAAAATTAGGAAAAGAAAGAAATAGAAAATGCGAAATGGTAAGAAAAAACAGCATAATAAACATTTGTATGGTGTTGATGGACAATGCATTTGAAGATAATAATTGAAGAAATCATATTACAATTAATTTCTGTTCTCACTCATTGGAGCTTGATGCCTCTAAAAACTTCATCATTGGAACCACCTGTGGTGCTTTAAAAGAAAAAAAAAAAAAAAAATCCACATACTCACACAGGTGCAAGGAAATCTGAATCTCAGGTATTGAGACCCAGGCCTCATCATTTGTAAGCTCCCCAGGTGAGTTGACTCAAAACCAAGATTGAGAACGGCGACATGGATCTCTACACTTAACCTGCCTAAATAGATTCTCTAGAAGCAGTTTATAAAGAAATTCCACATGAACTGTGGAAGAGGATATGAATTTGATGTACAGTATGTCCTCACTTAACATCTTTGAAAGTCTCTTGGAAACTTCACCTTGAAGCAAAATTATGTATAGTGAAACCACTTATTTTTCACCAACAGTATAACTACACAACTTTGAACAACCAATTGTGTTGGAGGACCTCCTGTACATTTTTTCCATAAAGTCAGTTTTCAGGGAATTCCAAAACGAAGTGAGGACTTCGTGTATATAAAAAGATGGTTGTGATTCCACCTGGATGACAAGGTTGTTGTTCAGAAACTAAAGGAGGCCGCCTAGGTATAGAGGATTCTGTCATGAGGTTTCTGCAAAACAAAGGGTCCCAGAATCTTCACCCATTCCAGTGAAAGGCATAACGAAGAAAGCAATATTCACAAAGGAAATGCGGAAAGGAATAAAAGCCATCAGCCACAAAAAGAATGTGACTAAGAGGCAGGATTTGCAGATGTAGAGATTTAATGTGGTTGCCCTTTCTCACCCACACAAGAAAAACGATGGAACAGATCATGAGATTCGACTGTTCTGCTGCGCAGCCTCCGCAGGGCACTTTGTATGTTCCTGTTTCTCAGGCTATAGATGAAAAGGTTCAGCATGGGGGTGACCACAGCGTACATCACTGACGCCACCACACCATTCCTGGGGGGTGGTGACACAGCTGAAGTCAGGTACATGCCAATGCCTGTTCCATCAAATCAGCAAACAACTGCTAGGTGAGAGGCACAGGTGGAGAAGGATTTATACTTCCCATCTGACGATGAAATCCTTAGAATGGAGGGGACGATTTTATAGTAAGCCATAGGATCCCTGAAATGGGAAGAAAAGCAAACATAGTACTATCGAAATATATGAAAATGATATTGATGACGCTGTCAGAACAGGCAAGTTTGAGAAGTTGAGAGGGGTCACAGACAAAATTAGAGATTTCCACATTCTTGATGATGTTGAATTGTAACACAATTCAACTGTGCAGCTGGGAATCCAACAGGCTAAGAAAAAAGGACACCAAAACGAAGAAGACACAGAGGTGAGGATTCACGATGACTGGGTAGTGCAGAGGGCGACAGATGGCTACAAAGCAGTCATAGGCCATCACAGTCAGGAGCATGCCTTCTATACATGCAAAAAAGACCAAGAAATACATCTGCGTCAGGCAGCCCGCATGAGGGATGACTCTGCTATGCGACTGCATGTCCACAATCATCGTGGGAACCGTGGCCGAGGTGAAACCGATGTCAGCCCAGCACAGGTTGGAGAGGAAGAAGTACATGGGGGTGTGGAGGGGAGAGACAGAGCTGACAGTCAGGATGCTGAGCAGGTTCCTCATCACCGTGACCAGATACATGGACAGGGACAGGGAGAGCAAAGCGAGGACCGGTTGCAGTTCTGGATCCTCTGAGAGTCCCAGGAGGAGGAATTCTCAGACATCTGTGAGATTCCGTGGCTCTGTGTGTCTTGGACACCTTGAGAAGGAAAGAGGATTGGAAAAATAAACGATAAAAACCAGCCTTTAATGCTGGATGCAAGCAATTCACAAGGAACAGTTTCACACTTGCGGACCATACATCGCCAGCAATGTTTCTCAGTTATGACAATTCCAAAAAATCTCAGAATTATTACGTGATTTACTTTTTTGCTATACAAGGCTTTCTGTACATACTACTTTAGAGAAAATCCACTGAAGAATATTAGAAGACCAAAACGTCATATATAACAAATCCGTGATCTCAGTAAAATACGGCCTACTCTTTTCAGAAAAAATACAATGCCATGACAATATCCTTCTCTCTTTAGGAAAAACATCTCAGTCTAATTGAAAAAATTAAGAAGCCATGAAATACACTCTACTTTATTCTGACACCGTGCTACAACTTCCATTGATGTAGAATATGTAAAAGGACGACACAAGAGCTAGGACCCCATTATCTGAAAACGAAATCAAACCTTATAGTTATCAATCGGAAGACCTTTTCACATGCCTGTTACTTTTTGTATTTATTATCATCCTTCGGTTTTCTGACACCATTTCTTCATAAAAGTACATACACACTCAAAGACGGGAGCTGAGTTTCCAAATGAATTGAATATATAACTCTTGGCCCAGCACCATGGCTCACACCTGTAAACCCAGCACTTTGGGCGGCTGAGGCTGATGGATCACCTGAGGTCAGGAGTTCCAGACCAGCCTGGCCAACGTGGTGAAACCCCGTCTCCAGTGAAAATAAAAAAACATTAGCCGGGCATGGTGGCGGGTAACCCTAGCTACTCGGGAGGCTGAAGCAGGAGAATCCCTTAGAACCTGGAAGACAGAGATTGGACACCCTGTGATAGGATTTTTGATATCCTAGGGAGATATTGCTCCAGACAGCAGAATGGGCGTACACCCTCTGATATTATTTGTAATATCCTAGAAAGATATTGCTCCTAATATCACGCTGGCTCTACACCCTGTGAACTTAATTGTAATATCCTACAGAGATATTACTCCTAATAATACAGTGGGTGTACACCCTGTGATATTATTCATAATATATTACAGAGATAAGACTCCTAATATCAAGGTGAGTGTACACCATGTTGGTACACCCTGTGATCTTATTTGTAACAACTTAGAAAAATATTACAGCTAATATCAAAGTGGGTGTACACACTGCGATGTTATTTGTTATCTACTAGGTAGACATTACTCCTAATATCACAGTGAGTGTACACCATGTGTGTACAGACAGTGAAATTATTCGTAATACCCTAGGAAGATATTACTCCTCATATCACAGTGGGTGTACACCGTGAGTGATTTTTTTTCTAATATCTAGTGGGGGAGAGGATGATATTGCTTCTAATATCACAGAAGGTGTACAACCCCCTGTGATATTATTCCTAATATCCAGGGAAGGAGAGGATGACATTATTCCCAATATCACTAGGGGTGTACCACGTCTCGCCGGGATATTGTTCTTAATATCCGGAGGTGGAGAGAATCATGTTACGCCCAATATCACAGGGGGTGTACACCACCCCTGTGTGTAAACACCCCCTCTGATATTGTTCCAAATGGCCTGTGAAAGAGTAACCATGACTCCCATTATCGCGGGGGGTGTTCAGCCCTGATGATATTGTTTTCTAACATCCAAGGATGGAGAGTATGCTATTACTCCCAATATCGCAGGGGTTGTACACCCTTTTGTGTTTTTGTGCCCAATGTCCAGGAAAATAGAGGATGATGTTACTCCCAATGTCAAAGTAATTGTACAGCACCCCTGTGATATTCTCCCTAATATCCAGAAAGGAAAAGAATGATATTACTCGCAACAGAGTAGGAAACGTATACCCGCGCTGTGGTATCTTTCCCAGTATCCAGGTGGGGAGAGGATCATATTACTTCCAATGTCGCAGGGTGTGTACACCCCCACTGTGATCTCGTTGCTAACATCCAGATTTGGGGAGGAAGACCCAGACCTCCACCCACCCAGAGTAGGTACGCCCAAGAACTAGTACATACTTGTTACCTCCACACTTTGGCATCTCTGTGAAGTCCACCTGGAGACCTTCAAAGGGGGCTGCTCCATAAGCTCGTATGCCGGGCGGAATGGCTGGACCTTGCCTCGCATCATGCTGTCAGCAGGTAACACATCGCTGCCTCACGGTTTTGGCAAGGGCTGACAAAGGCGAGATGTAGAAATACCGGCCTAACAACTTTTCCAGTGACTCCTGACCTCGATGGGTGGTTTCTTGCACAGCCAGTACAACTGCAGCTCCTAGCAGCTGTGGCGCAGCTACTCTCCCATCTGGTAACCGAATCCATCCTTCCTCCATCACTTGTCCTTCCCTCTACTTGGAGAAAGTCCTTTTCTTCTTTAGAAGAAGTAGGTCCAAGATCAGGTGCTTGAGGGAGCACTGATGCCCAGAAGGGGGCAGATGCTGCTTTTCGAGCCTCTGAGTCAGCGCGGGAATTCCCCAAACCCAGCAAGGTGGAAGCTCGCTGGTGTCCTCTGCAATATATAACTGCCACCTTGTGGGGTTTCCATACTGTTTCTAATCATTGCAAGATTTCCTGTTGATATTTTATGCCTTTTCCCCCAGAGTTCAATAGGCCCTTTTCTTTCTATCACGCTCCATGTACTTGAAGGGTTCAAAAGACATACCGAGAGTCAGCGTAAATGTTGACAGTCTCATACTCACTGAGTTCTAAGGCCCGAATGAAAGCAATGAGTTCAGCTTTCTGGGCTGAAGTGGCCTGGGGCAATGATCTGCCTTCAACAACAGTGTCCAGGGTTATCACTGCATACCCTGCACCTCTCTCTCCTTGGGGGTTGAAGAAGCTGCTCCCATCCACGTATAGTTCCCAGTCTACTGATGGCCAAGGCTGGCCCTGGAGGTCAGGTCTGCTAGAGTCAATTGTGTCCAACACTTCTACACAACCAGACTCGACAGGGCTCTCTGATACCGGGAGCAAGGTGGCGGGATGTAGGCTGTTACAAATTTCAATGGTTATACGGGGATTTTCACAGAGCAAAATTTGGTACTTGGTGAGTCTGGCATTCGTTAGCCAATGATGTCCTTTAGTATTCATTAAAGTCACCACAGCATGGGCGGCCTTTCTCTTCAGGTTCTGCCCAAGAGTCAGCTTATTTGCTTCTTGTACTCGCAGGGCAGTTGCTGCCAAGGCCTTCCAACAGGGGGGCCATCCTTTAGAAACCCCGTCTAGTTGTAGAGAGAGGCAGGCCACCGGCCTCGGCCAGGGCCCCACAGTTTGGGTTCAAAGTCCAGCTGCCATCTTTTCTCTCTCTGATGCATACAATGGAGAAGGCTTTGTCAGATCGGGTAGCCCCAGGGCTGGGGCTGACATAAGTTTCTCCTTTAACTCATGAAAGACTTGCTGTTGTTGGGATCCCCATTCAAAAAGTTCCCGGTCCCCGCCCCCTTGGTGACCTCATAAAAAGTCTTGGCTAATACTGCAAAGTTTGGGATCCGCAGTCTACAAAACCCCACAGCTCCTGAGAATTCTCTCACCTGCCTTCTGCTCTTAGTCTCTGCTAGATTGCAAATGACCTGCTTTCTTTCTGATCCCGGGCTGCGTTCCCCCTGTCGGATAGTAAATCCCAAGGAACGCACCTGCTGTCGGCAGATCTGAGCTTTCTTCTTGGACACCTTACACCCACAGTCCTCCAGGTGTCGACGTAGGGTAATCCGTTCCCTTGGCGCACCCGACTTCCGTGGGATGTCCCAGCAAAAGCTCATCCACCTAGCGGAGCAACTCGCAGCCTATGTCTCTGGTGGGAAACTTCTGGAGGTCTCGAGCCAACGCCTCACCGAAGATGGTGGGGGAGTTCTTGAACCCTTTGGGAAGCCCGGTCCAAGTGTACTGAGTAGTGACACCTGACTCCGGATCTTTCCACTGAAAGGCAAACAGCTTCTGGCTCTCAGGGGCTAATCTGATAGGAAAGAAAGCGTCTCTCAGGTCCAAGCAGGTGAACCAGCTGTCGTCAGCTGGCAGCAACCCCAACAATGTGGATGGGCTAGGTACTGTTGGATGGAATGTCAGGATAGCTTGACTAAGCAAGCGCGAATCCTGTCCCGGCCTGTAGTCCTTGGTCCATGGCTTGGGAACAGGCAGGAGGGGAGTATACCGTGGAGACTGACAAGGAACTATCATACCAAAAGTTCTTAGGTGCTTAAGATGGACCTGGATACCTTGAAGAGCTTCTCTGGGGACCGGGTCCTGTTTTTGCCTAAGCGGCTGGGCCCCAGTCTTAACTGGCCAATCCTGGAGGGTTGTCTTCTGCCCGTACTCTTGGCCACCGCTTAGCCAGAGCTGGTCTTCTCTCTTGGCCCGGCTCAGTTCACAAAAGTCTTCATTCCTCCTCTCGGGGGACGGTAAGGGTCATAATGACTCCCGTGGCGGGTAACTTTAGCAGCAAAGAGCTGTGTTCTGTCAAAGAGAGAGCAGCTCTCAGCTTGCTAAGCAAGTCCCTTCCCAACAAGGGCAAGGGACAGTCAGGCATGTACAAAAACTGATGAATCACTTGATGTCCTCCTACACTGCAAGTCCCAGGCAAGCAGAAAGCTTGCTTTGCTGAAACCCCCGTGGCTCCGGTGACGTTAATAGTCTTTCTGGATAAGGGGGCGACCAGGGCAGTTACTAGCGAATGTTCAGCACCGGTATCTACAAGAAAATCAATGTCTCCACCCTCGACTGTCATTCTGACCAGAGGCTCTTTGGGGACACTTTAGCCCGGTCTCCCTCAGTCCAATAACCCTTCTGCCATGTTGAGCCGGGCCCCTTCCTCCTTGTCCGGGGCCTCCTGCTCTAAGTCACCTTGTTTTCTTTTGAGCTGAAGGCATTTGTTCTTCCACTGTCCTATTTCTTTACAATAAGCACACTGGTTACGCTGCAAACTCGGACAGCCAAGCTGAGTTTCTTTCCCAAGGCCCCCCTTCCCTTGCTTCTTTGGGGGGACAGCTCTGATTACTGCAGCTAACAAACAGGTCAGCGTTTCACCAGGCCTGACCTTCATTCTCTTTGCGCTTTCCCTCGCGGCTTACTGCATCCCTGTTTACAAACACCTGCTTAGCTATTTCTCATCAAGGTTATGTATTCATCCCTGCAAGCCCAGCCTGCTTCTGCAGTTTTCTTCTAACGTCTTCCGCTCTTTGACAGACTAAAGCCATGTGAATCATGCGCTGATTTTCAGGGTTATTGGGATCAAGGGGAGTATACATATCATAGGCCTCACAGTCTCTGGTAAAATTGTGCTGGACTTTCTTCTTTTCCCTGAATGACCTCAGAGACCTTGTTAACGTTTGTGGCCTTCTGAGCTCCCCTCTTGAATCCTTCCAAGAGCGCTTCCCTGTCTCGGTTTAGCCTTTGCATATCCTCTCTTTCATGTGGGCCCAACTGGGGGTGGTTTCCTGGTAACTGGGTCCTTCCATACTCTTGGGGGTTTTGATAATCAGCTGGTGCATGTTCCTCTAGCCACTTACTTGCTGCTTGGAGCCCTCTCCGCCTTTCGCCTTTCATCTCTCTTAAAGAGTAACATGAGCAACCGGTGACGATCAGCCCAGGTGGGGTTGTGGGTCTGGATAACAGTTTGGAGCAAATCAATTAGGGCTTGCGGCTTTTCGCTCTAGGACGGCGTATTGTTTTCCCGGTTGAGAAGGTCGGCAGAGGTGAAGCGCTTTTACACAAAAACACGCCTCTCCACCACGTGAGCATCCTCCTCTCTCCCAGTATGCCGCTGCTCTCTCAGGGGCATTTGGATCCCCGTTTTGGGTCGTAAACGAGCTGCCGAGGAAGGGGTGGAATGGCGCAATGTTACTTACCACAATTAATAATCTCAATTATTAATTGATACTGATAATTGTCAATATTAATAACTGATCATATAATTCTTAAAATCAATACCGATAATAATGATAATTCATATTAAAGAGTTATACTCACATTAACAATAAATGATGAATATTAATGATTAATGACTCCTGGTCTTAAAGAGTGATATTGATCTTATTCATTAGAAAACTGTCATATTAGCTCCTAATAATTAACATTAATTTTAATAATCTGAACACTATTTTTAGCAATGATTTCTTAATATTAATATTAATATTGGTAATACATATTCATGCTAATAAATGAGGAAGAATTAATAAGAATATTATCCCTAATACCTCAGTGGGTGTACACCCACCTGTGATATTGTTCCTAAAGTCCAGGGAGGGAGAGAGCATGACATGACGTTCAATATCGCAGTAGGTGTACCCCCACCCGGTGATATTGATCCGAATATCATCTCCAGGGGGTGGCGTATGACGTTACTCCCAAGATAGTGGGTGTGCATCCACCCGGTGATATTCCTCCTAATATTCCCGGAAGAAGAGAATGCTATTACTCCCAGTATCTCAGGAAGTGTACAACCCTTCCGTGACATTGTTCCTAATATCCGGAGGGGGAGAGGGTGCTAGTACTTGCAATATCGCAGGCTGTGTACACCCACCCTCTGATATTGTTCCTAGCAGCCAGGAAGTGACAGGACGATATGACTCCCCATACAGCAGGAGGTGTACACCCATCCTGGGATACTATTCCTAATATCCATGGAGAGGAGAGGCTGATATGACTCCCAATATCGCAGGGGGTGTACATCCAGTCTGTGATATTGTTCTTAATATTCAAAGGTGGAGAGGTTGATATTACTCCCAATATCACAGAAAGTGTACAAACCCGTGTACTATTGTTGCTATTATCCAGAAGAAGAGAAGATGATATCACCACCCCCATCGCAGGAGGTGTACACCCACTCTGTGATATTTTTTCCAGTGTGCAGGGCAGGGGATGATAATACTCTTCTTCACAGCACAGGGTGTGTACAACCCCACTGTGATATGGTTCTTAATATTCCAAGGCAGAGAGGATGATCTTACTCCCAATACCGCAGAAAGTGTACACAACCCCAGTGATATGGTTCCCATGATCCAGGAGAGAAGAGGATGATGTTACTTTCAATATCGCACGGGGTGGACACGCTCCCAGTAATATTGTCCCTAATTTCAACGTGGGAGAGGATGATACTACACGGAATGCCCCTAGGGGTAAAAACACTCCTGTGATATTGTTCTTAATATCAAGGGGAAAGAGGATGCTATTACTCCAAAGAGCGCAGAGGATGTGCACTCGTCTGTGACATAGTTGGTAATTTCCAGAGGCGGAGAAGATATTACTGACAATAACGTGAACACGCTGTGTGACCACTGTAGATCTTCATATCCAGGGGGGGAGTGATATGACTCCCCGCATCGCGGGGGGCGCCCGCCCCCCTGCGACGTGAATCGTCATATCCAGAGGGGGGTGATATGACTGCCCGCATAGCGGGGGCCTCACCCCCTTGCGATGGGGGTCCTAAGAGCCAGGGGGGATAGGGGCTGGCTCTTACTCCCCGTACCCGGGGTGGGGCCTCAACCCCCTGCGATGGGGCTCCTAAGAGCCAGTGGGGGAGAGGGGCTGACTCTTACTCCCCGCATCGCAGGAGGTGTGTACAACCCCTGTGATATTGGGAGTAATATCATCCTCTCCCCCTGAATATAAGAAACAATATCACAGGAGGATGTACACCCCCTGCGATATTGGAAGTAACATCATTTTCTCCCCCTCCGGATATTCGGAACAATATCACAGTGGGTGTGTACAGCCCCTGCAACATTGCCGCTAGTATCTTCCTCTCCTTCCCAGGATAGAAGGAGGAATGTCACAAGAGGGTGTACACCCCCTGCGATATTGGCTGTAATATCTTCCTCTCCCCCGCTGCCCTTTAGGAGCAATGTCACACAAGGGGTGTACAACCCCGGCTATATTGGGAGTGATATCATCCTCTCCGTCCCTGGATATTAGGAACAATATCACTAGGGAGTGTACACATCCTGCAATATTCAAACTAATACCATCCTCTCTCCCCCTGGATATTAGGATCAATATCACAAGGTTGGTGTGCACCCCCGGCGAAATTGGAAGAAATATCATCCTCTCCACCTTTGGATGTTAGGGACAGTATCACGGGGGAGGTCTCCGCCCCCTGCGATATTGGGAGTCATATCATCCGCTCCCACCCAGGATATTAGGAACAAGATAACCGAAGGGATGTACACCCACTGCGCTATTTTCAATAATATCATCCTCTACCCCCCGGCTATTAGGAGTAACATCATAGAGGGGTATACACTTTCTGCGATATTGGGAGTAATATTCTCTCCCCCACGGATATCGGGAACAGTTCTATTAATTATTAATATTAATAGATATAATAACAATTAATAGTAATCATCAATATTAATAATTACAGTAGAGACATTAAAACAGTACGGATGAAAAATATTAATGGTTACTATTAATAATAGCAATATCACTATTAATAATAAAATAGTGGTATCACTAATGTTACTTCAATCAATCATAAGTGAAGTTGGTAATAAAGCAATAATTAATATTAAGATTAATAACTAATATTAAAAGTGACATTAATATTAATAATTAATTTTAATATGCATAATCATATCTAGAAAATAATCACTAATGATTAATAACGTTATACTGTTAATTAATATTACCATTGATTATTTATAAGACTGATGTTTAATAATTCAGAATATTATTACTGCTAATACCACAGGGGGTGTACACCTACCTGTGATATTGTTCCTAATATCCAGGGATGGAGAGCATGATATTAGTTTTCATACTGCAGTAGGTCTACGCTCACCCTGTGACACCCATCCTAATACCCAGCGGGTAGAGTATGACATGACTGCCAACATAGCAATCAAGGTACAGCCACGCGGTGATATCGCTCCTAATATTCACGGAAGAAGCGTATGAAATTACTCCCAATATCGCAGGGAGTGTACACCTCTTCTGTGATATTCTTCCTAGTATCCCGAGGGAGAGAGGGTGATAATAATTCCAGCATCGCAGGCTGTGTTCACCCAGCCTGGGATATTGTTATTAATATCCTGAAAGGGAGAGGATGATATTACTCCCCATAATAGATAGATATGACTCCCCATAATAGAGCACGAGGTGTACACCCACCCTGTGATATTCTTCCTAATATTCAGAGGCCGAGAGGTTGATATTACTCCCAATATCGCAGGAAGTATACACCCCCGTGTGAGATGGTCCTTCATAATATTCCAAGGCTGAGGGGGTGATATGACTACCTATATGGCAGAAAGTGGACACCCCCCAGGGATATTTTTCCCATGATCCTGGAGGGAAGAGGATGATATTACTTTCAATATCACAGAAGGTGGACACGCCCCCACCGATAATGTTTCTAATTGCCACGTGGGAGAGGAGGTTATGACACGCGATAACCGAGGGAGTGGAAACACCCCTGTGATACTCTTCTTAATATTCAGGGAGGAAGAGGATGATATTACTCCCAATACAGACGGGTGTACACCCTCTGTACACCGAGGGTGTACACCCGTCTGTGAAACAGTTCATAATCTCCAGAGGGGGAGATGATATTGCTCACAATATGGTAAACAGGCTGAGTCCACCGCGGATCCTAAAAACCAGGGGGGGAAGAGGGGCTGGCTCTTACTCCCCGCATCGCGGGGGGTGCCTCACCCCCTGCGATGGGGGTCCTAAGAGCCAGCGGGGGAGAAGGGCTGTTCCCGACGTTGGGGCACTGAAGTCCTTGTTTTCTTGCAAGCTGCCATCGGGGACCACTCTCGGCTCCCAGGGGCCCCCTTGTAGGTGGCCCATGGCCACTTGCCCTACTCCAAGCCTGCAGAAGAGCGCCTCTCTGCCATGTCCCTTTCTTTTAAAAGACTTGCCTGACTGGTTCAGGTCCATTAGGTACCATCCCATTTGATTAGCTCAAAAGTACTGTAGCCCATCACATTCACTCACAGGAGGGCATTAGCGGGGTGTAGACACCAGGGAGTGAGAATCTCTCAGGCCAGTTTAGCATTCAGTTGGTTAGCCAGGTTCAGTGGCTCACGCCTGTAATCCCAGCACTTTGGGAGGCCGAGGCGGGCAGATCACCTGAGGCCAGGAGTTCGAGACCAGCCTGGCCAACATGGTGAAACCCAGTCTCTACTAAAAATACAAAAATTAGCCAGGCGTGGTGGTAGGCGCCTGTAATCTCAGCTACTTGGAAGCCTGAGGTAGGAGAATCGCTTGAACCTGGGAGGTGGAGGTTGCAGTGAGCCGAGATCGTGCCATTGCACTCCAGCCTGGGCGATACAGCGAGTCTCAAAAATAAATAAATGCGAAGGCTGCTGGGCGCAGTGGCTCATGCTTATAATCTTGGCACTTTGGGAGGCCGAGGCAGGAAGACTGCTTAAGGCCAGGAGTTTCAGCCTAGAATGGACAGTACAGTGCAACTCTATCTCTAAGTAAAATAAAATAAAATAAAATAAAATAAAATAAAAATAAAATAAAATAAAATAAAATAAGTAAAATAAGAATTCAGTTGGTTAAAAGAAAATCACTAGGTCCAGCCCGCAATCAAGGGATGGAAATTACACAAAGTTGTGAAGAGTCAAGGGTGGGAGATCGCTGGCAGCCCTTATAGAAGCTGCCTATCTCACATACCTGTTGGACAGCTTCTCTCTCCTAGCTGGGGGTATTTGGAGCGGGTGTCGAATCCTGCTCTTTTGTATGTCTGTTGCCTTTTCTCGCGGTGATGTGTTTCCTGTGTGTTCTGTAATTTTGGATCGTGAGCTCAGCTTCAGAGGGGCTTTATGTGGGGAATCCTGGGTGGCCAGATTTGAGGGAGCCACCTAGAGAGGTTTTCTATTTGGCTTTTCCAGGGGCCCCAGGGTACCACTAAGCCAAGGCAACTTTTTTTTTTGAGACAGAGTTTCACTCTTATTGCCCAGGCTGGAGTGCAGCGGTGCAATCTCAGCTCACTGCAACCTCTGCCTCCCAGGTTCAAGCTATTCTCCTGCCTCAGCCTCCTGAGTAGCTGGGATTACAGGCACAGAAGATGTGGTTAATTTTTTGTATTTTTAGTGGAGACGAGGTTTCACCATGTTGGCCAGGCTGGTCTCGAACTCCTGACGTCAGGTGATTCACCTGCCTCAGCCTTCCAAAGTGCTGGGATTAAAGGCGTGAGCCACCACACCGGGCCCAAAGCAACTTTTTAGTGTTAGTTTCTCAACTCTGGCATTCCTAGACCACACAGGTAGCATGACTTCATTGTAGGAGTTCCACATTTATATAAGAGAGGCCTGAAAATGCAACGATCTCATGGGAAACTTGTTCACCACCTAAAGCTCAAATTTTCTCACCTCTCTCTGTTCCCCTGGGTGGAAATGTTTCTGTCCCTTTCTCTAAAGGTGTTGCATTTCTGTGGTCCCAAATTCATCATGCTTGACTGTAACCCTGACCACCTGCCTTGTAAGGGTTTCCAATGCTCAACCCAGCCCTGCCCTCAGGCAGTTGCAACACCAGCTCCTCTGTCCCCACCTTGGTTCTCATTCCCCTCTTCACTTCTGGCCTTAGGGGACTTAACTTATTTTCTGAAGAACTCAGCTATATATTTATTTTATTTTATTTTATTTTATTTATATATTTTTTGAGATGGAGTTTTGCTCTTTTGCCCAGGCTGGAGTGTAATGGCGTGATCTTGGCTCACTGCAACTTCTGCCTTCCGGCTTCAAGCGATTCTCCTGCTTCAGTCTCCTAAGTAGCTGAGACTACAAGCGCCTGCCACCACTCCTGGCTGATTTTTGTATTTTTAGTAGAGATGGGGTTTCACCATTGGCCAGGCTGGTCTCGAACTCCTGGCCTCAGGTGATCCACCCGCCTCAGCCTCCCAATGTGCTGGAATTACAGGCGTGAACCACCATGCCCAGCCTCAGCTCTATAGTTAAAAGGACATTTGTTTCTTACCCAGCATTTCTAGGTGTCTTGAAGAGGGAGACTTCTCAGGTTATCTAACCTGCTACTGAGAACTTAAAGATAGGGAAAATCTTGGACTGGAGATTCTTGGAATCACATAATTGAAAAATCACAGCCGGGCGTGA
Source organism: Homo sapiens (assembly GCF_000001405.40). NCBI lineage: Eukaryota > Metazoa > Chordata > Mammalia > Primates > Hominidae > Homo > Homo sapiens. The sequence continues at coordinate 9,500,842 of NC_000004.12, read as the reverse complement.
TGGCTCACGTCTGTAATTCCAGCACTTTGGGATGCCGAGGCAGGTGGATCACCTGAGGTCAGGAGTTTGAGACCAGCTTGGCCAACATGGTGAAACTTCGTCTCTACTAAAAATACAAAAAAATTAGCCTGGCTTGGTGGTGGGCGCCTGTAATCCCCACTACTCGGGAGGCTGAGGTAGGAGAATCGCTTGAACCCAGGGGACGGAGGTTGCAGTGAGCTGAGTTCACGCCATTGCACTCCAGCTTGGGTAACAAGAGTGAAACTCCGTTGCGAAAAAAAAAAAAAAAAAAGAAAAGAAAAAGAAACATCCCCACAGTGCAGATCGACAAAATCACAGAGTTGCTTTGGGAGCGAGGGTGGCAATCAGACACGGAGGCCATGACACAACCTGCTCGTCCACTCAGTGGTCCAGAACCTCCACCCAGTCACCTTATCCGAGGGTGATGGAGACAGGGGAGGTGCCACCTACGCCAGTGTCATCTCTTACAATGAGCTCTTCTCCTGCTCGAAAAGAGCCAGCCTGCTGAGCTTGCTGCCAGGGCCCGTCGCACTGCCTGCGCTGTGTTTCCCGTCGCACAGCCTGTGATGTGTGTTTCCTGTTGCACGGCCTGTGATATGTGTTTCCCATCATGTGTGCACGTGCGTTGTCATGTAGTGTCTGTCACAGGTGTTACCCGCCACGTGTGTTTGCATGTTGCATGTGTGTGGCCTATCAGGTGCAAATATGTGTTGTCTGGCACATGTCACCATCTGGGCATTCTCCATGTGCCAGGAGCAGCCAGGTGGCCTGTGAAGCCTTCTCATGGGAAATGCCCAGGTAGGAAGAGCACAGCCAGGAGCCAAACCCCCGAGTGGCCACTCTATGTGCCTGGATCACCTTCAAGTCTGCTCAACATCAGAGCCTCTGTTCCTTGGCACCATGGACAATGGAATTGACTCAGAACTGGGAAGAGCTGTAGGCCCACTATCCAGGCACCCGCTCCCCGTTTGCCCAGCATCCCAGGGGCCAACACCCTTCCAAATATCACCTTGCCCTCCATTCAGAGGTGAATCATCCGAGCTTCAGTTTGCCCAACTCCGACTGGTTTTGCTGGAAGCTGCCAGGAGGATGTCGCCAGCCACCTCCAGAGAACACTCAATCTACAGATGCTGAGGGGGAACTGGAAGCACACAGTGCTGGCCTTCACCCAGCTTACGGTGGCACCTCGGGACCGCTTCTGAGTCTGCTTTTCACTGAAGGTCGGCGTGAGGAAGGCAGCGTTCCCTCCCAGATTTAGAAAATGTCAAGTCTCCCACCGCACCCTTTTGTGTTTCTTACAGGGCCTGGGGTGCTTGCAGCCACCACACTAAGGGCTCCAACATGTTCCCTCACACACTCAACAGAGAAGGAACCTGTGGCTCATATGGGAGACTCCCTGTCCAAGGCCACAGAGTCTGGCCCCAGGGCCCACTAGAGGCTTCAAGAACCAAACTCACATGAGGGCAGAGAGGAGAGATGGGGCCAGTTTAGGGCTGGGAGAATCCATAGAGCTATGCTGAGGCAGGCATGGAGCCTGGAGGTACGGACGAGGGTCTCGCCAAAGTCAGGGGAAGAGAGGCTGTGGGGAGTGAGGAATGGTGTGGGCCAGCCCCGGGCCTGCTGGGGTGCAGCTGGGGGCTCCATGGCCCTCCCACGGCCCCCACTTGTCCTCACCCAACTGTTCAGAGCTCTTCATGGCGGGGGTGTCCCTCTCCTCTGGCCACAAGAAGAGCGGGTGGAGGAACGGCACCTTCAGGTCTTGTAGGGGGTCTGCCCCTCCACCAGCCTGTTTCTCGTGGGCATCGCAGCTGAGGCTGTAGCCGGGAAAGGGTAGTAACCGAGCGTACCTGGCCTCCAACCACCACTTCCAAGGCCCCTACTGGGCACAGGGTGACCCCACCGTGGCTTGGAAGTGGACCCTGTCCGACGTGGGGGTGGTCGCTGGAGGGCCGAGGATGCCTACACAGGCACGTGGAGGGTGTGAATCCAGAGTCTGTCTCGCCCTCTGGACCCATGGGGGGCCAGCAACGCCGTCACACCCTCCTCTGTCTCTGCCAGCCGCTCCGCCACTCCCTTCTCCTGGCTGGGGCTGGCAAAGGCAGGCAGGTATGGGGGGCGGGGCCTCAGGAGGGAGGAAGGGCTGGTGGGCGGGGCCTACGGACACCTCGCCCCGCCCCAGTAGGGCTCCGCACTCCCCACACCCCGCGGTCCCTCTAGGTCAGGGCCTGTCACCACCGCGCCCAGAGGCTGGGACAGACGGGCTTGCATCCGAGGGGCGCTCCGTCCCACGCGGCCTGGGACTCCCCAGTCAGGACGGTACAAAATCTCTTTATTGCTCATTTTCTGTAAAAAATCGTGGCTCTCGGCGGACCCTGGGGATAGGAGGTGCAAAGCGCGCTCACACGCGGCCCGGGTCCGAGGCCGAGAGCTGGGGGGATCTGGAGCGGGGCCGGGTCGCAAGAAGACCCTGACCCTGCTCCGGCGCTGGGGCGCCTGCTAAGGGCCCGCAGGGTTTCAGCTGTATTTTCGAACCACTGTGCTTGGCCGAGGGGTTCCCAAGGCTCCACTCCGCCTTAGAGGGGGCTTCGGAAGCCCGGAGGTGACCCGGGCTCTGGGAGGGGCGTCCCCAACGTGGGGGAGGAGAGACTGGGGCCTTTGAAGACAGCACGGGACTCGGAGGGGGTCCCCCCGACCTAAGACGTGGTAAACTGAGGCCGGCGAGGAGGGAGGCTGAGTCCGGGAACCAGGCGGCCCCTCACTGCTCCTCCGGCCCGTCGCCCCCCTGCGCCTGTTCGTAGGGGCAGGGCCGGCGGCCGAGTCCAGCGGGCTTGGGGCCAGGCCTGGGCACCGGGGGCGGCGCCTCCTCCTCCGCGCCGTCCCCATGCTCGCCCTCCGCGTCGCTCTCGTCCGAGTTGTCCTCCTCCAAGTAGCGGTAACCGCGCACCTTGTGCTGGGGCCGCGGGATGCAGGGCTGGCGCGGGGCCACGCCCCGCCGCAGCTTCTGCTGCATCCGCAGGTAGGAGACCGCGGCGGCCACCAGCGTCACAAGCAGCACCGCCAGCTTAGCCTGGGTGTACGGAGAGGGATGCCAGGGACCCGCGGCCGCCTCGCCCCGCACCTTCCCCGCCTATGCCCCTCGCTGAGATAGGCCCTTCCCTCCTCCGGGAGCCTCCCGGGCCACGCGACCCTCAACTTCTCCAGCCGCTCCACCCACGCTTCCTGGACCGCCTCCTGCAGGCGAGGCTCACATCCAGCACTGTCCCTTACAGTCGCCATGCCCCTGGCGACCTCAGTGTCCCACTCTGTACGGGGACAATGCAAATCCCTTTGCCTCATAGGGTGCATGTGCCAGTGTTGATAAAGTGCTGGCCACAGGCCCTGCCTTCCCAGGGCTCACAACACTGTGTCCCTGACACACCCGTGGGCTGTAGTGATTCTCTTCATGGGGATTTGACTATAACCCGCAGTCAGGAATGATTTCACACCATAGCTCAGTACATACACACATATCTGTATGCATACTTCCTGCTCTTTTCTTTTTTCCAGACACGGTCGCTCCGTTTCCCCACTGCGCCCCCTCCCTCCCTTCCCCCAACCACTGCTGGAGCGCAGTGGCACGCTCACTTCAGCCTCAATCTTCCAGGCTCAAGCCATCCTCCCACCTCAGTCTCCCAAGCAGCTGGAACTACACGCACGCGCCACCACACCCAGCTAATTTTTAAATTTCTTGTAGAGACAGGGTCTCCTATGTTGCCCAGGCTGGTCTTGAACTCCTGGCCTCAAGCAATCCTCCTGCCTCAGCCTCCCAAAGTGTTGGGATTACAGGCGTGAGCCACCATGCCCAGCCCACTCACTGCTTTTCTTTTTTCTTTTTTTCTTTTTTTTTTGGGAGACAGAGTCTCGCTCTGTCCTCCAGGCTGAAGTGCGGTGGCACAATCTTGGCTCACTGCAACCTCCATCTCCCAGGTTCAAGCCATTCTTGTGCCTCAGCCTCCAGAGAAGCTGGGATCACAGGGACGTGCCACCATGCCCAGCTAATTTTTGTGTTTTTAGTAGAGACAGGGTTTCACAGCCTGTTACCCAGGCCGGTCTCAAACTCCAGATCTCAGGTGATACCCCCACCTCAGCGTCTCAAAATGCTGGGATTACAGGCATGAGCCACTGCTCCCGGCCCACTCCCTGCTATTTTTAGTTCTATTTTTATTTTTATTTTTATTTTGAGACAGATTTTCGCTCTTGTTGCTTAGGCTGGATGGAGTGCCAAGGCCCCGTCTCGGCTAACTGCAACCTCCGCCTCCCAGTTCAAGCGATTCTCCTGCCTCAGCCTCCCGAGTAGCAGCCACCTGCCACCACGCCCGGCTAATTTTTGTATTTTTAGAAGAGACGAGGTTTCAGCATGTCGGTCAGGCTGGTTTCAAACTCCCTACCTCAGGCAATCCACTCGCCTCGGCCTCACAAAGTGCTGGGATTACAGGAGTGAGCCACCGTGCCCGGCCTTTAGTTCTATTTTTAAAAAATGTTTAGCAACTGGGACTTGCTAGACCGGCCACCATCTTTTGGGAGCAGAGCATGAGTAGCTTGCTCCCGTTCAGGCCATGAAGGGAGACAGACGCAACATCTGGACAACCGGGTACCAAACAGCCCACAGGATGGCTGTGATGCACCCACAAATCCCCTCAGAGATGGGCAAACTGAGACTGGCTGGAGGTGGTCCAGTAAGTGGGGTGCTGAGTTGGGGGCCACCCAGTGGGCTGCAGGAATGGGGCCTTGGCCCAGAGACTGGCTTGGGAAGGGGTGGCGTTTAGGAAGCTGTGAAGCCAGGGCAGGGGCTAAGGAAATACCTGTCATTGGGAATGGGGCCCCCAACCCTGCCCAGTCTCACCTTCATGTGCAGGCTCGAGCCCAGGTACACGGTGAAGATGGCCACAGCCTGCCACCAGTGGTAGATGGTGAAGATGAAGTCCTGTCTCTCCTTGTCTTCGTACAAGATTCCCAGGAGTGCTGCAGGCAGGCAGTACAGGGCAGGCAGGGGAGAGGTGTCACCTGGGGCCTGGGGCTGCCTAGCTACCATCTATGAACTTTACTAAGCCCTGTATGTGTCCCAGCCCGGGACCAGAGAACCCCTAGAAAGTGCTGTAAGCCGGTCCTGGCCTGCCCCCTGGTGGAGACCCTGGTCACCAAGCTGCTCACACGCTAAGCAGAAGTAGGAGCAGGTGCGCCGGGCTGTGTGGATGCAGGTGGTCCCGCTCTGCACCACATGCGTGGCCTCAAAAGAAGAAAGCTCTGTGCTTAGTCATGTCCTGTCCCCAACCGCAGGTGTGCAGTGCCAAGCTTGCAGGCGCTGTTTCTCCTCCTCAGCCGGGACTAGAGAGATCGAACTGTTTGCAGCTGCCAACTCTGCAAATCAAACCTGAAGCTAAGCATGGAGAGGGGGCTTCCTTTCCAGTGAGTCCTCCCAGGGTGGGCAACAAGAGTAATGCATTGGGAGTCAGAAGATGCACACTCGTTCTCAGGACTGTAACGTTGGCTCTGTGGGTGATTTGGGTACTTAACTCCCCAGAGCTGCTTTTCCCAATGGTGAGATGAGCCTATGCCTATTGTGTGCTGTGTTCTGAAGTTCTAAAGTGAGAAAGTGGGCATGGCACCTGCCAAATCATAGGGGCCACTATTAACACCTTCACCACACACTCAGGACATGAACACTCCTGTCTTGGGGCCCTGCAGGGTGACTTTACCCCCACAGTGCTGCTATGAAGAGACAAGGATCCCCCAGCGTTCACCTATGGAGATGGGATATGGAGCTGGGCAAGGGGATGCCATGACCAGACAGGGCACAACATGGGTCCAAGATACCCAGGTTGGACTCTGCCCAGAATTGGCTATCCTTGGGCAAAACAGCCAAGAGACTGTGGTGCAGTATGAGGCTCCAGCCCCTGCTACAGACAGAGACTCCCAGCCAGCCTCTGTCCTACCAGCAGCAGGCATGACCTGTGCCATTCCACACCCCCAAGGATGACGTTCAAATCTGTTCATGGCTTCGGCCCATCAGAACAGACACTGACATGGATGCCCTGCAGGACTGTGCCCATGTGTGTTAGCTGTGTGTCACTGCATGTGCCCATCTGTGGGCAGGGAGCATCCTGGAGCTGAACATGGGCCCACTCGCTGCCTTTTGCAAACAGGGCCCTGTTCCCCAGCAGCCCAGACCTGGGGCCTGGACTCTGGTACTGAGCAGACTGGGTTGGGGCTGCAGGCCTGCTCCTCTCTATACAAAGTCCCATGTCTGTATCTATGCCGTGGATGTACAACAGGCCACTTGCTCCTACCGCATGCTCCGTGAGGCAGAGACCAAAACATATGCTCCAAGTGTCACGAAAACTATGACAGGGTAAGCTCTGTCCCCTGGTATGAAAAGGGAGAATCCCTGATGTGTTTTTCATACTGTCCCTAAGGGGTGTCCACAGAGCCCCACACCTGCCCCGTGTAGCCACGAGATTTCACACTGACCCTCCAGTGTTGATGGGGCCCTGTGCCCACCCTGAGTTATTAACGGAATGTCCATGACGTGGAACCCCCACACCTGTCTCCAGGGTGTCCACGCCCTACCCATCTGCCCCCAGTGTGTCCATGAGACTTCCCTTCCACCCCTGGAGTGTCCACAGGAAGCCCCACCGGCCTCCGCCATGTCCACAGGACGCTATGTGACCATAGGACCCCATATCTGTCCCTGGGATGTCTATGTCTAGCCAACCACCCACAGATAGCCATAAAGAACCCTGCCCCACCCTCCCAGTGCCCACAGCTATACTCACTGCTGAGTCCAGTTTTGTTCAGGGTGCTGCCCACACCCCAAAGGGCGGCTGCCACACAGAGGATCCAGCTGTGTTGAAGGACCCGAGACACAGGGGCCCAGAAAAAGAGGATGAAGGTGAGCAGCAGGTGCACCCCTGCTCCAGCCACGAGGGAAACCGGGCGTGGCAGCCACAAGCCCAGCAGGCCCAGGAGTGAGGCGACTGAGGCGTCCAGGCTGTAAGCCACGAGGAGGTAAGCCAGCCGCTCCAGCCCCACCGAGCACACGCCATAGCCCTGCGTGGGGACAAAGGGTGAGTGTTGAAGTCCGGAACAGCCCGGACCCCAGTCTCAGCCCTCCCCGCATCGCGGGGGTTGCCTCACCCCCCTGCGATGGGTGTCCTAAGAGCCATGGGGGGTGAGGGGCTGGCTTGTACTCCCCGCATCGCGGGGGGTGAATCACACCTTTGCGATGTGGGTCCTAAGAGCCAGGGAGGGAAAGAGGGGCTGGCTCTTACTCCCCGCATTGCGGGGGTGCCTCACCCCACTGCGATGGGGGTCCTAAGAGCCAGTGGGGGAAGAGGAACTGGCTCTTACTCCCCGCATGGTGGGTGGTGCCTCAGCCCCCTGCGATGGGGGTCCTAAGAGCCAGGAGTGGAAGAGGGGCTGGCTCTTACTCCCCGCATCGCGGGGGGTGCCTCACCCCCCTGCGATGGGAGTCCTAAGAGCCAGGGGGGGAAGAGGGGCTGGCTCTTACTCCCCGCATCACGGGAGGTGTGTACAACCCCTGAGATATTGGCAGTAATATCATCCTCTCCCCCTGAACCTGAGAAACAATATCTCAGGAGCATGTAAGCCCCCTGAGATATTGGAAGTAACATCATTTTCTCCCCCTCCAGATATTCGGAACAATATCACAGTGGGTGTGTACAGCCCTTGCGACATTGCCGCTAGTATCTTCCTCTCCCTCCCAGGATAGAAGGAACAATGTCACAAGGGGGTGTACACCCCCTGCGATATTCGTGGTGATATCTTCTTCTCCCCCGCTGCCTATTAGGAACAATGTCACACAAGGGGTGTGCACCCCCTGCTATATTGGGAGTGATATCATCCTCTCTGTCCCTGGATATTAGGAACAATAACCCTAGGGAGTGTACACCTCCTGCAATATTCAGACTAATATCCTCTCGCCCCCTGGATATTAGGATCAATATCACAGGGGTGGTGGGCACCCCCGGCGAAATTGGAAGAAATATCATCCTCTCCACCTTTGGATGTTCGGAACAGTATCACGGGGGAGGTCTCCGCCCACTGCGATTTTGGGAGTCGTAACATCCGCTCCCACCCAGGATATTAGGAACAAGATGACCGAAGGGATGTACACCCACTGCGATATTTTCCATAATGTCATCCTCTACCCACTGGCTATTAGGAGTAACATCATAGAGGGGTGTACACTTTCTGCGATATTGGGAGTAATATCCTCTCCCCCACGGATATCGGGAACAGTTTTATTAATTATTAATATTAATAAATATAATAACAATTAATAGTAATCATTGATATTAATAACTACAGTGGAGACAGTAAAACTTAATGTGGATTAAAAATATTCATGATTACAATTAATAATAGCAATATCAATATTAATAGTAAAATAATAATATCAGTAATTAATGTTACTTAAATCCATCATAAGTGATGTTGGTAATAAAACAATGATTAATGTTAATATTAATAACTAATATTATTAAAAATGGCACTAATAGTAAGAATTAATTTTAATCATGCACAATCATATCTTTAAAATAATCATTAATGACTAATAAAGTTATACTATAAATTAATATTACCATTTATAATCATTAATGAGACTGATGTTTAATAATTCATAATATTATTACTCCTAATACCGCAGGGGGTGTACACCTACCTGTGATATTGTTCCTAATATCCAGGGATGGAGAACTTGATATTAGTTTTAATATCGCAGTAGGTGTACACTCACCCTGTGACACTGATCCTAATATCCAGAGGGTGGAGTATGACATGACTGCCAACATAGCAATGAATGTACAGCCACCCGGTGATATTGCTCCTAATATTCACGGAAGAAGCGTATGCTATTACTCCCAATATCGCAGGGAGTGTACACCTCTTCTGTGATATTGTTCCTAGTATCCCGAAGGGGAGAGGGTGACAATAATTCCAGCATCGTAGGCTGTGTTCACCCAGCCTGGGATATTGTTATTAATATCCTGAAAGGGAGAGGATGATATTACTCCCCATAATAGATAGATATGCCTCCCCATAATAGAGCAGGAGGTGTACACCCACCCTGTGATATTCTTCCTCATATTAAGAGGAAGAGAGGTTGATATTACTTCCAATATCGCAGGAAGTGTACACCCCCGTGTGAGATGGTCCTTCGTAATATTCCAAGGCGGAGGGGGTGATATGACTACATATATCGCAGAAAGTGGACACCCCCTAGGGATATTGTTCCCATGATCCTGGAGGGAAGAGGATGATCTTACTTTAAATATCACAGAAGGTGGACACGACCCCACTGATATTGTCTCTAATTGCCACTTGGGAGAGGAGGATATGACACCCAATATCGCAGGGAGTAGAAACACCCCTGTGATACTGTTCTTAATATTCAGGGAGAACGAGGATGATATTGTTACCAATACAGACGGTGTACACCCGTCTGTGAAATAGTTCATAATTTCCAGAGGGGAGATGATATTACTCACAATGTGATAAACAGGCTGTGAGTCCACTGCGGATCCTAAAACCCAGGGGGGGAAGAGGGGCTGGCTCTTACTCCCCGCATCGCGGGGGGTGCCTCACTCCCCCTGCGATGTGGGTCCTAAGAGCCGGCGGGGGGTATGAGGGGCTGGCTCTTACTCCCCGCATCGCGGGGGGTGCCTCACCCCCCTGCGATGGGGGTCCTAAGAGCCAGAGGGGGAAGAGGGGCTGGCTCTTACTCCAAGCATCGCGGGGGGTCCCTCACCACCCTGCGATGGGGGTCCTAAGATCCAGGGTGGGAAGAGGGGCTGGCTCTCACTATTCCTGAGGGAATAGTTTAGAGGGACTCATTCCCTGCTATCGTGGGTGAGATGTCTATGAAAAGGACAACCAGTGGGGGAGGGTAGCAAAATTTTGAAGTAGATTTCTGAGACCCCAGCACAACCAGGAACAGAAACTCCACACTGCTGAGAGGATAGTTTGCACATTGGTCTCCTCCGATCTGCCCAGCTCACTCTGCTGTTTGTCCTGAGGAGGAAACAAAACAAGGCTCCCGACGGTCCCTCAACACTCACTTGAAGGTGTGGCCCGTCCCCCCACACCTGAGGGTATTTCTAGTTAGGTGGGACGAGAGACTGAGAAAAGAAATAAGACACAGAGACAAAGTATGGAGAAACAACAGTGAGCCTAGAGGACCGGCGCTCAGCATACCAAGGACCTGCACTGACACAGACCTCTGAGTTCCCTCAGTTTTTATTGATTATTATTTTTATTATTTTAGCAAAAAGGAATGTAGTAGGAGGACAGGGTGATAATAAGGAGAAGGTCAGCAACGAACATGTGAGCAATAGAATCTATGTCATAATGAAGTTCACGGGAAGGTACTATGACTGGACGCGTACGCAAGCCAGATTGAAGTTTCTCTCCACCCAAACATCTCAGTGGAGTAAAGAATAACAAGGCAGCATTGCTGAAAACGTGTCTCACCTCCCACAATAGGGCGGTTTTACCCCCATCTCAGAATTGAACAAATGTACAATCGGGTGTTAAACCGAGACATTCAGTTCCCATGTGCAGGCAGGAGACAGTGGACTTCCTCTCTCTCAACTGCAAGAGGCTTTCCTCTTTGACTAATCCATCTCAGCCAGACCCTTTACTGGTGTCGGGCTCGGGGACGTTCAGGTCTTTCTTCTCCCACGAGGCCACTGTTCAGACTATCACATGGGGAGAAACCCTGGACAATACGCTGCTTTCAAGGGCAGGGCTCCCTGTGGCTTTCCACAGTGTATTGTGCCCCTGGTTTATTGAGACTAGAGAATGGCGATGACTTTTACCAAGTATACTGCTTGGAAACATCTTGTTAACAAGGCACGTCCTGCACAGCCCTAGATCCCTTAAACCTTGATTTCATACAACTCATGTTTTTGTGAGCTTCAGGTTGGGTCAAAGTGGCTGGGGCAAAGCTACACATTAACAACATCTCAGCAAAGCAATTGTTGAAAGTACAGGTCTTTCTCAAAATGGAGTCTCTTATGTCTTTCCTTTCTACGTAGACACAGTACGAGTCTGATCTCTCTTTCTTTTGCCTACACTCACTGAACTGTCCTTCCTCTCTGCTGGGCCATGACCACGGAGAACAGGTCCACTGTCTTCCCTGTGTGGTGCACCATGGAGGCTCAGGCTCCGTCCTCAAGGCTGGCAAGAAGACAGGGTGAGACGTGAGCCTCCTGATACAGGTGATGTCTGTGGAGCCCACAGGACTGGACCTCACACTGCAGGGCTGGAGGCACAGACTATTTACTATTCTGTGTCCTGGGGGGCTCAAGGCATAGAGCTCCTTATTAGCCAAAGTCACCCAAGTTCCCCAACCTCTAAGGATTTCCTCATAATAATGCAAGAAGAAGAAGAGAAAAGTGAGTGTCCATAGAAGTTTTGGGGTTCTTCCTCTAATCAGGAGAAAGCTGGTGTGTATTCTTCGCTTCTTTCTTTTCTTTTTAAACATCCAACTGCTTTAATTTTCATCTTTTATTATGAGAAAATATACCACGTATAAATATGAAAAATTATAAATATATATTAGTTCATATAGAATGGCCAGTATAAACATTTACTGTTTCCACGCTTTTTCAGTTTACAGTTTCATGACATTAAGTACGTTCACATTGTTTAGCAACCATCACCGTCATCGTCTCCGGAACAGTTTTATCTTTCAAAATGGAAATTACACCCATTCACCAAGCTCTCCACTCCTCTCTCTCGCCCGCCCCTGCGGGCCACCTTTCTAGTGTGCAACTCTATGAGTTTAACTACTCTAGACACGTGATAGATAAGTGGAATCATACCGTGTTTAATTTTTTTGTTTTGGAAACAGAGTCTTTCTCTGTCACCCCGGCTGGAGTGCAGTGGCATGATGTCGCCTCACTGAAACCTCCACATCGTGGGTTTAAGCGATTCCTGTGTCTCAGTCTCCCGAGTAGCTGGGATTACAGGCGTGCGTCACCACGCCCAGATAATTTTTTATTTTTAATAGAGACCATATTGGCCAGGCTTGTCTCGAAATCCTGACCTGAAGTGATCCGCCTGGCTCAGCCTCCCCAAGTGCTGGGGTTACAGGTGCGAGCCACTGAGACTGGGCGTGTTTATCCTTTTGGGATTTATTTATTTCAGTGACGATAATGTTTTCAAGGTTCATCCATGTTGCAGCCTGCGTCAGAAGTGCCTCTCTGTTTTTTTTGTTGTTGTTGTTTTTGTTTGTTTTGTTTGTTCGTTTGACTTTGTTTTGTTTTGTGTTTCCATGGAGTCTCACTCTGTCGCACAGGCTGGAGTTCAGCGCCACAATCTGGGCTCACTGCAACCTCCGCTTCCCGGGTTCCAGCCATTCTTGTGCCTCAGCCTCCCGAGTACTTGGGACTATAGGCACACGACGCCACGCTCGTCTCATTTTTTGCATTTTCAGTAGAGACAGGGTTTCACCAAGATGGCCAGGCTGGTCTTGAATTCCTGACCTCAGGTGATCCGCCCACCTCGGTCTTCCAAGACGTTGCGATTACAGGCGTGAGCCACCGCACCGGCCAGAAGTGCCTGCCTTTTGAAGGCTGAATAATCCTCCATTGTATGAAGGAACTACAGTGTGCTTTTTCATTCATCTGTCCACGAACCCTTGGGTTGTTTCCACATTTTGGCTGTTGTGAATAATGCTGCTATGAATATGGGTGTACACAAATCTGTCTTCCACTCCTGGCTTCTAATTCTTTTTGGTAGGTACCCACAAATGCAACTGCGGGAACATCTGATCATTCTTTTTCCAATTTTTCCAGTACACGCCATACTATTTTCCCCATTCCTTCACGGTTTTACATTCCCTCCGATCATATTCGAGCATTCTTACTTCCCTCTAGTCTCACCAATGCTTGTTTGTTTATCATATCCATCCTAATGTGTGGTATCACATTCTTGGTTTGATTTGTGCTTCCCTATGATGAGTGATTTTGAACATCATTTTAGATGCTTATTGGCCATTGCTATATCTTCTTTAGGAACACGTCTACTGGAGTCTTCTGACCATTGTTGATGGGATGCTTTGGGTTTCTTGTTGTTTAGTTCTAGCTGTTCTTTATATATGATGGCTATCAGCCTCTTTTCAGATATATGCTTTGCAAATCTTTTTCCTAATCCATGGGTTATCTTTTCACTCAGTTCGCAGTGTTTTTTGCTGCACAAAAGTATCTGTCATTTAGATGTAATCCAAGGAATCTAATTTTCTTTTGTTGCCTATGCTTTTGATATCATATCCCAGAGAACATTGTCCAATCTGATGTCATGAAAGTAGGGCCAATGTTTTCTTTTAGGCGTATGATACTTTTAGCACTTGGGGTGAGGTCTTTGATCCAGTTTGTGTTAATTTTTGCACCTGTTGTGACATAGGGTCCACCTTCATTCTTCTGCATGTGGAAATCAAGTTTCTCCAACACCATTTCTTGAAAAGGCTGCTTTTCCACCAATGAGCTTTCTTAGCACTCATGTGAAAAATCATTTGAACATATAGGTGAGAAGTTATTTCTGGTCTCCAAAACAAACAAACAACAACAGACAACAGATAAGGATACAGCATGGGCCGGGCGCGGTTGCTCACACCTGTAATCCCAGCCCTCTGGGAGTCCGAGGCTGGCGGATCACCTGAGGTCAGGAGTTGAAGACCAGCCTGACCGACAGGGAGAAACCCCTGTCTCTACTACAAATACAACATTAGCTGGGCGTTCTGATGCATGCCTGTAATCCCAGCTACTCGGGAGGTGGAGGCAGGAGAATCGCTTGAACCAAGGAGGCAGAGGTTGCGGTGAGTAAAGTTTGCACCATGACACTCCAGCCTGGGCAACAAGAGCGAAATTTCATCTCAAAACAAACAAACAAAAAAAACCCAGCATGATTTCAAGAGCAGAAAGAGAAGAGCTTAAAAACCAGCATAATGAGAAAGTTAGGAAGCTTCTTACCAAAGCATCTGGAAATATGCAAGCAATTCTTGTGAACTAAAATTTTCATACTGTACTATCAAACACTAGAACTCACTTATTCCATCTTTCTGTATTTTGGGACCCAATTATCCACTTGTCTTCATTCCCTATGCCACCCGTTTTCTTCCTAGCGTCTGCCAACCACCTTTATACTTTCCACCTTCCTGAGATTCCTTTTGTGTGTAGGTGTGTGATGGAGTCTCTTTCTGTTGCCCAGGTTGGAGTACGCAGGCACAATCCGGGTTCACTGCAAGCTACGCCTCCGGAGTTCAAGCACTTCTTGGGCCTCAGCCCTCTGAGTAGCTGAGACTACAGGCACGCATCACGAAGCCCGGCTCATTGCTTGTGTTTTCCGTAGAGATGGGGTTTCACCATGTTGGCCAGGCTGGTCTCGAACTCCTGGACTCAAGTGATCCGTGCGACTCGGCCTCCCGGAGTGCTGGGATTACAGGCCTGAGCCACCACACCTGGCCAAGGTTTCCTTTTTTCTTCCTACATAGAAGTGAGGACATGAAAAATTTGTCATTCTGTGCCTGGCTTATTTCATTTAATATACAGACCTGCAATCTCATCCATTTTCTCTGCAGCAGAGAGGAGTTTCTTCCTTTTTAGGCTGAATAATACTTCACTGGGTGTGTATACCACAGTTTCTTCATTGAAACAAATTTCTGAAGAGCAAATATTTTTAAAATGTCTCGGAATGTGAAACTTCAGGGATACTGTGCCCATCTTATTCTTTTCTATTTCCCATCTTATGTATATGCAAGTGTATAATAAAGTAGCAATCAATGTGTGTATAAATCTATATATTGAAGAAATGTAAAATGTAAATGCTAAGTGGTGGCTGGGCACGGTCGCTCATGCCTGCAATCCCAGCACTTTGGGAGGCAGAAGCGGGCGGATCACCTGAGGTCGGGAGTTCAAGACCAGCCTGACCAAAATGGAGAAACACTGTCTCTATTAACAATACGAAAAAAAAAAAAGAAAAAATTAGCCAGGCATGGTATCGCATGCCTGTAATCCCAGCTACTTGGAAGGCTGAGACAGGAGAATTGCTTGAATACGGGAGGCAGAGGTTGCAGTGAGCCGAGACCGTGACATTGAACTCCAGCCTGGGCAACAAGAGTGAAACCCTGACTCAAAAAATAAGGAAAAGAAAGAAATAGAAAATGCGAAATGGTAAGAAAAAACAGCATAATAAACATTTGTATGGTGTTGATGGACAATGCATTTAAAGATAATATTTGAGGAAATCATATTACAATTAATTTCTGTTCTTACTCATTGGAGCTTGATGCCTCTAAAAACTTCGTCATTGGAACCACCTGTGGTGCTTTAAAAGAAAAAAAAAAAATCCACATACTCACACAGGTGCAAGGAAATCAGAATCTCAGGTATTGAGACCCAGGCCTCATCATTTGTAAGCTCCCCAGGTGATTTGACTCAAAGCCAAGATTGAGAACGGCAACATGGATCTCTACACTTAACCTGCCTAAATAGATTCTCTAGAAGCAGTTCATAAAAAAACTCCACATGAACTGTGGAAGAGGATATGAATTTGATGTACAGTATGTCCTCACTTAACATCTTTGAAATTCTCTTGGAAACTTCACCTTGAAGCAAAATTATGTATAGTGAAACCACTTATTTTTCATCAACAGTATAACTACACAACTTTGAACAACCAATTGTGTTGGAGGACCTCCTGTACATTGTTTCCATTAAGTCAGTTTTCAGGGAATTGCAAAACGAAGTGAGGACTTCGTGTATATAAAAAGATGGTTGTGATTCCACCTGGATGACAGGGTTATTGCTCAGAAACTAAAAGAGGCTGCTTAGGTATAGAGGATTCTGTGATAAGGTTTCTGCTAAACAAAGGGTCCCAGAATCCTCACCCATTCCAGTGAAAGGCATAACGAAGAAAGCAATATTCACAAAGGAAATGCGGAAAGGAATAAAAGCCATCAAGCCACAAAAAGAATGTGACTAAGGGGCAGGATTTGCAGATGTAGAGATTTACTGTGGTTGCTCTTTCTCACCCACACAAGAAAAACGATGGAACAGATCATGAGATTCGACTGTTCTGCTGAGCAGCCTCCGCAGGGCACTTTGTATGTCCCTGTTTCTCAGGCTGTAGATGAAAAGGTTCAGCATGGGGGTGACCACAGCGTACATCATTGACGCCACTACACCATTCCTGGGGGTGGTGACACAGCTGAAGTCAGGTACATGCCAATGCCTGTTCCATAAAATCAGCAAACAACTGCTAGGTGAGAGTCACAGGTGGAGAAGGCTTTATACTTCCCATCTGAAGATGAAATCCAGAGAATGAAGGTGACGATTTTAAATTAAGAAAAAAGGATCCCTGAAATGGGAAGAAAACCAAACATAGTACTATGGAAATACGTGAATATGCTATTGATGACGCTGTCAGAACAGGCAAGTTTGAGAAATTGAGAGGGGTCACAGACAAAATTAGAGATTTCCACATTCTTGATGATGTTGAATTGTAACACAATTCAACTGTGCAGCTGGGAATCCAACAGGCTAAGGAAAAAGGACACCAAAACGAAAAAGACACAGAGGTGAGGATTCACGATGACTGGGTAATGCAGAGGGCGACAGATGGCTACAAAGCAGTCATAGGCCATCACAGTCAGGATCATGCCTTCTATACATGCAAAAAGGACCAAGAAAGACATCTGTGTGAGGCAGCCCTCATGAGAGATGACTCTACTATACGACTGCATGTCCACAATCATCTTGGGAACCGTGGCCGAGGTGAAACCGATGTCAGCCCAGCACAGGTTGGAGAGGAAGAAGTACATGGGGGTGTGGAGGGGGGAGTCAGAGCTGACAGCCAGGATGTTGAGCACGTTCCTCAGCACCGTGGCCAGATACGTGGACAGGGACAGGGACAGCAAAGCGAGGACCGACTGCAGCTCTGGATCCTCTGAAAGTCCCAGGAGGAGGAATTCTCAGACACCTGTGAGATTCCGTGGCTCTGTGTGTCTTGGACACCTTGAGAAGGAAAGAGGATTGGAAAAATAAAAGATAAAAACCAGCCCTTAATGCTGGATGCAAGCAATTCACAAGGAACATCTTCACACTTGCGGTCCATACACCGCCAGCAATGTTTCTCAGTTGTGACAATTCCAAAAATCTCAGAATTATTACGTGATTTACTTTTTTGCTATACAAGGCTTTCTGTACATACTACTTTAGAGAAAATCCACTGAAGAATATTAGAAGACCAAAACGTCATATATAACAAATCCGTAATCTCAGTAAAATACAGCCTACTCTTTTCAGAAAAAATACAATGCCATGACAATGTCCTTCTCTCTTGAAGAAAAAGATCTCAGTGTAATTGAAAGAAATTAAGAAGCCGTGAAATACACTCTACTTTATTCTGACACCGTGCTACAACTTCTATTGATGTAGAATATGTAAAAGGACGACACAAGAGCTAGGACCACATTATCTGAAAACGACATCGAACCTTATAGTTCTCAATCGGGAGACCTTTTCACATGCCTGTTACTTTTCATATTTATTATCATCCTTCGGTTTTCTGACATCATTTCTTCATAAAAGTACATGCACGCTCAAAGATGGGAGCTGTGTTTCCAAATGAATTGAATATATAACTCTTGGCCCAGCGGCATGGCTCACACCCGTAATCCCAGCACTTTGGGCGGCCGAGGCTGATGGATCACCTGAGGTCAGGAATTCCAGACCAGCCTGGCCAACATGGTGAAACCCCATCTCCAGTGAAAAAAAAAAAAAAAAAATTAGCCGGGCGTGGTGGCTGGTAACCCTAGCTACTCGGGAGGCTGAAGCAGGAGAATCCCTTAGAACCTGGAAGGCAGAGATTGGACACCCTGTGATAGGATTTTTGATATGCTAGGGAGATATTGCTCCAGACAGCAGAGTGGGCGTACACCCTGTGATATTATTTGTAATATCCTAGAAAGATATTGCTCCTAATATCACGGTGGCTCTACACCTTGTGATCTTAATTGTAATATCCTACAGAGATATTACTCCTAATAATACAGTGGGTGTACACCCTGTGATATTATTCATAATATATTACAGAGATACGACTCCTGATATCACAGTGAGTGTACACCATGTTTGTACACCCTGTGATATTTGTAACAACTTAGAAATATATTACAGCTAATATCAAAGTGGGTGTACACCCTGCTATGGTATTTGTTATCTACTAGGTAGATATTACTCCTAATATCACAGTGAGTGTACAGCACGTGTGTACGGACTGTGAAATTATTCGTAATACCCTAGGAAGATATTACTCCTCATATCACAGTGGGTGTACACCGTGAGTGATATTTTTTTCTAATATCTAGCGGGGGAGAGGATGATATTCCTTCCAATATCACAGAAGGTGTACACCCCCCTGTGATATTGTTCCTAATATCCAGGGAAGGAGAGCATGACATTATTCGCAATATCACTGGGGGTGTACCACCTCCCGCTGGGGTATTGTTCTTAATGTCAGTAGGTGGAGAGAATGATGTTACTTCCAATATCACAGGGGGTGTACACCACCTCTGTTTGTAAACACCCCCTGTGATATTGTTCCAAATGACCTGTGAAAGAGTAAATATGACTCCCATTATCGCGAGGAGTGTTCAGCCCTGATGATATTGTTTTCTAACATCTAGGGAAGAAGAGTATGCTATTACTCCCAGTATCGCAGGGGTTGTACACCCTTTTGTGTTTTTGTGCCCAATATCCAGGAAAATAGAGTATGATATGATATTACTCCCAATGTCGAAGTAATTGTACAGCACCCCTGTGATATTCTTGCTAATATCCAGAAAGGAAAAGAATGATATTACTCCCAACAGCATAGAAAACGTATACCCGTGCTGTGGTATCCTTCCCAGTATCCAGGTGGGGAGAGGATCATATTACTTCCAATGTCGCAGGGTGTGTACACCCCCTCTGTGATCTCGTTGTTAACATCCAGGTTTGGGGAGGACGACATGACTCCCAATATCGCAGGGGGAGTACGCCCCCCCTTGACCTTGTTAGTCATTTCCTGGGTGAAGAGGATGATCTTACTCCCAATATCGCAGGGTGTGTACACATCCCTGTGAAAATCCTCCTATTTTCAGAGGGAGAGACGATGGTATTACTCCCAGTACCGCAAGGGGTTTCCACAGCCCTCTGATATTCTTACTGATATCCATAGGGAGAGAGGATGGTATGACTCCCAATATCGCAAGGGGGGGGGTACAAACCCTGTGATATTGTTCCTAATATCCAGAGCGAAAGAGGATGATATGACTCTCAATATCCCAGAGGGTGTACACCCCTCCTGTAATATTGTTCTGAATACCCTGGGAGGGAGAGGATAAGGTTACGTTGAATATCACAGGGAATGTACACCCTCCCCTTCTGATACCCTTCCTAATGTCCACGGGAAGAGAGGAAAATTTCACTCTCAATATCACAGAGGCAGTACACCCCACCTGTGATGTTGTTCCCAGTATGCAGCGGGGGAGAGGAGGATACTACTGTCAATATCGCAGGGCTGTTCACATCCCCAGTGACATTTTTTCCTAATATCTGGGGGAGAGACAATTATATGACAGCAAAGGTAGCAGGGTCTGTGCATCCCTTCCTGATATTGCTCCTAATATCCAGGGGGAAGAGGATGATATCTAATATGAAAGGGGATGTACATCCCCCACCCCTACGATATTGTTCTTAATAATCATGAGGGGAGATGATGATATTACTCCAAATATCGCAGAGGTTGTTCACAACCCCCTGTGATATTGTTTCTGATATCCGGGGGGGGGGGAGAAAATCATATTACTTCCAATATTGCGGGTGGTGTATACTCCACCTGAAATATGGCACCGAATATCCAAAGAGGGTGAGGATGATATTCATACCAATATTGAAGTGTGTGTACACGCCCCTAGTGATATGGTTTTTAATATCCAGTGGGCGGGAGGATATTAGTCCCAACATCCCAGAGTGTGTACACTACACCTGTGATATTGTCCCTAACTTCCAGAGGGGAGAGGATGATATCACTCCCAATATCTCAGAAGTTGTACATACCCTGTGATATTGTTCGTCATATCCAGGGAGGCGCAGGATGACATTCCACTGAATTTCGCGACAAGCGTACACGCACAGTGTGATATTGTTCCTAATATCCAGGAAGGGAGAGGATATTACTCCCAATAAAGCAGTGGGTGTACATCACCCCTGTGTTATTGTCTCTAATATCCGGGGCCGGGGGATGGGGGGAGAGGATAACATTCCCTCAAATGTAGCAGGTGGTTTGACGCACCTTGTGTTGTTGTTTCCAATACCCAGGGGGGAAGACAATAGTACTATTTTTGATAGTCCTATTCATCCGCTCCACCTTTCCGGAACGCTGAGGCTGGGAGGCAGCATGCAGTTTCCGTGTGATCCCCAATACCTTTGCTGTCTTCTGTACCAAGGCAGCCAAAAACGCAGGCCCCTTGTCTGAGCCGATACCTAAGGGCGGTCGAAATCTAGGAATGAGATCTCAAAGAAGCACAGGGGTTACTTCACGAGCTTTCTCAGTTCGTGTTGGATAGGCCTCCACCCATCCAGAGTAATTACGCCCAAGAACTAGTACATACTTGTCACCTCCACACTTTGGCATCTCTGTGAAGTCCACCTTTAGACCTTCAAAGGGGGCTGCTCCATAAGCTCGTATGCCGGGCGGAATGGCTGGACCTTGCCTCGCATCATGCTGTCAGCAGGTAACACATCGCTGCCTCACGGTTTTGGCAAGGGCTGACAAAGGCGAGATGTAGAAATACCGGCCTAACAACTTTTCCAGTGACTCCTGACCTCGATGGGTGGTTTCTTGCACAGCCAGTACAACTGCAGCTCCCAGCAGCTGTGGCGCAGCTACTCTCCCATCTGGTAACCGAATCCATCCTTCCTCCATCACTTGTCCTTCCCTCTACCTGGAGAAAGTTCTTTTCTTCTTTAGAATAGGTAGGTTCAAGATCAGGTGCTTGAGGGAGCACTGATGCCCGGAAGGGGGCAGATGCTGCTTTTCGAGCCTCTGAGTCAGCGCGGGAATTCCCCAAGCCCAGCAAGGTGGAAGCTCGCTGGTGTCCTCTGCAATGCGTAACTGCCACCTTGTGGGGTTTCCATACTGCTTCTAATCATTGCAAGATTTCTTGTTGACATTTTCTGTCTTTTCCCCCAGAGTTCAATAGGCCCTTTTCTTTCTATCATGCTCCATGCACTTGAAAGGTTGAAAAGACATACCGAGAATCAGTGTAAATGTTGACAGTCTCACCCTCACTGAGTTCTAAGGCCCGAATGAAAGCAATGAGTTCAGCTTTCTGGGTTGAAGTGGCCTGGGGCAACGATCTGGCTTCAACAACAGTGTCCAGGGTTATCACTGCATACCCTGCACCTCTCTCTCCTTAGGGATTGAAGAAGCTGCTCCCATCCACGTATAGTTCCCAGTCTACTGATGCCCAAGCCTGGTCCCGGAGGTCAGGTCTGCTAGAGTCAATTGAGTCCAACACTTCTACACAATCAGGCTCGACAGGGCTCTCTGATAGCGGGAGCAAGGTGGCGGGGTGTAGGCTGTTACAAACTTCAATGGTTATATGGGGATTTTCACAGAGCCAACTTTGGTACTTGGTGAGTCTGGCATTCATTAGCCAGTGATGTCCTTTAGCATTCATTAAAGTCACCACAGCATGGGAGGCCTTTATGTTCAGGTTCTGCCCAAGAGTCAGCTTATTTGCTTCTTGTACTAGCAGGGCAGTTGCGCCAAGGACCTCCAACAGGGGGGCCATCCTTTAGAAACCCCGTCCAGTTGTTTAGGGAGGTAGGCCCCCGGCCTCGGCCTGGGCCCCACAGTTTGGGTTCAAAGTCCAGATGCCATCTTTTCTCTCTCTGATGCATACAATGGAAAAGGCTTTGTCAGATCGGGTAGCCCCAGGGCTGGGGCTGCCAGAAGTTTTTCCTTTAACTCATGAAAGACTTGCTGTTGTTGGGATCCTCATTCCAAAGTTTCCCGGTCCCCGCTCCCTTTGTGACCTCATACAAAGTCTTGGCTAATACTGCAAAATTTGGGATCCACAGTCTACAAAACCCCACAGTCTTAAGAATTCCCTCACTTGCCTTATGCTCTTAGGCTCCGCTAGATTGCAAATGACCTGCTTTCATTCTGATCCCGGGCTGCGTTCCGACCCCTGTCAGATAGTCAATCCCAAGGAACGTAACTGCTGCCAGAAGATCTGAGCTTTCTTCTTGGACACCTTCTATCCACAGTCCTCCAGGTGCCGGTGTAGGGCATCTGTTCCCTTGGCACACCCGACTGCCGTGGGGTGTCCCAGCAGAAGGTCATCAACCTACTGGAGCAACATGCAGCCTATGTCTCCGCTGGGAAACTTCTGGATGTCTCGAGCCCACGCCTCCCCGAAGATGGTGGGGGAGTTCTTGAACCCTTTGGGAAGCCCGGTCCAAGTGTACTGAGTAGAGACACCTGACTCCGGATCTTCCCACTGAAAGGCAAACAGCTTCTTCCTCTCAGGGGTTAATCTGATAGGAAAGAAAGCGTCTTTCAGGTCCAAGCAGGAGAACCAGCTGTCCTCAGCTGGCAGCAACCCCAACAATGTGGACGGGTTAGGTACTGTTGGATGGAAAGTCTCCGTAGCTTGATGAAGCAAGCGCAAATCCTGTACCGTCCGGTAGTCCTTGGTCCGTGGCTTGGGAACAGGCAGGAGGGGAGTGTTCCGTGGAGACTGACAAAGAACAATAATTCCAAAAGTTCTTAGGTGCTTGAGACGGACCTGGATACCTTGAAGGGCTTCTCTGGGGACCGGATCCTGTTTCTGCCTCACCGGCTGGGCCCCAGTCTTAACTGGCCAATCCCGGAGGGTTGTCTTCTGCCCGTACTCTTGGCCACCGCTTAGCCAGAGCTGGTCTTCTCTCTTGGCACAGCTCAGTTAAGAAAAGTCTCCATTCCTCCTCTCCGGGGACCATAAGGGTCATAATGATTCCCGTGGCGGGAAACTTTAGCAGCAAAGAGCCATGCTCTGTCAAAGAGATAGTGGCTCTCAGCTTGCTGAGCAAGTCCATTCCCAAAAAGATCAAGGGACAGTCAGGCATGTACCAAAACTGATGAATGACTCTATGTCCTCCTACAGTAGAAGTCCGAGACAAGCAGAAAGCTTGCTTTGCTGAATCCCCTGTGGCTCTGATGACGTCAATAGTTTTTTTGGATAAGGGGGCGACTGGGGCGGTTACCAGCGAATGTTCAGCATTGCTATCTACAAGAAAGTCAATGTCTCCACCCCTGACTGTCATTCTGACCAGAGGCTCTTTGGGGACGCTTGAGCCCGCTCTCCCTCAGTCCAAGAACCCTTCTGCCAGGTTGAGCAGGGCCCCTTCCTCCTTGTCCGGGGCCTCCTGCTCTGAGTCACCTTGTTTTCTTTTGAGCTGAAGGCATTTGTTCCTCCACTGTCCTATTTCTTTACAGTAAGCACACTGGTTACACTGCAAACTCTGACAGCCAAGCTGATTTTCTTTCCCAGGGCCCTCCTTCCCTTGCCTCTTTGGGGGGGCCCTGTGATTGCTGGAGCTGACAAACAGGTCGGCTTGTCACCGGGCCTGACCTCCATTCTCTTTGCTGTTTTCCTTATGGCTTACTGCATCCCTGTTTACAAACACCTGGCTAGCTCTTTCTAGTAATTGGGATGGATTCATCCCTGCAAGCCCAGCCTGTTTCTGCAGTTTTCTTCTCATGTCTTCTGCACTTTGACGGACTAAAGCCATGTGAATCATGCGCTGATTTTCAGGGCTATCGGGATCAAAGGGAGTATACATACCGTAGGCCTCACACAGTCTCTCGTAGAATTGTGCCGGACTTTCTTCTTTTCCCTGAATGACCTCAGAGAGCTTGTTAACGTTTGTTTCCTTCTGAGCTCCCCTCACTAATCCTTCCAAGAGAGCTTCCCTGTCTCGGTTTAGCATTTGCATATCCTCTCTTTCATGTGGGTCCAACTGGGGGTCGGTTCCTGGCAACTGAGTCCTTCCATACTCGTGGGGGTTTTGATAATCAGCTGGTGCATGTTCCTCTAGCCACTCAGTTGCTGCTTGGAGGACTCTCCGCCTTTCTTCGCTGTTAAAGAGGAACATGAGCAACTTGTGCCAATCAGCCCAGGTGGGGTTGTGGGTCTGGATAACAGCTTGGAGCAAATCAATTAGGGCTTCTGGCTTTTCGGTATAGGGCGGTGTATTGTTTTTCCAGTTGAGAAGGTCGACACAGGTGAAGGGCTGGTTCCCAAAAACACGCGTCTGCACCACGTGACCATCCTCCTCTATCACAGCATACCGCTGCTCTCAGGGGCATTTGTGTCCCGGTTTGGCGTCGCAAACCAGCTGCCGGGGGAGGGGTGCAATGGCGCAATGCGAATTAACGCAATTAATAATCTCAATTATTCACAAAAATAATTATCAACATTAATAACCGATAATATAATTTTCAAAATCAATACCGATAATAACGATAATTAATATTAAATAGTTACACTAAGGATAACAATAAATGATTAATATTAATGATTAATGACGCCTGATATTAGTAACTGATATTGACTTTACTCATTAGAAAACAGTCATATTAGCCACTAATAATTAATATTAATATAAATAATGGGAAAACCTTTATTAGCAATTATTAATTAATATGAATATTAATATCGGTCATTCATATTCATGTTAATAATAAATGAGGAATAATTCATACTAATATTACGCCCTATTACCTCAGTGGTTGTACACCCACCTGTGATATTGTTCCTAATGTCCAGGTAGGGAGAGAGCATGATATTACGTTCAATATCGCAGTAGGAGAACACCCAGCCGGTGATATTGATCCGAATATAATCTCCATGGGGTGGAGTATGACGTTACTCCCAATATAGCACTGGGTGTGCATCCACCCGGTTATTTTGCTCCTAATATTCACGGAAGAAGAGAATGTATTACTCCCAACATCGCAGGAAGTCTACACACTCGAGTGAGATGGTCCTTAAAAATATTCCAAGGAGGAGGAGGTGATATGACTACATATATGGCAGAAATTGGAAACCTCCAAGGATATCGTTTCCATGATCCTGGAAAGAAGAGGATAATATTACTTTCAATATCACAGAAGGTGGACACGACCCCAATGATATTGTTTCTAATTGCAACGTGGGAGAGAAGGACATGACACCCGATATCGCAGGGAGTAGAAACACCCCTGTGATACTGTTCCTAATATTAAGGGAGGAAGAGAATGATATGACACCAAATACAGACGAGTGTACAACCTCTGTACACAAAGGATGTACACCGGTCAGTGAAAAGGCTCAAAATCTTCAGAGGGGGAGGTGATATTACTCACAACATGATAAACAGGCTGCGAGTCCACCGCGGGTCCTAAGAGCCAGGGGGGCAAGAGGGGCTGGCTCTTTACTCCGCGCAGCGAGGGGGGCGCCCCGCCCCCCTGCCATGGTTGGTCCAAGAGCCAGAGGGGCAAGAGGGGCTGGCTGGCTCTTTACTCCCGGCAGCGCGGAGGGCGCCCGGACCCCCTGCCATGGGGGTCCACAGAGCCAGGGGGGCAAGTGCGGCTGGCTGGCTCTTTATTCCACGCAGCGCCGGGGGCGCCCCGCCCCCCTGACATGGGGATCCCAAGAGCCAGGGGGGCAAGTGGGGCTGGCTGGCTCTTTACTCCCCACAGCGCGGGGGCCGCCCCGCCCCCCTGCCATGGCGGTCCCAAGAGCCAGGGGGGCAAGAGGCGCAGGCTGGCTGTTTACTCCTCGCAGCGCGGGGTGCGCCCCGCCCCCCTGCCATGGGGGTCCCAGGAGCCAGGGGGGCAAGAGGGGCTGGCTGGCTCTTACTCCCCACAGCGCGGTGGGAGCCCCGCCCCACTGCCATGGGGGTCCCAAGAACCAGTGTGGCCAGAGGGTCTGGCTGGCTCTTTACTCACAGCAGCGCGGGGGTAACCCCGCCCCCCTGCCATGGGGGTCCCAAGAGCCAGGGGGGCAAGAGGGGCTGGCTGGCTCTTTACTCCTCGCATCGCACGGGGCGCCCCGCCCCCGTGCCATGGGGGTCCCAAGATCCAGGGGGGCAAGAAGGGCTGGCTGGCTCTTTACTCCCCGCAGCGCGGGGTTCGCCCCGCCCCCCTGTCATGGGGGTCCCAAGAGCCAGGGGTCAAGAGGGTCAGGCTGGCTCTTTATACCCCGCAGCGCGGGGGGCGCCGCGCACCCCTGCCATGGGGGTCCCAAGAGCCATGGGGGCAAGAGGGGCTGGCTGGCTCTTTCCTCCCCGCAGCGCGGTGTCGCCCCGCGCCCCTGACATGGGGGTCCGAAGAACCAGGTGGGCAAGAAGGGCTGGATGGCTCTTTTCTCTCCCCAGGGCGGGGGGCGCCCGGCCACCCTGCCATGGGGGTCTCAAGAGCCAGAATGGCAAGAGGGGCTGGCTTGCTCTTTACTCCTCGCAGCGAGGGGGGTCGCCACCCCCCTGCCATGGGGGTCCCAAGAGCCAGGGGGGCAAGAGGGGCTGGCTGGCTCTTTACTCCCCGTACCGCGGGGGACGCCCGGCCCCCCTGCCATGGGGGTCCCAAGAGCCAGGGGGGCAAGAGGGGCTGGCTGGCTCTTTACTCCCTGTAGCGCAGGGTGCGCCCCGCCCCCCTGCCATGGGGTTCCCAAGAGTCAGGGGGGCAAGAAGGGCTGGCTGGCTCTTTACTCCCCGCAGCGCGAGCGGCGAACGGGCCCCCTGCCATGGGGGTCCCAAGAGCGAGGGGAGCAAGAGGGGCTGGCTGGCTCTTTACTCCCCGCAGCAAGCGGGGCGCCCCCCCCCCCGACATGGGGCTCCCAAGAGCCAAGGGGGCAAGAGGGGCAGGCTGGCTCTTTACTCCCCGCAGCGCGGGGGGCGCCCCGCGCCCCTGCCATGGGGGTCTCAAGAGCCAGGGGTGCAAGAGGGGCTGGCTGTCCCTTTACTCCCCGCAGCGCGGGGGGCGCCCGGCCCCCATGCCACGGGGTTCCCAAGAGCCAGAGGCCAAGAGGGGCTGGCTGGCTCTTTACTCTCCGCAGCACGGGGGGCACCCGGCCCCCCTGCCATGGGGGTCCCAAGAGTCAGGGAGGCAAGAGGGTCTGGCTGGCTCTTTACTCCCCGCAGCGCGGGGGGGTCCCGGCCCCTCTGCCATGGGGGTCCCAAGAGCCAGGGGGGCAAGCGGGGCTGGCTGGCTCTTTTCTCCCCGCAGTGCGGGTGGCGCCCTGCCCCTCTGCCATGGGGGTCCCAAGAACCAGGGGGGCAAGAGGGGCTGGCTGGCTCTTTACTCCTCGCATCGAGGGTGGCGACGCGCCCCTTTGCGATGTGAATCGGAATATCCCGAGGCGAGAGGCTGGTGATATTTCTCCCTGCAACGCGATGTCACCGTCTCCCCCCTGCTATGTGGCTGGTAATATCCAGAAGGGGAGAGAAGGGTGATATTACTCCCTGCATCGCGGGGGACACCCTCGCCCCCCTGCGATGTGGCTCTTAATGTCCAGCGGGTGGAGAGGGGTATTATTATTCCCTTTCTCCTAGTATGTTTTCTCTACTGCCACTCTTGGTTAACACCCTGGGACATTATTTTCCATATTCTAGGAAGGTGTGACTGTTTAATTCCCAGGGGGTATGCACCCTTCGATATTATTCGTGATATTGTACGGAAATTTGAATCCTGATGTCAGAATTCTCTACACACTCTGATATTATTCACAATACCCTAGCTGGACGTTAATAATAATGTCACAATGTTTGTACAGCTTATGCTGTTATTCTTAATCTCCTAAGTGGAGGTTGATTTTATTGTCACACGGAGTATTTTCCCTTTGGTATGATTCGGAATGTGCTGGAGGGATGTCACTCCTTTTGTCACAGGGTTTGTACACCTTGTGAAATTGCTCGTGTTACCCTTATAAGATGTCACTCCTCATATCACCGAGGGTGGACACTCTGCGATATTATCCTCATATTCTAGGGACATGTTACTTTTAATGTCACAGATGTTGCACACCTTGTGAAATTTTTCTTTATAGTTTTGTGGGATGTGCCTCCTAACGTCACACGGGGTGTACACACAGTTATATTACGTGTAATCTTCTATAGAAATATTACTCGTAAATCACAGGTCCTGTACACACTTTCATATTCTTCGTCATATTCTAGGAAAATGTAACTACTAACGTAACAGGGCGTGTAGACCCTGTCATAAAATTCGTAATATCCCAGCGGGAGTTCACTACTAATTTCACAATGCGTGTACACCCTTTGATATTGTTCATATTATCCTAAAGAGATGTGACTACTGATGTCCCAATGCTTGTACATTCTCTGATATTATTCGTTATATCCTTCGGTAATGTGACTTCTAATGTCACACGGCGTGTACTGCCTGTGTTCTATTTCATAATATCCTAGGGCAATTGTACTGTTAATGACACAGGGTTTCTACACATTGTAATATTATTCATGATATTCTAGAAGGATGTTACTCCTGTCACAGGGGTGTACACCCTCTGATAGTATTCATAATTTCCCAAGGGTCTATACTCCTAATGTCACAGAAGATAACAGTCTGTGACATTATTTGTAAAATTCTGGTGAGATGATTCTAATATCACAGGGGGTGTACATCCTGTGATCGTATTCTTTCTATTCTAGGGCGATGTCGCTCTTAATGTCACAGGTGTGTTCCTTCTGTGATATTATTGAAAATATGCTAGGTGGATATTACTACTAATGTCACAATGTGTGTACACCTTGTGATATTATGAGTAATATTCTGGGGGGGATATTACCCCTAACGTTACAGGGGTGTACTCCGTCTGATATTGCTCCCAATATTGCAGGGGGATGTTACTCCTAATGTCACAGGGGCTGTACAGCCTTCGATATTATTTGTAATCTTATACAGAGATATTTCTTTAATGATCACAGTGGGTGTACACACATGGACTACACCCACTGGGATATTATATGTAATATCTTAGGGAGATATAACTCCTAATATCACAGTGGGTGTACCCCATGTGTGTACATCCTGTGATATTATTTGTAATATCCATTGTAAACATTACTTGTAGTATCCCACAGAGGGTACACCCTGTGATATTTTTCATGCTATCATAGGGAGATATTGTTTCTAATAAAACAGTGGGTGTACACCATGTGTGTACACTCTGTGATGTGATAGCTTATATCCTAGGGAGATATTCCTTCTAATATCACAGTGAGTGTACATCCTGTGATATCATTCGTAATCTCCTAGAAAGATGTTGCTGCTAATATCACAGAGGGTGTGCCCCCAGTGACATCATTTGAAATATCCTAGAGAGATGTTACTCGTAATGTCACAGGGGTTGTACACCCTGTTATATTATTGCAATATTCTAGGGGGGTGTTACTTTTAAAGTCAAAGGGGTGTACACCCTGTGATGTTATTCGTAATATCCTAGGAAGGGGCTACTCCTAATATCACATGGGTTATCCTAGGAAGAGCTTACTCCTAATATCACACTCCTAATATCACACCCTGTGATAGCATTCGGAATATCCAAAAGGGATGTTACTTTTAATGTCACATAGGGTGTACACCCTTTGATAATATTCGTAAGATCCTAGGGACATATGACTTCAAATATCACATTGGGTGTACACCCATGGTGTACACATTGTGTGTGAACACCTCCTGTGATATTATCCATAATATCCTAGGAAAATGGGACTCCTAATATGACGGTCAGTGGACACCCTGTGATATTATTGGTAATATCCTAAAGAGATGTTACCACTAAGGTCACAATGTCTGTACGCCCCCTGACATTATTCGTTATATCCTCGGGGATTGTTACTCCTAATGTCACACGGGGTGTACTCCCTGTGATATTATTCATAAAATTCTAGGGGGATGTTACTTTCAATGTCACCTGGGGTGTATACCATGCGTATTCAACGCCTGTGATACTATTCCTAATATCCTAGGGGCATGTTCCTCCTAATGTCACATGGGGTGAACACCATATGTGTACATCTGCTGTGATATTATTCATAATATCTTAGGGGAATATTACTCCTGATGGCACAGGACATGTACACCATGTGTGTCAACCGCCTGTGTCATTATTCGTAATATCCTAGGGGGATGTTTCCTTGAATGGCACAAAGTGTGCGCAAAAGGTCACAGAAGTTGTGCACCTTGTGATGTTATCTGCAATACCCTAGAAGGATGTTACTCCTAATATGTCACAGGGGTGTACACACTTTGATATTATTTGTAATCTCATAGAGAGATATGACTTCAAATATCACAGTGGATGTTCACACATAGTGTATACCCTGTAATATTATTCATAATATCCTGGGGAGATGCAACTCCTGATATCACAGTGCGTGTACACGGTGTGTGTACACCCTTGATATGAGTCGTGATATCCAGGGTAAATATGACTCCTCATATCACACAGTGTGCACACCCTGTGATATTTTTCATCATACTTAGGGAGATATTGCTTCTAATATCACAGTGGGTGTACCCCATGTGTGTATACTCTGTGACAGTATATTCTATATCCTAGAGAGCTATTACTCGTAATGTCGCAGTGGGTGTTCACCCTGTGATGTCATTCTTATTTGACCTTGCTGCCTTTTTTAACCCACCCTACAAAAGGAATGGAACAGATAAGAAGATATTGAGATTAGACCGTGCTGCTGTGCGGCCGCCGCAGGACACTTTTCATATCCCTGTTTCTCAGGCTGTAGATGAAGGGGTTCAGCATGGGGGTGACCACCGTATACATCACTGAGGCCACTGCACTCTTTCTCGGGGAAGATGACACATCTGAACCGAGATACCCTCCAACGCCTGTTCCATAAAATCAGCAAACAGCAGACAGGTGAGACCCACAGGTGGAGAAGGTTTATACTTCCCACCTGATGATGAAACCCTCAGAATGGAGGAAACAATTTTACAGTAAGAGAAAAGCGTCCCCGAGATGGGAAGAAAACCCAATACGGCAGCAGGGAAATACAGGTTGATGTTCCTGGTGAAGGTGTCACAACATGCAAGATGGGGGAGTTGAGAAGGTTCCCAGAAGACATTAGAAATTTCCACATCCTTGAAGCAGGTCATTTGTAAGGCAATCAAGTTATGCAGCTGGGAGTCTAAAAGCCTGAGGAAAAAAAAAAAAAAAGAAAAAAAAACAAGGACAACAAATCTTGGAAGCCACAGAAACACGGGTTCAAGATGGCTGAACGATATGGAGGGTGACAGATGGCTACAAACTGGTCGTAGGCCATCACGCTCAGGAGCATGTCTCTCTTCCATGCCTCCAAAAATGGCAAAGAGAGACATCTGAGTCAGGCAGCCTGCATAGGAGATGACTCTGCTGTGAGACTGGATGTCCACAATCATCTTGGGGACCGTGTGGAGGTGAAACCGATGTCAGGCAAGGACAGGTTGGAGAGGAAGAAGTACATGGGGGTGTGGAGGTGGAAGTCAGGGCTGACTGCCATGATGATGAGCAGTTTCTCCAGCACCGTGACCAGGCACATGGACAGGAACAGCCCAGCGATGACCGGCTGCAGTTCTGGATCCTCTGAGAGTTCGAGGAGGAGGAATATAGAGACATCTGTTAGACTCTGTGGGTCTGTATCGTTTGGATACAACCCTCTTTTGCCTGGAAAAGAGGGTTGAAAAATCGGAAACAAGTAAACCAATACCCAGCATTATGTCTGCATTTTAGATAGAAGCAATTCACAAGTAATGTTTTCAGATTTCAGAGCAATCCACACTCAGCAATATTTTGTAGTTCTGACAAGCTCAATTGCCTTATAATGCTTTCAACATCGATTGCTGTGTTATTCACGTCTTGCTATACACACCTGCCTTAGAGACACTAGCTTCAAGAACGTTCCAAGAACCAGATCATCATATATAACAAATTCGTAATTGCTAGAAAATACAGCCTATCTTTTCTGAAGAACAAGATGTAATAAAACCATTGTCTTCACTTTAAGAAAAAGGTTATCCTAATTAAATGAAATTAAGAACTCAAATATTTTATTTATTCTACTAGATTGATACAAATTCCCTTGATTTAGAACATTTGTAAACACTGTATAACAGCTCAGACCATGCCATCTGGAAATGAAATGAAAGTTGATAGTTCATCAGCAGAAAATAGTTCCACATGCCAGTTAGGTCCTAGTGATTTCATCATTGTGTTTTCGGACTTTTCTCCTTCGAGAGAGTAATTGCTTACTCAAATCGATGGGTCTTGTTTTAAAATTCATGGAAGCTCTAACTCCTGTCCTTAGCTTAGGTGGACTTAGAATTTTCATCAGAAAGTTTGGCCGGACGCGGTGGCTCACGCCTGTAATCCCAGCACTTTGGGAAGCCAAGGAGGGCGGATCACTGGGTCAGGAGATCAAGACCATCCTGGCCAACATGGTGAAACCCCGCCTCTACTAAAAATACAAAAACTTCGCCCGATATGGCGGCGCACGCCTGTAGTCCCAGCTACTCGGGAGGCTGAGGCAGGAGAATGGCTTGAACCTGGGAGGCAGAGACTACTGTGAGCCGAAATCACACCACTGCACGCCAGCCTGGGCAATGAGAGCAAAACTCCGTCTCAAAAAACAAAAAACAAAAAGAATCAAGTAAGTCAAAGTCACGCTGATGACAGCCAATTTTGGTGAAGCAAGGAAGTGTCAATTCAATCATTAACATATATTTGACTTTTGCTGTCTCCTATCTGCCAAGCACGATATAGGCTGTGGGGAATCAGAAACCAAAGAGACTCACTTGTTCCTCTCACAGTACTCAGTCCTTACTGAGAGAAGGACAAAACAAAATGTGCTGTCTGGAATGCAGGGAAAGCAGAACTTCAGGTCAGGGGATATTTCCGTTGAATTGTGTGGAGTTGAAGCTGAAAATCTTAAGGAATGTATCTAAAATTGGCTTTGCCTTTACTTTAGGCATCCGTCACCTAGAGATCACGCAGCGGGCACCCACGATCAGCTTAATCATCACTCACTTCCATCGGATCAACTGGAAATCAAGTCAGATGAGAGTGCTGAGTCTCAGAGGATGGACATCTCACCCTTTGCCATACAGAGAAGTGGAAAGGGTGGTATTCAAAATTCATGGCCAGACTCGAAGTCCCAGGTACTATACTTCCTGGTCTTCCAACTCTCAAAAAGTTGTGGGTTTTTTTTGTTTTTGTTTTTGTTTTTGTTGTTTTGAGATGGAGTCTCGTTCCGTTGCCCAGGCTGGAGTGCAGTGGAGTGATCTCAGCTCACCGCAACCTCTGCATCCCAGGTTCAGGCTATTCTCCTGCCTCAGCCTGCCAATTAGCTGAGATGACAGTCGCCCGCCACTACGCCTGGCTCATTTTTTTCTATTTTGAGTAGAGACGTGGTTTCACCATGTTGGCCAGGCTGGTCTCGAATTCCTGACCTTGTGATTCGCCTGCCTCAGCTTCCCAAAGGGCTGGGATTACAGGCGTGAGCCACCGCTCCCAGCTTCCAAAAGTTTTAAGCAGAGCTCAGAGGTCTTAACCACAGGCACATCGGAGGAGCATTTTTGAAACACTTTCCAGCTTCCTCAATAGGAATGGAAGCCAAACTCCGAATTGATGACTCCTTTGAGGAAGTCGAGAGCTGTAAGGAAAGCCAGGAACAGGGGCAAGGGAGAGATGCGCCCCGAATGATCCTGTGCCAATTCTTTCTGGAATCCTCGATGTGATCTCAGCTGCCCTTTCCGTACTTGACACAGTGATTGTGGCACCCACTAGTCTAGCTGTGGTCTACAAGGAACCCCCAAAGGGAAGGGAACAATGAGCAGGGGCTTCCGCCTGAGTGACGAGGATTTGAGAAGGCAGGTTGGTTGCAGGGAGAGGACTGGCCAAATGCCATGTGTCTGGACTTAGACTGCCTGGTTCAAATTGGACTTCACCCTTTTTGACTTCATGATCTAGTACGAGTTCTATGGAAAGCCGTTGCTCCTTTTCTCGTCTGTAAAATCATCCTGAAATGTGCACTAATAACGTGGAGACTACGCAGATGAAATGAAACAAGCTGCATAGAGCACAGAGCTCAGAGCCTGGCCTTTAGGAAGCCCTCAGTAAGGGTTCATGATGCCATGGTGTCTGTCGTCATCCTCTTTATCCTCATCATCACCTACATAATCTTTTTGTTGTTCTTAGGGAATAGTTTAGAGGGACTGATTCCCTGCTATCATGAGTGAAATGTCTATGAAAAGCACAACCAGTGGGGGAGGAAAGCAAAATTTTGAATAAGATTTCTGAGACCCCCAGCACAACCAACAACAGAAACTGCACAGTCTGCTGAGAGGACAGTTTGCACATTGGTCTCCTCCCATCTGCCCACCGCACTCTCCTGTTTGTCCTGAGGAGGAGGAAACCAAACAAGGCTCCCGACCCTCCCTCAGCACTCACTTGAATGGGTGGCCTGCCCCTCCACACCTGTGGGTATTTCTAGTCAGGTGGGATGAGAGACTGAGGAAAGAAATAATACACAGAGACAAAGTATAGGGAAACAACAGTGAGCCCAGGGGACCAGCGCTCAGGATACCAAGGATCTGCACTGGCACCAGCCTCTGAGTTCCCTCAGTTTTACTGATTATTATTATTATTTTAGCAAAAAGGAATGTAGTAGGAGGGCAGGGTGATAATAAGGAGAAGGTCAGCAACGAACATGTGAGCAATAGAATCTATGTCATAATGAAGTTCAAGGGAAGGTACTATGACAGGACATGTACGTAAGCCAGATTTATGTTTCTCTCCACCCAAACATCTCAGTGGAGTAAAGAATAACAAGGCAGCATTGCTGCAAACATGTCTCACCTCCCGCCATAGGGCGGTTTTTCCCTCATCTCAGAATTGAACAAACGTACAATCGGGTTTTATACTGAGACATTCAGTTCCCAGGGGAAGGCAGGAGACAGTGGCCTTCCTCTCTCTCAACTGCAAGAGGCTTTCCTCTTTGACTAATCCACCTCAGCACAGACCCTTTACGGGTGTCGGGCTCGGGGACGGTCAGGTCTTTCTCCTCCCACGAGGCCACTTTTCAGACTATCACATGGGGAGAAACCTCGGACAATATGCCGCTTTCAAGGGCAGGGCTCCCTGAGGCTTTCCACAGTGTATTGTGCCCCTGGTTTATTGAGACTAGAGAATGGCGATGACTTTTACCAAATATACTGCTTGGAAACATCTTGTTAACAAGGCACGTCCTGCACAGCCCTAGATCCCTTAAACCTTGATTTCATACAACTCATGTTTTTGTGAGCTTCAGGTTGGGTCAAAGTGGCTGGGGCAAAGCTACACATTAACAGCATCTCAGCAAGGCAATTGTTGAAAGTACAGGTCTTTCTCAAAATGGAGTCTCTTATGTCTTTCCTTTCTACATAGACACTGTAAGAGTCTGATCTCTGTTTCTTTTGCCTACACTCACTGAACTGTCCTTCCCCTCTGCTGGGCCATGACCACGGAGAACAGGTCCACTGTCTTCCCTGTGTGGTGCACCATGGAGGCTCAGGCTCTGTCCTCAAGGCTGGCAAGAAGACAGGGTGAGACGTGAGCCTCTTGATACAGGTGATGTCTGTGGAGCCCACAGGACTGGACCTCACATTGCAGGGCTGGACGCACAGACTGAGTATTTACTATTCTGTGGCCTGGGGGGTTCAAGGCACAGAGCTCCTTATTAGCCAAAGTCACCCAAGTTCCCCAACCTCTAAGGATGTCCTTATAATAATGCAAGAAGAAGAGAAAAGTGAGTGTCCATAGAAGCTTTGGGGCTCTTCCTCTAATCAGGAGAAAGCTAGTGTGTATTCTTCACTTCTTTCTTTTCTTTTTAAACATCCAACTGCTTTAATTTTCATCTTTTATTATGAGAAAATATACCACGTATAAATATTAAAAATTATAAATATATATTAGTTCATATAGAATGGCCAGTATAAACATTTACTGTTTCCACGCTTTTCAGTTTACAGTTTCATGACAGTAAGTACGTTCACATTGTTTAGCAACCATCACCGTCATCGTCTGCGGAACATTTTTATCTTTCAAAATGGAAATTGCACCCATTCACCAAGCTCTCCACTCCTCTTTCTCGTCCCCCCCGGGGGCCACCGTTCTAGTTTGCAACTCTATGAGTTTAACTACTCTAGACACTTGATAGATAAGTGGAATCATACCGTGTTTAATTTTTTTGTTTTGGAAACAGTGTCTTTCTCTGTCACCCTGCCTGGAGTGCAGTGGCGTGATGTCGCCTCACTGCAACTTCCACATCCTGGTTTCAAGCGATTCTTGTGTCTCAGCCTCCCGAGTAGCTGGGATTACAGGCGTGCGCCACCACGCCCAGATAATTTTTGTATTTTAAATAGAGACCATATTGGCCTGGCTGGTCTCGAACTCCTGACCTGAAGTGATCCGCCTGGCTCAGCCTTCCAAAGTGCTGGGGTTACAGGTGGGAGCCACTGAGCCTGGGCGTGTTTATCCTTTTGGGATTCATTTATTTCACTGACGATAATGTTTTCAAGGTTCATCCATGTTGCGGTCTGCGTCAGAAGTGCCTCTCTGTTTTTTTTTTTGTTTTTTTGTTTTTTGTTTGTTCGTTTGACTTTGTTTTGTTTTGTGTTTCCATGGAGTTTCACTCTGTCGCACAGGCTGGAGTGCAGTGGCACAATCTGGGCTCACTGCAACCTCTGCCTCCTGGGTTCCAGCTATTCTTGTGCCTCAGCCTCCCGAATAGTTGGGACTATAGGCACACGCAACCACGCTCGTCTCTTTTTTTGCATTTTCAGTAGAGACAGGGTTTCACCAAGATGGCCAGGCTGGTCTTGAATTCCTGACCTCAGGTGATCCGCCCACCTCGGTCTTCCAAGACGCTGCAATTACAGGCGTGAGCCACCGCACTGGCCAGAAGTGCCTGCTTTTTGAAGGCTGAATAGTCTTCCATTGTATGAAGGAACTACAGTGTGCTTTTTCATTCATCTGTCCACGAACCCTTGGGTTGCTTCCACATTTTGGCTGTTGTGAATAATACTGCTATGAATATGGGTGTACACAAATCTGTCTTCCACTCCTGGCTTCTAATTCTTTTTGGTAGGTACCAACAAATGAAACTGTGGGAACATCTGATCATTCTTTTTCTAATTTTTCCAGTACATGCCATACTATTTTCCCCATTCCTTCACGGTTTTACATTCCCTCCGATCAGATTCGAGCATTCCTACTTCCCTCTAGTCTCACCAATGCCTGTTTGTCTATCACATCCATCCTAATGTGTGGTATCACATTCTTGGTTTGATTTGCGCTTCCCTATGATGAGTGATTTTGAACATCATTTTAGATGCTTATTGGCCATTGTGATATCTTCTTTAGGGACACGTCTACTCGAGACTTCTGACCATTGCTGATGGGATGCTTTGGGTTTCTTGTTGTTTAGTTCTAGCTGTTCTTTATATATGATGGCTATCAGCCTCTTTTCAGATATATGCTTTGCAAATCTTTTTCCTAATCCATGGGTTATCTTGTCACTCAGTTTGCAGTGTTTTTTGCTGCACAAAAGTGTCTGCCATTTAGATGTAATCCAAGGAATCTAATTTTCTTTTGTTGCCTATGCTTTTGGTGTCATGTCACAGAGAACATTGCCCAATCTGATGTCATGAAAGCGTGGCCAATGTTTTCTTTTAGGTGTATGATATTTTTAGCGCTTGGGGTGAGGTCTCTGATCCAGTTTGTGTTAATTTTTGCTCCTGGTGTGACATAGGGTCCACCTTCATTCTTCTGCATGTGGAAATCAAGTTTCTCCAACACCATTTCTTGAAAAGGCTGCTTTACCACCAATGAGCTTTCTTAGCACTCATGTGAAGTATCATGTGAACATATAGGTGAGAAGTTATTTCTGGTCTCCAAAACAAACAAACAGCAACAGAAAACAGATAAGGATATAGCATGGGCCGGGCGCGGTCGCTCATGCCTGTAATCCCAGCACTTTGGGAGGCCGAGGCGGGCAGATCACCTGAGGTCAGGAGTTGAAGACCAGCCTGACCGACAGGGAGAAACCCCCGTCTCTACTACAAATACAACATTAGCTGGGCGTGCTGGCGCATGCCTGCAATCCCAGCTACTCGGGAGTTGGAGGCAGGAGAATCGCTTGAACCCAGGAGGCAGAGGTTGCGGTGAGCCAAGATTGCACCATGACACTCCAGCCTGGGCAACAAGAGCGAAACTCCATCTCAAAACAAAAAATAAAAATAAAAAACAAAAAACCAGCATGATTTCAAGAGCAGAAAGAGAAGAGCTTAAAAACCAGCATAATGAGAAAGTTAGGAAGCTTCTTACCAAAGCATCTGCAAATATGCAAGCAATTCTTGTGAACTAAAATTTTCATACTATACTATCAAAAACTAGAACTCACTTATTCCATCTTTCTGTATTTTGGGACCCAATTATCCACTTGTCTTCATTCCCTATCCCAGCCCTTTTCTTCCTAGCGTCTGCTAACCACCTTTATACTTTCCACCTTCCTGAGATTCCTTTTGTGTGTAGGTGTGTGATGGAGTCTCTTTCTGTTGCCCAGGTTGGAGTACACAGGCACAGTCCGGGCTCACTGCAAGCTCTGCCTCCCGAGTTCAAGCGCTTCTTGGGCCTCAGCCCTCGGAGTAGCTGAGACTACAGGCACGCGTCACCACGCCCGGCTCATTGTTTGTGTTTTCCGTAGAGACGGGGTTTCACCATGTTCGCCAGTCGGGTCTCGAACTCCTGGACTCAAGTGATCCGTGCGACTCCGCCTCCCAGAGTGCTGGGATTACAGACGTGAGCCACCACACCTGGCCAAGGTTTCCTTTTTCCTTCCTACATAGAAGTGAGGACATGAAATATTTGTCATTCTGTGCCTGGCTTCTTTCATTTAATATACAGACCTGCAATCTCATCCATTTTGTCTGCAATGGAGAGGAGTTTCTTCCTTTTTAGGTTGAATAATACTTCACTGGGTGTGTATACCACAGTTTCTTCATTGAAACAAATTTCTGAAGAGCAAATATTTTTAAAATGTCAAGGAATGTGAAACTTCAGGGATATTGTGCCCATTTTATTCTTTTTTATATCCCCTCTTATTTATGAGCCAGTGTCCAACAAAGCAGCAACCAAAGTATGTATAAATCTATAACTTCAGCAAATGTAAAATGTAAATGTTAAGTGGTGGCTGGGCGCGGTCGCTCATGCCTGTAATCCCAGCACTTTGGTAGGCGGAAGCGGGCGGATCACCTGAGGTGGGGAGTTCAAGACCAGCCTGACTAAAATGGAGAAACATTGTCTCTATTAACAATACCAAAAAAAAAAAAAAAAAAAATAGCCAGTCATGGTAGCGCATGCCTGTAATCCCAGCTACTTGGAAGGCTGAGACAGGAGAATTGCTTGAATACGGGAGGCAGAGGTGGCAGTGAGCCAGGACCATGCCATTGAACTCCAGCCTGGACAACAAGAGTGAAACTCTGACTCAAAAAATAAGGAAAAGAAAGAAATAGAAAATGCGAAATGGTAAGAAAAAACAACATAATAAATATTTGTATGCTGTTGCTGGACAATGCATTTGAAGATAATATTTGAAGAAATCATATTACAATTAATTTCTGTTCTTACTCATTGGAGCTTGATGCCTCTAAAAACTTCGTTATTGGAACAACCTCTAGTGCTTTAAAAGAAAAAAAAAAAAATCCACATACTCACACAGGTGCAAGGTAATCAGAATCTCAGGTATTGAGACCCAGGCATCATCATTTGTAAGCTCCCCAGGTGAGTTGACTCAAAGCCAAGATTGAGGAACGGCGACGTGGATCTCTCCACATAACCTGCCTAAATAGATTCTATAGGAGCAGTTTATAAAGACATTCCACATGAACTGTGGAAGAGGATATGAATTTGATGTACAGTATGTCCTCACTTAACATCTTTGAAAGTCTCTTGGAAACTTCACCTTGAAGCAAAATTGTGTATAGTGAAACCACTTATTTTTCATCAACATTATAACTACACAACTTTGAACAACCAATGGTGTTGGAGGACCTCCTGTACATTGTTTCCATAAAGTCAGTGTTCAGGGAATTCCAAAACGAAGTGAGGACTTCGTGTATATAAAAGGATGGTTGTGATTCCACCTGGATGACAGGGTTATTGCTCAGAAACTAAAAGAGGCCGCCTAGATATAGAGGATTCAGTCATGAGGTTTCTGCTAAACAAAGGATCCCAGAATCGCCACCCATTCCGTTCAAGGCATAACGAAGAAAGCAATATTCACAAAGGAAATGCGGAAAGGAATAAATGTCATCAAGCCACAAAAAGAATGTGACTTAAGGGCAGGATTTGCAGATGTAGGGATTTACTGTGGTTGCCCTTTCTCACCCACACAAGAAAAACGATGGAACAGATCATGAGATTCGACTGTTCTGCTGCGTAGCCTCCGCAGGGCACTTTGTATGTCCCTGTTTCTCAGGCTGTAGATGAAAAGGTTCAGCATGGGGGTGACCACAGCGTACATCACTGACGCCACCACACCATTCCTGGGGGGTGGTGACACAGCTGAAGTCAGGTACATGCCAATGCCTGTTCCATAAAATCAGCAAACAACTGCTAGGTGAGAGGCACAGGTGGAGAAGGCTTTATACTTCCCATCTGACGATGAAATCCTGAGAATGGAGGGGACGATTTTATAGTAAGACCATAGGATCCCTGAAATGGGAAGAAAACCAAACATAGTACTATCGAAATATATGAATATGCTATTGATGACGCTGTCAGAACAAGCAAGTTTGAGAAGATGAGAGGGGTCACAGACAGAATTAGAGATTTCCACATTCTTGATGATGGTGAATTGTAACACAATCCAACTGTGCAGCTGGGAATCCAACAAGCTAAGGAGAAAGGACACCAAAACGAAGAAGACACAGAGGTGAGGATTCACGATGACTGGGTAGTGCAGAGGGCAACAGATGGCTACAAAGCAGTCATAGGCCATCACAGTCAGGAGCATGCCTTCTATACATGCAAAAAGGACTAATAAAGACATCTGTATCAGGCAGACCGCATGAGAGATGACTCTGCTATGCGACTGCATGTCCACAATCATCTTGGGGACTGTGGCCTAGGTGAAACCGATGTCAGCCCAGCACAGGTTGGAGAGGAAGAAGTACATGGGGGTGTGGAGGGGGGAGTCAGAGCTGACAGCCAGGATGCTGAGCAGGTTCCTCAGCACCGTGACCAGATACATGGACAGGGACAGGGACAGCAAAGTGAGGAGTGGCTGCAGTTCTGGATCCTCTGAGAGTCCCAGGAGGAGGAATTCTCAGACATCTGTGAGATTCCGTGGCCCTGTGTGTCTTTGACACCTTGAGAAGGAAAGAGGATTGGAAAAAGAAAAGATAAAAACCTGCCCTTAATGCTGGATGCAAGCAATTCACAAGGAACATTTTCACACTTGCGGACCATACACCGCCAGCAATCTTTCTCAGTTGTGACAATTCCAACAATCTCAGAATTATTACGTGATTTACATTTTTGCTCTACAAGGCTTTCTGTACATACTACTTTAGAGAAAATCCACTGAAGAATATTAGAAGACCGAAACGTCATATATAACAAATCCGTGATCTTAGTAAAATACGGCCTACTTTTTTCAGAAAAAATACAATGCAATAACAATGTCCTTCTCTCTTTAAGAAAAAGATCTCAGTCTAATTGAAAGAAATTAAGAAGCTGTGAAATACACTCTACTTTATTCTGACACGGTGCTACCACTTCCATTGATATAGAATATGTAAAGGGAAGACAAAAGAGCTAGGACCCCATTATCTGAAAATGAAATCGAACCTTATAGTTCTCAATCGGAAGAGCTTTTCCCATGCCTGTTACTTTTCATATTTATTATCATCCTTCGGTTTTCTGACATCATTTCTTCATAAAAGTACATGCACACTCAAAAATGGGAGCTGTGTTTCCAAGTGAATTGAATCTATAAGTCTTGGCCCAGCACCGTGGCTCACACCTGTAATCCCAGCACTTTGGGCGGCCGAGGCTGATGGATCCCCTGAGGTCAGGAGTTCCAGACCAGCCTAGCCAACGTGGTGAAACCCCGTCTCCAGTGAAAATAAAAAAAAAAAAATTAGCCGGGCGTGGTGGCTGGTAACCCTAGCTACTCGGGAGGCTGAAGCAGGAGAATCCCTTAGAACCTGGAAGGCAGAGATTGGACACCCTGTGATAGGATTTTTGATATGCTAGGGAGATATTGCTCCTGAAAGTAGAGTGGGCGTACACCCTGTGATATTATTTGTAATATCCTAGAAAGATATTGCTCCTAATATCATGGTGGCTCTACACCCTGTGATCTTAATTGTAACATCCTACAGAGATATTACTCCTAATAATACAGTGGGTGTACACCCTGTGATATTATTCATAATATATTACAGAGATACGACTCCTGATATCACAGTGAGTGTACACCATCTTGGTGCAACCTGTGATCTTATTTGTAACAACTTAGAAAAATATTACAGCTAATATCAAAGTGGGTGTACACACTGCTATGGTATTTGTTATCTACTAGGTAGATATTACTCCTAATATCACAGTGAGTGTACACCATGTGTGTACAGACTGTGAAATTTTTCATAATACCCTAGGAAGATATTACTCCTCATATCACAGTGGGTGTACACCGTGAGTGATATTTTTTTCTAATATCCAGCGGGGGAGAGGATGATATTGCTTCCAATATTACAGAAGGTGTACACCCCCCTGTGATTTCATTCCTAATATCCATGGAAGGAGAGGATGACATTATTCACAATATCACTGGGAGTGTATCACCTCCCGCCGGGATATTGTTCTTAATATCTGGAGATGGAGAGAATGATGTTACTCCCAGTATCACAGGGGATGTACACCACCCCTGTTTGTAAACATCCCCTGTGATATTGTTCCAAATGGCCTGTGAAAGAGTAACCATGACTCCCATTATCGCGGGGGGTGTTCAGCCCTGATGATATTGTTTTCTAACATCCAAGGATGGAGAGTATGCTATTACTCCCAATATCGCAGGGGTTGTACACCCTTTTGTGTTTTTGTGCCCAATATCCAGGAAAATAGAGGATGATATTACTCCCAATATCGAAGTAATTGTACAGCACCCCTGTGATGTTCTTCCTAATATCCAGAAAGGAAAAGAACGATATTACTCTCAACAGTGTAGGAAACGTATACCCGTGCTGTGGTATCTTTCTCAGTATCCAGGTGGGGAGAGGATCATATTACATCCAATGTCGCAGGGTGTGTACACCCCCTCTGTGATCTCGTTGCTAACATCCAGGTTTGGGGAGGACGACATGACTCCCAATATCGCAGGGGGTGAACACACCCCTGTGAAAATCTTCCTATATTCAGAGGGAGAGAGGATGATATTACTCCCAGTACCGCAGGGGGTTTCCACAGCCCTGTGATACTC
The DNA here is from genome assembly GCF_000001405.40 of Homo sapiens. Taxonomy (NCBI): domain Eukaryota; kingdom Metazoa; phylum Chordata; class Mammalia; order Primates; family Hominidae; genus Homo; species Homo sapiens. The sequence continues at coordinate 9,457,148 of NC_000004.12, read as the reverse complement.
TTCCTAATATCCACAGGGAGAGAGGATGATATGACTCCCAATATCGCAGGGGGGGTACACAACCCTGTGATATTGTTCCTAACATCCGGAGAGAAAGAAGATGATATCACTCTCAATATCGCAGAAGGTGTACACCCCTCCTGTAATATTGTTCTGAATACCCTGGGAGTGAGAGGATAAGGTTACGTTGAATATCGAAAGGGAATGTACACCCTCCCCCTCTGATACCCTTCCTAATGTCCAGGGGAAGAGAGGAAAATTTCACTCCCAATATCACAGACGCAGTACACCCCACCTGTGATGTTGTTCCCAATATGCAAGGGGGGAGGGGATGATACTGCTCTCAATATTGCAGGGCTGTTCACATCCCCAGTGACATTTTTTCCTAATATCTAGGGGAGAGACAATTCTATGACAGCAAAGGTCACAGGGTCTGTACATCCCTTCCTGATATTGTTCCTAATATCCATGGGGGAAGAGGATGATATCAAATATGAAAGGAGGTGTACATCCTCCACCCCTACGATATTGCTCTTAATAATCGTGAGGGGAGACGATGATATTACTCCAAATATCGCAGGGGTTGTTTACAACCCCCTGTGATATTGTTTCTGATATCCAGGGGGAGAGAAAATCATATTACTGCCAATATTGCAGGTGGTGTATACCCCACCTGAAATATGGCACCGAATATCCAAAGAAGGAGAGGATGGTATTCATACCAATATCGAAGTGTGTGTACACGCCCCTTGTGATATGGTTTTTATTATCCAGTGGGCGGGAGGATGATATTAGTCCCAACATCTCAGAGGGTGTACACTATCCCTGTGATATAGTCCCTAACTTCCAGAAGGGAGAGGATGATATCACTCCCAATATCTCAGAAGTTGTACATCCCCCGTGATATTGTTCGTCATATCCAGGGAGGCGCAGGATGACATTCCATTGAATTTCGCAACAGGCGTACACGCACAGTGTGATATTGTTCCTAATATCCAAGAAGGGAGAGGATGATATTACTCCCAATAAAGCAGTGGGTATACATCACCCCTGTGTTATTGTCTCTAATATTCGGGGCCGGGGATTGGGGGAGAGGATAACATTCCCTCAAATTTAGCAGGTGGTTTGACGCCCCTTGTGGTGTTGTTTTAAATATCCAGAGGGGAAGACAGTAGTACTATTTTTGATAGTCCGATTCATCCGCTCCACCTTTCCGGAACTCTGAGGCAGGGAGGGGGCAAGCAGTTTCCGTTTGATCCCCAATACCTTTGCTGTCTTCTGTACCAAGGCAGCCAAAAACGCAGGCCCCTTGTCTGAGCCGATCCCTAAAGGCCGTCGAAATCTAGGAATCAGATCACGAAGAAGCACAGGGGTTACTTCACGAGCTTTCTCAGTTAGTGTTGGATAGGCCTCCACCCACCCAGAGTAGGTATGCCCAAGAACTAGTACATACTTGTTACCTCCACATTTTGACATCTCTGTGAAGTCCACCTGGAGACCTTCAAAGGGGGCTGCTCCATAAGCTCGTATGCCGGGCGGAACGGCTAGACCTTGCCTCGCATCATGCTGTCGGCAGGTAACACACCGCTGCCTCACCGTTTTGGCAAGGGCTGACAAAGGTGAGATGTAGAAATACCGGCCTAACAACTTTTCCAGTGACTCCTGACCTCGATGGGTGGTTTCTTGCACAGCCAGTACAACTGCAGCTCCCAGCAGCTGTGGCGCAGCTACTCTCCCATCTGGTAACCGAATCCATCCTTCCTCCATCACTTGTGCTTCCCTCTACCTGGAGAAAGTCCTTTTCTTCTTTAGAAGAAGCAGGTCCAAGATCAGGTGCTTGAGGGAGCACTGATACCCATAAGGGGACAGATGCTGCTTTTCGAGCCTCTGAGTCAGCGTAGGAATTCCCCAAACCCAGCAAGATTGAAGCTCACTGGTGTCCTCTGAAATGCCTAACTGCCACCTTGTGGGGTTTCCATACTGCTTCTAATCATTGCAAGATTTCTTGTTGATATTTTCTGTCTTTTCCCCCAGAGTTCAATAGGTCCTTTTCTTTCTATCATGCTCCATGCACTTGAAAGTTTCAAAAGACATACGGAGAATCAGTGTAAATGCTTACAGTCTCAACCTCACTGAGTTCTAAGGCCCCAGTGAAAGCAATGAGTTCAGCTTTCTGGGCTGATGTGGCCTGGGGCAACGATCTGGCTTCAACAACAGTGTCCAGGGTTATCACTGCATACCCTGCATCTCTCTCTCCTTGGGAGTTGAAGAAGCTGCTCCAATCCACATATAGTTCCCAGTCTCCTGATGCCCAAGGCTGGTCCCGGAGGTCAGGTCTGCTAGAATCAATTGAGTCCAACATTTCTACACAACCAGGCTCGACAGGGCTCTCTGATACCGGGAGCAAGGTGGCGGGGTGTAGGCTGTTACAAACTTCAATGGTTATACGGGGATTTTCACAGAGCAAAGTTTGGTACTTGGTGAGTGTGTCATTTGTGAGCCAATGATGTCCTTTAGTATTCATTAAAGTCAGCACGGGAGGCCTTTATGTTCAGGTTTTGCCCAAGAGTCAGCTTATTTGCTTTTTGTACTAGCAGGGCAGTTGCTGCCAAGGACCTCCAACAGGGGGGCCATCCTTTAAAAACCCCGTCTAGTTGTTTAGAGAGGTAGGCCACCTGCCTCGGCCTGGGCCCCACTGTTTGGGTTCAAAGTCCAGCAGCCATCTTTTCTCTCTCTGATGCATACAATGGAAAAGGCTTTGTCAGATCGGGTAGCCCCAGGGCTGGGGCTGCCAGAAGTTTTTCCTTTAACTCATGAAAGACTTGCTGTTGTTGGGATCTGCATTCCAAAGGTTCCCGGTCCCCGCCCCCTTGGTGACCGCATACAAAGTCTTGGCTAATACTGCAAAGTTTGGGATCCACAGTCTACAAAACCCCACAGCTCCTAAGAATTCTCTCAACTGTCTTCAGCTCTTAGGATCTGCTAGATGGCAAATGACCTGCTTTCTTTCTGATCCTGGGCTGCGTTCCGACCCCTGTCGGATAGTCAATCCCAAGTAACGTACTTGCTGTCAGCAGATCTGAGCTTTCTTCTTGGACACCTTCTACCCACAGTCCTCCAGGTGCCGGTGTAGGTCATCTGTTCCCTTGGCACAGCCGACTGCCGTGGGGTGTCCCAGCAGAAGTTCATCAACCTACTGGAGCAACACGCAGCCTAGGTCTCTGCTGGGAAACTTCTGGAGGTCTCGAGCCCACGCCTCCCGAAGATGGTGGAGGAGTTCTTGGACCCTTGGGGAAGCCCAGTCCAAGTGTACTGAGTAGTGACACCTGACTCCGGATCTTCCCACTGAAAGGCAAACAGCTTCTGCCTCTCGGGGGCTAATCTGATAGGAAAGAAAGCGTCTTTCAGGTCCAAGCAGGTGAACCAGCTGTCCTCAGCTGGTGGAAACCCCAACAATGTGGACGGGTTAGGTACTGTTGGGTGGAAAGTCAGTGTAGCTTGATGAAGCAAGCGCAAATCCTGTACCGGCCAGTAGTCCTTGGTCCATGGCTTGGGAACAGGAAGGATGGGAGTGTTCCATGGAGATTGACAAGGAACAATCATTCCAAAAGTTCTTAGGTGCTTGAGACGGACCTGGATACCTTGAAGGGCTTCTCTGGGGACCGGCTCCTCTTTTTGCCTCACTGGCAGGGCCCCAGTCTTAACTGGCCAATCCTGGAGGGTTGTCTTCTGCCCATACTCTTGGCCACCGCTTAGCCAGAGCTGGTCTTCTCTCTTGGCCCAGCTCAGTTAAGAAAAGTCTCCATTCCTCCTCTCGGGGGACCATAAGGGTCATAATGACTCCCGTTCCGGGTAACTTTAGCAGCGAAGAGCCATGCTCTGTCAAAGAGATAGTGGCTCTCAGCTTGCTGAACAAGTCCCTTCCTGAAAAGTTCAAGGGACAGTCAGGCATGTACCAAAACTGATGAATAACTTGATGTCCTCCTACAGTACAAGTCCGAGGCAAGCAGAAAGCTTGCTTTGCTGAAACCCCCGTGGCTCCGATGATGTTAATAGTCTTTTTGGATAAGGGGGCGACTGGGGCGGTTACTAGCGAATGTTCAGCACCGCTATCTACAAGAAAGTCAGTGTCTCCACCCCTGACTGTCATTCTGAGCACAGGCTCTTTGGGGACGCTTGAGCCCGGTCTCCCTCTGTCCAAGAACCCTTCTGCCAGGTTGAGCAGGGCCCCTTCCTCCTTGTCCGGGGCCTCCTGCTCTGAGTCACCTTGTTTTCTTTTAAGCTGAGGGTATTTGTTTTTCTACTGTCCTATTTCTTTACAATAAGCACACTGGTTATGCTGCAAACTCTGACAGCCAAGCTGAGTTTCTTTCCCAGGGCCCCCCTTCCCTTGCCTCTTTGGGGGGGGCCCTCTGATTGCTGCAGCTGACAAACAGGTCGGCGTGTCACCGGGCCTGACCTCCATTCTCTTTGCCTTTTTCCTTATGGCTTACTGCATCCCTGTTTACAAACACCTGGCTAGCTCTTTCTAGTAATTGGGATGGATTCATCCCTGCAAGCCCAGCCTGTTTCTGCAGTTTTCTTCTCATGTCTTCTGCGCTTTGACGGACTAAAGCCATGTGAATCATGCGCTGATTTTCAGGGCTATCGGGATCAAAGGGCGTATACATACGATAGGCCTCCCACAGTCTCTCGTACAATTGTGCTGGACTTTGTTCTTTTCCCTGAATGAACTCAGAGAGCTTGTTAACGTTTGTGGCCTTCTGTGCTCCCCTCATTAATCCTTCCAAGAGAGCTTCCCTGTCTCGGTTTAGCCTTTGCATATCCTCTCTTTCATGTGGGTCCAACTGGGGGTCTGTTCCTGGCAACTGGGTCCTTCCATACTCGTGGGGGTTTTGATAATCAGCTGGTGCATGTTCCTCTAGCCACTCAGTTGCTGCTTGGAGGACTCTCCGCCTTTCTTCGCTGTTAAAGAGGAACATGAGCAACTGGTGCCAATCAGCCCAGGTGGGGTTGTGGGTCTGTATAACAGTTTGGAGCAAATCAATTAGGGCTTGTGGCTTTTCGGTATAGGGCGGTGTATTGTTTTTCCAGTTGAGAAGGTCGACGCAGGTGAAGGGCTGGTACCCAAAAACACGCCTCTCCACCACGTGACTATCCTCATCTATCCCAGTCTACCGCTGCTCTCTCAGGGGCATTTGTGACCCCGTTTTGGGTCGTAAACGAGCTGCTGAAGTGGGGTGGAATGGCGCAATGCGACTTACCGCAATTAATAATCTCAGTTATTAATTGACACTAATAATTATCAATATTAATAACTGATAATATAATTTTTCAAATCAATACCGATAATAATGATAATTAATATTAAATAGTTATACTAATGATAACAATACATGATTAATATTAATGATTAATGACGCCTGATATTAATAACTGATATTGATCTTATTCATTAGAAAACAGTAATATTAGCTCCTAATAATTCATATTAATATTAATCTGAAAACTTTATTAGCAATTTTTCTTAATATTAATATTAATATCGGTCATTCATATTCATGTTAATAAGAAATGAGGTATAATTCACACTAATATTACTCCCTAATACCTCAGTGAGTGTACACCCACCTGTGATATTGCTCCTAATGTCCAGGGTGGGAGAGAGCATGATATTACGTTCAACATCGCAGTAGGTGTACACCCAGCCGGTGATATTGATCCGAATATAATCTCCAGGGGCTGGAGTATGATGTTACTGCCAATATAGCACTGGGTGTGCATCCACCCGGTGATTTTGCTCCTAATATTCACGGAAGAAGACAATGCTATTACTCCCAACATAGCAGGAAGTGTACACCCCCGTGTGAGATGGTCCTTAATAACATTCCAAGGCGGAGGGGGTGATAGGACTATATATATGGCAGAAAGTGGACACTACCAAGGATATAGTTCCCATGATCCCAGAGGGAAGAGAATGATATTACTTTCAATATCACAGAAGGTGGACTCGCCCCCACTGATATTGTTTCTAATTGCAACGTGGGAGAGGAGGATATGACACGCGATATCCCAGGGAGTAGAAACACCCATGTGATACTGTTCTTAATATTCAGGGAGGAAGAGGATGATATGACACCTAATAAAGACGGGTGTACAATCTCTGTATACCCAGAGTGTACACCGGTTTGTGAAACAGTTCATAATCTCCAGAGCGGGAGATGATATTACTCACAATATGATAAACAGGCTGTGTGTTCACCGCAGATCCTAAAAACCAGCGGGGCAAGAGGGGATGGCTCTTACTCCCCGCATCGCGGGGGGTGCCTCACCCCCCTGCGATGGGGGTCCTAAGAGCCAGGGGGGCAAGAAGGGCTGGCTCTTACTCCCCGCATCGGATATAGTACTATGGGTGAAACAACAATGTGGCTGTGGATGTAAATTAAGGTAGTAAATGTTAAAATGCACAAATGAAAATAGAGTGGAAGCATTTATAAAATTTATATTCATTTTCACCTGACCATCTAAACATGCAATTATAATAATTTTCATCTATCATGTTAATTATTCATAGATAAGAGAGTTTAAGACATGTTTTTTGTCCCGGAGTCTGAAGAAGATGGAGTTAGAATTTTCACCACTTCTTTTGTCCGTCAATTTCAATGATCTTCAGTTTGCAGCAGATGCTGAAGTCAGCACAGTATCTAATTGCATGTTCATCAGCATTGCACTTCAGTCTGCAATGATAATATTCTGAAGGACATTCATCATTAGAAATGAAGCTTCTGGCTTTAAAAAGAGAAGACAAATTATATGACACAATATTACTTACTTTTTATTGTTAAATGTCTGAAATGTTTTATAATAAATTAAAAACATTACAGAACTTTCCCAGAAAAACAAAATCAACAGCAAAAAATGCAAGAGAAAACGTGGAGATGCTGAATAAAGACAAGCGATGATTTCTTCTATAAAGAGAGTAGATAAATGAGGCAGTAGCTGGAAATGCACAGAATTTTAAATGAGAACTATTACCACATATTTCTACCTAAAATGAATTATCCAGCTTGGGGGTGGTGTAGAGATTCATAATGCAGGAAATAATGTTTAACTTCTGGAGTTAAATTCTTGAGAAAGTCATTGGGGATGTAATCTAGTGTAAGTAGAGGGGTTGGCCTTGAATCAGAGAGTGAAGAGAAGGTAGATTATGGATAAATATAAAACTATATGAAGAGATATGGTGGTGGGAAAGTGGAAAAGCTGTCTTTGGTTGCTTCTCTGTTTTTGGTGAAATGAGAAAAAAGAATCCTTAAATGAGAGAAGGGTCAGAAGGAGTTGAGTCTTAGTTCCAGCTTCCCAGCGTATTCGGGCTCAAGGCCATGTGTCCTTTATTGAGAAAGTTACTGAGATATGCACAGGAGCCTATAACCCATAATCTCCCATAAATATTCCCTTTAAACCTACCAGTCCTTCCCAAATCCTTTTGTTACAATTTATAAGTTAAAATAATTGCCATGACCAACATCATGAAAGGTTCTCCTTATGTTTTCTTCTATAAGTTTTACAGTTTCAGGTAATTATGTTTAAATGTGTAGTTCATTTTGAGTTGCTTTTTGTGTGTAGTGTAAGATACAGGCCCAGTTTTATTCTTTTGCATGTGAATATTCAGTTTTCTCAGTACGAAGTATTGAAGAAACCGTCTTTTCCCCATTATATATTCTTCGCATGTTTGTTGAAGGCCAGTGGACTGTGTAAGTGTCGGTTGATTTCTGGGTCCTCTATTCTCTTCCAGTGGCCTATATGTCTGTTTAAGATTGTTTTTCCTATTTCTGTCAAGAGTGCCATTAGGATTTTGATAGGGATTGTATATAATCTATAAATTGCTTTGAATAGTATGGATATTTTAATATTATCATGTCTTCCAATTCATGAACATAGGATATCTTTCCACTGATTTGTGTCTTCTTTAATTTCTTTCATGAATGTCTGCAATTTTTAATGTACCAGTCTTTCATCTTTTTGTTAAGTTTATTCTTAAGTGTCTTATCTTTTTCTTGCTATTATGAATGGGATTTTCTTTACTTGCTTTCCAGTGCTTGTTGTTAGTGCTATAGAAACACAACTGATATTCGTATGTTGATTTTCTATCCTGCAACTTTACTGAATTTGTTATTAGTTGTAATAATTTTGGGAGAGTGAAGTTTAGAGTTTTTTACAAAAAAATTATGTCATTTGGAAATAGATGATTTTACTCATTCCCACCCCCCAACTGTTTGGATGCCATTTATTTCCTTTTCTTGCCTAATTGTTCTTGCTAGAACTTTTAGTATCATGTTAAATAAATGTGGCAAGAAGGGGCACATTTGCCTTGTTCCTGATCTTGGAAGAAAAGCTTTTAGTTTTTCACCATTGAGTATGAGCGAAGAATTTCTTTTTACTTTTATTGTAAGGTAGGACTACTGGTGACAAACTCTATTTTTGTTTACCTAAGAAAATTATGTATTTTTACCTTAATTTAAAGGGTAGGCTGGGTGCGGTGGCCTGCACCTTTAATCCTGGTACTTTGGGAGGCCAAGGCGGGCGGATCACCTGAGGTCAGGAGTTCGAGACCAGCCTGGCTAACCTAGCGGAATCCAGTCTCTACTAAAAATACAAAATTAGCCAGGCATGGTGGTGGCTGGCTGAGGCACGAGATTGCTTGGACCCAGGAGGCAGAGGCTGCAGTGAGCCAAGGTCACTGCCACTGCACTCCAGCCTGGGTGACAAAGTGAGACTGTCTAAAAAAAAGAGATAATTTTACTAAGTAGAGAGTTTTAAGATAGTGTTCTTTTTTTTTTCTTTTATAACATTTTAAATATTTCACTTTCCTCTCTTTTTGCTTATGTGGTTTAAGAGAAGTCTGATGTAATTCTTATCCTTGGTTGTCCATAGATAAAGATTTTTTCCCTCCTGGCTTCTTTTAAGATTTTTTTTTTTTTGTCTTTGATTTTTGGCAGTTTCAATATAATATGCCTATGTTTAAATTTTTTGTATTTATCTTGCGTGTTATTCTCTCAGCTTCCTAGATATGTACATTTTGCTTATTTTCAATTTCGGGAAAATCTCAGTCAGAATTTCTTCAAATATTTCTTCTGTTCCTTTCTTTCCCCTCCTCCTGATATTTCATTACACATATATTGTTCCTTTTGTAATTGGCCTACACTTATTAAATATTCTGTTCTTTTTAATTCTTTTTTCTTTGCTTTTAAGTTTTGGAAGTTGCTATTTAAACTTCTTTAAGCTCACTGATTCTTTCCTTGATCACATCAGTCTACTGAGGAATTCATCGTTATGGGCTAACAAGTGTTCCTCCAAAATTTGTATGTTGAAGTCCCAATCTTTAGTATCTCAGAATGTAATCATATTTGAAGATAAGTTTTTTTTTTTTTTTTTAAGGACTGATAAAGCTAAAATGAGACTCCCAGGGTATGGCCCTCATGCAATATGGCTGATGTCCTTGTTAGAAGAGGAAGAGACACCAGGAATGCATGTGCACAGAAAAAATGCCATAAGAGGACATGGCAAGAAGGCAAGCAGCTGCAAGCCAAGACAGGCCTCAGGAGAAACCAAATGTGCTGACATCTTGATCTTAGAATTATAACTTCCAGAACTGTGAGAAAATGAACTTTTGTTATTTAAGGCACCCATTCTGTGGTACTTTATTATAATAACCCTATAGCAATGCAAGAATGGCCTAATACATCTATATTTATATTGGACAAAATTGACTTTAAGTGAAAAAACATAAAAAGAGACAAAGAAGGTCATCATATAATGATAAAAGGGCCAATTCAGCAAGAGGATATAAAAATTCCAAATATGTATATATATGTACCAAGTAGTGGAATGCTTAGATATATTAAAAATGTCATTAGAGCTAAAGAGAGAGATACACCTCAACATCATGATAACTGAGGGCTTCAATATCCCACTTTCAGCATTGAACAGATCATCTAGGTAGAAAGCTAACAAATAATCATTGAATTTAATCTGTACCGCAGACCAAATAGACTTAACAGACATTTACAGAACACTTCATCCAATAGCTGTGGAGTACACATTCTTCTCCTCATCACATAGAACATTCTCCAGGCTGGACCATATGTTAAGACACAAAACAAGTTTCAACAAATTTTGAAAAATCAACATTATATCAAGTATATTCTAGACAAAAATAGAATAGAACTAGAAATGAATACTAGGAAGAACTTTGGAAACGATACAGATAACATGGAAATTAAACAACATGCTTCTGAACAACCATTGAGTCAATGAAAAAACAAAGAAGAAAATAACAAATGTTCTTGAAATATATGCAAATGGAAACACAACATACCAAAACCTATGGAATACAACAAAGACAGTGCTAAGAGAGAATTTTATAGCAATAAATGCCTACTGCAAGAACATGGTAATATTATAAACAAGCTACTATGCACCTCAAGGAACAAGAAAAACAAGAAAAAATGAAATCCAAACTTAGGAGAAGGAAAGAAATAATAAAAATCAGAGCAGGACTAAGTGAATTCAAGATTTAAAAAATGCAAAGAATTAATGAAACAAAAAGTTGACTTTTGGAAGAGATAAACAGACTTTATAAACTGCTAGCTAGACTAACCAAGAACAAAAGAGAGAATGCCAAATAAATAAAATCGGAAATAAAACAGGAGACATTACAACTGATATAAAAGAAATACAATGGATCATTAGTCTGTTATAAACAACCATATGCTAAATAATCCATACGAAGAATTTTTTTTTACCAACACCAATAATCAATCTAACTTTCCCAAATTCATTTTAAAATCCACCAATACTTTATAATAAATCATATTAAACTGTGGTTTATACCTGAGATTTAGATTATCAATTGACTTATTTATCTTTTCTGAGGCTCATATTACCTCCGAGCACATTTTAAAATTTATTTCAAGATTCTATCATTTATATAATTATACAGAATTATACTTTTCCTCCATGAATGTTGGTGTTTTATATTTTTATTGAGATAGAATTTACTATAAAATTCATTCCTTTAGAGTGTTCCATTTAGTGAGTATCAGTGGATTCTTAGAGTGGGATATACTGATGACCACTGAATGAAGGAATGAAGTACGAATCTATGCCACAACATGGATGAATCTTGAAAACATTATGCTAAATAAAAGAAGGCAGACATGAAGGATCACATATTTCTTATTCTGTTCATAGTAAATGTCCAGAATAGGAATATACATAGAGACAAAAATTAGATCAGTGGTTGCTAGGGACTGGGAGGAGGAGAGATTTCTTCTTGCGGTTATAAACATATTCTGGAATTAGATAATGGTGAGGGGTGCACAATTTTAAGAATACACTGATAACCACTGAATAGAACACTTTAAGGCAATGAATTTTATGGTAAATTGTATCTCATAAAAATATAAAAAACCCACTAACATTCATGGAGGAAAGGCATAATTATTTATAATTATATAAATAAGGGAATCTTGAATCATGAAGTATTATATAAATGAGGGAATCTTGAATTGTTAAGTATTAAAATGTGCTTCAGAAATGATCAATAAGTCAACCAGTAATCTAAATCTCAGGTATGAACCGCAGTTTAATATGTTTTTATTATGGGGTATTGATGAATTTTAAAATTAATGTGGGAAAGTCGTATTGATTATTTAATTAATATGCTTATATATAATTGGCTAGTTATGTGGTTAAAAATTAAGGTGGAATCTTAACTCTCACCATACAAAAAGTAATTTCCATATACATTAAATGATATCATATGAGTTTTATTCAACTTTAAAGGAACACAGAGGCTAGGTCCTTGCCTGGATCAGTGGTGAATTTATCCTGTGAACCAAGGATTATGGTGGAGTATCCACCTCTTCACCTCTAGCCCTTCTTCTAGTCATCATTCACTTTTCCTTTTTCCAATTCTTTAAATTTCCTGTGTTCTGTGTGTATCCTCTCACCATCTTTTGATCAAACATAACTCTCAAGTAAGTTTATTTTTTATTATTATTATTTTTTGAGACAGGGTCTCACTCTGTTGCCCAGGCTGGTGTGCAGTGGCATGACCTAAGCTGAATGCAGCCTTGACATCTCAGGCTCGAGCGATCCTGCCTAAGCTTCCTGAGTAGCCAGAACCACAGACACGCGCCACTATACCTGATTAATTTTTTGTATTTTTTTTTTTTTTTTGGAGAGATGGGGTTTCACCCTGTTGCCCCCACCAGGTCGGTCTAGAACTCCTGTGCTCACCCACCTCAAACTCCCCAAGTGCTGGGATTATAGACATGAGCCACTGTGCCCGGCCTCAAGTGAGTTTATCATAGGTTAAATCACTGCAGTGAACCACCTTATTTATTTCTTTAGTATCAACTCTTCAATCCTCTGAGCAGCCTTCATGGTACAGTAAAATCTGCCCATGCCTATTTTATTTTCAGACTCTTGAAAGACCTTGCATTTTCTTTTACTTATATTTTTAGAACTTTGGAATAAAAAAGTTTCTGTCTTACCTGGAGGAACTGTGAACATCAAGGAAAGGACTCCAAAGACAAAAAACAAGACCCTCATGGTTGAATAGGTAAAGCAGGTTAGAGAGAATCAGTAGCTGAGATGAAGAGGACTTCTGTGTACATTCAGTTCTCTGAAGAGGTGAGTTGTTGAGTGATTATTGAACCTTTCAGGAGCAAGAACATTTCTGTGTTTCAAGGAGATTTTATATCAGGAGAAAGCATGCAATCATCACGACTATCAGTCATTTAAAGTACATTTATCAAAGGTCAAGAGGGTGTGTGCAAAGGTAGTAGAAAGCACAGCCATGGCAAAGGCAGGAGAGAGACTTGAAATATCAGCATTGTCTTATGCATTCTGGAGGAACTGTAAAAGTTAAGGAAGCAGTTATAGAGGAAAAGCATTCATTTTATTTTTCTGATAATAGGAAGAAGCACGTAATACAAGAGCATGCCTATTTATTAATATTTTGGCACCGTGTGTTAGCATGCTTAAGCAATGGAATTAAATATGAAATTATAAACAGATTAGTGAGATACAGAACAACTTTTATTTGATTATCTTTCTGTCCAATCGATCAAATGAGATAAACTAATTTTTCTATTGAAATCTAAGTTCACACAAATTGTTTGCACATCAGTTATGTGTAATATGAGAGGAATTAAAGAAAGAAAAGTGGGCCTTAGGGAACCCATAATACACTTCGGAAAGCAAGTAATATATACAAAGAAACGGCAATGCAACACGAGCATATTTCTGGCAAAGAGGCACAAATTACTTCTTAGACACTAAGGAAATGAACATAAACACCAGAATACTTTGGGTGCCGTAGGGAATGCTTAAAGAGGGTATGAGTAAACTTTATTTATTTATTTATTTTTTATTTAGAGACAGGGTCTCACACTGTTGCCCAGGCTGGAGCGCAGTGGTGCGATCTTGGCTCACTGCAACCTCTGCCTCCCGGGTTCACGTGATTCTCCTGCCTCAGCATCCTGAGTAGCTGGGATTACAGGCACACGTCTCCATGCCTCGCTAAGTTTTGTACCTTTAGTAGCAATAGGGTCTTGCCATGTTGGTCAGGCTGGTCTCGAACTCCTGGCCTCAAGTGATCCACCCGCCTCGGCCTCCCGAAGTGCTGGGATTACAGGGGTGAGCCACCACGTCTGGCCAGAATATCAACTTCAGAAACTGCAAAGTACATGCACATTCGTGGTCTTACTTGACCTTCATTCCTTTCTAGATGGTGTCACTACAGGTGAAGTAACTTTTCTCAGTACCAAGAAGGAAGTTCTCTTTCTTCCATGGCTTCTTCTTGGTGCTACTTCTATAATACTTCAGAGTGTTAGTGAATGGAACACTTGGTTACATTATTTCAGAAGGTCTTCCCTGCCTTTAGAGACTTTGAAAATGAAATCTTGAGTCAGGGATGGGGAGGTCTTGGAAGAGGCAAACTTCCCAAGTCTTAGCCTAAGGAGGGCCAGTGAGGGGCATGAAAGCTCTGGGGATGTTTTTTCCTAAACCTCCATTCAGGTCCTTCCTCCTGAGTTGCTGGGGCAGCGGTGCCTGGGCACAAGCCTCTGCCAGCACCCTAGAAACTCAAAGGGGGATCTTAGTGTCATTGTGCTGGTTATTGCTGACTGCTCCATTTACTGAAGCCAGAATGGCCTAGGATCATTAGCATCTCTGATCCAGAATCCAGAATTTACTGATTTTTCTCACCTCTCTGGGAATTATTTCTTTCTTGATCACGAGGAAAAGCTTTGGAAGTACAGTTTACACTGCAAAGCAATACAATTTATGAGAACAAATAATTGAAATCCTTTATGGAACACTAAGGGCATAATTTTCACTGCTTGATATTTTCTATGAACATTTGTTTGCCAGCCTCTTGTAGGTTGGTGCAAACGTATTTGTGGTTTTTGCCATTACTTTCAATGGCAAAAATCGCAATTACGTTTGCACCAACCTAAGAGATTTGGAGCCAGGAGGCAGGCTTGGAATTCTGCCCAGGAAGCCCAAGAACATTGTGTAATCCATGGGCTACCAATCACGGATATCAAAGAAGGGTCAGAGAAAGGTTCACTGCATTCTGGGGGTGGACCAGTAGGTACCAGATGAGCATTGAAAGATGGCTTAGATTGCAGAGGGCTTCAGCAAAGAAAGATAAAGTGCTTTGACCAATGACTTTCCTTAAAAGAACACCAAGAAGAAAATCAGATAGCTATCAAGCTATCAAATATAAGCTGTCACAGTAGAAGAAGAAAGAAGGTAATTTACCATTAGATAATTAAATTTGACCGAGAAATTATGGCGTTTTATTGCACCTAACTCTCCAGGAAGGCACCAGATTTTCAATAGACAATTTATAATCAAGTATTCATTGTTTACCTTCCTTTCCTGCCTTCAGCAGTACTGACAGCTTTGGGGACTTTGAGGCATTAATTATCTATTTTTCTTCTTGTTGCTGCCGGTTTTCTTTTTCTTATTTATTTATTTATTTGAGACAGAGTCTCACTCTGTCACTCAGGCTGGAGGGCAGCAGCGTGATCTGAGCTCACTGCAACCTCCACCTCCAGGTTCAAGTGAATCTCCTGCCTCAACCTCCCCTGTAGCTGGGATTACAGGTGTGTGCCACCACACCCAGCTAATTTTTCTATTTTTGGTAGAGATGAAGTTTCACCATGTTGGCCAGGCTGGTCTTGAACTCTTGGCCTCAAGTGATCTGCCTGCCTCTGCCTCCCAAAGTGCTGGGATTACAGCAGTGAGCTATGTGCCCGGCTGCTGCCCGCTTTCTACATCCATTGTTTTCCTTACTTTAAGTCTGTCAATATCCTCAAGTTCCTGCCACGTTAAAAACAAAACACAAAATTGTCTTTCCTGTATTTAGTTTGTTTTTTTAATGAATGCCCTAGCTTTTCCCTTTCCCCCTCAGGAAAACCATAGTCTCTATGCTTCATTTCCATTTTATCTTTCATTCACTTCTTACCCCACAGGTGGCTGACATTTTTCCTCAGCTTTCCATTGAATATACTTTTGCTAAATCACTCACAAGTTTTTCTCTGTATAAGAGTAGACAAACACATATATGTCTATATCCTATAAGTATATTTTATTTTTATTGATTCCTAAATATTATTTCATGTAAAATTGGAAAAACTAAGATTATCATGATAATAGATATAACACATTACTTGATCACTTAAAAGATCATTACTATTTTAGTTTATTTACTTTCCATTAAATTTCTCTCTCTCTTATTCTTGTGATTCACCTATAGTTTTATTTATTTAATAAGTATTACTTTATTGTAAATATTTTCCTATACTATTTTCAAATACTCCAAAACAGTAATTTTCACTTTCTGCATAATATTCCATATTATGGATATTTCATAATATATTTATGTAATCATCCTTTCATTGTTGGGCATTGTTTTTTGTTTATACTTTCACTATTTAAATGTTATGAGATTGTCCCAAGGGGCTTCTCTACTATTTTCAAATCAATTTCTGGCTAGGTCTCCTGACCCAAGTGGCTGCTGGAGTTGCAGGTGTGCTTAACTTAAATGGAGCGAGTGAAACATTTAGTTCAATATGTTGTTAATTGAAAGGAGAATCTTAGTATAGACTATTTTCCAGTATAGGTAAAAAATGGATAATAACTTTGTTCAACTAGCAAAATAAGAGAAAAAGATAGAAAATAGGGTAAAAATAAATGATAGACATAAGGTCAAAAGAAATGAGTAAAATCACTCCATCAGTTGTTAGGAGGCAATTTTTTTTTCTCTTTCTGCACTTGAGTTGATCAAGTCTATAGATAGATTCTCTCCATAGCTATGAGAAGCATATTGGCACAAGGTTGCTCTCTCTCTCTGTGTAAATGAAGTATTGGCTCTAGCCTGGATGTTCCCTATAAGCTTCAGAATAAAAAAAATCAACTATTTACTTGACATCTACTTTTGGATGTCTAATAAGCAACTCAAGAATTCCAAAATGAATTTTTGATTCATACCACTTTCTCTGTTAATACTCACTCCCTTTAGTCTTGCTCTCTCAATGATGGGCTCATGTACCTAGTTGTTTAGGTTAAAAAACAAAAACGAACAAAAACTCTGAGCATACCTTTGATTCTCTCATTTCATAATTACAACCCATTAACAAGCCCACTTCTATCTTTAAAATATCTCTTTTATTTTTTATTTTTAAAAATTTTTGAGACAGAGTTTCACTCTGTTACCTAGGCTGGAGTGCAATGGTGCGATCTCTGCTCACTGCAACCTCTGCTTCCCAGGTTCAACCGATTCTTGTATTTCAGCCTCCCGAGTAACTGGGATTACAGGTGCTAGCTACCAATTCTCAGCTAATTTTTGTATTTTTATTTTGGGGAGATGGAGTTTCGCCATGTTGGTTGGGCTATTCTCAAACTCCTGTCCTCAGATGATCCGCCTGCCTTGGCCTCTCAAAGTGCTGGGATTATGGGTGTGAGCCACTGGGCCCGGCCTAAAATGTGCCTTAAATCCAACCTTTGTTCACTTCCTCTGTCATTGCACCATTGTCCAAGTCACTAGTGTCTCTGGAGAGAGCCCTCTAACTTGTCTCTATGTTTCTATGAGAGCTTTGCATACTCTAATTTATGGTCAGACACCAGAGATATGTTTCTAAAATGCAAATTAAATCAAATTATTTCCTTATTGAAAATCTAATTATGTTTTTTAAAAAAAACTACATAGAATAAATCCAGTCTGTTTACATGGCACGCAATGTCCTACCTGATTTGGTTGCTGAATATTTCTCCGATCCTTTATTTCCTGCTACTGTTCCCTCTTTTCATTCTGTTCCACAAGTATTAGTTTTCTTGCTCTTCCATAAACATTTCAAACTCATTTCTACCTCATAGCCTCTGTTTTTACTATTACCATTGCAAGGATTATTCTTTTCTAAGATATTTCTATGGAAACTCTGTCCCCCTATTTCATTCAGTCTTTGTTCCTGTGTCACCATCACAGAGAGGTTTTCCATGATTATTGAATAAATTCTAAAATAAAATTGATATTGAAAACGGCATGCTCCCTGCAGCAAGTTGCTAATATCAGAAATCAATAACAATAAGATATATTCCCAAATTCATACACAGAGATATTAAAACACAACACATTCCTACATAACACTTGGGCTAAGGCATACATAAAAATGAATACAAAATAATTAGATCTGAAGAAACGGAAAGCACTATAAATGAAATCCTGTGGATTGCAGCCAAAGTGGTATAAAAAGGGACATTTATGGTTTTCAAGACATTTACTAGAATTCATGAAAGTATGAAAGCAGCGTACTGCTCAACTGAAGAATCGAAATAAATAACAAAATAAAAAGAAGAAAAACCTGAAACAAAATAGGAGGCAATAAACAAAACTAATATCACACATAAATAAGAAACAAAACAAAGCAAGAAACATTGTAGAGTTATTTAGTAAGACCACTAGGTAGTTTATGGGAAGATTCATATATTAGTTGAGTCTTAGGAAAACATCATGAGAAAAAGAGAAAAAAAAAATAATACAGGGAAGAAAAGGAACATAAACTACAGATAGAGAAGAGCTTTGATATCATGATAGCATCCTTTAAACCCTCTATCCTGAATATGTGAATGAAATGGACACTTTTAGGGAAATACAAATGAATAATATTGACCAAAACAAACTTACAAGTGGTCAATGTTCTATCCTTTTACATCAAAAAGGTGCTAGAACTCGCAAGATTTTATGTACAATCCTGAAGGAATAGATAATTCCCATTTCTTTTTTTTGTTTTTTTGAGACGGAGTCTTGCTCTGTCACCCAGTCTGGATTGCAGTGGCAAGATCTCGACTCACTGCAAGCTCAGCCTCCCAGGTTCACGCCATTCTCCTGCCTCAACCTCCCGAGTAGCTGGGACTACAGGTGCCTGCCACTATGCCTGGCTAATTTTTTTTGGTATTTTTTAGTAGAGATGGGGTTTCCTCCTGTTAGCCAGGATGGTCTCGATCTCTTGATCTTGTGATCCACCCACCTCGGCCTCCCAAAGTGTGATAATTCCTATCTCTTAAGAATAATTGAGATTACAGATTGAGCTAGGTGGTTACTCAACACATTTTATGAAAGAGAATAAGCACAATATAGAAATTTCACAGGGGTAGTGTATTAGTTATTGTTGCATAACAAGGTTTCCCAAAATGTCGTGGCTTAAAACAACAAACTGATTATCACAAGTTTCTGTGGGATGAGGCTTAACTGGGTGCTTTTGGCTAAAGGTCTGTGTTGAGGTTGCAGACAAAAGCTGTCAGCTGGAGCTACATTTTAATCTGAAGACTGGGAGTGTGGGGGTTATATATAAACTCATTCACTGGCTTTTTTCATGTAGCATAATGTTGTGGAAGTTCATCCATGATGTATCATCTATTAGTATTTGTTCTTTTTTATTATGAAATAGTGTTTCTCCATATAGATATAGTACATTTTGTCTATCCATATACTAATATATGGGATAGAAACCTAAGAATAGTATCATTAAATTGCATGATATATTCATATTTATCAGTTTTAAGAAAAGGCCAAACTATTTTCCAAAGCAGTGATACTATTTTATATTTCCATCAGCATTGTAAAGGGCCCTCATTTAGCCACATCTTCATGGACATATTTTATCGCTGGTCATTTTTATTATAGTTATTCTAGTGTGTGTTAAGTGGCTTCTCATTGTGGTTTTAATTTGCATTTCACTAATGACTAATGATTCTGATAATCTTTTCATGTGTTTATGCCCATTCACATATTTTCTTTGGTGAAATGTGCACTCAAATCTTTTGCCTGTCTTATTTATTAACAAATTATTAATTATAAATTGATAAATTATAGTTGTCTTATTTATTGGGTACAAAGTGATGTTATGATTTATGAATTCAATGTGGAATAATTAGATCATGGTAATTCACACACCAATCACCTAAAATCATTATTTTTTTGTCTTGAGAATGGTTGAAATGTATTCTTTTGGCAATTTTGAAAAGTATAATACATTTTTTACTATATTCACCATGCTGTGCAGTATATCTTAAAGAAACCTTATTCTCCTGTCCAGTTGAGTCTTTGTACTGTTTGACCATGATATCCTCATCCCTTTACCATCCCCAGCCTCTGGTAACCACTGTTCTACTATCTGCTTATTTGAGTTTGATTGTTTTAGATTCCACAAATAAGTGAAACATGTAATATTTGTCTTTCTGTGCCAGGCTTATTTCACTTAGCATAATGTTCTCCAATTCCATCTTTGTTGCTTCAAATAAAAAAGTTTCTTTTCTTTAAGGTAGAATAGTATTCTACTGTGTATATATACTATATTTTCTTTATCCATTTATCTGTTGATAGACACTTAGGTTGATTCCGAAACTTGACTATTGCAAAAAGTGCTGCAATGAACATGGAAATGCAGACATCTCTTCAATATACAAATTTCAAGTCTTTTCAGTAAATACCCAGATGTGAGATTGCTAGGTCATATGCAATTTTATTTTTATTTTTGTTGAGAAACTTATAAGTTTTCCATAATGGCTACACTAATTTACATTCCTACAACAGTGTGCAAGTGTTCCCTTTTCTACACATCCTCTCTAACATCTGTTACATTTCCTCTTTTCTGTAGTAGCCATTCTAGCAGGTGTGAGGTGATATCTCATTGTGGTTTTAATTTCCATTTCCCTAATGATTAGTGATGTTGAACACTTTTTCATAAGTTTATTGGTTATTTGTATGTCTTCTTTTGAGAAATGTCTATTCACCTCCTGTGCCCATTTTTTAATTGGACTATTTGTTTTCTTTCTGTAGAGTTGTTTGAGTTCCTTATAAATTTTGTCTATTAACTCCTTATCAGATGTATGGCTTGCAAATATTTTCTCCCAACCTGCAGATTGTCTCTTTAATCGTTTTCTTTGGTGTGCGTAAGCTTTTTATTTTGATTATAATCGAATTTGTCTATTTTTGCTTACATTGTCTGTGCTTTTGCGGTTAGAACTTTAGTTAGAACTTTAAGTTAGAACTTAAAATGTCCAATGTCAAGTTCAGCAGGTTTCTCACCTCAAGGGACAAGAGAACAAAGCCAGGAGCCTGGTACCAGCTTCCCAGGATTAGGGCACACAGTCCAGGAGTAATGAGCTGAGCCTTGGCCCCCAGAAGTTTCCCAGAAATGAAGCCAGTCAACGGAACCCACCTTATTCCACAATCAAACCGTCAAAGGTGTCAAAGAATATAAGAGCAAAAACCCCATCCAAAGGACAGTGATATGGTTTGGCTCTGTGTCCCCACCCAAATGTCACCTTGAATAAATCCCCATGTGTCAAGGGCAGGACCAGATGGAGATAACTTAATCATGGGGGTGGTTCCCCCATGAGTGAGCTCTCATGAGATCTGATGATTTTATAAATGAGAATTCCCCTGCACAAACTCTCTTGCCTGACACCACGTAAGACGTAATTTTGCTCCTCATTTGCCATGACTGTTAGGCCTCCCCAGCCTAACAATGTGGAATTGTGAGCAAATGAAACCTCTTTCCTTATAAATTACCCAGTCTCTGGTATGTCTTTATTACCAGTTTGAGAACAGATTAATACAGACAGCAACACCAAAGTTAAAGAAACATCAGTCTACACAGATTAAAAAGAAGCAGCACAAGAACTCTGGTAACTCAAAAAGCCAGAGTGTCTTCTTACCTTCAAGGGACTGCAGTAGTTCCTCAGCAATGGTTCTTAACTGGGCTGAAATGACAGACATATAATTTAGAATCAAGATAGGAATGAAGATCATCGAGATTCAGGAGAAAGTTGAAACCAAATTCAAGGAATCTAAGGAATCTAATAAAACGTTATGAGTTGAAAGACAAAATAGCCCTTTTAAGAAAGAACAAAACTGATCTGATAGATATGAAAAACTCGCTATGAGAATTTAATAATACAATCACAAGTATTAACAGCAAAATAGGCCATGCTGATGCACACGTATGTTTATTGCAGCAGTATTCACAATAGCAAGACTTGGAACCAACCCAAATGCCCCTCAGTGATAGACTGGGTTAAGAAAATGTGGCACACATCCACCATGGAATATTATGCAGCCATAAGAAAAAGATGACTCTGTGTCCTTTGTAGGGACATGGATGAAGCTGGAAACCGTCATTCTCAGCAAACTATCCCAAGGACAGAAAACCAAACACCACATGTTCTCACTCATAGGTGGGAATTGAACAATGAGAGCACTTGGACACAGGAAGGGGAACATCACACATTGAGGCTTGTCATGGGGTAATGGGAGGGGGGAGGGATAGCATTAGGAGATATACCTAGTGTAAATTACGAGTTAATGGGTGCAGCACACCAGCATGGCCCATGTATACATATGTAACAAACCTGCACGTTGTGCACATGTACCCTAGAATTTAAAGTCTAATAATAATAAAAAAAAATAGGCCATGCTGAGGGAAGAATCTCAGAGATTGAAGGCTTGTTCAGTTAGACAAAAATAAAGAAAAAAGAATTCAAAAAATGAACAAACCTCTGAGAAATATGGAATTATGTAAAGCGACCAGATATATGACTCACTGGCATCCCTGAAAGAGCAGGAGAGAAAGCAAACAACTTGGGAAACATATTTGAGGATATCTTCCATAAAAATTTCCCCAACCTCACTAGAGAGGTTGATTCAAATTTAGGAAATGCAGGGAATGCCTGCAAGATACTACACAAGACAACCATCCCCTAGACATATGTCATCAGATTCTCCAAGGTCGACATGAAAGAAAAAGTATTAAAGGCAGCTAGAGAAAAGGAGCAGGTAACCCATAAAGGGAATCCCATCAGGCTAACAGTGGACTGTTAAGCTGAAACTCTATAAGCCAGAAGAGATTGTGGGCCTACATTCAGCATTCTTAAAGACAAGAAATCCCAACCAAGAATTTTATATCCATCTAAACTAAACTTTACAAGCAAAGGAGAAATAAAATCCTTTTCAGAAAAGCAAATGCTAAGGAAATTTGTTACCATCAGACATGCCTTACCAGAAGTCCTTAAGGGAGTGCTAAATATGGAAATGAAAGAGTACCAGCCACCACGAAACACAATTAATTACATAGATATTGACACTATAGAGCAACACACAATGAAGTCTGCATAATAACCAGCTAACAACACAATAACAAGATCAACTCCACACATAGCAATATTAACCTTGAACATAAATGGACTAAATGCCCTACTTAAAAGGCACAAAGTGGCAAGTTGGATGAAGAAGCAAGCCCCAACTGTATGCTGTCTTCAGTGTCATTGCATGTGAGATTCATCACACATAGGCTCAAAGTAAAGACTCAAAGAAAGATCTGCCAAGCAAATGGGAAACAAAAAAGCAGGGGTTGCCATTCTAATTTCAGACAAAACAGACTTTAAGCCAACAAAGATAGAGATAGACAAAGAAGGGCATTACATAATGGTAAAGGGTTCAATTCAACAAGAAGACTTAGCTATCTTAAATATATATGCACCCAAGACAAGTGTGCGCAAATTCATAAACCAAGTTATTAGGCACCTACAAAAAGACTTAGATAACCACACAGTAGTAGTGGGAGACTTCAACACCTCACTGACAGCATTTGACAGATCATTGAGAGAGAAAACTAACAAAGATATGTAGGCCCTAACTCAACACTTGACTAAATGGACCTAAAAGACATCTACAGAACAGTCCACCCAACAACAGAATACACATTCTTCTCATGTGCACATGGTGCACACTCTAAAATCAACCATGTGATTGGCCATAAAACAATATTCAGCAAATTCAAAAAACTCGAAATTATACCAACCACACTCTCTGACCACATCCCAATAAAAATAGAAATAAATATTAGGAAAATCACTAAAAACCATACAATTACATGGAAATTAAACAACCTGCTCCTGAATGGCTTTTGGGAATGACTTTTGAGGCTGCATCTGGAACCACATGTAAGCAGGGCTGCAGCAGGGTCCACAGGCAGATGGCGGTGTTTCTGTGCTCATGGCCAGGTCTATGATTGGTGAGCCTACTCCCAGGGGCATGGGCCTGCCTTCTCAAAGCAGTTTTCTTTGGTCTTGGGCTCTAGTGGGTTTTCATGAGCTCCTGACTGGGTCCTGATGTTCCCACAAAGACATTTTATCCAGGGATGGTTGCCAAATCAGTGTTCTGTGGGTGGATGAAGGCTGGGGACCTTCTACTTAGCCATCTTACAGATGTTCTGTTTCATTTGTTCTTTGATTTATTTTTCTTTTTTTTTTCAAGTAGTTGGGTCATTGTGATTATTCAATTTTTTTCTTATTAAACTGTTGTGTTATTTAAGAGTTGCTTTAGTGTTCATAGTATTGCTCTTTAACCCATCACAGTCTATCATTGGGTGCCATACTACTTTACATCTAATATAAAAACCTTTCAAGGTTATATGAGCTATGGTTCTTACAGCAGCAAAAATAATTTATTTTGTATTTTGAATATGGAAATTGCAATCTTTTTCTAGTGATAGTAAAATCCATTTTACTTGGACTATTTTCTAATATTTTTGTGACTTGCCATTTATTCAGAAACTCTATTGTCTCGATCATATCAAATTTTCCAGAAAGATAGAAAGAACAAAATGAACTTCTAAATGTACAACTGGCAAAGGTCTGAGAGTATCTCAAGCTTTCATGATATATGGTATTGCCTTTGTCTTTTTTTTTTTTTTTTTGAGATGGAGTCTCGCTCTGTCACCCAGGCTCGAGTGCAGTGGCGCAATCTCGGCTCACTGCAACCTCTGCCTCCTGAGTTCAAGCGGTTCTTCTGCCTCAGCTTCTTTAGTAGCTGGGATTACAGGCACCCACCATCATGCCTGGCTAATTTTTGTATTTTTAGTAGAGATGGGGTTTTGCCATGTTGGCCAGGCTGGTCTTGAACTCCGGACCTCGGCCTCCCAAGGTGTTGGGATTACCGATGTGAGCCACTGCGTCCGGCCTGCCTTTGCCTTTATATAACAATAAAATTAACTCCTTTGGGGTTTATCAACTATGCCCTCATAAATTAGTATCAATATAATATGTTCCATGCACAGAATCATATCATTGTATACAGTAAACATGGCCTTTTCCAGAAGATATAGTCAAGTATTCCAACAGATTGCATGTAATTCACCCAGTCTTACTATCAAAAGGCACAGACAGCCTTTTCCCAGAAATCTTTTAAATGTCCCTAAAACGTGGATTTCTGCACCTCTGGATGAGATATCAGAGCAATATTGCCCTAAAATCTCAATGGTTAAGATATGGTCAGGTATTTATAACAACTAGCACAGCAGTAAAAAAAACAAAGGGTTATCTCTAGATCTATATCTTTCAGATAAAGAGACATAATTCATCTTTGGATTGTCAGAAGACTTTTCTGATCTATTATTTTATATGTGAAGCTGTCTTACTTTTTGAAAGTTTACAGACAAAGGTCTCTACTTGAGTGAATTTTCTAACTCCTATTTACTTTCAACTTTAACTGATAATTTCTTTACTATAGTGGTTTTCAACTAGGGACAATGTTGCCCTCAGAGGACTTTTAGTAATGTGTAGAGATTTTTATTTGTTTGTTTGTTTATTTGTTTATTTTTTGGTCACAGGTGGGAGAAATGTTTTAGAGGCAAGAGAGGCTGCTAAACATCCTACAATATACAGGAAAGCTCCCCACAGCAAAAAAAAAAATTGTTCTTCTCAAAATGTTGACAGTGCTGGAGATCAGACACATCGCTCTACTTTATATTGTATTGTCTGTCCCTGAACTTCTTTATTAAATGGCCAATATTGTATGGTAAAATCGAGAGTATTATCCAAAAGAAAATTAAGAAAAACAATCAGGATTAGAAATTAGAGGCTCCTCTGCCTATGGAATAGCCATTCTTTTATTCCTTTACTTTCTTAATAAACTTTCACTTAAAAAAAAAAAGAAATTAGATTTTCTGGACTGATTCTTTTTGTTCCTTATCTTTTTCATTTCCCTTACCTGTTTTTTCTTCTTGCTCAGATATAAAAAACGTTCTGTCGAGGTGCGGTGGCTCACGTCTGTTATCCCAGCACTTTGGGAGGCCGAGGCGGGCAGATCACAAGGTCAGGAGATCGAGACAATCCTGGCTAACATGGTGAAACCCCGTCTCTACTAAAAATACAAAAAATTAGCCAGGCGTGGTGGCGGGCGCCTGTAGTCCCAGCTACTTGGGAGGCTGAGGCAGGAGAATGGCGGGAATCCGGGAAGTGGAGCTTGCAGTGAGCTGAGATCGCGCCACTGCACTCCAGCCTGGGTGACAGAGCGAGACTCCGTCTCAAAAAAAAAAAAAAAAAAAAAGTTCTTTTTGCTTCAGTGAGTTGAGATGTTATATTAATTCAATGTCAAGTCGCTGAAGAAACTTTCACTAATTCACTAAGACGGAGAATAAGAAATGAGTGATGACTTTTTTTTTTTGCTTACATTTAATAGAAAAATTTGGACTTAACAAGGGAAAGATAATTTCATTTCAGGCAGTAATTCATTTGGATTGTAATGTCTTTGGGCTTTAACATAGAGATAGAAGAGATTCAATCTTTGAACTTCAATTTATGCCTAGAAATTTTATAAGAACACTTGTTTATATTCAAATGTGAGAAATTTTTCTTTTTTAGCATTTTAATATAGGAGGGTATTTATGACTTTTAAAGTCTCTTAATGTCATTTAATTATCAAAGAATCTCTAATGTGCTACACTGGATAATGTAGTGGCACATAACTTAAGATGACAAAGAAGAGAAGATGTAAATTTTCAGCTATATGTAAGATGTATATGGTAAAAATTGTATTAGTGTATTATTCTGAGATTAGCTTAGAATCTGATCTCAGAGTAACATGCCGTTCATGAGTGATTCTGAGAAGATATAGAAAAAGTAGTGACTAGTATTGAAGAAACAGATCCATGAAGATGAGTTTAAAGTTATTTTAATAGACTCCTGACATCTCCTCTGCATAGGGAGATAACCCATCCTCCCCTGATTCATTGACCATAAGCTCTGTGGTTAAAAAAATACGAACTCTTGAATTTTGTTTGTGGGGTAATTTGGCCTCATTCTAGATGTTTTCCACCTTTGTGACACTCATGCCATGTCATACTCCTGGTATCCTCCCTGCCCTTTAATTTTCTTGGCCCCAGGAAATGGAGTTATCTGATGGAGAGTTTGGAAAGAACTAACCAGGCATGCTGAGTTAGCAACTCTTCAGCTCTACAGCTTCTCCTAGTGAGGCTACTTGTAGAAAGCAGGTCTTCTTTTCTACTTCTCTAGGGGCAGGGGGCAGTAGAGGGGAGCCCTGCTTCAAGTGCTGGAATGACTGGAATGGTCTTGCGCCTAATTCTCAGGTGCAATGTTAGCAAGGTTACATGATTAGCAGGCTTTAACCCATATTATCTAAGTAGGTCTCTATTAGTAATGAAAATGATATTTGTTCAGAACTGGATGAGGAAGAAGACTGACATTGCACTTCAAATAATCAAACACTGCCCACTGATACTTCATATTCTTACTGTTTTACATATTTAACATTTTAATCTTTTTTTCTTAGAAACATATTTTTTGTAAGTACCTGTAGGGTATGAGATTCTTCTGTTATTTATTTTATTCTTATAGTTCTTAAGAGGCTTGCATGTGCATCAAGAAGAAATGCTACAGGAGGCAGTCAGTACATGTGGGATTAGGACAACATTTATTTCCAGTCAAGGAAGAATAAGACATTGGATTAAACAGGAGTCTGCAAAACTTATCCATCCATTCTAGAGTTCAAAGGGCTTAATGTTTGCTCCCAGCTAAGGAGATTTTCCTTTGGGAACTGGAGTTGGATAAGGCTCAAGTATCCACCACCTTCTACAACATTTTTTTCCTTCATTACATATACCAATGGTATCATCTAGTGTGCTGCATAGTTTGTCTCTGCACACGCCTTTCAAAGCAATACACTGTTTTTGTCCTGGAATAACGCCAGTCTTTCCTACACAGGAAGAGATTTAAAAACATCATAATTCACTATTGAAAATATACATAAAACAATAAACACCCAGAAGAATGGCTTTGGGATAACAAAGAAAACATTGTCTATATGAAAGGATCAGACCCGTAGAGAGAAATAGTGCCTTTTTATGGGAAGGGAGCTAAGATTGTAGATTATATACACCTTGGAGGAAATAGGCCAATTTCTAAAATCCTTTAGAGGGATTGTCATCCCCTAGCATGTACATTTTGAAATGTGTGGGACAATTTGTTCTTGCCACCATGCCTAGGGAAGGTGTCTTTGGTATTTAGCAGATAGCACAGCATTGCTAAATTTTTCACCTAAGGAATTGTCTTGCACCAAACACCAACAATGCCACCACTAAGAAACAGTTTCAAAGGAAGTATTTGTCCCTCCAAATTCCCATCTGTGCATACATCATCCCTATCAAATGGTTCATGTTCATATCTTCATCTCCTTTCATAGAAAGCCTATCAATCCTTGAGATTTTATCTAAACTAATTTCCTCATTTCAGGACTATGTAAGAAATACCTTTCCTATGTTGCTCAATACCTCATAGATAGATGGAGGGATGGATAGATAGATAGATAGATAGATAGATAGATAGATAGATAGATAGACAGACAGACAGACAGACACCTGGGGAGAATTACTCACAGAGCTAAAAGGTATTTTCCCTTAAGTGTATCCACATGTTCTCTTAATTCATCTGGTTGTTGAGAAGCATATGGCTAAGGGTGTGCTCTAATTCAGTAGTTTTCTCTATGCTTACTATCCTTTCTCTTGCCTTCTCAGCACAACCATAGTATATTTTTCCTACTCTATATCACTGCAGATGTTATATAAGAAAAACACTTTTGCTGATGTTCATTAACAGACATTAGTTCCTGAACCATCCTGTTAACACACCTGGATCTTATTTTGTTTTTACTGTCCTCTAATATACTACGTCTGGTTTCTTTACTTCTGTAGATGAGTAACAGTTTGGTGGCCTTTTCAGCTCTCAATCTTTTTGTTGTTGTTTGTTATTGTTTTGTATTTAAACGAGGCTATCATTATTGTTTCTCTGCTCTGTAGAAATAGATCCATAGCCAGAAAAACCAATGCAGCCTTTTGGAACTGAGTGCTCATAACCTATGCAAGATTGTCTTCCACTCTTGTTAGAAGCTTCAACCTAGTGCAGTCTGGTATTATACTCTACTATCAGACTAGCAGTTCATAAACTCAGGGTTTCTGTGCAGCAAGAGAATATCATGATGGGGGAGTTGGGTAATATCTTGTAATATTCTCTCTTTTTTCCAAGACTATTGTGGAAGAGAAAGTGGTTGCCTTTCAGAGAGAGACCTGAAGTCTCCCCAGCCAGTTGTGGAAGGCGCTGGTTCAACTGCATTGTCTACACAGAACACAGGCTTCATGCTGAGAAGCATAGCAAACCTGTTGCTAGCTGTTGGTCTTTTCCCTGATAACTTCATCCATACATTTAACATCTGGCAACATTGCCAGACTTTTTAAATGAAGCTAAAATCGGGGGTTATTAGTACTGGGAAAGATATAGTAAGAGGCAGAGTATGGCATCAAGGAGGCCTATGAATGTGAACTTAGAGGCATCCCATGCAAAATGAGGTGAAATGTGAATCTTCAGCTGAAGCCAAAAGAGTGAACTTCCTCTCAGTAGGATGCGTAACTCACTATACTGTAAAGTTCAGCCTACTGACACAGCATGTAACCTAAGACAGTGCCAATTCCTCTATTTGGGAGATGTCCCTTGCTTCACTCAAAAGGAGTGGAACAATTCATCCTACCAGTGATGTGCTTCTTGCTACATGGGAAGCTTAATTTAAGGAGGTATGCTTTGAGCATGAAGCCAAAGAGTTATAATCTCCCTTTTTACCGATGACTGTGACATATCGTCATGCCAAGGGCACTAGTTTAAGTCAAAAAGATAAGATTAAATTACTTAATTCATATTCAGATTCATATTCCTCATTCATGAGGAAGGAAATTTCTTCCCAGATATTCACATTTATTTTCAGACTTATTGACAGAAGTATATACATATAGAGCAAAAGAAGAGAGGTACTCTCTAATACACTTTAGAATTTATTTGACATTAATATGTTATAATGGTTATATCGCATGGCAGTTGAGGAAAGGATGCATATTTAATAAGTGCCTTTGGAAAAAGAAACAATTTAGATGTTCACTTCATATTATATCACAACATTAATTTCTGTGGATGCAGTGAGAAGGACTTAGAATCACACTGGAAAAGACCCTTAATAGCGCATTCATCTACTTTCTAAAAGGATATAACTTTCTTAGCATTAGAACTCATTGAGTCAGTAACTTTTAAGTTCTTTTTTGGGTGATGTAGAGGATTTAAATGGAACAGGCTCTTCCTGGAACTTTATCAATCAAAAAATAGAAGTGCAGTTTCCTTTTCTCTACATAATGTGAGTTCAAGCTGACTTCTGCTCCTGTCCAATGTCGTGTATTTAGATATTATGTTATTCTCCACAGTCAGTGTAAGAAGAATGCTATAATTTTCTTAATTCTCAGAGAGCTAATGCAGCAATTCAAGATTTATGCCATTCTAATCACTTTAGACTCATATTCGCAGCATTTATATGTATGTTTGTGTGTACATGTAAATCTATATGAGCTATTCCAACTTTTTATAAGATACCATGGATTCTTCTTGGAATAAATATAAGGATATATAAAAACATATATTCAAGTAGCTATAACTTAATATTCATCAGACATTAAGCTGATAAACTAATATTTCAGATTATGTAGTTTCTTTGGAGAAATTTTTTCATGAAAATAACTTTTTTTACTAAATTGGATTTTTTTGGTATAAAAATGTCTTTAACAAAACTCTTCATGATCTAGCCACTCAATTTTTCTTAAAATAAATTTTATCAGTTAAAAGTTATATAGGAGTTATAAAATATCTAAGATTATCAGAATGCTTCTAGACAGCTGATAAATTCTACATACCCAACAGTCACAGTAGAAATTAAGATCAGAATTTTTGGAGTGCAGTAATATTAAATTGTATAGACAGCTCAGCAATTAACTATTCATTACTAAGAGACCATACAAAACTGATAATGAAATTCCTAATTTTCGACCTGAGTGTTCTGGGTCCCACTTCATAATGTGTCCAAGAACATCTCAATATGCAAAACTAAGGTATTTTGACCTTTATGTATGGTTTTAATATCCTCTGATCACAAGAAACCTGGATATTCAAAAGTGATTCCCTCCTGTGCAGAATTATAGGACCTTCATTTAATCCTTCTTCCTGGTATAACAGATTTGGAAGGAACAAAGAAGGGCTGATATTTCTATTCCTGCAGGAAGATGACACGGCTTGAAAGGCAGGCCTCTGAAGGATTCTTGTCATATTTGTGGGGAGATTAACTCAGCTTTCAACCTCAAATAACCTCTTGTTCTTCATCTTTTATTTTATTGTGGTAATAACACTTAAAGTGAGATCTACCTTCTTAAGAAATTTTTAAATGCTATAGATATAATATTGTACAGTTGATATTTAGAGCTTATTCATCTAATAAAACTGAAAACTTTTACTCATTAAATAGCAACTCCCTATTTCCTCCTCCCTCCCCAGTCCCTGGAAACCACCATTCTGCTACCTGTTTCCATGAGTTTGACTATTTTAGGTACCTCGTATAAGTGCAATCATGCAGTATTTGTCTTCTGTGACTGGCTTATTTCATTTAGCATAATGTCCTCCAGGTTCATCCATTCTGTCATATATAGCAGAAAACCTCCTTAGTTTCCTCAATATATAATTAGAAGATTTTGAGAAAAAAGTCTGGCAGAAATCAGAGTTATCATTTTTGTATGCATATCTACACCTACGGATTGATTAAAAACCACATTGACCCAGATTAAAGAGATTTGCTTTTAGCTGCAATGTTGCTACTACCTATGTGATCTGAGTAAAATCACATTCTTTATCTGTACATGGGTTTTATTATCTAAAATAAAAACAATTGCCGCTAAATTTTACTTTAATTTGAAATTATTACCATCATATAATTTCATATCTCATGTCACTACAAGTGTGTCTGGCCTCAATTGTATCTTCTGACCAAAGCTGAGAACCAAATGAGAATTGCATAAGCTCCTTCAGAAGGAGGCAATCATATGTGAGGTGGATCTCAACATGTCCACAGATTAGGTAAAGATCAAACAATTGAGTAGCTTTGATTGCACTTAAAAGAATCTCAGAACTGGAACAAAACAAGAGTGCCCTCTCTCACCATCCTAATCAACATAGTACTGGAAATACGAGCCAGAGCAATCAGCATTTTGAAATAAAAGGCATCCAAATCGGAAAAGAAGAAATCAAATTACCTCGTTTTATTGATGATATTATTCTACACTTAAGAAACCCTAAAGATTATTTGAAAGCCTCCTGGACCTGATAGACAACTTTAGTAAAGTTTCAGGATGCAACATCAATGTACAAGATCAGTAGCCTTTCTATACACCAATAATGTTCAACCCGAGAGCCAAGTCAAGAATACAATCCCATTTCCAATAGCCACACAAAAAAATAAATACCCATGAATAAATTTAACCAAGGAGTTGAAACATCGCTACAAGTGACACTAAAAATCACTACTGAAAGAAATCACAGATGACACAAATAGAAAAATATTCCCTGCTGTGGATTGGAAGAATGAATATTGTGAAAATGGCCATACTGCCCAAAGCAATTTATAGATTCAGTGCTATTCCTATCAAACTACCAATGACATTTTTCACAGAATAGAAAACACTATTCTAAAATTCATATGAAACCGTAAAAGAACTCAGACAAACAAAATAATCCTAAGCAAAAAGAACAACACTGGAGGCATCATCCTACTTGACTTCAAATCATACTGTAAGGCTACAGTAACTAAAATGGCATGGGACTGGTACAAAAGCAGGCACATGAACCACTGGAACAGAATAGAGAACCCAGAAATAAAGCCGCACATTTATAACCATCTGCTCTTTGACACAGTTGACAAAAATAAGCAACGGGGAAAGGACTCCCTGTTCAATAAATGGTGCTGGGATACCTGGCCAGCCATAAGCAGAAGAATAAAACTGGATGCCTATCTTTCACCATATACAAAAAATTAACTCATGATGGATTAAATATTTAAATGTAAGACCTCAAACTATAAGAATCCTAGAAGAAAACCTAAGAAACACCATTCTAGATATTGGCCTTGGGAAATAATTTATGACTAGGTACTCAAAAGCAATTGCAACAAAAACAAAAGTTGACAACTAGAGCCGAATTAAACTAAAGAGCTTCTGCAGAGAAAAAGAAACTATTAACAGGGTAAACAGAAAACAACAGAATGGGAGAAAATATTTGCTAACTATGCATCTGACAAAAATTTAATATCCGGAATCTACAGGGAATTTAAATCAACAAGCAAAAAACAAATAAAGTGGGGAAAAGACATGAAAAACATGAACAGTCTCTTCTCAAAAGAAGACATAGAAGCAGCCAGCAAACATGAAAAATAGCTCAACATCACTAATCACTAGAGAAATACAAATCAAAACCACAATGAGAACTATCTTACACCAGTGAGAATGGCTATTATTAAAAAGTCAAAAAATAACAGAAATGCAGATGAAACTGTGGAGAAAAGGAGTGCTTATACACTGTTGGTGGGAATGTAAATTAGTTCAGCCACTGTGGAAAGCAGTCTGAAGATTTCTCAAAGAACTTAAAACAGAGCTACCATTCCACCCAGCAATTCCATTACTGGGTATATCGTCCAAAAGAAAACAAATAATTCTACCCAAAACATACCTGCACTCCTATGTTCGTCACAGAACTACTCACAATAGTAAAGACAAAGAATCAACCCAGGTGCTCATTAATGGTGGACTGGATAAAGAAAATGTGGTACATATAGACCATGGAATACTATGAAGCCATAAAAAAGAACAAAATCATATCCTTTGTAGCAACATGGATGATCTGGAGGACTGCAAATTAATGCAGAAATAGAAAACCAAATACTGCATGTTCTCACTTATAAGTGGGAGCTAAACATTTGATACTCATGGACTTAAAGATGGGACATTGGAGACTACTAGAGTGGGGAGGGAGGAAAACAAGGATTGAAAAACTATTTGGTACTATGCTCACTACCTGAATGATGGGATTACCATCATGCCCCAAACCTCACATCACAAAATATACCAACATAACAAACCTGCACATGTACCCCCTGAATCTACAATATAAGTTGGAATTATTTAAAAAATAATCTCAGAGATAAAGGGAGGAAGAGATCTTTGCTCATTGACCACACACTTTATTTTGGGGGATATGAACATCCCACTATTAAGAGTGGAGATAATAATTTTATCATATCTTATCAGGATCTGGATGAAACACCCTGAAGATGTATGATTCTTTATTCCCTTTTCTGTTTGATTCTACATTTTGATATTTAAACTTCTGAATCATGGACCCTGAGGATGCAACTACGAGTCTTGAAGTGTTTTCTGTACTGTTTGTCTTATGCTTAAAATTTTGCCATTAAAGCTTCATGCCACTGTTTATTCTTTTCCAAATTCCCTTGCTCCCAAATTTCTATTGGTCTTTTATAAGTAGATGTAAAATTTTCTTGTTGAACTCTATCTTATTTGCCTAACTGCTACCCTTCACAAATATTCCTCACCAATAGACTCAACATCACTTCCATCCACTACCGAGTTCGAACCAAGAACTATCATCTTCACTCTCCTTTTTGGAGAGTGAAGCCTTGGTGATAGCTCTTTGCTTTATTTACTAACCTTTAAATCACATATCAAAGCTTCTATACCCCTAACTCTATTTCGGCCCCATTTCCTAATTATCGAGCTCTTGAACCCCCATTTTCTGTTGAAAGAACTCCTTGTCCTGCTTCTCAACTGTGGCCTCATTAGTACCAAAGAAGAGAAACATGTTGGATTTCTGAATTCCTAAGGCTGTGAATTGGGGTCTGAGTTAGGATGGCCACAGTATAATTATCTCAGTAGACCTCCTCCGGTCTAGGCGTCGCAATAGACTTCTACAATCATTCACCATCTTAGCTTTTGGTATTAAAGTCACAAAGAGGAGGAGAACAGAAATAAGGGAATGGAGTTTCGTGGTTGAGTGCCCAATAGAGAGGTGAGTGATCAGGGCTGGTGGAACACAGGGGCTTTTATTTAATTCTGGGGGCCTGAGGTTCCTCTTGCTCAGTGAAGCTTAACAGAAAGGAAATAAAACAGCTTCCGTTGGAATATTTCCAAACTCGAAGGTCTCTAAATTTGGTGACAAATTAACCTAATTGTAGGAAACCAGATGGCTAACCCTTTCCTTTTTCTATGGCTCTCAATTTCACCAGAGGTTAATTAATACCTTTAGTTAATTTTCTTCTTTGAATGGGGCCAAGAAGTAAAGCCATGTGGGTACAGAACATCCTTATTGCAAAAGTCCTAGGGCTTGTAAGGAAACATTTCCATAATACACTGTTTTTTTTTGTTTTTTTTTTTTTTTTTTGCAAGAGGGACAAGAGTATTGTCTAAGGTCCATTCATGAAAAGCTACTTTTTTTTTTTTTTTTTTTTTGAGACGGAGTCTCGCTCTGTTGCCCAGGCTGCAGGCTGGAGTGCGGTGGCGTGATCTCGGCTCACTGCAAGCTCCGCCTCCCAGGTTCACGCCATTCTCCTACCTCAGCCTCCCCAGTAGCTGGGACTACAGGCGCCCGCCACCACGCCCGGCTAATTTTTTGTATTTTTAGTAGAGACGGGGTTTCACCATGTTAGCCAGGATGGTCTCCATCTCCTGACCTCGTGATCCGCCGGCCTCGGCCTCCCAAAGTGCTGGGATTACAAGGCGTGAGCCACTGTGGCCGGCCCTGAGGTGTTCTTAATCACATCTGAAAGGTGGAGAAATTTAATTCACATTGAAAACAAATATTTTTTCATCGTTATGGATCCTTTGTATAATTATCTCATACAACAAGACAAGTAAGATCAGGACAGTTGAAAGATAAAAGACAGAGTAAAGTGCGCAGCTCCTGTCAAAAGACTCTGAGCCTATACCTTAAACAGATTCCCCTAACCTTTCACCCTAACCCACCACATAGCAACAAGATATTGAAAGCTTAAGAGCATGCCTTTAATCAAGAATCAATTGACCAAAATCCAACTTACCCAAAACAAATATGCCTTCTGTTCAATTTCTTATTGGCATACTTCCCTGAATTGATATTTTTTTAAATTTGTAAACTTTCATATATCGTGTCAGTCTTTTTTGAAAAATTCTATATACATATATAATATAACTTTTATATAGCATTTATTTGACTACTTTTGATCATTTTCATGTTAGCTGATGTATTTATGAGCATTTGCTAATTTATTTCTTCATTAATAATTTATGCCTTAATAATTTTAGGTTTGCATAAATGTTCCAAAAGACTAATATTCAAAATATTTTTGGAAAAGTAGAACAAAGCCCGAGAATTTAGACTACCTTGTTTCAAGACAAAGCTACAATAATAAAGACACTGTGATACTGGAATAAGGAGAGACATATAGTTCAACAGAACATAATAGAGAGTCAAGGATAAGACCATCATATGAATGGTCTGTATATGGGTAAGACCATATATATTTATCCATGCTCAGTGATTTTGACAAAGGCGCTAAGTCTTTTTTTTTTTATGCCCTCATTCTTGTTTATGTAACTAATTCAAGTGGTTCATGCGCAGGTTTGTTACATGGATAAATTGTGTGTCCTGGGGGTTTAGTATACAGATAATTTTCCCAGGTATTCAGCATATTACTCAATAGGTAGATTTTCAATCCTCACCCTCCTCCCACCCTCCATCCCCAGGTAGGCCTTAGTGTCTGTTGTTCCCTTCTTTGTGTCTCTGTGTATTCAGTGTTTAGCTTCCACTTTTTTTTTTTTTTTTGAGACAGAATCTTGCTCTGTTGCCCAGGCTGGAGGGCAGCGGCATGATCTCGGCTCACTGCAATCTCCGCCTCCTAGGTCCAAGCGATTCTCCTGCCTCAGCTTCCTGAGTAGCTGGTACTACAGGTGTGTGCCACCAGGCACAGCTAATTTTTTGTATTTTTAGTAGAGACAGGGTTTCACCATGTTAGCCAGGATGGTCTCAATCTCCTGACCTCGTGATCTGCCTGCCTCAGCCTCCCAATAGCTTCCACTTTTAAGTAAGATTATATGGTATTTGGCTTTCTGTTTCTGTGTTAATTTGGTTAGAATAATGGCCTCCAGCTGCATCCATGCTGCTGCAAGGGACATGATTTTTCTTTTTCATGGCTGCATAGTATTCTGTGGCGCATATATGCCATATTTTCTTTATCTAGTCCACTGTTGATGGGCATCTAGGTTGATTCCATGTCTTTACTATTGTGAATAATGCTGCAATGAACATACACATGCATGTATCTTTATGGTGGAATAATTGATATTCCTTTAGATATATACTAAGTAATGGGATTGCTGTGTCAAATAGTGCTTCTATTTTAAGTGTTTTGAGAAATCTTCAGGCTACTTTCCACTATAGCTGAACTAATTTATATTTGTGCTAACAGTGTATAAGCATTCCCTTTTCTCCAAAGCCTCACCAGGGTCTGTTATTTTTTGACTTAATAATATCTATTCTGACTGGTGTGAGAGGGGATCTTATTGTGGTTTTGATTTGCATTTCTCTAGTTATTAGTGATATTGGGCATTTTTAAAAATATGTTGGGTGTCTCTCTGTATGTCTGTTTTTGAGAAGTGTCCATGTTTTCCAAATTTTTAAATAAAGGTTTCAGTTTTTGCTTGTTGACTTAAATTCCTTATAGATTCTGGATATTAGACTTTTGTCAGATGCATGGTTTGCAAATATTTTCTCCCATTCTGTAGTTTGCTGTTTACTCTGTTAATAGTTTTTTTTTTTCTCTGCAGAAGCTCTTTAGTTTAATTTGGCTGCACTTGTCAATTTTTGTTTTTGTTGCAGTTGCTTTTGAGGACTTAGTCATGCATTATTTCCCAAGGCCAATGTCAAAAATGATGTTTCCTAGATTTTCTTCTAGAATTCTTATAGTTTGAGGTCTTACATTGAAATCTTCAATCCATCTTGAGTTAGTTTTTTGTATATGGTGAAAGGTAGGCATTCAGTTTTATCCTTCTACATATGGCTAGCCAGCTATCTCAGCACCATTTATTGAACAGGGAGTCTTTTCCCCATTGTTTATTTTTGTCAACTTTGTCAAAGAGCAGATGTTTATAGGTGTGCAGCTTTATTTCTGTGTTACAGCAATCTTTATCTCTGGAATAGAGATTCTGTTCCGATGGTCCATGTGTCTGCTTTTGTACCAGTCCCATGTTGTTTTGGTTTCTGCAACTTTGTCTTATAGTTTGAAGTCAGGTAGTGTGATGCCTCCAGTGTTGTTCTTTTTTGCTTAGGATTACTTTCACTCATCAGACTCTTTTTTTTTTTTTTTGGTCTCATATGAGTTTTAAAATAGTTTTTCCAACTCTGTAAACATGTCATTAATAGTTTGATAGGAATAGCACTGAATCCGTAAATTGCTTTGAGCAGTATGGCCATTTTAACAATATTGATTCTTCCTATCCATGAGCATAGAATGTTTTTTCATTTGTTTGTGTCATCCCTGATTTCTTTCAGCATTGTTTTATAATTCTCACTTAGAGATCTTTCATCATCCTGGTTAGCTGTATTCCTAGGTATTTTTATTTTTTCTTCCAGCTGTTATTAATGGGATTTTGTTCTTGGTGTGGCTCGCAGCTTGGTGTATAGAAATGATATTGATTTTTTATACATTGATTTTGCATCCCTAAACTTTACTGATTATCAGGTCTATGGCCTTTGGGCAGAGACTATGGAAATTTCTCATTATAGAGTCATATCATCTCTGAAGAGAGATAGTTTGACTTCCTCTGTTTCTAGTTGGATGCCTTTTATTTCTTTCTCTTACCTGATTGCTCTGGCTAAGATTTCCAGTCTTTCAACTAGTGGTTCTGGAGAGGGAGATACAAACAGAAGTCATATAACCTTTTATTATGTAGCATGAGAAGTCAGAAAGCATCGTCTGCACTGTATTTATTAGTTAAGGCAGTTACAAAGGTTTGCCTCAGATCAAGCAGAGGGAACATAGACTTCACCTCTCAGTGGAGGATTATCAATGTTACATTATAAAAAGTTCTTGTGAGATGGAATACATATTTTTAGAAAACTACAACTTTTGGAAACGCATTTTTGAAAAATACAATGTGCCACTGTAGCTATAATTTTTTTCAGTTTCAAAAATGTCAGTTTTACTTGGTTCAATCCATTATGCTCTTGACTAAAACTGCCAGAATTTTAATGTCCTTCATTTTTAATATTGGGAATTGTTGTGACTAATAAGTAATAATAATAGTATAATGAATAAATTTTATGGTACAAATAGTTTAATAAAAAGGTTGTGGTGTAGTGACATCAGCAAAAATGGAATAAAAATGTTCAAAATTTTATCTCTTTATAAAATATACTAGAAAACTGGCAACAACTGTCAAAATAAAGCTTTTTAGAACTCTGAAAACTAACCTAAGGTTTTTAGCAATCTAGGGAGTGCTAATTCTAGCAAAATATCTCATCTCAGTAAGAATATCGATTTGTGGTTTTTCACTTACCCTGTTTCCATTCTTCTCAGAGAAGCAGCAGGCTTGAAAATAATGCCCAGATTCTTAATACCAGTGCCAGAAAAACAGAATGGACCTCATTCATGAAAAATTGATCTGCCTGTTGACTCCCTCAAATATATTCTCAAAAGCCTTGTTTTTTCACCTAATCTGGACTTCACGCAGTGGTAAAGCTGCTACTTGGTGTGGGCCGGTGTTAGAAAACATTTATTGAAAAACATTATAAATACTGCTGCCTGAACACTGGGGAAAACAATAGACTAAACAAAAATCTTGAGAGAAAGTACTGGGAATGAGATGCTTTGGGGAATATGGGCTTTGAAAAGCTTCAACATATTTCTGAGAATTTGCAAACTGTGTATGTCAAGGCTGTGTGCATGTTCAGTAAAAACCTGGGAAATTTCTACCTTCCCTGCACAAGCAGAAAATGTAGGCCAAACAGAGTTGAAAACTGTCTGGCTGAGTGTTGAAAGCAGGGCCCAACACATACACAAAGCCCCTCTGCAAGTTCCAAGCACATATGGAAATCTTTGTCAAATTATTAGCTGACCTCTAAGCTAATGGAAAAAATATTTTAATCTACATAGGTGACAAAAAATAGAGACCACAAAGTTTATTCAGAAAAGATACTAAACAAACAAATAACTACAACGAGGAGTACAACGTGGGGAGGAGGGAGAATCTTATTTCTAGAGTGTCCACTTTATCATGTTTGAAATATCTGGTATTCAAAAAAAGTAGGAGATATACAAAAAAAAAAAAAAAAAAAAAAAAAAAAACTGAAGAAAGTATGGCACATGGAAAAGAAAAAATGCAGTTAATAAAAACTACCCCTGAGGAGATCCAGACATTGGCCTTAATAGAATCAGACTTTAAATCAACTATTTTAGATATGTTCAAAGAGCTAAAGGAAACGACATCTAAAGAACTAAAGAGAAACCTGAGAATGATATCTCACAAAAATAGAGAATATCAATAAGAGACAATTTTTTTAAAAAAACATGAGAATGATATCTCACAAAATAGAGACTATCAATAATTTTTTTTAAAAAATTATTTATTTTATAATGTTCTTTTAAATAGAAATCAAATAGAAATTCTGGAGTTGAAAGATAAAGTAATGGAAATGAAAAATGCTCTAGAGGGCTAAACAGCAGATTTGAGGAGGTACAAAAAATTAGTGAACATGAAAATAGGTCAATTGAGATTACCCATTTAGAGAAAATCTCAGTTAGAGAAAAGAATGAAGAATAATAAATGGAGCCTAATAGAACTGTGGAACACCCTCAAGATATCAACATATGCATAATGGAAATTCCAAAAAGAAAAGAGAGAGAGAAAGGTACAGAAAATATATTTGAAGATATAATTGTCTAATACTTACCAAATTTTATGAAAAATTTAATCTACATGTACAATAAGCTCAATGTACTCCAGATGGATAAACTCAAAGAGACCACCTGAAGACATATCATAACCAAATGGCTCAAATCCAAAGCCAAAGAGTAAATCTTGAAAACAGTAGGAGAGAAGAGACTTATCATTTATAGTAGTTCCTTCATATCCATGAGGGATACATTTCAAAACTCCTAGTGAATGCCTGAAACCATGGATAGTATTGAATCATACACATATTATGTTTTTTAATACATACTTACAATAACATTTAATCAAAGTTTAAAATTTGATAATTTTAATATATAAATTAGGGGGAGTACTCTTGCATTTTGGGGCCATTATTAAGTAAAATTAGGGTTACTTGCATACAGGACTGTGATAGTGTAACAGTCAATCTGATAACCAGGACAG
The DNA here is from genome assembly GCF_000001405.40 of Homo sapiens. Taxonomy (NCBI): domain Eukaryota; kingdom Metazoa; phylum Chordata; class Mammalia; order Primates; family Hominidae; genus Homo; species Homo sapiens. Next base: position 9,415,947 of record NC_000004.12, on the reverse strand, counting down.
GTGCTAATTGACTAATGGGTCAGTAGCATATACAGGATGAATATTCCGGACAAAGGAATGGTTCACATCCCAAGTGAGATGAAGCCAGATAGCATGAGATTTCATCATGCTACTCGAACGGCATGCAACTGAAAATTGTTTATTTCTGAAATTTTCCACTTAATATTTTCAGGTGAAAGTTGACCATAGGTAACTGAAGCCATGGAAAGTAAAATTGCAGATAAGGGAAGATCAGTTATTAGTGATTCACAGTAAATTTACAGCTGACCTCTTTTAAGAATGCAGTGGGATGACAAAAAATTCTATGAGGAGTTATTTGGGCTGAAATGAAAGAACATTATATAGTAATTTCAAACACATAAAGGAGTAAAAATGCTGGTGAGAGTGTGTGTATAACTTTAATAAAGGTAACTTTAGTATATATAAGCAATATCCTCTTTTCTTCTGATTTAAAAACAACTGCACATCACATTGCAGCATTACTCACAATACCCAAGCTATTGAAAAAACCTAAGTGTTTATGAACAGATGGATAAAGGAATTATATACATAATAAAATATCACTCAGTTTTGTAAAGAAGTTTCTTTCATTTGCATCAACATGGATGAACCTAGAAGACATTATGCTAATAATAAATCAGGCACAGAAAGAAAAATACTGCATTATCTCATTTGTAGGTAGACCCTAAACAAAAAAGCCCCACAAAAGCCCTAAGAAATAGAAAGGTTAGAAAGAGGTGGGAGGTGTGTGGAAGATGGAAGATGAAAGCCAAAGGGTACAAGTTTCAGCTACATAAAATAAATAACCCTAGAGATCTCATGTACAACACAAGAGCTGTAGTTAATAATGTATCATACTCCAGAAATTTGCCCAGAGTAGATTTTAGATACTTTTACCACAAAAAAGTAACTATGTGAGATGATGGATATGTTAATTTGCTTGATTATGGCAATCATTGCCCTAAGTATATATGTATATGTATATATACACAAATATAATATTGTATATCTTAAATACAATAAAAAGAAAGTCAATGCATAAAGCAATAAATATAAACCTATGTTGGTGATCATACAGTGTATAAAGATGAGATGTGATTTAGGTTGGGCCCAGTTGCTCACCTGTAATCCCAGCACTTTGGGAGGCCGAAGCGGGCGGATCACCTGAGGTCAGGAGTTCGAGAGCAGCCTGACCAACATGGAGAAATCCTGTGTGTATCAAAAATAGAAAATTAGCTGGGCATGGTGGCCGATGCCTGTAATCCCAGAAAAAATGAGCAAGGGTTGCAATCCTAGTCCCTGACAAATCAGAGTTTAAACCAACAAAGATAAAAAAAGACAAAGAAGAGCATTACATAATGACAAAGGGATCAATTCAACAAGAAGAGCTAACTATCCTAAATATATATGCACCCAATACAGGAGCACCTAGATTCATAAAACAAATTCTTAGACACCTACAAAGAGGCTTAGACTCCCGCAAAATAATAATGGGAGACTTTAACACCCCACTGTCAATATTAGATCAACAAGACAGAAAATTAACAAAGATATGCAGGAATTGAACTAAGCTCTGGATCAAGTGGACTTAATAGACAACTACAGAACTCTCCACCCCAGATCAACATAATATATATTCTAATCAGTGCCACATGACACATATTCTAAAATTGACTGCACAGTTGGAAGTAAAACACTCGTCAGAAAATGCAAAAGAACTGAAAATATAACAAACGGTCTCTCAGACCACAGTGCAATCAAATTAGAATTCAGGATGAAGAAACTCACTCAAAACCACACAACTACATGGAAATTGAACAACCCGCTCCTGAATGACTCCTGCGTAAATAATGAAATTAAGGCAGAAATCAAGAAGTTATTTGAAACCAATGAGAACAAAGACAACGTACCAGAATCTCTAGGACACAGCTAAAGCAGTGTTAAGAGGGAAATTTATAGCACTAAATGCCCACATCAGAAAGCTAGAAAGATTTCAAAAATGACACCCTAACATCACAATTAGAAGAGCTAGAGAAGCAACAGCAAACAAGTCCAAAAGCTAGCAGAAGGCAAGAAATAACTATAATCAGAGCAGAACTGAAGGAGATAGAGATACAAAAAACACTTCAAGAAATCAATTAATCTACAAGTTGATTTCTTGAAGAAATTAACAAAATAGAGCACTAGCTAGACTAATAAAGAAGAAAAGAGAGGAGAATCAAATAAACACAATAAAAATGATAAAGGGGATATCACCACTGACACTATAGAAATACAAACTATCACTAGAGAATACTATAAATATCTCTATGCAAATAAACTAGAAAACCTAGAAGAAATGGATAAATTCCAGGACATATACACCCTCTCAAGACTAAACCAGGATGAAGGTGAATCCCTGAATAGACCAATAAGAAGCTGTGAAATTGAGACAGTAATTAATAGTCTACCACCCAATAAAAGTCCAGGACCAGACTGATTCAGAGCTGAATTCTACCAGAGATGGAAAACCAGCACAAGAAAAGGATGCCCTCTCTCACCGCTCCTGTTCAACATAGTATTGGAATTTCTGGCCAGGGCAATCAGGCAAGAGAAAGAAATAAAAGTATTCAAATAGGAAGAGAGGAAGTCATATTGTCTCTGTTTGCAGACGATGTGATTCCCTTTCTAATAAATGGTGATGGGAAAACTGGCTAGCCATATTCAGAAAATTAAAACTGGACGCTTCCTTACACCTCATACAAAATTTAACTCAAGAGATGGATTAAAGACTTAAATGTAAAACCCAAAACCATAAAAATTCTAGGAGAAAACCTAGGCAATACCATTCAGGACACAGGCATGGGCAAAGACTTCATGACGAAAATGCCAAAAGCATTTGCAACAAAAGTCAAAATTGACAAATGGGATCTAATTAAGCTAAAGAGCTTCTACACAGCAAAAGAAACTATCATCAGAGTGAACAGGAAACCTACAGAATGGGAGAAAATTTTTGCAATCCACCCATCTGACAAAGGTCTAATATCCAGAATCTACAAGGAGCTTAAACAAATTTACAAGAAAAAGCAACCCCATTAAAAAGTGGGCAAAGAATATGAACAGACACTTCTCAAAAGAAGACATTTATGAGGCCAACAAACATATAAAAAAAAGCTCAACATCACTGATTATTAAAGAAATGCAAATCAAAACCACAATGAGATACTATCTCATGCCAGTCAGAATGGTGATTATTAAAAAGTCAAGAAGCAATAGATGCTGGTGATGCTCTGGAGAAATGGGAATGCTTTTACACTGTTGGTGGGAATGTAAATCAGATCAACCATTGTAGAAGACAGTGTGGCGATTCTTCAAAGATCTAGAACCAGAAATACCATTTATCCCAGCAATCCCATTACTGGGCATATACCCAAAGGAATCATAAGTCATTCTACTGTAAAGACAGAAACACATGTATATTTATTACAGCACTATTTACAATAGCAAAGACATGTAACCAACACAAATGCCTATCAGTGATAGACTGGTAAAGAAAATGTGGTAAATATACACCATGGAATACTATGCAGCCATAAAAAGGAATGAGATCATGTCCTTTGCAGGGACATGGATGAAGCTGGAAGTCATCATCCTCAGCAAACTAACACAGGAACAGAAAAACTAACACCACATGTTCTCACTCATAAGTGGGAGTTGAACAATGAGAACACACGGACACAGGAAGGGGAATAACACACACCAGGGCCAGTCAGGGGATGGGGAGGAGGGGAGGGAGAGCATTAGGATAAATAGCTCATGCATGTGGAGCTTAAAACCTAAATGAGGGTTTGGTAGGAGCAGCAAACCACCAGGGCACAGGTAAACCTTGAAACAAACCTACACGTTTTGCACTTGTATCCCAGAACTTAAAGCAAAATGAAAAAATAAAAAAAAAGTAGTACAAGAAATTACTTGTACTACTGGATGGTGGTCATCAAAACACCACCATCATTCTTCAGAGTTAGAAAAAACAATCCTAAAATTCATATGGAACCAAAAAAGAGCCCACATATCCAAAGCAAGACTAAGCAAAAAGAACAAATCTGGAGGCATCATACTATCTGATTTCACACTGTACTATAAGATCATAGTCACCAAAACAGTGTGGTACCAGGAAAATATATACATCAAAACATGTGCACTTAAATAACATAGCATCAAATTTATAAAACAAAAATTAAGCAACCTACAAGGAAAAATGAAAAAATTCCGAACTATAGCGGGAGATTATAACTTATTTTTCTTAGTCATTCAAAGAAAGAAGACTTTAAACATTAACAATACATTGGATGTTAATAAAAATTTACTATTTTTATGAAGTGAATAATTACAAAGAACTTCAACAACTACAGAATACAATTTTAATAGGACATATTGAATATGCACAAATATTGACCATATAACGATTTGTTCTACATGCCAAATCTTAACAAAGTCAAATAACTGACACTCTACAGAAAGTGTTCATTTATCACACTGATATGAAATTATAAGAAACGGTTCTAAAACCCAGTTGATTGAAGAAAAAAATCTTAGTGAATAAAATATATTGAAATTAAAATATTACTTATTAAAACTTTTTGGATTCCATTGGTACAATATTCAAGAGGAAATTCAGAGTCATAAATGCTGATATTAGAAAATAATAATGGTGAGTCTTTGGCAATACCATCATGAACACTCCTGATCTCATCTGATCTCAGAAGAAAATAATAATAGAAAACCGAAACATCTCAGTCTTTGCAGTATGAATTACAAAGAAAATAAAATGCACAAATAAAAATAACAGGAAAAAAGGAAGCACCTTTAAATATGCAAAACCATTAAAGAAACTTGACAAAATTAACTCAAGATGAAACAGAAAATAAGAATGTTTTCCTGAATTAATAAAGCAAATAATTCTGTAATCAATAAAACAACTAATTCTGTAATCAATAACCTCCCAAAAAAGAGGGCACTTAACTTATATTTTCAACAACATTTCAGAAATTTAAAAAATTGTAATTATATCCAACCTCTTCTAACAAAACAAATAAAAAGGGACACTCCAAAACATCACATTTATCAAAACAATTTTTATTAAGATAATGTTCACATAACAAAATATTCACTATTTTAACCATTTTGATTTGTTTAATTTAATAGATGTTAGTATATTTACAATGTTGTGCAGCCATCACCACTATTTAATTCCAAAACCTTTCCATCACCCCAAAAAGAAACTCCTTCTCTAATCCCCAGAAACTACTAATTTGTTTTCTATCCCTATAGATTTGACTATTCTGGACATTACATAACTAGAATTATAAAATATATACCCATTTGTGTCTGCCTTCCATAACTTAGCATAATTTTTCAAGGTCATCCAAGTTGTAGGATATATAGCTATTTCATTCCTTCTATCAATAAATATTACTGTATTATATAAATATACCACATTGTGTTTATATATTTATCAGCTGATGGGCATTTGGGTTATTTCAGCTTTTTTGCTATTATGAATAATGCTGCTATGAGAATTCACTGAGAATTTTTCAACTCTTAGGTACAAACTATTTTCTTAAGTATATACCTAAGAGTGGAATTGCTGGGTTATACGGTAACTCTATTTTTCATTCTTTAAGAACTGCCCACCTGTTTTTCAAACTGCCTCCACCATTTTGGTGGTTTAAGGCTCTATTTTTTGTGCTGATGGGCCTCCTGCTGGGAGGTGGCGCTTTCCAGGAAGCATGCGCTGTAGTAGTGTTGAGAGATGACAACATGCTAGCAGCCCTCGCTGGCTCTCAGCACTTCCTTGGCCTCGATGTCCACTCTGGTTGCACTCAAGGAGCCATTCAGCCCGCCGCTGCACTGTGGGGGCCCCTCTCTGGGGCTGTTCAAGGCCGGAGCTGGCTCCCTCTGCTCGCAGGTTGTGGAGGGAGAGGCCCTGGTGGGAGCCGGGGCTGTGTGTGGCCCTTGTGGGCTGGTGCAGGTTCAGGGTGGGCGCGGGCTCAGCGGGCCCCACACTTGGGGCGGCTGGCCAGTGCCTGCTGGGCTTGACCAGGGGATGAGCTCTCTCTAGGCTGCTGGAGTGCCAGGGCTGGGTGCTGCAAAGTCCTGTCTGGCGAGTGCCATCAAGAGGTGAAGCCGGCTGGGCTTCTGGGCCGGCTGGGGACTTGGAGATCTTTTGTGTCTAGCTAAAGGATTGTAAATGCACCAATCAGCACTCTGTGTCTAACTAAAACTTTGTAAACGCACCAATCAGCTCTCTGGGTCTAGCTAATCTGGTGGGGGACTTGAAGAACTTTTGTGTCCAGCTAAAGGATTGTAAATGCACCAATCAGCACTCTGTGTCTAGCTAAAGGTTTGTAAATGCACCAGTCAGCACTCTGTCAAAACGGACCAATCAGCTCTCTGTAAAATGGACCAATCAGCAGGATGTGGGTGGGGCCAGACAAGGGAATAAAAGCAGGCCACCAGAGCCCACAGCTCAACAGGGTTGGGTCCCCTTCCATGATGTGGGAACTTTGTTCTTTCGCTTTTTGCAGTATAGCTTGCTGCTGCTCACCTTTTGGTCCACGCCACTTTTAAGAGCTGTAACACTCACTGCAAAGGTCTGCAACTTCACTTCTGAGGCCAGCCAGACCATGAACCCACTGGGAGGAATGAGCAACTCTGGACACACCATCTTTAAGAACTGTTAACACTCACCAGGAGGGTCTGCGGCTTCATTCTTAAACTCAGCGAGACCAAGAACCCACCAATTCCGGACACTGTGGAGAGGGACCAGTGGTGGGCAGGGCTCCAGAACTCCAAAGATCATATGTTCTTTGTCTTCTGCTACCAGGGTGGATATGGAAGGACCATCAGGTGGGGGCAGGGCTAGGCGTGCCTGAGCTCAGACTCTCCTTGGGGGGGTCTTATTTTGGCTGCTGTGGGGGATGGAGGTGAGATTCCCAGGTCACTGGAGTTGTGTACCTAGAAGGATTATGGCTGCCTCTGCTGAGTCATGCAGGTTGTCAGGGAAGTGGGGGAAAGCTAGCTTCCAGGCACGCTGAAAGGCGGGTCTCACTCCCACAATGCCCCTTGCGATAGCCCGGAGTCTGTTTCCAGGCCAAAGGCGAATTTGGCTTGAAAACTTATCTGAGGCTTTCTACCTCCCGACTGACAAAGAAATGGGCCTCAGTTCTTACCCCGCCTGTGAAGTCTGCAAGCCGGATTCACGCCCTCCCCCGAGTTCTGGCCAGGAGGCTTCTTGCCGCATTCAATTTTTTACAAAGTTCAGCTAGAGAAGTCCTTCTCCCTGTGAAGTTTTACCCCCTGCTCCTCTGGCCACCCTCCTGATGGATGCCTGTGGTGCCAGGCAGGAATGGGCTACTTGGGGATCCAGCGGCCTTCCAGTGCCTTTGTGCTACTTCCTCTACTCCTGTATGTTGCTCAGCTCGGCTCTCTAACTTGACTCAGCTCCAGGTGAAGTGAGGAACTTCTCCCACAAACAGACTTTCAGCTTCTCCAGTGCGGGTGTGTGTTCATGAGACGAGGGTCTCCCTTTCCCATTTCCGTGGTTAGGGGACTTAAAGTATTTGGGGTGTCTCCCAGGTCCTGCAAGAGCAGTCTGCTTCCTTCGGAGGGTCTGTGGGTCCTGTCAGGATTGCTGGTCTGCTCTTGCAGTCCATCTGGAGCTAAAATTCACAATGCAAGCCTCCGCATGCTGCTCTGTCCAGAGCTGCCATCTAGTTCTGCCTCCTGTCTGTCATAATCCCTCATGACGCTTGAGCTTTTTTTTTCATAAGATTATTGGCAGCATGTGTGTCTTCTTTTGAGAAGTGTCTGTTCATGTCTTTGCCTACTTTTTAAAGTTTTTTTTTTTTGTAAATTTGTTTAAGTTCCTTGTAGATGCTGTATATTGGATCTTTGTCGAATGCATAGCTTGCAAAAATGTTCTCCCATTCTGCAGGTTGTCTTTTTGCTCTGTTAATAGTTTCTTTTGCTGTCCAGAAGCTCTTTACTTTAATTACATCCCATTCGTCAATTTTTGCTTTTGTCACAATTGCTTTTGGTGTCATTGTTATAAAATCTTTGCCCGTGCCTATGTCCTGAATGGTATTGCCTAGGTTGTCTTCCAGGATTTTTATAGTTTTGTGTTTCACACTTCAGTCTTTAATCTTTAATCCTGCATATGAAGACCGATCTTTATGTTTAGAAATTCTTTCATCTTCTTAATCTAGTCTATTGTTGAGGTTCTCAAATTGTATTATTTATTTTATTTATTGAATTATTCAATTTCAGCTGTTAAATTCCTTTTCACTCATTTTATGGATTTGTTTGATTGAAATCTGTTGCTGAAGAATTATTGGTTTTCCTTCAGAGATGCTATGTTTCCTTGCTCTTCAATGTTTCTTATGTCCTTACATTGATATTTGAATATCTGGTAAAACAGTTGCTTCTTCTAATTTTATAGATTGGCTTTGGTAGTAAAAGACTGACTTCTGTAGCTGTATCTATACTGTTGAATCAGTAAGACACTTTGCCTTTAGTTCTGGGTTGGTTCAGTAGTTTAGACTTCTATGATATCTTCAGCTATAATCAGCATCACTGATGTCTGTGAGCTCCTCAGTGTCTTAGCCTTCGTTGTTAATGGAGGCTGTGGTGAGATTTTGCTGGGGAAAGACAGGCCAGGCAGTTTGGTCCTTGGGCACCAGTTGCATTGGTCTTTGAACTTGTGGGTGATGAACGTGGGCACTAGTGGTTGAAGTTTCAGGCAGGCCATCCTTGGGCCTTCAGGTGGCTTTTTTTTTTTTTTTTTTTTTTTTTTTTGAGATGGAGTTCTGCTCTTGTTGCCCAGGCTGGAGTGCAATGGCATGATCTCAGCTCACTGCAACCTCCGCCTCCCAGATTCAAGCAATTCTACTGCCTCAGCCTCCCGAGTAGCTGGGATTACAAGCATGCGCCTCCATGCCCGGCTAATTTTGTATTTTTTTTTTTTTTTAGTAGAGATGGAGTTTCTCCATGTTGGTCAGGCTGGTCTTGAACTCCCGACCTCAGGTGATCTGCCCCCCTCAGCCTTCCAAAGTGCTGGGATTACAGGTGTGAGTCAGGTGGCTTTCTCAAGTGCCAGCAGTGACAGTGGTGAGCTAGGTAGATAGGCATGCCCTCAAGACGCTGAGAGGCATGTGTAGCATCAGCAATTGCAGTATTCATAGCAGGTGAACTCTTGTGACCCCAGATGGCATGTGCAGACACCAGCAGTCGTGGCAACATGACGGACAGAGTAGTCCTCAGGCTTTCACTTGGTGCAAATATGTGGGCACTGGTGGCAGTGGTGATGGCAGGCTGGGAAGTCCTATCCTTAGGCTCTCAGGAGACACACAGGTACTTGATGGTGATAGGCATGGTGGATTAATCCCCAGGCTCCCAGACAATGTGCACAGGCACCACCAGGCTGGGTGGGCTCATTCTCAGGTCACAAGAAGGCATGCACAGGTGCCAATGACAGAGAGCAGAGTGGGTTGATCCCCAGCCTCCTGGACAACGAGCTTGGGTAGTGGTAGTGACAGCAATGGGTGGGATGGGCCTGTGCTCTGGCCCTGGAATAGTGCCCAGGCAGGTGAGTCCCCAGGTCCCCTGAGGATGCCTGCAGGTGTGCAGTGGCCCTGCTCCTGGGGGTCAGGATTGCTGTCAGTGTCAGTGGCCCTGGGAAGGTGACTCTCCACTTGTGAAGAGTGCCTGCTTCAGCTCCCTTTGTTCTGGGGGCAGCCTCCCTAGTGAATGGCACTGCCAGTTCCCTGGAGTGTAGGACACTGTGTAGGCTAGAGTGATGGGGACCAAGATACACTGGTGAGTTCAGCTGGTATTGTGACTCTGCAGGCCTCTGGGTGGACATGAGGGAATGTCACTGGGGGTCCAGATATGTGGAGATGCAGGGGCTGTTGGGCCCCAGGGCAGGATGTAGTCTGTTGGGGGCTGGGCTCTCAAATTGGCACTGTGCCACAGCTGTCTGTGTCTGGGGGTGGGTGCAGACGATCCAGTGCCAACTCCTTCTCTGGGACAATGACCATCACATAGATTCCAGGCAGCTCCCTATAGTAGTCTCAGGGCCTGCGAGGGCTGAGAGACTGTCCCTTGGCTAGGATTTCAGTGTCCACAGTGGGAATATGGACCACTGGGGCTCTCTTTTTTACCTTTTCACCACACTGGAGAGCCTGTCCTGGCTTTAAGCTGATTCTGGCTGGGCTGCTGCTTCATTTTCCTTTCCTTCCATACCTCAGAGATTCCTCGTCACTTTGCTGCTGAATTCTAGTGCCCTCTTTCATGCCCTCTTCAAGGTATGATTATCTACTTGCTGTTTTGGTCTTTCTTTTGGAGGACACAGTGCCTGGAACCTCTAGTCAGCCATCTTGAAGGCCACCTTCTAGCAATGAGAGGATAATATTCTATGTGACGGCTTTAATAATATATGTGTCCAAACTGCTTCTTTTCTAGGGAAGGACTTACTCTAAGAAATAAATGTTATATAGTGCAAAAATACATTAAAGGGTCAGTTGGTGATGTAGTTTCAAGAGTGGCACTGAGGAAACCTTGGCACTTCCACAGGGTTGAGTTGGTTGGAATATATCTCAATCTCTGAGATTTTGAACCCAATGTTTTGAACTTTTTGAGATTTCAAGTAGCCCATGTGACATAACTTAACATTGTTTCTTGGTCAAATCAGGCATAGTGAAAAATAAAATCCAGCTAATATACTTTTAAATATCTTGATTCTATACTCTTTCAATGACCAAGGGGAGGCCCCCCACTACTTTACACAAAAAAGAAAACTCTATGAATGAGATTCTCCTCACACAAAGCCACCAAAGATGTGTCTAAATGGAGCAAAATTGTGACAGGTGGTAAAAGCACTCAGTGGCTGTTGTAGGGAGAATAATGTCCCCTCTGTCTCCCGCCAAAGCTATCCACTTTCTAACTCCTGGGTCCTGTGGATGTGCCACCTTGTAAGGCAAAGGGGAATTGAGGTTTCATGTGAAATTAAGGCTGTTAATCAGCTGACCTTAAAATAGGGAGATTATCTTAGATTATCCAGGGGGGCCCAACCTAATCATGAGTCCTAAAAAATGGAAGAGTTGGGAGAAGATGAATTCAGAATGATGGAATGTGAGGACTCAACGCTCCGTTGCTGGCTTTGAAAATGGATGAAGGAAGCTATGGTGCCCAGGAGTAACCTGCCATTGCTGGGATAAAGGTGCAGGAAGAAAACTGCAGAGCTTCCAGAAGAAAGCTCAGCCCTGCTGACACCTTGATGTTGGCCCACTGAAATCCATCTGAAACCTGCAGCCTATAGAACTGTCAGATAATGCATTTGTGTTGCTTTAAGCCACTAAGTTTGTTGTAATTTGTGATAGCAGCCGTAGGAAGCCAATGCAGTGTTTTAAAAGATGGAAGAAAATGCTGAATGATTATGCCCAGTGAAAGCTGGGAACTAAAGGAATTCCCTGAATCTTGGCCAGGCATACATGTACAGACCCAGGGAATTGCCTCTGAAAAGGGTGGTGAAGAAATTGCCTTTAATATGAGTGCAACTCTTTTTATAATTTAGATTTCTGGTGAAGTCTGTTTGATGTGATTGTGCAATTTTCCCATGTGCTGCACCTTTATCAGGGAGAGACAGACCCCTGCAAGGCTGCATGGAATAGGATGGCGCATTTTCCCAGTAAAAAAGCGGAGTTGTCTTCCCACATGCAGGGTGAAGGGTTACAGTGCTAGACAAATCAATAGGTATGGTTGAAAGTTCCCCCACCCTCCTGTAGGTCATTTTCAACTAAGAGCTCATCTAGATGGGATAGAAGGATACTGGAAACCAAACAGTATTCAAGTCATAACATGTAATATAAACTTCTTTCTTTTTTTTTTTTTTGAGACAGTGTCTTGCTCTCTCACCCAGGCTGGAGTGCAGTGTCGGGATCTCGGCTCACTGCAGCCTCCACCTCATGGGTTCAAGCGATTCTCCTGCTTCAGCCTCCTGAGTAACTGGGATTACAGGTGACCACCACCATGCCTGGCTAAATTTTTGTATTTTTAAAAGAGACAGGGTTTCACCATGTTGGCCAGAATGGTCTTGATATCCTGACCTCATGACCCACCCACCTTGGCCCCCAAAAGTGCTAGGATTACAGGCATGAGTCACCGCACCCAGCCAGTAATATAAACTTTTAAAAGAGGTTTTGTGCTGGTTGGTTTTGGTTTATTCTTTTTTAAGGATTCAATAAAAATCCCTGTGAGAAAAATGGAGAGAGGGAAAGGGAGACAGGGAGACAGGGAGAGGGAGAGAGAAAAAAGAAAACATAAAACCTCCAGAAAACAAGAGGCTTCAGTCCTTTTTGGGTGTAGTGCTCTCAATTCTTGGTTGATGCCCCAGAGGCAGGCAGCAGGGTCGGCTATTTAAACATCTCCCAACATGGATTTCTGTTTCGAGGCAAAAGTCTCGACAGGAGCCATTTGGACGTTCACAGATCTCCTTGAATTTGCCCCTGGCCACATGCAGAAGAGGGTTATTGTAACCATTCATTGGTCTTTCTTTACTTTGTATTGAATTACATGGACGTAGGGGGCAGTGCCTGAAAATAACCTTGTGTTGATTTGTGTGTGTGTGTGTGTGTGTGTGTGTGTGTGTGTGTGATTTGATTTCTTAAACACTTAAAAATCTGCTGCCACACAAAAATTTGAATTTTTTGGTGTTCTTGAAAAATCTGAGACTATTGGGTGCACCTACATGACAAAAGGCTGGAGGTGAGTAGCCCGCTCCCCTTTACAAGTTCTAGAGCATGCAAGTTTCAGTTTATTTCACCTTATTATCTTCTAACACTGATGGGAGATTTCAGCCTTTTAAAAAAATATGTCTTGTACTATGGATTTTCCTGGAGTGAAAGAGAAGAAAATCTCTTTTGGCTCATCTGTTTTTATTCCTACACACACACACACACACACACTCTATATGATAGATTATAATAGATGTTATCTTTCAAAAGTAGAACTGAAATATAGACCTAAAAGATAATATACTTTAATTGTTAGAGAGGATATTTTTCCTGTGGAAGGGAACAATATTCCTATGTGTTTAATACACAAATATATCTGTGCCAGTACTTTTTATACACTGAGACTTCACTCATTACTTATATCTCTGGCACTGGTCTTTGAGGTTGCAATTTTTCTCTAGAAACCATTGCATATATTAAGAGTGAAACATTCAAGGTCTTCTTAAAGGCTCAAAAACTATACTTGTTGAAAACATTGAATAGTATTTCATTTATGTCCTAAGATATCACTGCTCTGGGGATAGGCCACACACACTGAGGTATTTAGTTTGAAAAGTGTTTTAATGCTGAGCAGTCTTTGTATGTAACACAGAGCACCTTTTCCATGATAACTTCTTGGCAATAAGAGAGGTATAAAAACCAGCACTTTTTTTTTTTTCTATTCTGGAACACAAAAGCCAATTCTAGAATAGATTTCAATCAGTACAGCAATTTTAATAAACATTCAATAAATGCCTCTTTAATTGAACTGAAATCCAAATGTATTAGATTCCATTTAACTTTTCAATGATCACAAAGCGGTTAGTGGATTGATGTGAAGACCAAATATATGCAACATCATATTTATATCTATAATGCAAATTGGGAAATAAAGGTCATGCTTTTCTGAAGACAGTGGTAATTGTCAAGGTTGACCACTTGGTAGAAACAGGCAGAAATCTGAGTTTTTTGATCTCTGAGCTTTCCATCTCTTCCTTTTATCTGTAAGTAGTCAGCTACTACGTATAGTAGTACCCAAGCCCACTGGCCTTGTGCTAAAATTGGCCCTTTGCAGCTGGAAGAGTCATAAGAGATTAGTATAGTGTAGAGGAAGAACCACTGACCTGTCTTGTGATATGTGATAAATCACTCTTGAACATCCCTCTGTGGTAGTACTTCTTGCATTCTACCACGGGTGGTGTTTTCCCATCTGACCTCAATTCTTGATAATGAATTTCTTGAGGACAGGAATCATACCTTATTCTCCTCTGTATGTATATTCCAGAATCTGATTAAAGTCTTAGCTTATAATAGCTATTCAGTAAATGATTGTGGAATAATTGATTAAAATACAGCTATTTTCTAACTTGCAATATGTTTGTGTGGAAATTTGTTGTTACTCTCAGTTCACAGTCTTTGAATCATGTGTACTATTTTACTATACCTGATTCTATTGAGCATTATATTTTCAAACCACTTTTCAAGAAACTTAATACAGAACAACCATTTGACCCAGTAATCACACTACTGGGTGTATATCCAAAGGAAAATAAATCAGTCTTGTAAAAAGACCTAAATCTGTATGTTCATCACAGTGGTATTCACAGTAGCAAAGGTATGGAATCAAACTAGGTGTTCATCAACAGTGGATTGAATAAAGAAAATGTAGTACATATATGTCACGGAATACTATGTGGCCATAAAAAGAACAAAATTGTGTCCTTTTCAGCAACATGGATGCAGCTGGAGGACTTTATTCTAAGCAAATTAGCTCAGGAACAGGAAGCCAAATACCACATATTCTCAGTTGTAAGGGGGGGCCGAGCAATGAGTGCACATGGACATAAAAATGGGAACAAGAGAGATTGGGTCTTACCAGGAGGGGAGGAAGAGGGAGTAAAGTCTGAAAAGCTACCCTTTGGGTACACCCTACTTACGTGACAGAGTTATTCATACCCCAAACCTCAATATCACACAATATACCCATGTAACAAATCTGCACATGCGCTCCCTGAATCTAAAATAAAGGTTGAAATTATTTTTAAAAATTGAAATTACAAAAGACTTTTTAAAATTATGATGTACCATTGTTCATTTGTAAGAATTCAAGTAACATTAGGGATTTTAAAAATCTTTCGTTTTCATTTGTTCTTTGCTTGTAAACCTTGTGTATTGCATATTGTGGACACTATGTCTTTTCCAGCCATTTGCTTTAGGAACAAAAGCTAGAGTTACAATGAACATAGGCTGTCTCGTCTTGTCACTTACCTTAAAGATGAGGGAATAAGCTGATGGAAAGGAAGAAACTTGCCCAAGATTACCCAGTGATCGAGTGAGGCAGATGATAGGGACAGCACTAAGGTTTGGTATTCTGAGCCTCATTCTATTTTCCACTCTTGCCCTCTCTCTGTGTCCTCCTCTCTTCTCTAGCCTTCTACAAAAAGTTGGTAGTTCTTCTTCAATGTCTACCTAAGGACATCCAGAGGAGATGCCACCTTTCATAAGGCTGCATTCTTTAGCACCACCCTGTGTTTTCTTCTCCAGTCTTGTTGCATCCCATTTTTGACTGTGAGTAATGCTTCTGCCTGTGCTGTTCTATCCAATTAGTTGCTTCTATTTTGATTGAGTGACAGTGAAAACAAAACAAAACAAATTTTTTTATCCAAATTTGGAATTTTTAAACCTTGATTAAAAGCATTGATTTTCTGGGGTTATATATGTAGGACACATATTTTAAAATATTTTTAACTGATTAAAAAAAATCAAAGCCATGTATTTAGCCAGGGTGACTATTTAACAAGTACTAGTGAGACAGGACTTCAGTAATACCACAAGGATAATAATCTTATGTCAGTCCCCGATGTTGTGTGCTACCGAGTTAATATAATTGGATATGGTATCACCTTTTTTCAGGCTTTAGAAAGTCATACAAAGGAACAGCACAACAGAACTCTAGGGTGGGATGTATAGGGAAAGCCAGGATATTAAAACAAAGCATTGACTCTGACATTTACCCCACTGTTGGGAAAAGCACTTCAGTTTCCAGGGCCTTAATTTTTTTCTCTATAAAACAGCAAAAATAGAGGCAATAAGTTGCTTATTCATCCTTGAATACACATGTTCAGGAGTTCCAGAAAATTTTCGAATCTACTTTGGGTGTCTGGTAACCACCTTGGGCAAATCCAAGAAGTCCTTTACACACTTCTCCAAAGCATGTCTGTGCAAGGGGCCTTATACCTGTGATTAATGTTCGCATGCTGAATGCAGTAGGCTATGCTCTGGTGTGGGGTCATCCCTGCTTCCTGTGTTTAAATTCTACATTACAAGACTAGATGCTGAGAAGGAAGAGGGAAAGCCAGGGATGGAGATGGAGCCTTAAGGGGAAAAGTCAAGCCCCAGGGACCAACAGTATTGGGGAGCAATAGGTTAAAGATTTCTTAGATTATAATAATATTTTCAAAAAGACTTCTTCCACCAATCCCTTCTGTCTGAGCCTACCACAGCTTTGGCATAGCTCTTATGCCAGTTCTTAGGATAACTAACTGTTGCTGAAAGAAACTAGAGGAGCTTTGGAGACCAATATTTAGTAGAATAATGCCTGATTTTTAATTTTTGATGTCTAGTAACTGCTAGTAAACTTGCCTAATTTGGAGATGGAATAAGAGGGTTTCAAAGACTTGAAACACCATTGACTTCATTTAACTGAGTTGCTATGGAGAATTAACGAATTAGATGGCCGCAGGCCTCTCAGCCAATGAGTCTTCCAGATTTCCTATGAGACCCTCTTTTCTGGTCATAGTTGATGGTGATTTCTCTTTGAGTATTGAATCCCTGTAAGGTGTTAGGCACTCTACTCTTACCAAGTTTATTTTGTTACCTGGTAGAACTTGGCTCATAAAGAAGAAAATGGCGAAGAGGAGGACAGCAATCCTCATGGCTGAAGAAAGAAAAAAGTTTGTCTTCATTTCCAGGAGGCAGAGAAAACTTCCATCTGTGGCTGTCTAGCACCAGTGGAATGTCTCTGTTTGGATAACAAGAGTCTTTCTGTACCTCATTAGGGATATTCATAGATAGAGGTGTTCTATGCATGCAAAATTGCTTTTATGGGAAGACTGAGAGTCCTTTTTTTATTGGACAGCCAGGTCATTAGAATGATGTGGGTGCAGTTTTGGCCAGAAAACCTTGTTAAATGGGGACATAAGCTACAAACATTTTGGCAAAAGATGAAAGTTTATGAACAAACAACCATTTATATTGTTACAATAAATTAGACTGTTTTGAGAAACCAGTTGGTTTCATTAATGACCAGACATTGTGTTAGTGAACACTTCCCAGACTTTACTAGCCCTGCTAAGAATTAATCACCCCACTTGCTCCTGGTCTGAAAGTCCAAAGTGCTTTGTTTATGTTACAGTACTTACTGCCTTGTATGTTAGATTAGTGAATGTATATTTGCCTCATCCACGACAATATGAACTTCTTTCTTGCTAGGACAAGGCTATATTACTCAGAACTGAGGAGGGAGTTGAATCATGTGGCTATTTATTCTCAAATCCTCTTCACCAAGTGGAACAAAACAACAGCGAAAGACCACCGCACATGGAGGCAAGAGGTCTGGATTTGGGTTCTAGATCTCTAGATCTATTACTAACTGGAGGTATGGATATAGTCAGGAAAATTGTCTTCCTTAGGTGCTTCCTTGATAGCACCTATAAGGTTCGAGATCTATTGGATCTAGATCAGGGGATTCTCAATCATTACTATGCAGAAAATCAACTGGGAGAGTTACTTTGCAATACAGATGCTTAGTTCCATCTCATGATATTTTTATTTTTTTAAAAAAATTGGTCAAGTATTTTTCATTAAATAATATAAACTTTCTTAGTCTACATCGAATAAAACTCCCACCAGCATACAAATACATTGAATGATATTAGCAGCAGAATCTTTAAATAAAGTAACCATACACAACTATTAGGCCACCTTTTTTTACTTGCTTATTATTTCATGCTATTTGTCACCATTGTCATCATAATCAGTCTCATCCTACATTGCTGAACACCCATCATGGACCATATGACATAAACATTTTTCCTACTCATAAAGGAGCATGTGTTCTCTCTCTATATATAAAATTAAGTCTGAACAAAGTGGCTTAAAGAAGGCAGAAGTTTGTTTCTCCCTCACTTAAATCTATAGTTCTACCTACCATGGCTAGTACAGATACTTGCCAAATTCATTAGGGACGCAGGAACCTTCCAGCTCTCTGTTCTGCTATACTTTAGAAGAGGCTCTAGTTTGGCTGCTAAATCCCCACCTATCATTTTTGAATTCCAGGCAGCAGGAAGGAAAATAGCCAAGAGAGAAAAACAAGGGAACATCTACCCTTCCTTTTAAGTATTTTAACCAACCACCTCTTGTTTTTTTTTTTTAACGGACTTTGTTGAGCTATGATTACATTTAAAAAGCTGTACATATTTAAGGTGTACATCTCAGTGAGCTTGGGGATAAGGATACACCATGAACACATCACTACCATCAAGATTATAAACACATCCTTCCCCTCCCTAAGTCCCCCCCCTTTATTATTATTATTTTTTTTGGTAAGAAATTTTGATAAGAATACAAAATCTACCCTTTTAGCAAATTTTAAGTATGCAATACAGTATTCTTAACTGTAAGCACTATGCTGTAAATGAGACCTCCAGAACTTACTTATGTGGTATATCTGAAACTTTGTGCTCTAACCACATCTACCCATTTCCCCAGCACCACGGCCCCTGGCAACTACCATTCTACTCTCTGCTTTTGTGAGTTTGTCTATTTTAGATTTCAAATACAAGTGAAATCATATAGTAATTGTCATTCTGTGGTTGGTCTATTTCATATAACGTAATGCCCTCCAAGTCCATCCATGTTGTCACAAATGACAGGGTTTCATTATTATGTAACACTGAATAATATTCTATTGCTTATATGTATTAGCCATTTATCCTGATACTCTCCCTCCACCTGCCTCCCAACAGGCCCCAGTGTGTGTTGTTCCCCTCCTAATATCCATGTGTTCTCACCATTCTGCTCCCACTTGTAAGTGAGAATGTGCAGTGTTTGGTTTTCTGTTCCTGGGTTAGTTTGCTGAGGATAATGGCTTCCAGCTCCATTCATTTTCCTGCAAAGAACATGATCTTATTCTTTTTTGTGGCTGCATAGTATTCCATGGTGTGTATGTACCATATTTTCTTTATCCAGTCTGTCACTGATGGACATTTGGGTTGATTCCATGTCTTTGCTATTGTGAATAGTGCTGCAATGAACATATTATAATAGAATGATTTATATTCCCTTGGGTATATACCCAGTAATGGGATGGCTGGGTCAAGTGGTATTTCTGGTTGTAGGTCTTTGAGGAATCACCGTACTGTCTTTGACAATAGTTGAACTAATTTACATTCCCACCAACAGTGTAAAAGTGTTCTTATATCTCAACAGCCTCATCAGCAGGTAGTTTTATTTTAAAAATTTTTGAGAAACCTTCATACTATTATCTGAAATGGACATAGTAATTTGTATTTCCACCACAAGTATACAAGGGTTATCTTTTCTCCGCATCCTCACTAATACTTGTTATACATCTTTTTGATAATAACTATTCTAAGAGGTATCAGTTGATATTTCACGGTGGTTTTTATTTGCATTCCCCTGATGATTAGAGATGGTAAGAATTTTTTCATATATTTGTTGGCCATTTGTATCTGTTCTTCTGGGAAATGTCTATTCAGATCTTTGCCCATTTTTTTTTTTTTTTTGAGATGGAGTCTCGCTCTGTCACCCAGGCTGGAGTGCAGTGGCATGATCTCGGCTCACTACAAGCTCCACCTCCCAGGTTCACGCCATTCTCCTGCCTCAGCCTCCCAAGTAGCTGGGACTACAGGCACCCGCCACCATGCTCAGCTAATTTTTTGTAATTTTTTTTTTTTTTTTTTTTTTTTTTTTTTTTTTTTTTTTTTTTTTTTTTAGTGGAGACAGGGTTTCACCATGTTAGCCAGATCTTTGTCCATTTAAAAAAAAAATCAACTTTTATTTTAGATTCAGGGTATGCATGTGCAGGTTTTTATATTGGCACATTGTGTGATGCTGAGGCTTGGAGTATGAATGATCTTGTAACACAGATAGAAAACATAATACCCAATAGATAGTTTTTCAGGCCTTTGTCCCCACCTTCCCTTCCCCGTCTAGTAGTCCCCAGTGTCTGTTGTTCCAATCTTTACATCCATGTGCAACCAATGCTTTTTTCTCACTTATAACTAAGAACATACGGTATTTGGTTTTCTCTTCCTGCATTATTTTAGAATAATGGCCTCCAGCTGCATCCATGTTGGTGCGAAGGACGTAATTTTTTTATGGTTGCATAGTATTCCATGGTGTACATATACTGTATTTTGTCTATCCACTCTAACATTGATGGACATCTAGGTTGATTCCATGGCTTTGCTATTGCAAATAATGCTATAATAAATATATGAGTGCACACGTCTTTATGGTAGAACAATTTGTTTTCTTTTGGATATAAGGGTCAGTCCCCATGGCTGCTGTCAAGGGCCAGTGTTGAGTGCCTGCAGCTTTTCCAGGCTCAGGGTGCAAGCTGTCAGTGGATCTACCATTCTAGGGTCTGGAGGATGGTGGCTGTCTTCTCAGAGCTCCACTAGACAGTGCCCCAGTGTGGACTCTGTGGGGGCTCCAACCCCACATTTTGCATCTGCACTGCTGTAGTAGACATTCGCCATGAAGTCTCCACCCAGCAGACTTCTACTGGACATACAGGCTTTTCCATACATCTTTAGAAATCCAGGCGAAGGCTTCTGATATGGTTTGTCTCTGTGTCCCCACCCAAATCTCACCTCAAATTGTACTCCCATAATTCCCACATGTTGTGGGGGGACCCAGTGGCGATAACTGAATCATGGGGGCAGTTTCTCCCATGCTGTTCTCGTGGTAGTGAGTAAGTCTCACGAGTTCTGATGGTTTGATAAGGGGAAACCAGTTTTGCTTGGCTGTCATTCTCTCACTTGCCTGCTGTGATGTAAGACATGCCTTTTCCCTTCTGCCTCCCCCCAGCCATGTGGAACTGTAAGTCCAATTAAACCTCTTTCTTTTGTAAATTGCCCAGTCTCAGGTATATCTTTATCAGCAGTGTACTCCTGTACTTTGTGCACTTGCAGGTTTAATACACCATGGAAATTGCCAAGGCTTATGGCTTGCACCCTCTAAAGCAGTGGCCCAAACTATGTCTGGGGCCCTTTTAGCCATGGCTGGAGCTGGAGTGGCTGAGACCTAGAATGCTGTGAGCACTGTCCTGCGCTTGCACTGGGCCCAGCCCACAAAACCATTCTTCCCTCCTAGGCCTCCAGGCCTTTGAGGGGAGGGGCTTCCACCCGCCAAGGTCTCTGAAATGTCTTTGAGGCCCTGTCTTCATTGTCTTCTATTAGCATCTGCTTTCCTTTTAGTTACCCAAATTTCTGCAGCCTGCTTGAATTTCAGACAATACCAGTGGTCTTACAAGTACTACATGACCCCTATAACACTTCCTGACTTCATTTATGCAATATATTTTATTTTTTTACATCATCATGAACATTGAAACTTTTTATATCTATTCACCTTCCATTTGTTTTCAAGTCCAGTTTACCTCCAAAGAATTTTAGAATATAGAGTCTCCATAAGACTCTAGTTTGTCTGGTTTCTTGCTGTATCCCTTGACTGTAAATGCTTTCTAGTACATATAATACACTCAAAAGTACTTATGAATAAAAAAAGGAATTAATGTTCATATTTTTCCTTCAAAATAGCCTTAACTCTGGTTTCCAACTTTATGTGAGGGTTTTTAGTAGTAGTCTCAAAAATCCAATCAAATTGAACAGGGAGTGTCTCCAGAATGAAGTTTTTGATTCGATTCAGTGTCTGTGCAATCAGGGCATGTCTCTTGGAATGTAGTGGTGATTACGTTTATTATTTTTTTTTTTCATATATAAGGGGAAGCCAATCAGAGGATGCATTTTCCCAGAGAAGGAGCATCTGAAGACTCTCTTGGGGAAAGAGAGTCTTGCTGCTTGCTTGTGGGACTTGCCTTGGAGGGTAGTTAAGTTCACTGCATCCTCCAACTTTTTATTTCTGGTGAGTTCTCCAAGCACTGAGATGTGAACTGGCCTCATTCCCTTACAATGATACTGTTACAAGTAGAAGAGATTCCAGTTACTGGCAGCATATCTGCATAGGTCCATAAGCAACTTCAGTCCTTGCCTCCTCAGAAGAAAGAATTTGACTGAAGGGCATACAGTGGAAAAACAGACTGAGCGGTAAGTTTCAGAACAGGAGTGGAAGTTTATTTAAAAAGGCTTTAGAACAGGAAAGAGAGTAAAATTCTCTTGGAAGAGACCCGAGCAGATGCCTGAAGATCCAAGAAAGAAAAGAGAAGAGGCTTTAACCTTGATCCTGCGATGGTTTTGCCTCTTTCCCATGATTCTTCCTTTAGGGAGAGTTTCCGCCATGGGCAGTACTTTCCTTACCCTTTGAAATTGAGCATGCACGGTGTGTTTAGGGAGTTATTTGCATGTCCATCTGAAGCTTTCTTTCCTTTTCCGGTAGAGTGTGGCCCCGGAAGATTATGCTTTGCCATTTTTGTCTCTTAACATGCATGCCCAAGAAGTTGCTTCTTCCTGGGTTCTGCATTTAATTCACATTTTTGATGTTAACAGATGTAGACCATCAGGAAATGGCCTCTCTCTGGTGCTGCCTAATTATCATTTTTAGAGAGGCAATGTGATAACTGACAGGCCATAACCTGACATTTCTAGTGGGTAGGGTAAGAGCCCTCCTCCTGCCCTGCTCATACTCTTCTACCTGTAACAAGACAAGCCTTGTATATCATTAGATATTTGTCCCATCAAGGCAGCATCTCATTATTACATTTTATTGTGTGAATTGTTACTTCACATTCTCATATTCTGTGTTCACTATTTGTGTGCCTTTTCCATTTCTGTTTTGACCATATCTCATTATTTTAACTGCCTCCTCCAAGATTCTAGATCTGCATTGGCCAATATAGTAACTACTAGTCACATGTGACTATAAATTGTAAATTAATTATAATTAAATAACTAAATGGCATATCCTTAGTAGTAATAGCCAAAGTCGTGGCCAAACTAGAAATTCTGTAACTACATATTTGTGGTAGTTACTGCATTGGACAATGCAGATATAGAGAAGTTCTTTCATCACAGAAAATCGTGTTGGGCATGTTGGCTACCACTTATTTTTAAATTCTATTTGTGTGGTTTATAGTTAAATTATATTCTGCTTCTCTATATTCATTTCCTTTCACAGATTTTCTCAAGCAATTTTTAAATTTCATTCATTTACCTTATTAAGGTAAGTACTTAATTTTTTAAAAATAATGTACAGCAAATAATTTTTCCATGGATATTATTTTAGGTTTATTTTATTGGTACTTTTATGTACTATATTCAGGTATTATTATTTTTCATAACTTACTTTAAAAATTGTGCCAAGTTTATTTAAAATAGATTTCTCCCTTGATTTTCAGATGTTAGATTCTGTCTTCTATTGCTGTTTTTTAATTTAATTTTATTTTATTGTATGTAAATATGTTGTATATTCCTTTTTTTAAAATGCGAGATTTTTCCTCTCTCCTGTTACACAAACTTTGTATGCAGTGTTCATTATGCACTTTAAAAATAAATATTTTGTTTCAGGGCATGGTGATTTCACACATAAGACCTTAGAATAATTTTAAATTCCATTCCATTTTCACCATTCCTGAACTGCTTTGAATATATTGGATGTTGGAAGCCATGAGAGGCTTGGAATCCTGTCAAGATAATAGGATTTTCCATTTATGGTGTAATCTGATATATATTCGTTTTGGTTTCATACTTTAAAAAAATCTATTCTCTTTTACTCTGTGGTGATCTTTGCATTTCTATTTGTTCATTGCTAGAATGTCAGCTGCTGTTTCCCTAACAAGCACCTGAGATGTCATTCAACATTGTATAGCACTGGTGTTGAGAATTGAGAGAATCTACTAAATAATAACACTTTTCGAGACTGCAGTTCTGAATTAAAGGAAGGGAAAGGACAGGCAAAAGAATATAGACATCAGCTATTTTTACTGAAGATCTGTTGGAGAACATGGTTTTGTTGTCCAGGAACTTGAGACCTAATAATGCATTCCTAATACTTCACTAAGGTGTGTCTAAATAGCCGTGAAAGGGCTAGGAAGTCACAAGTCGGCCTCTTAATTTTTACGGATGCCCTTAAAATATTAAGGTAATATTGAGGATGCAGAATGGCTCCTTCCTCATGACTTTTTAAGAGATCTGGGCCGGGCACGGTGGCTCACGCCTGTAATCCCAACACTCTGAGAGGCGGAGGCTGGAGGATTACCTGAGGTCAGGAGTTTTAGACCAGCTTGACCAAAATGGAGAAACCCCGTCTCGACTAAAAATACAAAATTAGCCAAGCACGATGGCGCATGCCTGTCATCCCAGCTACTCAGGAGGCTGAGGCTGGAGAATTGCTTGAACCCGGGAGGTGGAGGTTGCGGTGAGCCGGGATCACGCCACTGCACTCCAGCCTGGGCAACAAGAGTGAAACTCCGCCAAAAAAAAAAAAAAAAAAAAAGAGAGAGACATCTGGAGGGAGATACTAAGCTGTACAGGCTCTCATCTTGAAGTCACCAAATACATAAGTTGTTATTCCTGCTCTGGTGAAAAGTTTGTTAATACATTTTTTTTCCATGAATTAATGAAAATTTTAGACCCATAACATAAGTTTTTAAAAGTTTCTCCTAAAGATTGCTTGTGTATGTATGTGTTTTAAAATATATTGAATCTGTACATCTTGAAATAGTTTTTATAGATTCCACACAAGAGTCCTTTATGAAATAAGTATGCTTTAACTTTCTTATAATATTTGTCCTTTTTCTTCCCTGGCACAGTCTGTATATGATCAGTTAAATGACTTTTCATTCATGTTTGGGTTATAATTACACACAAATATTCTCTAAAGCCCAAATCTTATTTTGATATTCGAGGAAGAGTTTACATGGTAATAATATTAAGGGTTACAGCTGGTTTCACTGAAGATTTGTAGGCCTTCTCTAATATCTTATTTTTTTGAGGGAATATCTGTTCTGCTTGAATTATAGACTACATAATACATGTACTGTCAGGTACATTCATGGAAGGGACAGGCAGATGGAGTCATATGTTACTGGAATCTTGATGAACAGATGTAGAAAATAGTCCAAGGAATAAGAAAAAATTTCATAATGAAAAGTGCTTGTTGAAGTCTGTAAATGTGCATTAAATGTGGCAGTAAAAATAGACAAAATGATGTTTGGGAACTGGGGTCTAAATACTGGAGTCCCCAGAATCATAGAGAACCTTGGTTAGGGGAGTAATTTTGTCAAAAAGCAAGAAAAGGCATCGACAGGCAGAATATAATTAAAAGTATTGCTGGGTCATTTTCTAATTTTGTAATTTTGTCATATTTTTCAAACTGTTGATCCTTTATTAAATTGGTAAATAAACTGTAATCAGCAGGGGTATTATGAGGGTTAAATAAGGAAATATATGTACATCTGTAAGCACAATGTCACAATTAATACAAAGTTACCCTTTTTATTTTTCCTGGACTTCATGTACAAATGTGTCAGTAAATTTTTTGTTTATGACACATAACTATCATTTGTACATAAAATATATTTAATTATTCTTATATTTTTAGCAGGGAAATAATACATGCATGTTTCCCCCTGTCTCAAACACATACATTCATATAAACATATGCACCTATATACCTACATATCTATGTATGAATATATACATGGACATCAGTATTTCTCAGCAAATATGTATCATGATAATCAGAGATATTGCAACTAACAAAGACTAATATAAACCATGATTGCAAGAATTTTAGATACCACATTAGTAAAATATCAGATTGAGCTGCTAAATTTCTCCCACCCCTAAGTCATTTTGTATTTTCTGAGCATCCTAGAGGATTGTGACTGTATACACAGGAAAGAAACACCATGACTCAGGGTACTCCTGCTAATTTCTGATGCAGGAGATTTTAAGGGCTAGATTAGCAGGATGGGAGTGTTGACCCTCTAAGGGTAGCAGGATGGGAGTGTTGACCCTCTAAGGGAAATAAATCCCTGAATTGATTATCCCTATCCTAAAACAGATTTTTTTTTTTGAGACAGAGTCTCGCTCTGTCGCCCTCGCTGGAGTGCAGTCGTGGGATCTCGGCTCACTGTAATCTCTGCCTCCTGGGTTCAAGAGATTCTCCTGCTTCAGCCTCCTGAGTAGCTGGGATTACAGGCAAGCACCACCACAGCTAGCTAATTTTTGTATTTTTAGTAGAGATGGGGTTTCACCATGTTGGCCAGGCTAGTCTCGAACCCTTGACCTCAGGTGATCCACCTGCCTTGGCCTCCCAAAGTTCTGGGATTACAGGTGTGAGCCACCGCACTTGACCCTAAAACAGATTCTTACTTGATTATTTCCAAGTTCCAAAGGGAAATACAAAAGTCGGAGTTGAGTGAAAGTAAAAGTGGAGTAAGGCTTCAGGAGGCTGTGGTGGGTGTTGGAGAAACATTGCTAGGGCATAAAGCTAGGATAATAAAATCTGAGAAACCCCAGTGTTTATCTATAGGTGGAAATCATATTCCACATGTAGATGGAGTCAGGGATCCCTGTGTTTTAAAATCAGCGAGGGAATTGAATATCTGGACTTGTGCCAATTAACATACAAAATTCCGTGCTTTTGATGTTCTCATTCACAAAATATCTGTGTTCCTTCTTGGTTAGCAACCATAGTCATAGGCTTCCTAATTTTGACCACAGGAAAAGAGGAGAGGCCTCTGTGTGTCTGTGTCTGTTGATTAGGCTGTGGTGTAGGTGGTGTCACACTTCAGTGAAAGTCTGGCTTTTCATCACAGGTTGATCTGAAAATTGTGCACAAGACTGGTGTCTCACATGTTCTTTCTCCAACCTCAGCTTTTCTTAGTGCCTAAAGTGTCTGCAAGTGGAAATCCAGAGAAAGACAGAGAGAAATTGAGTTCCTGACAATGCATTCACTAGTGAGTAGGGGATGCCTCTTTCTACTGAAATTATACCTATATTGCTGGCAAACGGGCAGTTTTCTCCAATTTGCATGGGTGTTTCATTTTTATTCTTTTTTTTGTTTGTTTTTATGATGTAAAATCCACCCAGCCTGGGTGTTCCAAATGCAATCAGGAGGCTTTCAGGTATCTGGTCTCCAATTAAGTTTTCTCAGGACTTTAGGTTGGGTATCGTGTGTCAAAGACTCCTAAATTATCAATATAATTTCTAATATTACACTACTTTATTCCAGCCCCTATTAAGGCTATTTACAAAAAAAAGATATGAAAGGTTTCATTTATATATTTCTTTTTCTTCTATCCATCCTATAATCTCATAGGGAAATAATTGACCCATTAACTGTACTGTTGGCTGAAATAGACTTAGGATTGTGATGAATGCAGGTGATAGAGATGAGTAAGAGCAGAACATCACAGCCCAACAATGAGTCTGATGTTCTAGCAGCTGAGTTCAATAAATCCAGTGTGATAGGACTTGGGTAAGAGCTGTGCAGTGTTGAGGGAAAAGAAGAGTTTGATAAAATATATTTGAGCTTTTAAAAACTTTGTGAAAGGACAACTAAAGAAGTCATTATTATTCTTATCCCCATTCATTTTACCTTTTGGTAATTAACCTTTTTGCCTTCTGGTAGCTGTAAGTAACATATAAGAAATATAATTATTTAATTATGGTTGCACACTCAGAAGAAGGAATATAGTAGATAGAGTACAATTTAGGGTTCTGTGGAAATGCTTTATAAGGGCTAGTTAGAAAAAAAAAACAATGAAGAGGCTTTTTTAATCTTTGAACAAGTGAAGTGACGAGGTAAATTTAAAAGAGAAACAATGACAACTGATGTTTGGATTGCCGAGAGAAAGTTGAGAACAGGAGGCTTCATATCACAGGAATCACCAGACTAAGATTTCCTCAGTATAGCAGCCTCAGCGGTCTTGTCTTGTGCTGCTAGACTGTCTTTAAGCCTTGTCATGAACACCTGAATTATATAACATTAGAGAGACTATATGTATGAATTGAATCCTATATTCTGCATAAAGCTTGTTCAGTTCTGAAGAATGCTGGAGTCTGGGTCATTACTTTCTAACTTTTTAATGAGTAAGGGACCAATGACTTATATTTAATAAATATTTGCTAGATAGGAAACACGTTTTCTATTAGTTCATTAGATTATTCAAAACACATCATAGGTCTTTTAACCATTTGATTGGTGAGAAACCTGTGGTTCATCTAGAGAAATAATTTATTTCATCACAGTCATGTTTAAAAAGTAGTAAATCATGGTTATTTGCCTTGTGGCAAATCTGTAATTTACTTGAAATTCATGGTAAATTTCATTTTATTTATGAATGTTCAAGTGAAAATTTTATAATCAGTTATGTAGAGGTGATTAACACATTACTGAAAAATATCTGGGTTATATTATGCCACACCTCATGCGATATTTCTTTATAGTAAAGTTTAATGGATTCAGAGTGGGTATATCTCTGTGAGTGAATCTGAAAGGCAGATACCAGCTTAGCACTGAGAATGAACTGGCTGGAACCAAAACACTGATTATTCTGCATACCCAGCTCCTAGCTATGTCATCTCAGCCTTCCCCTTCCGGACATTGAAAGGGATTTCTCTGTCTAAACTAAAATGTCTGTGATGTTTTAGAAGAAAGTGACTTTTGAAGATGTAGCTATTGACTTCACCCAGGAAGAGTGGGCCATGATGGACACATCCAAGAGAAAGCTGTACAGAGATGTGACGCTGGAAAATATCAGTCATCTGGTGTCCCTCGGTGAGTCCCTCAACATTCACGTACATATGTAGACACACATTCGCTCATTCATTCAATAAGTGTTAGAACAGCTTCCCCACATCTCACTCTAATCTCTTCTCTGCTTCTCTCACAGATCTCATCTGAAAAAAGTTTGAACTCTCTAAATCTATCTGAAATAAATATCTTTCTTTTTATTTTATTTTATTTAGTTTGTCACTCAATTAGAATGTAGTCTTGACAAGGATTTCATGGTTTCTTTGGTACTCAGTCTCTAATACTCATAACAGACCTGGGAACTTGATGAATATTTTCAATGTATTACATTAAATATTTTCTAAATAACTCTTTTGCTTTAGTCTATGCCTAGGCTGAGACCAATTAGTGAAAACAATAGCAATATCTTTTCCATATAGAACACCAATTATATTTCTAAAACGAATGATTTTTTTGTTGTGCGTGAGAATAATAATAAACACACTGTGCAGAGATTTAATTACTCTCTTTCTGAAAAGATTGTGTATTATGCATTGTGTCTTGGAACTTAGGCATGGACTCAGCATTCATAGGTCTTGACTGTTTTGAATTTCCTTTTCCTGATGGACCTTTGGTTTGGATTTATTTTCTAGTCTCACGTTGGGTCAGAAAAATCCTGGGGAGTTTTCTGTGTTCTAGGTCTTGTGGCCTGAGCTGACCTTCACTGTTTTTATTCTTCCTTGATAGCCTGCCTTACACTTGGTGATAATGCACATTTATTGACAGTGAACTCAAAACACATGTATTCTTTCCACTAACAGGGTACCAGATGAGCAAATCCTATATAATTTTGCAGCTGGAGCAAGGAAAAGAGCTGTGGCGGGAAGGAAGAGAATTTCTTCAAGACCAGAATCCAGGTAAGCAACAGGGTCCTGTGCTCTAATAGGAGGAGGTGCTTTGTCAATGAATAATATCAGTTGAATATTAATTAGTGGTTTTATTAAATGAGTGATAATTTCTAAAATGTAGGCTAGGCTACTGGAGCAGAATTCCTTAGATGTTATTATCATTTTGTTCATGTGTCAGATGCTACTCTTGTGTCCTCTTTTTTTTCTTTTCTTTTACTTTTGGGAAAAGGATAATTCATGTACTTGGCTGGGGTTAAACTTTCATATGCTGACTCTTTTCCTGATACCCCTGTGAAGACTATCCCTCTATTTACCTGCCTGATATCTCATCTCCATTTTAACTCTTTTCACATTTTAATTTTAAAAATCTTTTCTAATTGCTGACACTGTACAATCTATTTCTTCTATTCAAGTAGTTTCTTCATTTGACACACTTGCCACATCTAAGTGTCAATTTTTGAAAAAAAGTGAATGGGCCTTGGGGCTTTTCAAACAATTTTATTACCATAATACCAATGTAACAATTTATTTTTCAATTATTTCAGACAGGGAAAGTGCCCTTAAGAAAACACACACGATATCCATGCATCCTATCATCAGAAAAGATGCATCCACCAGTATGACAATGGTAAGTTTTATAGCTGTGTACACCAGTCATCTAAGTTAAAGACATGGTAATGGGTTAAGTTAGTAATGAAGCACAATCACCTGAGTGTAATTAGGCTGGCATTAAGTGCTTTGTAAGCAAAAAAAAAAATTAGATGCTTTGAATTTAGTGAATACATTGACCTGTGTTCTAAACCATAATATGAGATCTCTAAAATAGAACAAGTGCATATACATTGCTCATGCCCAGGCATTGAAAGATATTTACATAATCACAATTATGCAATAACTCTGCAGTTGAGATGTTACAGAAGAGAACATATCTGTGTCTGCAGGAGATAACGTGTATGCAAATGTCAATCGAGAAAAATGACAAGACAAGTCTCAATAATTTTAGGAGAATTATTTGCCAAAGTTAAGGACATGCACCCAGGGGACAGGTGTATGCCTTTCTCCAAAGATGATTTTGAAGGCTCCAAATTTAAAGGGGAAAGGGTGTGATATTGAGAAGTACACAATTTTCATGTAAAAGGTGGGTAGAAAAAAATAGTCATTCATGCATTTTTCTGGCTCAGTGAATCTGGATTTTTTTACATAAGATGACATAAACAAATGAGGCAGAGGAATAATGCAGCAAAGCTGCATTTTACATAAGACAACATAGGCAAAATGGGGCAGGGAAACAATCATATATGCATTTGTGTCTGGTGAACTGGGGGTGACTGCACCTGTAAAGACAAGTTATCAGTTTGCATTGCCATGGTGTAATTTTAACAGCTCATGAGGGATTTCCTCATGGGCAAAATATGGGGGAGGCATGTAGCTTTTCATCTTGTAGCCATATTATTTAGGAACCAGAAGGGGGAGGCAGGTTTGTGTGACCCAATTCCCAGCTTGATTTTCCCTTTGGTTAAATGAGTTTGGGGTCCCAAAATTTAATTTCCTTTCACACAAGAAACATTGGAAAGATTTCAACTGGGGTCTACCACTGAATGGTTGGTCTAGGATTCAAAGGTAGTGAAATGAATGTATAGATATATGTGGGTAAACCATTAAGAGCTTTAAATCTTTGCCCCAAAGGAGAACTCTCTCATTCTGGATGATCCTTTTGAATGTAATGATTTGGGAGAAGGTTGCACTCACAGTTCCACAATAACTCAGTGTTTGTTAACTCATAGTGGAAAGAAACCCTATGTCAGCAAACAGTGTGGAAAATGCCTTCATAATCTTTTGTCCCCTAAACCACATAAACAAATTCATACTAAAGGTAAATCATATCAGTGTAATCTTTGTGAAAAGGCCTATACTAATTGTTTTCACCTTAGATGGCACAAGATGACTCACACTGGAGAGAGGCCAAATGCATGTCATCTATGTAGAAAAGCCTTCACTCAGTGTTCTCACCTTAGAAGGCATGAGAAAACTCACACGGGACAGAGACCATATAAGTCTTCAATGTGGGAAAGCCTTTATTCAATCCTTTAACCTTTGAAGACATGAGAGAACTCACCTTGGAAAAAAGTGCTATGAATGTGATAAAAGTGGGAAAGCCTTTAGTCAAAGCTCTGGCTTTAGAGGAAACAAAATAATTCACACTGGAGAGAAACCACATGCTTGCCTTCTATGTGGGAAGGCCTTCAGTCTGTCTTCCGACCTTAGATGACATGAGAGAACAAGCACTGGAGAAAAGCCATATGAATGCCATTTATGTGGGAAAGCCTTCAGTCAATGTACTAATCTTAAATAGCATCAGAAAATTCACCCAGGAGAGAAAATTATAAACTTCTTCAGAACATATTCTGACTTTAGATGACACGGTGATAGGAATGACGAAGGTAAGGAATGTGGAAGAGACTTCAGCTGTAGTTGTAGCATCTAAAAATGCCAAAGGACTCACATTTTGAAGAAATACTGTAAACAACATGGAAGATACTTCAGTTACCTTTATTCTTCAGTCCACATCAATACATTCATATGGAAGAGAAATTGTATGACATGTATGTACCAAAGACTTGTTAGTGATCTGAGCATAAATGACATGAGAGAGCTGAAACTGTCAACATAATCAACTAAAAGTCTTCAGCAACAGCTTTAACTTAAAACATGTGGGACTTTCAGTTAGAGAATCTCTAACTCTGCATTCAGTGTGAAAATGTTTTTATTTGCAATTTATTGTCAAATAACATGAGAAAACTTTACTTGGATGGACCTTTATTTGTATTTTCTGTGAATAAACATTCAGCCAAGCACCAGGCTTGACGTTCACAAGAAAACACAGTGATAAAATGCTGCTAAAATGGAAAATAAGAGAGGAAAGCCTTCATAAGCTAAATAAGAAGGGAAAGTCTTTCCAAGGGCAATGAATTCTCTTGGAATACCAAACTCTTCTTACTGGAGAAGTTATGCAATGAAAAAATCATGAGAAATCCTTTCTTCATGGAGCAACACTTGTGGCACATGTGAGATTTCACACTGGACAAAACATGGTTAGCATCTTGAAAGGAGAGAATTCTTTAGTGGTAATTCATTTCTTAGTTGACATTAAGTTTCTCACATTGAGGAGACATCAAACTTGAAAATCACTGTGGAGAAACCTGATAGATTTCTCATCAGAAAAGTGAGTCAAGAAGGTGGACCTCTAGAAAAAACACTTAACACATACTTTAGCAAAATAATTCAGAAATTTGAGAAAATATCTATTCATAAAGATGTGGCATGTAAATTCATAATAACAAAGTGACCAGGGAATAAATTGAATGCAGAATTATATAAGAAATCTCATTAAACTTTTCCAAAAGATCAATACTTACAAATATTGAAAGAATACAATCTGTTGTTGAAAAAAGTTAGTATGTTGGCGAAACCCTTGTTTCATTTATACAGCCTTAACAAATCGATTTGCATCTGCACTCCCTGAGTGAGATTCTTGGTCGAGATTCTACCCCAACTTCTGAGTCTCCCCAGTCTTCAACAGCTCTTTCCTCACAGCTCACCTCCCTTTACTTCAACGTCCACTAAAACCACTTGTTTCCATCCAACCCTTGAGTTGACACACCAGGGATCTTCAGTCCCACTTGCTAGATTTCTCAGTGTGTCATTGCATAGATTTAGCAGGGAAATGGAGGCTGTATCAAAGACACCTAGTATATGCATTTGGGTGTCCGCAGCCCTTGCCTCTGTCTCTGAGCAGTTACCTGGAATCAGAGAATAAGGCAGCTCTTCTCTTCTATCCCTCAGAAGGCTCTTGAAATTGTGTCCCTGGAGCCTCTCTAACTGGAAGTAGCAGTTCATCTCATAACACCCCACATTTTATTCAGGTAAGTCCTGAGTTATTACACAGAGACAGACACAGCTGTGCTCCTTTTACTGCAGTCCAGAAGATAAAACACCAGCATGATAAAACAGCCGAACCTGTCAGCCACCTTGCAAGCCTCTCCTATATTTGATTCAATGTACTTTTCCCGAAGCAAAATGAAAGCTCTCACAGAGGGGCCCTCCTCTGCCTTGTCCTGAGAATTGGGAAATGTATTGTCCGTGAAGGAGCCTCACCACTGAACCTAAAACTCAAGAGAAAATATTTCCTGAATATCAAGTGGGATGACTTGAAATTTTGCCAAACAGGCACAATCTTAATACGATCGGCCTTACTAAGGCTAAATGGCCTTACCCATGGTAGAAATTGACACATAATTATATTAAAAAATCTCCACAAGTGATTGATTTTACTCTGCAGCCAGGGTTTATGTCAACTGTGAGGATGATGAGCAAGAAATTCAAGCCCTTGGCAAACTGGTTGGAGAGGAAAGGACTGTGTCCAGGCAGAGCTCATATCATTATTTATTGTTTAATCTATTTAATTAAATATGTAATTTACCCACAAACTGTGGCTGGCATTATATGTACTCCTGAGCCACATTAAGATGTACTATTTGTGCTGTGAAATTCTATGGGATTTGACAAATGCATGGTGGCAGATCTCCAGCCATTATTAAAGCATAACACAGAATGCTTCTTATTCAAGCTCGTCTTCCCTCCACATAGAGGGAATCAATCGACTTTTGTATATTGATTTTTGAATTTGCTTCTTTATTTCCATCTTCTTTAATTAAAGCACAAGATATCGTACTCAATTTCCATTTGATCTTCCAAAAGAAAATTACTGAATAATCCACACCTGAATTTCAGTGATTCAGACTCAGGTCCACCGCTAAGGCCAAACGTCCTGTGCTGCCACCTCATGGCCGGCAGAGGGCAATGAAACCCATCTTTCCGGCCATGCAGGGCGCATGCGCGGTCTGCCTCCCGCGGCGGGCCGGGTCTCCAGGGAGGACCTGAGTTTTCTTCACCCATGGTCAGGGAGGCGCCATCGCCCTGGCTTTGGGGCTGGGGCCTCCGGGGAGGTTCCGGTAGGGGCGTTGGAGAGGCCGCCCTTTTTGCAAGGCCCGAGACGGCGGGACCTGCACAAGCCGCCCTATTCCATGCCCTCAGGGCGTCAGTATCCGCCTCAGGCCAGATAACCCCTCTGGGCCCCGGGTGCCCCCGCTGGGCCCGGAGCATCCTCGGCGCTGCCCTCCCAGAGCCCCGCAGAGGCTGAGGTGGCACGGGTTGGAGGGCCTGGCTCTGCGAGAAGCGGCGGCAGCGAGGGCTGGAGGACCCGGGCTACGTGGCTCTGGGGCGTCTGGCCTGGGTGGGACTGAGCCCATCCAGGGACTGGGACTCCGGGGTTCTGGTGTAGGTGGATCCGGGGCAGGCTCAGGACCAAGTCCCTCTCCTTCCACCAAGGAGCACCCAGAGGCCGGCGGGAGCTCCAGGTTCACCTCCTCTTCCTCCAGGTGTTTACTTTTCCTTTATTTCTGTGAGGCCAGAAATTGTCGCCATCCTTCATATCGGTGAATCGGGACCCTAACACTCATTACCTCAGGTTTATTGTTATTGCCATTAACAGTGTTGGTGGCATTATCACTAAGATCATCATTGTTATTATTATTGTCATTCATGATTATTAGCAGGTGTGTTCACCATTTTGTCTCAGTATGCATATATTTTTTTTTTTTGGGGGGGGGGATTGGTTTTGTATGACGTTGAATTGAGCTTCTTTAATCTTGACCAGTGTTGTCAGATTTCTGAAGAGAATTCCGGAGGGCAACTCCTGCCGTTCAGTGCAGCCACAGAATTTCGTGGGCACAGGAGAGCGCCTAGAATATTCCCCTTTCATTGCACAGCAGCTTTGGGAAATATTGGCGACCTGGCTCTGAGATGAGGTAGAAAAGACTGGATACTGGGGCAAGTGTTAGCACCTCCACTGGTGTTTTTATGAAGCTAAGCGCACTGTCTCCCACGTAGACTTAGAATAAAATTTGATGGCTCTAAAGGGCCCTGGCTGCCCTTCCTGGGACTTCCTGGGAAAGTTTAAACCTTCTGTGGTTCCTGGAGTAGGTAGGTTGCCAAGTCTGTGCCTCATATGGTAGCACCAGTCTTTTCTGGGCCAACAAGGGCACTTAGAATGTTTCCAGACGCTCAGGCATGCTGACTCTTTTCCTCCCTTCTGTTCAATGGCAATTCACTGGGTCCCTGGCTGACATAGAACATCCTGCAGAAGATTGGGCTTGGGTGACTTCCTGGCCAGCTTTCCCAGGCAGTCATCTTTGAAAACCTTGAAGAGACTCACAGAGGCCATTCACTGGTATTTCATGACTTTAAGTGGGGTTTCTGGATCCTTGAGTTTACTTAGAATATTTGAATGGCTCTGAATGGCCAAGAAACCCTCCCTGGTCTTAGAAGCTGCCAAAAGCTATTACTGGGCCTCTGAAGAGACTTTTAAAATTTTCCAAGTACATTTGGGCATAGGAAACTTTTCCAGGTCTAGCTGAGCCAACTCAGGTCGAGTCCTGAAAAACTGGTGGGTACTGGGGGATCTCATCTTACGATAGAGCAATTGGTGGCAAAGCTGGGTCTCCAGGACAGCTGTGTGTGTATATGTCTGTAGATCATGCCTTGTAGTCATCTTTGGTAACTGAACACCATTTGTGAATGGATAAACTATATTCATTGCTGTACAATAATGAAAAATCCATATGAACAATGGCAGTAATAAAAATATTGATGGATATTAACAGGAATAATGATCATCATGATACTAGTACTAATGGTTTTAATACTGATAATAAACTAACCCTATGGACTTGGGACATATAAGTTTTCCATAAGTGAATAACAGGCATAAATATTTGGCTGTGTAGGGTTATTTCAAGTCCCAAAAAGCAAGGATGAACATCTAGAACGAGAAGAAAAACAATCTGGAGGTTAGTATGTGCACACCTGGGGACTCCTGTGTTAACTTCTGGTGTTTCAGCCTAAGAGGGAATGTTAATATAATCCTGGTCCTGGAACACCATGCTGACCAACACCTACCAGCTTTCAGTAGATAAGACAGCTGGCTGATGGGGTAGGGATCCAGAGAAGGCATGGGTCCACACCTGCACATGTTGCCCAGTGGCAGAGTTCATGACAAGCAATAAGCTCCAGGACAATGTCATTCCCAGCCACCTGGCTGTCATCTGCTCTTTCATGTCCCCTCTCTACTGGTACCTCTAGGCACTGGCATGTCCTCCAGAGGCTGTAGGAGGGCATGATACTCAGTACTCTCCCACCTGCAGGAGGCAAGAACGATGGAAACAGCTAAATACCATGGCTTCTGGATTTTTTTTGGTGGGCATGGCATATTTTGCATTTGCTTTAATAATGGTGGAACCCAGTCAGTGGCTTGTAATACAGATCTAGATGGCTCTGGACACCTGTAGAGATTTTGACAATTTCCAGAAGGTCACAAGTTCTTGCAGGACTTTTTCATGAGTTC
This sequence comes from Homo sapiens, assembly GCF_000001405.40. Taxonomy (NCBI): domain Eukaryota; kingdom Metazoa; phylum Chordata; class Mammalia; order Primates; family Hominidae; genus Homo; species Homo sapiens. Next base: position 9,378,823 of record NC_000004.12, on the reverse strand, counting down.
TTTGACTGAAAAGGTGGTTCAAAGAGCTTCTATACTGACTTAGAAAATGTTGCAGAGGCCAGGTGCGGTGGCTTATGCCTGTAATCCCAGCACTTTGGGAGGCCAAGGCAGGCGGATCATGAGGTCAGGAGTTTGAGACCAGTCTGACTAACATGGTGAAACCCCCTCTCTACTAAAAATACAAAAATTAGCCGGGCGTGGTGACACGCACCTGTAATCCCAGCTACTCAGGAGGCTGAGGCAGGAGAATCGCTTGAACCTGGGAGTTGGATGTTGCAGCGAGCCAAGATCGTGACACTGGACTCCAGCCTGAGCGACAGAGCGAGACTCTATCTCAAAAAATAATAATAATAATAATAAAATAAAAATAAATAAATAAAATAAAAAGGAAGAAAAAAGAAAATGTTGCAGACACTCTGGTGAACAAGTAGGCCCTCTCCTGCCACTCCAGGTAAAAGTTTCTTGGCCAGAAACCTGATTTAGAAATATCCCTTCATCTTAGGTGGGTAACAGAAAGCCATTCATGACCTATCCAAGCATGGAGAGGAGATTTGACTTAGAAAACTCTTAGGTGGACTAGTTTGTGAAAGAAAGTGCATTCTAGGGCTCACAAGCCTACACATAGAGTTGCTATCACATAAAGCATATATATGAATTCTTTCTTAGCCCATGGCAAGATGAGGGTGCACTTCATCAGTCTCCTATGCTGGTATGAATAGGTACTTGCCTGAAAAATAAAAGAATAATTCAGGAAGCCCATTCTTCTACAAGACACCAGGCAGTACAGTAGGAGTCCTGGGGTTGCTGTGGTATTTATGTTTTAAGGTTGTCTTTTAATCATCTTCAGCAAATTCAACAGTCTTCAGGAACATAAAAAAAAATTCAACATTGCATAAAAACGACCACAAATATATCCATGATAAAGAACCCTACCAATATAATAATAACATTAATGACAATCATAATGGTGATGATATAAATCTCAATTTAATGAAGAGAGTAATAAAAAAGCAGATATTTAAGAACATATTCCTGTAAGCCTGTGACAGTGTTCCCATACGAGCCCTCATGTTATTGATTAGATGGAGAAACTTAGGGCTACATCTTGAAATATATTCTGTGATGGCAAAGAAGAGTGGCAGTGGGGAGAATAATTCTGAGCCACATGAGAGCATGGGCAAAAGTGGAGATACCTATACCATGTGGAAATACATTACAAATGGACTATGGCAAAGGGTCTGGCCAGAGTCTTGCCTGACACAGGTCGTACAAAAGCCTTCAGTAGTTCACCCCAAGAAATAGCTGGTCCAGGCTGTAGATGAGAGGCACTGGGCAGACAGATCCACACCCACCTCCTGAGTCTCAGAAGTCTGGTGTTGCATCGAACATTAAGCCCCTAGCCTACTGAGACTTCACCTCCCAGCTGGTCTTCTACCATCTCATTCTTGAGCCCCATCACGTTAGTGTCATCTCCATACTGGAATTGCCAACAATGTCTGATGGAGGGTTTCACCCTGGGTACTTGGTACCGGCAATGTATGAAATACCAGAAGGGAGGCTCCAGGGCTTCCATAGAAGACACATTCTAAAGTTACTCAGGTGATCAAATGGTCATCTCAGAGATTTTCAGTAGAACTGCAGCATTTTGTCAATACCTGAGTGAATGCAGAAAATATCCAGAGGCACGGGCATTCTAGGAACTTCCCTGTGTAAATCAAATACAAGGAATATCTACTTCTGGGCCCAAAAGCTAACTTAGAGGGAAAAAAAGTGAGATGCTGGCAGAAGGCAAATAACTCCACTTCAGTTCCCAAGAGAAAAATGGTTCTGTAACCTCTGAGTTTATTTAGAAAAATTTTGGAGCTTCAGGAAGACCCAGTATATCATTCCTGATGTTTCCAGGACAGATTGGGCAGCTTAGGCCTTTGGGAATATTCTAAGTCCTCTCAGGTTTCCATGGGAGACTGTAACTCTACTCCTAGAGCTCACACTACCCACGAGCAAGCTCATTGTTTTCTAAATATTCCAAGGAAGCAAATCCAGGGTATGCCTGTATTGGTGAGTTTCACTTTGGATGGGCAGGAGAAGACTGAGAATGATACATCCTGAGTTCACTTGGTAAAGGTAGGGGAGCCAAGAAGTCCAGATCTGGAGAGCACCTGCAACACCAGATGGCAGAAGGACAGTAAGGAGGTAAAGTCAGCTATGGAGTTGGAGCTTCATGTTTACTGCATGTAGGATTCTGAGTTCCAGGACTGATGGGCTGGTGGGGATCAGAGACATGTCTTCCTTGCAGGGAGCCAGGCCAAACCAGCCATCTGGTTGCACTACTGAAAGCTTTTGTGTGCCCAGTGGTGGGCAGGACACAAATCACAGTCCCTTCACCTCTGGCTGGTAGTTCTTGATGAGAGAGTTTTGCACACAAATGTTCATTTTAGTCCATGGTCTCCTGCGGCTTGCTTTTCTTTCACCTCCTGTTTTTGATGTTTGCCATCATGGAACACATTTCATAGAGAAATTCTTTGACTCTGACTCCAAATTACACAAGGAGGACCCAATTTGTGAAGTTTTCATATATTTAGGGGAAGCTCCACATTAATTTTTGTATCCTTATGTTTATATTGTCACCAGTATTAAAATTCGTACTATTTAGGTCATTGCGTTCATTATCATGAGTATTAATTATTTTTCATTTATCATTTCTTTTTATTGGTTAATTTTTGTGGCAGCTGTTATATAACAATCAGTAGAGTTTCCCTATTCATGAGAGAAGTCCAAGTTAATGGAGATAACTGGGAGTGTTACTTTACAGGTATGTAAATACAGATAATCTTGGCTGGACTGTGGCTATATTGTCTGGTGTCCCTTTGAGGGTGAAGCCTCTTGTATTATTCTAAGTGACCTCTGGAGAAAGCAACTGTCTCATAATTGCAGGGACGACTTGAGAAGGCATCCTGAGCCTATGCAGAAATGCAGAAACACTTCCATGATCTAAACAACCTATGTGAAGGCCTGAAAGCCAAAACAAGATCCTCTTATTACAAAGCTGTCCAACAAAAAGTTTTCCAAGTAACACTGGAGGTCCATCAGTCACTCTTCCAGGTCTGGAAATGCCAGAAATGTGCTCCTTGGTCCTTCTGAGAGCCAAGATGTTTTCAAAATCACCTCAGAAGCCACAGAACCACTCCATCCTACCTGAAATTGCAGGATGACTCTTCTTTTGACCAGAGTCTCAAAAATATATTCGTTGATAGTTTTGATTCCTGGGAGCCGCCATTGCTTGCAAAAGATGTGCCAGAGACTAGACATTTTCTATCTCCTCACTTGTTTGGGGAAGACTGAAGTTTTACTGAAACACAGAGATGGGAATCTGACCCTCTGAGCAGCCTCAGGATTTTCTAAGTCTTCCAAGCAGAGTGGAAATACTGGTGAGGACCCATTGAACCCCTGATGGTCTGGAATCACATAGGATGATGCTTTCAAACAACTCTAGGTGGAGATACATTTTCTGAGATATTCCAAGGAGGAGGGACACAACTGGACCAGATGTTAGAAGGAGAGCTGAGCATTAAGTGCCTATGTAGTGTTTGCAGCTTGGTGTCCCATGCAGAAGGGGAATCTGGGCCCTGGTGTTAGAATTCAGTGTAATTCTGGGTTCCTGCTTTCCTTCCAGGAAATCCCACTTCCAACTGGATGTCTGGATGAACTACTGAAAGCTGCTGAGTGTCCTGCAGCAGGTGAGCTGTGGCCAGAGCCCAAGGATGAAGGGGGCTCCCTCACTCTGTGACTGTGAAGAGGAAGCCTGAGGTGTAGCAGGCCCTGGCCCCAGAAGTATGGAAAAAATGAGGTAGGGAGGGAGGGGACCTCAGGAGAAGACTGAGGTCTACAGAATCCCAGGATCAAGGGGATGGTACGGTGTCCTGGCACTGTCCTTGATGTTCCAAGAGGGGTGAGAATCCATCTCCTGAGTAAAAACTTCACATAGGGTGAGGAGTGGAGGCCAAGACAGCGATCAGCCTTACAGCAATTTTAACCAGAAATGGACACAGACCCTGGACCCCATCACAGGAGTGCAGGCCTAGGACTGTCTCCAGGTGAGGCATAGCTCCCTTGTCAGGTTAGTGGGTGCAGGGATTGTGGCGTCTGCAGGGGTGTGGAAGGCTGGGCAACGGGAGCAGATTACTGGGCTGGACAAGAAATACTGAACTTCTTTTCCATCAGTGAAATCTGCTTCTGGGTCAGAAAAAACTGCGAGTTCTAGAGGGGCAGGGCCTAGGAGGAGGTCAGGTCCTGAGCCTTCCTGGTTTGACCCCCTCCTACCCCCTGTGTTTCTGGGTATGTCCTCACTTCCACCCAGCGGATCCTGAGTCTCTTCCTTTGAGTCCCTGTGAGTGTGTTGTGTGCAGTGGGGCCGGGCTGCTTCATCCACTGCAAGTTAAATGCTTCCAATACTTTCTGGCCAAAGCTTAGAGTTGTCAGACCACTGACTTTGAATGTTGATCTGGTTCCTTGTGGAACAGAGTGGTAGCTATTGAAGTTTAAAGTCACTTTCGTGCGTGGATGGTAAAGAGGCAGGCTGTTCAGGCATAACTGCCCTCAGGCCTGGAGGGCTGTGGAGGTCACCGTGGGCATTGGGTGGATCCGGAACCTCTGTGTCTCTAGACTTTCAACTATTTCATTTTTTCTTTTGTAGTTTTTGTTTGTTGCTTGCTTTTTTACAATGGGAAGTAGAATGTAAGATGCCAAACTCAGCCTGTGGGGAACACGAATTTTCACAACAGCAACCACAGAGCGTGGTTTCCATTTCTATTCCCTGTTCATGTGGGAGGCAGAGAAGGAAATCAGGTGCTCAGTTCCAGGGACATCACAGGACTAGGACATGTGCAGTGAGGGTGGAAGGCGGAGGCATTGCTTTAGGAGAATAAAATTACTGCATGCACACACATATGTATGTATATGGATGTATGTACACAAACATGCATATTTATAGATTCTGTTCTCCCTCTGTCTATATAATTTTCTTTAACACTTGATATTATTTCTAAATTTAAATACCTTTGAGACAAATGTGAATTGTGAAGGGACTTAAAAATGTCAGTGAAAAATGGAATTAACAACAAAAATATAAATATAGACTTTATTTCTCAATAGAAGCTCTACTGAGGTCCAGACACTCCATTAAGGGATGATCCCAGCCATTCAGTCCATTGCTAAAGAACTGAGGGTAACGGGGATTTAACCGTGTCAATGCAGTCTTCTATTATTAACTAAAGAAAAATGGGTGCCCCTTACAGTTATTTTAAGATTAGGGAAAAAAAGGTCAGAAGAAACCAAATCAGGACTGTAATGTTGATGCCTAATAATTTCCCATGAAAACTCTTGCAAAATTACCCATGTTTGATGAGAGGAAGGAACAGAAGTGTTGTTGTGGTGCAGAGGGACTCTCTAGTGAAGCTTTACAGGGTGCTTTTCTGCAAAAGTATTTGCTAACTTTCTCTAAGAACTCTCCTAGTAAGCAGATGTTATGGTGCTTTAATCTTACAGAAAGTCAACAAGCAAAATGTCTTGAGCATCCCAAAACCTCCATGGCTTTTGCTTTTGAGAAGTTTGCTTTTGCTTTGACTGGACCACTTCTACCTCTTGGTAGCCATTGCTTGAATTGTGCTTTGTCTTCAGGATCTTATTGATAAAGCCAGTTTCACTCCCTGTTATAATTCTTCAAAATAATGCGGCAGGATCTTGATTCCGCTTACTCAAAATAGTCACTAATAGCTCTGCTTTTGTCCACTGCTCATCTAAGCACAAGGGTATTTGGGACTCACCAAATGTAAAGTTTCTCAACTTTCACGTTATAGTCAGTATTGTGTAAGCTGAACCAATTGAGATGTCTGTGGTGTTGGCTATAATATCTCTTGTTAATTGTCAATCCTCCTCAATTAGGGCATAGAAACGATTTTTTTTTTCTCAAAAATTGGTATGGATGTCCCTCTTCTGTTGACTTCATCTTCAACATTGTATTATCTCTTCTTAGAATAAGGTTTCCATTTGTAAATGACTGATTCTTCAGGTCATTTTTCCCACAGACTTTTCTTAAAGAATAATTTATTTCACCATTTTTTGTACCCCAGCTTCACCGTAAATTTGATGTTTGTTCTTGCTTCAGGTTTGACAGAATTCATGTTGCTGCCATAGAGGGGCTCTTTTCAAACTGATGTCTTTAAATCTTGTTCAGATATGTTAAAACAGGGCCAGGCATGGTGGCTCACGCCTGTAATCCCTGCATTTTGGAAGGTTAGAAAAAATGAAGTTTTTTAAAATTTTATTTTATTTCATTTTAAGTTCTGGGATACATGTGAGGATATGCAGGTTTGTTACATAAGTAAATGTGTGCCATGGTGGTTTGCTGTACCTATCAACCCATTGCCTAGATATTCAGCCCACATGCATTAGCTATTTATCCTGATGCACTCCCTCCCCACTCACCCCCAGACAGACTCCAGTGTGTGTTGTTCCCCTCCCTGTGTCTATGTTCTGTCATTGTTCATCTCCCACTTATAAGTGAGAACATGTGTATTTGGTTTTCTGTTCCTGCATTAGTTTGCTGAGAATAATGACTTCCAGCTTCATCCATGTCCCTGCAAAGGACATAATCTCATTCCTTTTTATGGCTGCATAGTATTCCATGGTGTATATGTATCACAGTTTCTGTATCCAGTCTATCATTGATGGGCATTTGGGTTGATTCTATGTCTTTGCTATTGTGAATAGTGCTGCAATGAACATATGCATGCATGTATCTTTATAATACAAGAATTTATATTCCTTTGGGTATAAACCCAGTAATGGGATTGCTGGGTCAAATGGTATTTCTGATTCTAGGTCTTTGAAAAATCACCACAGTCTTCCACAGTGGTTGAACTAACTTATATTCGCACCAACAGTGTAAAAATGTTCCTATTTCCCCACAGTCTCACCAGCATCTGTTGTTTTTTGACTTTTTAATAATCACTATTCTGACTGGCATGAGATTGTATCTCACTGCGGTTTTGATTTGTATTTCTCTAATGATCAGTAATGTTGGGCTTTTATTTCATGTTTGTTGGCTGCATAAATGTCTTCTTTTGAGAAGTGTCTGTTCATGTCCTTAGCCCACTTTTGAAATTTTTAAATTTTAATTTTTTAACACAGAGCCTTGCTCTGTCACTCAGAGTGGAGTTCAGTGGCACAATCTCGGGTCACTGCAACCTCTGCCTCCCAGATTCAGGCGATTCTTCTCTCTCAGGCTCTTGATTAGTTGGGATTACAGGCCCGCATCACTACATCAGGCTAATTTATTGTATTTTCAGTAGAGACGTGGTTTCACCAGCTTGGCCAGGCTGATCTTGAATTCCTGGCCTCAAGTTATGTGCCCACTTCACCCTCCCAAACTGCAGGGATTACAGGCATGAGCCACTGTACCCAGCTTTTGCCCACTTTTATATGGGGTTGGATTTTTTACAGCTTTGGGTTTTACATTTAAGTCTTTAATCCATTTTCAGTTCATTCCTGTATAAAGGTATAAGGAAGGGGTACAGATTCAGTTTTCTGCATATGTCTAGCCAGTTTTTCAAGCACCATTTATTATTAAACAGGGAATCCTTTCCCCATTGCTTGTTTTCATCAAAAATAAAATGGTTGTAGATGTGCAGTTTTATTTCTGATATATCTCTTCCATTCCGTTGGTCTATGTGTCTGTTTTGTACCACTACCATGCTGTTGGGTAACTGTAGCCTTGTAATATATTTTGAAGTCAGGTAGCATGATGCCTCTAACTTTGTTATTTTACCTTAGGATTGTCCTGGGTATATGGGCTCTTTTTTCATTCCATATGAATTTTGAAGTAGTTTTTTCTAATTTTGTAAAGAATGTCTATGGTAGTTTATGGGAATAGCATTGAATCTATGAATTACTTTGGGAAATATGGCTTTTTCATGATATTGATTCTTCTTACACATGAGCATGGAATGTTTTTCCTTTTGTTTGTGCCCTCTCTTATTTCCTTGAGTAGTGGTTTGTAGTTCTCCTTGAAGAGGTCCTTCACTTGCCTTGTTAGCTGTATTCCTAGGTATTTTATACTCTTTTCAGCAATTGTAAATGGGAACTCATTTGTGATTTGGCTCTCTTCTTGTCTGTTGTAGGTGTATAAGAATGCTTCTGATTTTTGCACACTGATTTTTTATCTTGAGACTTTACTGAGTTGCTGATAAACTTAAGAATCTTTTGGGCTGAGATGATGGGATTTTATAGATATAGGATCATGTCATCTGCAAACAAAGACAGTTCAACTTCCTCTTTTACTATTTGAATATGCTTTATTTCCTTCTCTTGCCTGATTGCCTTGGCCAGAACTTCCAGTACTATACTGAGTAGGAGTGGTGAGAGAGTGCATCCTTGCCTTGTGCCGAATTTCAAACGGAATGCTTCCAGCTTTTGCCTATTCAATATGATATTGGCTGTGGGTTTTTCATAAATGGCTCTTATTATTTTGAGATATGTTCCATCAATACCTAGTTTCATGAGGTTTTTAACTTAAAGGAATGTTGAATTTTATCAAAGATCTTTTCTGAGTCTACTGAGATAATCATGGGGTTTTTGTCTTTAGTTCTGTTTACATGGTGAATTACATTTATTGATTTGTTTATGTTCAACCAGCCTTGCACCAAAGGGATGAAGCTGACTTGATCTTGGAGGATAAGCTTTTTGATATGTTGCTGGATTTGGTTTGCCACTATTATATCGAGAAATTTTGCATCAAAGTTTATCAGAAATACTAAAGTCTAGTAAATACATTGAAAACAATAACAGACTGATTAAAAGACTAAATAATATGAATCCTAAGTGTTCTCACAACTGCTTTATAGAGTAAAAGAATTGTCAAAACAAATGAACTTGGCCAGAAACTGTATAGAGTCTGAGATGTTGTCTGAACTTCCAGTTACTCATTGTGAGGTGGAACTGCAGTAACAATATTTGGTGTAAAATTTCATGTGATGGAAGCTGAGATGTCCTGCAGTCTCAGAGGGACAGAATTCTGGTGAATCTCCCTTTGGCCTATAAGGAATGAAGATTTAGGCTCTGACGGTTCAGTCAAAATTTATAAGATGTAAGAAATGGGGACGTCGTGAGGCCATGAGGCAAGGCCTACAGGTGTAAAGACATAACTTCTAACCCAGGGCTCATGAAGTCATCATAATGTCAGAGGCGATGGTGGATTGAGCATAGTATGGTCTTTGGAACCATTCCTTCCACTTATTTCTTCACAGGCCAGGTATGTGCAACAAGGGGGCATCTTGGGCCTGATGAGCAGAGTCCTGAAGAGACAAAGGGGCAATCCTGAGGAAGAGATTTGACAGGGAGGAAGAAGCCACCAATATCACTACTGATAAAACTCCTCGTCCCTAGTAAACCATAGGATTTTCCTTGGTCTCACTGAGAGTTTACCTGAGTGAACAGAAAGAGAGACAAACGGACTGATGGGTTAACTGTTTCCACTACCTGAAGTGATTCTGAAACGTTGGGGTCAGGAGAATTATCTTAAGAATCAAGAGCAACCCAGATACCAGGGTTACACAAAAGAGACTGGAAGTTCTTATCTTTGGGGGGTAGGCACTAGGCACTGATATTCGTTAAAGCTCACTAAATGACTACAAAGTGAGAAAAATAAATACTCCGCTGCAAGATTTAGACATGATATTTTGTTTCACACACAATTCATTAGTCTTCAGAGCCAAGGGCTCTTGGTTCCCTGCCTCTTGACACACTCTCACTGTGTCTTTCCCATTCACTCTTCTGGATGTAAAAGAGGACGTAGGCCTGTTGACTCAGGACAGAAGTGATGCTAGAGGCGGTGACCTCGGCATCATCCATTTTATACCACTGGCCTTCTTGAGCTTTGACATAAGAGAAGTAATGTCCGTTGTGACAACTCCACCCAGCGTGGACCAGCACAGCATAGAGGACATAGACAAGAGGTCCTGTGTTCTGCTGAGACATGTATGGCTGCATGTCAAGGCACTCAGGATATTGCACATTCTTGGCAATCTTGTTGCCTGTGACATCGGAGAATCTCTTCAATACAAGGATGAGGACCTTGGCAGAGGTGTGTAAAGTTAACGTCTTGGAGGCCGGCGCCCTCTGGAGACAAACACCACAATGATAGGCATTCTCTCCATTGAGTTCTTCGGGCTTCACCAACTGTTCCAAAGCTTGCTGGACACTCTGAGCTGCCTGGATATCCAGGGCGATGTCCAGGTAAGGGTCAAAAGTGTCTGAAATGCCGTGGCAGTGGAGACACTTGATTTGAGATCTCCAGTAGCCTCCAAATATTTGGTGGATGAGGGTGGTGTCCTTAGAGTGATGATCTACCTGCTTGTGCCCGGGAAGGCATGCCTTTTTCATGGCATCCACAGTGAACATGAGAAATTCATGGGCATCTTCCTGCTTGCCTCTATGGAAGCCAGCAGCCAATGCCTGTGAGGGCTGGATGACGTGGCCAGGATTGTGGAGGGCCCGTGTGATGTGAGCTTGCATAGTACAGAGCATGCAGCCCTTGTGACGATGACACGTTTGAGAGTGCTCCCGGGACAGCATGTAGTTGGCAAGGGGCGGTGTGTATGTCAGGCACTGCAAGGAAGCGTTCACGTAGCAGGTATTTCCCATATTCTGGAGCCCAGCCCCCACCGCAGCAGGTCTCCTGCTACTCAGAGGAAGCTTCTCCCTGGGAGCAAGCTGTCTTGCCACAGGAGCCAAATCATCACAGAGGTCGACACGGGTCTCACATGAGAGTGGTGACTTCTCAGGGAGAGAAGTCCGCTGGATTTCAGCAAAAGCTGCATCGGGCCGAGAAGATGTGAGTTTTGAAAAGTGGTTGAACTGCCACTCACCTCTCAAGTAGAGTGAGTCGTCCTCCATGTCGACTGGAACGAGGATCACAAGGTTTGTCTGCTGGGACCGCAGGTTGCAGAAAGACGCTATCCCTTCCGAGAGAGTCTTCAAATGACGAGCTCTCTGGCCGCATCAGCCCTTCTGTAAGTCACCCCCACCAACCGCGAACACCCCACCCACTCATCAGGTGCGCGATAAGCCAATCAAATATCAGCACTCAATTCAGGAAGGAGTCACAGGGTGTGTCCCCTGGCATCGCTGGGAATTCAACAGACACAGCCCACAGCATGACTTCCAGAACACCTGAATCAAATTACTCCTCAGGATGATAGGCACATATAATAGGAGTGTATCCGGGTTGGGACAGTGGCCTCACAGTTGCCTTATTTTAGGTAAAGCAATGGCAGGGAAGAAATCTTTACCTAGGAAACCGTGTGCGTGTGTGTGTGTGAGTGTGTTTGTGTGTGTGGGGGGGGGGCGTGTGTGTGTGTGTGTTTGTGCTGGGATGAACCTCCAAGTAGGTACTTTTGGCAGCTGCCATCATCCTCTCAGCGAAGGAAGGACAAGAAGTCGAAAGTGCGCTTTCTGACCTGAGAATAGTCAATGAAGTATAGTATTTAGCACAGCGTATTTTCTTCCCTAGTGAGAAAGGAGAGATCCGTGGAATCAAACAGACCTTCCAGCGATAACCTTTCCACGTTGAGCCTATTGATTCTCTGTCCGAGTGAAATTACCTGCCAGTGGAGAACAAGACAAGTCTTTGCATGAAATGCTCTTGTGGAAGCTAGATTGCCAAATAATAAAGCATCAAATGGTAGAAACATGCACTGAAGTTTGAAGAGATACTCAGTGCACAAAGTAGACTGTGAAAGCCTTTGGGGAAATCATGCAATCCCCGAGAGACTAATTGATGACAATCCCCAAATTTATGTTTGCCAGAAAAGAGAGACGGTCATGACACCGCATAGTGAGCGGTTTCGGACGTGCGACGGCAGTTTAAGAAAACACGAAACAAAAAACTTGAGAACTCAGAAGGTATCCCAGCTATAACCTTTTGTTTATTAAGGAATTGATGAAAATAAAAACAACGTATCTCACAGCATGTGTGATAATATTTCCATACGTATGTGATAATGGATCAACGTTTCCTAGAGATGAAATAAAAAGTTCTAATTTGGACAAAAGCAAACAAGGAAAATTATACCGTAGAAAAGCCCGGCTGACGGAAGTGAGGCCCTGTCTCAGGGAGAAACATCGGAGACGTTTAAAAGCAGGGAGTGAAACAGAGGATAGCGTGCCATTTTTAATACTGGCCCTTGTTTCAGTGGGAAAAGGCCAAAATAAGCCGTGCATATCCTGGATTCTCGCATCGATCGTTCAGGATCGGAGATGTTGCCTCCATTTCCAGTTACGCATTGTATGGTGGAATTGCAGTTAGCACATTTGGTGCCAAAATTGTAATGCTGCCGAAAGTGGACATGTTCCCTGAAGTAAGAGGGACAGAATTTGGGTGTGTCTTCCGGCTGTCTGGCTTAGCAGGAATGAAGATCCTGGCTCTAGGGATTTTCCCAACATGTCTTAGACGGTAAGGAACAGGGCGGAATTGAGGCCCGGCGCCAAGGCCTCTAGGTGTAAAGAAACAGCCCTGGCTTCAGGGCCCATGAAATTAGGATGATTTTAAGGAGGATGATGGGATGAGAGGACTGTGACCTTTGGCCCCGTTTCTTTCCCTTGTCTTTTCATGGGCCAGGTGTGCTCCATCAGAAGGCTTCCTGTGCCGGATGTAAAGTGTCCTGGGGGAAGAAAAGAGCGCTGCTTAGAAAGATGCTCCACAGGGAGAAAGGAGCCACCATTTTCAGGAGAATGATCCCCAGAAGCATGAGCAATGCAGATGCCGAGGCTTCACACAAGACCCTGGAGGGTCTTATTCCTGCAGCCGGGACCTGGGCATCGGTGTGCTTGAATGCTCATAACCGATTTTGAGGGGAGCCCAATCGATAAGCTGTCTGCCAGTCATGCTCATCACACTGTAGTTTTCACACACGTCACACGGAGACCCTGTTCGTATGCACATTTGGGTGCTTGAGCAGGGTTGCGCCCAAGATTCTGTGGTTCTACGGAGCCCTGAGTTGTGCCCTGGGCAGCTTTCCTCTGGGGTTGGTCAACTTTGATCACTGTACCTGACGAGAAAGGGACCATGAAGTCTAATCAGCAAATAGAGAAAAGGAAGGGGCCATTTCCCACAATCATTTCCACGGAAACACCACGTCGGATCAATAAGTCTCACTGCGGGACAGGGACTGTGCTTCAGAGATGCAGCTTTCGCAGCTGGACAAATGACCCAGAAATTCCCCAAATGCCATTTTTAAACACACCCAGTGAGATTGATTTCAGGGCTTTCTGAATTTATTTCAGTTGAATACACACACTCCTGTGTTTGCTTTCCTTTATTATCAATACAGCTTACTTCCAGATGACTTACATGCCCGTGGGAAAATTTTCCGTTTCGACTCATGGGAAGCGGGCACCGTGAAACAGGCAAGTCGGTCTGTCCGCTTCCGGCGTTATGTGGGTTCCAGCAAGAGCACAAGTCCCAGGGCGCCTGAGGTCCATTCAGGAACCAGTGTAAAAACGGCGAGCCCGGGGAAGAAAGAAGAGCACCGTTCTTCTCTTCCAAATGCATTCCAGTTTCCACTATTCAAGGTGGCGAGAATGATCCACGGATGTCCCACATGAGCCACATTTCACCTTCTCATGCCGACCAACAACTGACGAATGAAACACACCCCAAGAGAAAATACGAAACCGAGTCCCCTGCAATTACCTCACACGCAAACCTACACGTCGGTAGGTCATATTCAGAAATACACACTGAATGTCACCTATCATGAACACAAACACTCAGACAGTCCCTCCAGAGGTTCGGAAGACTCACGACCCCAAAACTTGATGTTTCCCATATGCGGGCTCATCCTGAGATGTAGCCATCACTATCCAGTTGTCCCTGTTGTAGAGACAGAAACTTGGGCTCCTCATTAGTTTATGTAGGATTGACGGTGTTCGTGTTTGTGTGGGTGTGTGTGTGTTTGCGTGCGCGCTTCTGGGTGTAGTTATGTGTGTGTCTGTGTGTGTGCGTGTGTGTGTGCACCCCTACGTGTGGGTCGGTACTTCCACTGAGATCACTGGCACACAAGCAGAGCCCTCTTGCTGTGTTTGTTCTTCCCTTTGGATCTCCTGGCCCTCCCTCGCAGGGAAGCGAGTGTGCCAGTGTTCATGGACTCCTGATGTGTCGGGGTCGACGAAGAGAGGTTTAGCAGGGAGCTTTGCTGTTCAGGATGATGGTTCTTCATCCCACACTTGTATTTTGATTGATGAATCACAAGTACGTCGGGAGGCAGGGTACCTTCGACTTTTCTGACGTTGAACTCAGGCTTCGTTTTGTTTTGCTCTTGAAGGAATTTCCAGTGGTCTAAGGTGCTTTCCTGAGTGGCTCTTTCCACCAAGTGCTCGTCCAACTCGGGGGCCTGGAGGCAGGGGTGGTCTCTCTTGAGCTCTCCTTGCGTTGCTCGCCTGTCGGTGTCTTCTGCGCCAAGGGCTCTTGGTTCCCTGCCTCTTGACACACTCTCACTGTGTCTTTCCCATTCACTCTTCTGGATGTAAAAGAGGACGTAGGCCTGTTGACTCAGGACAGAAGTGATGCTAGAGGCGGTGACCTCGGCATCATCCATTTTATACCACTGGCCTTCTTGAGCTTTGACATAAGAGAAGTAATGTCCGTTGTGACAACTCCACCCAGCGTGGACCAGCACAGCATAGAGGACATAGACGAGAGGTCCTGTGTTCGGCTGAGACATGTATGGCTGCATGTCAAGGCACTCAGGATATTGCACATTCTTGGCAATCTTGTTGCCTGTGACATCGGAGAATCTCTTCAATACAAGGATGAGGACCTTGGCAGAGGTGTGTAAAGTTAACGTCTTGGAGGCCGGCGCCCTCTGGAGACAAACACCACAATGATAGGCATTCTCTCCATTGAGTTCTTCGGGCTTCACCAACTGTTCCAAAGCTTGCTGGACACTCTGAGCTGCCTGGATATCCAGGGCGATGTCCAGGTAAGGGTCAAAAGTGTCTGAAATGCCGTGGCAGTGGAGACACTTGATTTGAGATCTCCAGTAGCCTCCAAATATTTGGTGGATGAGGGTGGTGTCCTTAGAGTGATGATCTACCTGCTTGTGCCCGGGAAGGCATGCCTTTTTCATGGCATCCACAGTGAACATGAGAAATTCATGGGCATCTTCCTGCTTGCCTCTATGGAAGCCAGCAGCCAATGCCTGTGAGGGCTGGATGACGTGGCCAGGATTGTGGAGGGCCCGTGTGATGTGAGCTTGCATAGTACAGAGCATGCAGCCCTTGTGACGATGACACGTTTGAGAGTGCTCCCGGGACAGCATGTAGTTGGCAAGGGGCGGTGTGTATGTCAGGCACTGCAAGGAAGCGTTCACGTAGCAGGTATTTCCCATATTCTGGAGCCCAGCCCCCACCGCAGCAGGTCTCCTGCTACTCAGAGGAAGCTTCTCCCTGGGAGCAAGCTGTCTTGCCACAGGAGCCAAATCATCACAGAGGTCGACACGGGTCTCACATGAGAGTGGTGACTTCTCAGGGAGAGAAGTCCGCTGGATTTCAGCAAAAGCTGCATCGGGCCGAGAAGATGTGAGTTTTGAAAAGTGGTTGAACTGCCACTCACCTCTCAAGTAGAGTGAGTCGTCCTCCATGTCGACTGGAACGAGGATCACAAGGTTTGTCTGCTGGGACCGCAGGTTGCAGAAAGACGCTATCCCTTCCGAGAGAGTCTTCAAATGACGAGCTCTCTGGCCGCATCAGCCCTTCTGTAAGTCACCCCCACCAACCGCGAACACCCCACCCACTCATCAGGTGCGCGATAAGCCAATCAAATATCAGCACTCAATTCAGGAAGGAGTCACAGGGTGTGTCCCCTGGCATCGCTGGGAATTCAACAGACACAGCCCACAGCATGACTTCCAGAACACCTGAATCAAATTACTCCTCAGGATGATAGGCACATATAATAGGAGTGTATCCGGGTTGGGACAGTGGCCTCACAGTTGCCTTATTTTAGGTAAAGCAATGGCAGGGAAGAAATCTTTACCTAGGAAACCGTGTGCGTGTGTGTGTGTGAGTGTGTTTGTGTGTGGGGGGGGGGGGGCGTGTGTGTGTGTGTGTTTGTGCTGGGATGAACCTCCAAGTAGGTACTTTTGGCAGCTGCCATCATCCTCTCAGCGAAGGAAGGACAAGAAGTCGAAAGTGCGCTTTCTGACCTGAGAATAGTCAATGAAGTATAGTATTTAGCACAGCGTATTTTCTTCCCTAGTGAGAAAGGAGAGATCCGTGGAATCAAACAGACCTTCCAGCGATAACCTTTCCACGTTGAGCCTATTGATTCTCTGTCCGAGTGAAATTACCTGCCAGTGGAGAACAAGACAAGTCTTTGCATGAAATGCTCTTGTGGAAGCTAGATTGCCAAATAATAAAGCATCAAATGGTAGAAACATGCACTGAAGTTTGAAGAGATACTCAGTGCACAAAGTAGACTGTGAAAGCCTTTGGGGAAATCATGCAATCCCCGAGAGACTAATTGATGACAATCCCCAAATTTATGTTTGCCAGAAAAGAGAGACGGTCATGACACCGCATAGTGAGCGGTTTCGGACGTGCGACGGCAGTTTAAGAAAACACGAAACAAAAAACTTGAGAACTCAGAAGGTATCCCAGCTATAACCTTTTGTTTATTAAGGAATTGATGAAAATAAAAACAACGTATCTCACAGCATGTGTGATAATATTTCCATACGTATGTGATAATGGATCAACGTTTCCTAGAGATGAAATAAAAAGTTCTAATTTGGACAAAAGCAAACAAGGAAAATTATACCGTAGAAAAGCCCGGCTGACGGAAGTGAGGCCCTGTCTCAGGGAGAAACATCGGAGACGTTTAAAAGCAGGGAGTGAAACAGAGGATAGCGTGCCATTTTTAATACTGGCCCTTGTTTCAGTGGGAAAAGGCCAAAATAAGCCGTGCATATCCTGGATTCTCGCATCGATCGTTCAGGATCGGAGATGTTGCCTCCATTTCCAGTTACGCATTGTATGGTGGAATTGCAGTTAGCACATTTGGTGCCAAAATTGTAACGCTGCCGAAAGTGGACATGTTCCCTGAAGTAAGAGGGACAGAATTTGGGTGTGTCTTCCGGCTGTCTGGCTTAGCAGGAATGAAGATCCTGGCTCTAGGGATTTTCCCAACATGTCTTAGACGGTAAGGAACAGGGCGGAATTGAGGCCCGGCGCCAAGGCCTCTAGGTGTAAAGAAACAGCCCTGGCTTCAGGGCCCATGAAATTAGGATGATTTTAAGGAGGATGATGGGATGAGAGGACTGTGACCTTTGGCCCCGTTTCTTTCCCTTGTCTTTTCATGGGCCAGGTGTGCTCCATCAGAAGGCTTCCTGTGCCGGATGTAAAGTGTCCTGGGGGAAGAAAAGAGCGCTGCTTAGAAAGATGCTCCACAGGGAGAAAGGAGCCACCATTTTCAGGAGAATGATCCCCAGAAGCATGAGCAATGCAGATGCCGAGGCTTCACACAAGACCCTGGAGGGTCTTATTCCTGCAGCCGGGACCTGGGCATCGGTGTGCTTGAATGCTCATAACCGATTTTGAGGGGAGCCCAATCGATAAGCTGTCTGCCAGTCATGCTCATCACACTGTAGTTTTCACACACGTCACACGGAGACCCTGTTCGTATGCACATTTGGGTGCTTGAGCAGGGTTGCGCCCAAGATTCTGTGGTTCTACGGAGCCCTGAGTTGTGCCCTGGGCAGCTTTCCTCTGGGGTTGGTCAACTTTGATCACTGTACCTGACGAGAAAGGGACCATGAAGTCTAATCAGCAAATAGAGAAAAGGAAGGGGCCATTTCCCACAATCATTTCCACGGAAACACCACGTCGGATCAATAAGTCTCACTGCGGGACAGGGACTGTGCTTCAGAGATGCAGCTTTCGCAGCTGGACAAATGACCCAGAAATTCCCCAAATGCCATTTTTAAACACACCCAGTGAGATTGATTTCAGGGCTTTCTGAATTTATTTCAGTTGAATACACACACTCCTGTGTTTGCTTTCCTTTATTATCAATACAGCTTACTTCCAGATGACTTACATGCCCGTGGGAAAATTTTCCGTTTCGACTCATGGGAAGCGGGCACCGTGAAACAGGCAAGTCGGTCTGTCCGCTTCCGGCGTTATGTGGGTTCCAGCAAGAGCACAAGTCCCAGGGCGCCTGAGGTCCATTCAGGAACCAGTGTAAAAACGGCGAGCCCGGGGAAGAAAGAAGAGCACCGTTCTTCTCTTCCAAATGCATTCCAGTTTCCACTATTCAAGGTGGCGAGAATGATCCACGGATGTCCCACATGAGCCACATTTCACCTTCTCATGCCGACCAACAACTGACGAATGAAACACACCCCAAGAGAAAATACGAAACCGAGTCCCCTGCAATTACCTCACACGCAAACCTACACGTCGGTAGGTCATATTCAGAAATACACACTGAATGTCACCTATCATGAACACAAACACTCAGACAGTCCCTCCAGAGGTTCGGAAGACTCACGACCCCAAAACTTGATGTTTCCCATATGCGGGCTCATCCTGAGATGTAGCCATCACTATCCAGTTGTCCCTGTTGTAGAGACAGAAAGTTGGGCTCCTCATTAGTTTATGTAGGATTGACGGTGTTCGTGTTTGTGTGGGTGTGTGTGTGTTTGCGTGCGCGCTTCTGGGTGTAGTTATGTGTGTGTCTGTGTGTGTGCGTGTGTGTGTGCACCCCTACGTGTGGGTCGGTACTTCCACTGAGATCACTGGCACACAAGCAGAGCCCTCTTGCTGTGTTTGTTCTTCCCTTTGGATCTCCTGGCCCTCCCTCGCAGGGAAGCGAGTGTGCCAGTGTTCATGGACTCCTGATGTGTCGGGGTCGACGAAGAGAGGTTTAGCAGGGAGCTTTGCTGTTCAGGATGATGGTTCTTCATCCCACACTTGTATTTTGATTGATGAATCACAAGTACGTCGGGAGGCAGGGTACCTTCGACTTTTCTGACGTTGAACTCAGGCTTCGTTTTGTTTTGCTCTTGAAGGAATTTCCAGTGGTCTAAGGTGCTTTCCTGAGTGGCTCTTTCCACCAAGTGCTCGTCCAACTCGGGGGCCTGGAGGCAGGGGTGGTCTCTCTTGAGCTCTCCTTGCGTTGCTCGCCTGTCTGTGTCTTCTGCGCCAAGGGCTCTTGGTTCCCTGCCTCTTGACACACTCTCACTGTGTCTTTCCCATTCACTCTTCTGGATGTAAAAGAGGACGTAGGCCTGTTGACTCAGGACAGAAGTGATGCTAGAGGCGGTGACCTCGGCATCATCCATTTTATACCACTGGCCTTCTTGAGCTTTGACATAAGAGAAGTAATGTCCGTTGTGACAACTCCACCCAGCGTGGACCAGCACAGCATAGAGGACATAGACAAGAAGTCATGTGTTCTGCTGAGACATGTATGGCTGCATGTCAAGGCACTCAGGATATTGCACATTCTTGGCAATCTTGTTGCCTGTGACATCGGAGAATCTCTTCAATACAAGGATGAGGACCTTGGCAGAGGTGTGTAAAGTTAACGTCTTGGAGGCCGGCGCCCTCTGGAGACAAACACCACAATGATAGGCATTCTCTCCATTGAGTTCTTCGGGCTTCACCAACTGTTCCAAAGCTTGCTGGACACTCTGAGCTGCCTGGATATCCAGGGCGATGTCCAGGTAAGGGTCAAAAGTGTCTGAAATGCCGTGGCAGTGGAGACACTTGATTTGAGATCTCCAGTAGCCTCCAAATATTTGGTGGATGAGGGTGGTGTCCTTAGAGTGATGATCTACCTGCTTGTGCCCGGGAAGGCATGCCTTTTTCATGGCATCCACAGTGAACATGAGAAATTCATGGGCATCTTCCTGCTTGCCTCTATGGAAGCCAGCAGCCAATGCCTGTGAGGGCTGGATGACGTGGCCAGGATTGTGGAGGGCCCGTGTGATGTGAGCTTGCATAGTACAGAGCATGCAGCCCTTGTGACGATGACACGTTTGAGAGTGCTCCCGGGACAGCATGTAGTTGGCAAGGGGCGGTGTGTATGTCAGGCACTGCAAGGAAGCGTTCACGTAGCAGGTATTTCCCATATTCTGGAGCCCAGCCCCCACCGCAGCAGGTCTCCTGCTACTCAGAGGAAGCTTCTCCCTGGGAGCAAGCTGTCTTGCCACAGGAGCCAAATCATCACAGAGGTCGACACGGGTCTCACATGAGAGTGGTGACTTCTCAGGGAGAGAAGTCCGCTGGATTTCAGCAAAAGCTGCATCGGGCCGAGAAGATGTGAGTTTTGAAAAGTGGTTGAACTGCCACTCACCTCTCAAGTAGAGTGAGTCGTCCTCCATGTCGACTGGAACGAGGATCACAAGGTTTGTCTGCTGGGACCGCAGGTTGCAGAAAGACGCTATCCCTTCCGAGAGAGTCTTCAAATGACGAGCTCTCTGGCCGCATCAGCCCTTCTGTAAGTCACCCCCACCAACCGCGAACACCCCACCCACTCATCAGGTGCGCGATAAGCCAATCAAATATCAGCACTCAATTCAGGAAGGAGTCACAGGGTGTGTCCCCTGGCATCGCTGGGAATTCAACAGACACAGCCCACAGCATGACTTCCAGAACACCTGAATCAAATTACTCCTCAGGATGATAGGCACATATAATAGGAGTGTATCCGGGTTGGGACAGTGGCCTCACAGTTGCCTTATTTTAGGTAAAGCAATGGCAGGGAAGAAATCTTTACCTAGGAAACCGTGTGCGTGTGTGTGTGTGAGTGTGTTTGTGTGTGTGGGGGGGGGGCGTGTGTGTGTGTGTGTTTGTGCTGGGATGAACCTCCAAGTAGGTACTTTTGGCAGCTGCCATCATCCTCTCAGCGAAGGAAGGACAAGAAGTCGAAAGTGCGCTTTCTGACCTGAGAATAGTCAATGAAGTATAGTATTTAGCACAGCGTATTTTCTTCCCTAGTGAGAAAGGAGAGATCCGTGGAATCAAACAGACCTTCCAGCGATAACCTTTCCACGTTGAGCCTATTGATTCTCTGTCCGAGTGAAATTACCTGCCAGTGGAGAACAAGACAAGTCTTTGCATGAAATGCTCTTGTGGAAGCTAGATTGCCAAATAATAAAGCATCAAATGGTAGAAACATGCACTGAAGTTTGAAGAGATACTCAGTGCACAAAGTAGACTGTGAAAGCCTTTGGGGAAATCATGCAATCCCCGAGAGACTAATTGATGACAATCCCCAAATTTATGTTTGCCAGAAAAGAGAGACGGTCATGACACCGCATAGTGAGCGGTTTCGGACGTGCGACGGCAGTTTAAGAAAACACGAAACAAAAAACTTGAGAACTCAGAAGGTATCCCAGCTATAACCTTTTGTTTATTAAGGAATTGATGAAAATAAAAACAACGTATCTCACAGCATGTGTGATAATATTTCCATACGTATGTGATAATGGATCAACGTTTCCTAGAGATGAAATAAAAAGTTCTAATTTGGACAAAAGCAAACAAGGAAAATTATACCGTAGAAAAGCCCGGCTGACGGAAGTGAGGCCCTGTCTCAGGGAGAAACATCGGAGACGTTTAAAAGCAGGGAGTGAAACAGAGGATAGCGTGCCATTTTTAATACTGGCCCTTGTTTCAGTGGGAAAAGGCCAAAATAAGCCGTGCATATCCTGGATTCTCGCATCGATCGTTCAGGATCGGAGATGTTGCCTCCATTTCCAGTTACGCATTGTATGGTGGAATTGCAGTTAGCACATTTGGTGCCAAAATTGTAACGCTGCCGAAAGTGGACATGTTCCCTGAAGTAAGAGGGACAGAATTTGGGTGTGTCTTCCGGCTGTCTGGCTTAGCAGGAATGAAGATCCTGGCTCTAGGGATTTTCCCAACATGTCTTAGACGGTAAGGAACAGGGCGGAATTGAGGCCCGGCGCCAAGGCCTCTAGGTGTAAAGAAACAGCCCTGGCTTCAGGGCCCATGAAATTAGGATGATTTTAAGGAGGATGATGGGATGAGAGGACTGTGACCTTTGGCCCCGTTTCTTTCCCTTGTCTTTTCATGGGCCAGGTGTGCTCCATCAGAAGGCTTCCTGTGCCGGATGTAAAGTGTCCTGGGGGAAGAAAAGAGCGCTGCTTAGAAAGATGCTCCACAGGGAGAAAGGAGCCACCATTTTCAGGAGAATGATCCCCAGAAGCATGAGCAATGCAGATGCCGAGGCTTCACACAAGACCCTGGAGGGTCTTATTCCTGCAGCCGGGACCTGGGCATCGGTGTGCTTGAATGCTCATAACCGATTTTGAGGGGAGCCCAATCGATAAGCTGTCTGCCAGTCATGCTCATCACACTGTAGTTTTCACACACGTCACACGGAGACCCTGTTCGTATGCACATTTGGGTGCTTGAGCAGGGTTGCGCCCAAGATTCTGTGGTTCTACGGAGCCCTGAGTTGTGCCCTGGGCAGCTTTCCTCTGGGGTTGGTCAACTTTGATCACTGTACCTGACGAGAAAGGGACCATGAAGTCTAATCAGCAAATAGAGAAAAGGAAGGGGCCATTTCCCACAATCATTTCCACGGAAACACCACGTCGGATCAATAAGTCTCACTGCGGGACAGGGACTGTGCTTCAGAGATGCAGCTTTCGCAGCTGGACAAATGACCCAGAAATTCCCCAAATGCCATTTTTAAACACACCCAGTGAGATTGATTTCAGGGCTTTCTGAATTTATTTCAGTTGAATACACACACTCCTGTGTTTGCTTTCCTTTATTATCAATACAGCTTACTTCCAGATGACTTACATGCCCGTGGGAAAATTTTCCGTTTCGACTCATGGGAAGCGGGCACCGTGAAACAGGCAAGTCGGTCTGTCCGCTTCCGGCGTTATGTGGGTTCCAGCAAGAGCACAAGTCCCAGGGCGCCTGAGGTCCATTCAGGAACCAGTGTAAAAACGGCGAGCCCGGGGAAGAAAGAAGAGCACCGTTCTTCTCTTCCAAATGCATTCCAGTTTCCACTATTCAAGGTGGCGAGAATGATCCACGGATGTCCCACATGAGCCACATTTCACCTTCTCATGCCGACCAACAACTGACGAATGAAACACACCCCAAGAGAAAATACGAAACCGAGTCCCCTGCAATTACCTCACACGCAAACCTACACGTCGGTAGGTCATATTCAGAAATACACACTGAATGTCACCTATCATGAACACAAACACTCAGACAGTCCCTCCAGAGGTTCGGAAGACTCACGACCCCAAAACTTGATGTTTCCCATATGCGGGCTCATCCTGAGATGTAGCCATCACTATCCAGTTGTCCCTGTTGTAGAGACAGAAAGTTGGGCTCCTCATTAGTTTATGTAGGATTGACGGTGTTCGTGTTTGTGTGGGTGTGTGTGTGTTTGCGTGCGCGCTTCTGGGTGTAGTTATGTGTGTGTCTGTGTGTGTGCGTGTGTGTGTGCACCCCTACGTGTGGGTCGGTACTTCCACTGAGATCACTGGCACACAAGCAGAGCCCTCTTGCTGTGTTTGTTCTTCCCTTTGGATCTCCTGGCCCTCCCTCGCAGGGAAGCGAGTGTGCCAGTGTTCATGGACTCCTGATGTGTCGGGGTCGACGAAGAGAGGTTTAGCAGGGAGCTTTGCTGTTCAGGATGATGGTTCTTCATCCCACACTTGTATTTTGATTGATGAATCACAAGTACGTCGGGAGGCAGGGTACCTTCGACTTTTCTGACGTTGAACTCAGGCTTCGTTTTGTTTTGCTCTTGAAGGAATTTCCAGTGGTCTAAGGTGCTTTCCTGAGTGGCTCTTTCCACCAAGTGCTCGTCCAACTCGGGGGCCTGGAGGCAGGGGTGGTCTCTCTTGAGCTCTCCTTGCGTTGCTCGCCTGTCGGTGTCTTCTGCGCCAAGGGCTCTTGGTTCCCTGCCTCTTGACACACTCTCACTGTGTCTTTCCCATTCACTCTTCTGGATGTAAAAGAGGACGTAGGCCTGTTGACTCAGGACAGAAGTGATGCTAGAGGCGGTGACCTCGGCATCATCCATTTTATACCACTGGCCTTCTTGAGCTTTGACATAAGAGAAGTAATGTCCGTTGTGACAACTCCACCCAGCGTGGACCAGCACAGCATAGAGGACATAGACGAGAGGTCCTGTGTTCGGCTGAGACATGTATGGCTGCATGTCAAGGCACTCAGGATATTGCACATTCTTGGCAATCTTGTTGCCTGTGACATCGGAGAATCTCTTCAATACAAGGATGAGGACCTTGGCAGAGGTGTGTAAAGTTAACGTCTTGGAGGCCGGCGCCCTCTGGAGACAAACACCACAATGATAGGCATTCTCTCCATTGAGTTCTTCGGGCTTCACCAACTGTTCCAAAGCTTGCTGGACACTCTGAGCTGCCTGGATATCCAGGGCGATGTCCAGGTAAGGGTCAAAAGTGTCTGAAATGCCGTGGCAGTGGAGACACTTGATTTGAGATCTCCAGTAGCCTCCAAATATTTGGTGGATGAGGGTGGTGTCCTTAGAGTGATGATCTACCTGCTTGTGCCCGGGAAGGCATGCCTTTTTCATGGCATCCACAGTGAACATGAGAAATTCATGGGCATCTTCCTGCTTGCCTCTATGGAAGCCAGCAGCCAATGCCTGTGAGGGCTGGATGACGTGGCCAGGATTGTGGAGGGCCCGTGTGATGTGAGCTTGCATAGTACAGAGCATGCAGCCCTTGTGACGATGACACGTTTGAGAGTGCTCCCGGGACAGCATGTAGTTGGCAAGGGGCGGTGTGTATGTCAGGCACTGCAAGGAAGCGTTCACGTAGCAGGTATTTCCCATATTCTGGAGCCCAGCCCCCACCGCAGCAGGTCTCCTGCTACTCAGAGGAAGCTTCTCCCTGGGAGCAAGCTGTCTTGCCACAGGAGCCAAATCATCACAGAGGTCGACACGGGTCTCACATGAGAGTGGTGACTTCTCAGGGAGAGAAGTCCGCTGGATTTCAGCAAAAGCTGCATCGGGCCGAGAAGATGTGAGTTTTGAAAAGTGGTTGAACTGCCACTCACCTCTCAAGTAGAGTGAGTCGTCCTCCATGTCGACTGGAACGAGGATCACAAGGTTTGTCTGCTGGAACCGCAGGTTGCAGAAAGACGCTATCCCTTCCGAGAGAGTCTTCAAATGACGAGCTCTCTGGCCGCATCAGCCCTTCTGTAAGTCACCCCCACCAACCGCGAACACCCCACCCACTCATCAGGTGCGCGATAAGCCAATCAAATATCAGCACTCAATTCAGGAAGGAGTCACAGGGTGTGTCCCCTGGCATCGCTGGGAATTCAACAGACACAGCCCACAGCATGACTTCCAGAACACCTGAATCAAATTACTCCTCAGGATGATAGGCACATATAATAGGAGTGTATCCGGGTTGGGACAGTGGCCTCACAGTTGCCTTATTTTAGGTAAAGCAATGGCAGGGAAGAAATCTTTACCTAGGAAACCGTGTGCGTGTGTGTGTGTGAGTGTGTTTGTGTGTGTGGGGGGGGGGCGTGTGTGTGTGTGTGTTTGTGCTGGGATGAACCTCCAAGTAGGTACTTTTGGCAGCTGCCATCATCCTCTCAGCGAAGGAAGGACAAGAAGTCGAAAGTGCGCTTTCTGACCTGAGAATAGTCAATGAAGTATAGTATTTAGCACAGCGTATTTTCTTCCCTAGTGAGAAAGGAGAGATCCGTGGAATCAAACAGACCTTCCAGCGATAACCTTTCCACGTTGAGCCTATTGATTCTCTGTCCGAGTGAAATTACCTGCCAGTGGAGAACAAGACAAGTCTTTGCATGAAATGCTCTTGTGGAAGCTAGATTGCCAAATAATAAAGCATCAAATGGTAGAAACATGCACTGAAGTTTGAAGAGATACTCAGTGCACAAAGTAGACTGTGAAAGCCTTTGGGGAAATCATGCAATCCCCGAGAGACTAATTGATGACAATCCCCAAATTTATGTTTGCCAGAAAAGAGAGACGGTCATGACACCGCATAGTGAGCGGTTTCGGACGTGCGACGGCAGTTTAAGAAAACACGAAACAAAAAACTTGAGAACTCAGAAGGTATCCCAGCTATAACCTTTTGTTTATTAAGGAATTGATGAAAATAAAAACAACGTATCTCACAGCATGTGTGATAATATTTCCATACGTATGTGATAATGGATCAACGTTTCCTAGAGATGAAATAAAAAGTTCTAATTTGGACAAAAGCAAACAAGGAAAATTATACCGTAGAAAAGCCCGGCTGACGGAAGTGAGGCCCTGTCTCAGGGAGAAACATCGGAGACGTTTAAAAGCAGGGAGTGAAACAGAGGATAGCGTGCCATTTTTAATACTGGCCCTTGTTTCAGTGGGAAAAGGCCAAAATAAGCCGTGCATATCCTGGATTCTCGCATCGATCGTTCAGGATCGGAGATGTTGCCTCCATTTCCAGTTACGCATTGTATGGTGGAATTGCAGTTAGCACATTTGGTGCCAAAATTGTAATGCTGCCGAAAGTGGACATGTTCCCTGAAGTAAGAGGGACAGAATTTGGGTGTGTCTTCCGGCTGTCTGGCTTAGCAGGAATGAAGATCCTGGCTCTAGGGATTTTCCCAACATGTCTTAGACGGTAAGGAACAGGGCGGAATTGAGGCCCGGCGCCAAGGCCTCTAGGTGTAAAGAAACAGCCCTGGCTTCAGGGCCCATGAAATTAGGATGATTTTAAGGAGGATGATGGGATGAGAGGACTGTGACCTTTGGCCCCGTTTCTTTCCCTTGTCTTTTCATGGGCCAGGTGTGCTCCATCAGAAGGCTTCCTGTGCCGGATGTAAAGTGTCCTGGGGGAAGAAAAGAGCGCTGCTTAGAAAGATGCTCCACAGGGAGAAAGGAGCCACCATTTTCAGGAGAATGATCCCCAGAAGCATGAGCAATGCAGATGCCGAGGCTTCACACAAGACCCTGGAGGGTCTTATTCCTGCAGCCGGGACCTGGGCATCGGTGTGCTTGAATGCTCATAACCGATTTTGAGGGGAGCCCAATCGATAAGCTGTCTGCCAGTCATGCTCATCACACTGTAGTTTTCACACACGTCACACGGAGACCCTGTTCGTATGCACATTTGGGTGCTTGAGCAGGGTTGCGCCCAAGATTCTGTGGTTCTACGGAGCCCTGAGTTGTGCCCTGGGCAGCTTTCCTCTGGGGTTGGTCAACTTTGATCACTGTACCTGACGAGAAAGGGACCATGAAGTCTAATCAGCAAATAGAGAAAAGGAAGGGGCCATTTCCCACAATCATTTCCACGGAAACACCACGTCGGATCAATAAGTCTCACTGCGGGACAGGGACTGTGCTTCAGAGATGCAGCTTTCGCAGCTGGACAAATGACCCAGAAATTCCCCAAATGCCATTTTTAAACACACCCAGTGAGATTGATTGCAGGGCTTTCTGAATTTATTTCAGTTGAATACACACACTCCTGTGTTTGCTTTCCTTTATTATCAATACAGCTTACTTCCAGATGACTTACATGCCCGTGGGAAAATTTTCCGTTTCGACTCATGGGAAGCGGGCACCGTGAAACAGGCAAGTCGGTCTGTCCGCTTCCGGCGTTATGTGGGTTCCAGCAAGAGCACAGGTCCCAGGGCGCCTGAGGTCCATTCAGGAACCAGTGTAAAAACGGCGAGCCCGGGGAAGAAAGAAGAGCACCGTTCTTCTCTTCCAAATGCATTCCAGTTTCCACTATTCAAGGTGGCGAGAATGATCCACGGATGTCCCACATGAGCCACATTTCACCTTCTCATGCCGACCAACAACTGACGAATGAAACACACCCCAAGAGAAAATACGAAACCGAGTCCCCTGCAATTACCTCACACGCAAACCTACACGTCGGTAGGTCATATTCAGAAATACACACTGAATGTCACCTATCATGAACACAAACACTCAGACAGTCCCTCCAGAGGTTCGGAAGACTCACGACCCCAAAACTTGATGTTTCCCATATGCGGGCTCATCCTGAGATGTAGCCATCACTATCCAGTTGTCCCTGTTGTAGAGACAGAAAGTTGGGCTCCTCATTAGTTTATGTAGGATTGACGGTGTTCGTGTTTGTGTGGGTGTGTGTGTGTTTGCGTGCGCGCTTCTGGGTGTAGTTATGTGTGTGTCTGTGTGTGTGCGTGTGTGTGTGCACCCCTACGTGTGGGTCGGTACTTCCACTGAGATCACTGGCACACAAGCAGAGCCCTCTTGCTGTGTTTGTTCTTCCCTTTGGATCTCCTGGCCCTCCCTCGCAGGGAAGCGAGTGTGCCAGTGTTCATGGACTCCTGATGTGTCGGGGTCGACGAAGAGAGGTTTAGCAGGGAGCTTTGCTGTTCAGGATGATGGTTCTTCATCCCACACTTGTATTTTGATTGATGAATCACAAGTACGTCGGGAGGCAGGGTACCTTCGACTTTTCTGACGTTGAACTCAGGCTTCGTTTTGTTTTGCTCTTGAAGGAATTTCCAGTGGTCTAAGGTGCTTTCCTGAGTGGCTCTTTCCACCAAGTGCTCGTCCAACTCGGGGGCCTGGAGGCAGGGGTGGTCTCTCTTGAGCTCTCCTTGCGTTGCTCGCCTGTCGGTGTCTTCTGCGCCAAGGGCTCTTGGTTCCCTGCCTCTTGACACACTCTCACTGTGTCTTTCCCATTCACTCTTCTGGATGTAAAAGAGGACGTAGGCCTGTTGACTCAGGACAGAAGTGATGCTAGAGGCGGTGACCTCGGCATCATCCATTTTATACCACTGGCCTTCTTGAGCTTTGACATAAGAGAAGTAATGTCCGTTGTGACAACTCCACCCAGCGTGGACCAGCACAGCATAGAGGACATAGACGAGAGGTCCTGTGTTCGGCTGAGACATGTATGGCTGCATGTCAAGGCACTCAGGATATTGCACATTCTTGGCAATCTTGTTGCCTGTGACATCGGAGAATCTCTTCAATACAAGGATGAGGACCTTGGCAGAGGTGTGTAAAGTTAACGTCTTGGAGGCCGGCGCCCTCTGGAGACAAACACCACAATGATAGGCATTCTCTCCATTGAGTTCTTCGGGCTTCACCAACTGTTCCAAAGCTTGCTGGACACTCTGAGCTGCCTGGATATCCAGGGCGATGTCCAGGTAAGGGTCAAAAGTGTCTGAAATGCCGTGGCAGTGGAGACACTTGATTTGAGATCTCCAGTAGCCTCCAAATATTTGGTGGATGAGGGTGGTGTCCTTAGAGTGATGATCTACCTGCTTGTGCCCGGGAAGGCATGCCTTTTTCATGGCATCCACAGTGAACATGAGAAATTCATGGGCATCTTCCTGCTTGCCTCTATGGAAGCCAGCAGCCAATGCCTGTGAGGGCTGGATGACGTGGCCAGGATTGTGGAGGGCCCGTGTGATGTGAGCTTGCATAGTACAGAGCATGCAGCCCTTGTGACGATGACACGTTTGAGAGTGCTCCCGGGACAGCATGTAGTTGGCAAGGGGCGGTGTGTATGTCAGGCACTGCAAGGAAGCGTTCACGTAGCAGGTATTTCCCATATTCTGGAGCCCAGCCCCCACCGCAGCAGGTCTCCTGCTACTCAGAGGAAGCTTCTCCCTGGGAGCAAGCTGTCTTGCCACAGGAGCCAAATCATCACAGAGGTCGACACGGGTCTCACATGAGAGTGGTGACTTCTCAGGGAGAGAAGTCCGCTGGATTTCAGCAAAAGCTGCATCGGGCCGAGAAGATGTGAGTTTTGAAAAGTGGTTGAACTGCCACTCACCTCTCAAGTAGAGTGAGTCGTCCTCCATGTCGACTGGAACGAGGATCACAAGGTTTGTCTGCTGGGACCGCAGGTTGCAGAAAGACGCTATCCCTTCCGAGAGAGTCTTCAAATGACGAGCTCTCTGGCCGCATCAGCCCTTCTGTAAGTCACCCCCACCAACCGCGAACACCCCACCCACTCATCAGGTGCGCGATAAGCCAATCAAATATCAGCACTCAATTCAGGAAGGAGTCACAGGGTGTGTCCCCTGGCATCGCTGGGAATTCAACAGACACAGCCCACAGCATGACTTCCAGAACACCTGAATCAAATTACTCCTCAGGATGATAGGCACATATAATAGGAGTGTATCCGGGTTGGGACAGTGGCCTCACAGTTGCCTTATTTTAGGTAAAGCAATGGCAGGGAAGAAATCTTTACCTAGGAAACCGTGTGCGTGTGTGTGTGTGAGTGTGTTTGTGTGTGTGGGGGGGGGGCGTGTGTGTGTGTGTGTTTGTGCTGGGATGAACCTCCAAGTAGGTACTTTTGGCAGCTGCCATCATCCTCTCAGCGAAGGAAGGACAAGAAGTCGAAAGTGCGCTTTCTGACCTGAGAATAGTCAATGAAGTATAGTATTTAGCACAGCGTATTTTCTTCCCTAGTGAGAAAGGAGAGATCCGTGGAATCAAACAGACCTTCCAGCGATAACCTTTCCACGTTGAGCCTATTGATTCTCTGTCCGAGTGAAATTACCTGCCAGTGGAGAACAAGACAAGTCTTTGCATGAAATGCTCTTGTGGAAGCTAGATTGCCAAATAATAAAGCATCAAATGGTAGAAACATGCACTGAAGTTTGAAGAGATACTCAGTGCACAAAGTAGACTGTGAAAGCCTTTGGGGAAATCATGCAATCCCCGAGAGACTAATTGATGACAATCCCCAAATTTATGTTTGCCAGAAAAGAGAGACGGTCATGACACCGCATAGTGAGCGGTTTCGGACGTGCGACGGCAGTTTAAGAAAACACGAAACAAAAAACTTGAGAACTCAGAAGGTATCCCAGCTATAACCTTTTGTTTATTAAGGAATTGATGAAAATAAAAACAACGTATCTCACAGCATGTGTGATAATATTTCCATACGTATGTGATAATGGATCAACGTTTCCTAGAGATGAAATAAAAAGTTCTAATTTGGACAAAAGCAAACAAGGAAAATTATACCGTAGAAAAGCCCGGCTGACGGAAGTGAGGCCCTGTCTCAGGGAGAAACATCGGAGACGTTTAAAAGCAGGGAGTGAAACAGAGGATAGCGTGCCATTTTTAATACTGGCCCTTGTTTCAGTGGGAAAAGGCCAAAATAAGCCGTGCATATCCTGGATTCTCGCATCGATCGTTCAGGATCGGAGATGTTGCCTCCATTTCCAGTTACGCATTGTATGGTGGAATTGCAGTTAGCACATTTGGTGCCAAAATTGTAACGCTGCCGAAAGTGGACATGTTCCCTGAAGTAAGAGGGACAGAATTTGGGTGTGTCTTCCGGCTGTCTGGCTTAGCAGGAATGAAGATCCTGGCTCTAGGGATTTTCCCAACATGTCTTAGACGGTAAGGAACAGGGCGGAATTGAGGCCCGGCGCCAAGGCCTCTAGGTGTAAAGAAACAGCCCTGGCTTCAGGGCCCATGAAATTAGGATGATTTTAAGGAGGATGATGGGATGAGAGGACTGTGACCTTTGGCCCCGTTTCTTTCCCTTGTCTTTTCATGGGCCAGGTGTGCTCCATCAGAAGGCTTCCTGTGCCGGATGTAAAGTGTCCTGGGGGAAGAAAAGAGCGCTGCTTAGAAAGATGCTCCACAGGGAGAAAGGAGCCACCATTTTCAGGAGAATGATCCCCAGAAGCATGAGCAATGCAGATGCCGAGGCTTCACACAAGACCCTGGAGGGTCTTATTCCTGCAGCCGGGACCTGGGCATCGGTGTGCTTGAATGCTCATAACCGATTTTGAGGGGAGCCCAATCGATAAGCTGTCTGCCAGTCATGCTCATCACACTGTAGTTTTCACACACGTCACACGGAGACCCTGTTCGTATGCACATTTGGGTGCTTGAGCAGGGTTGCGCCCAAGATTCTGTGGTTCTACGGAGCCCTGAGTTGTGCCCTGGGCAGCTTTCCTCTGGGGTTGGTCAACTTTGATCACTGTACCTGACGAGAAAGGGACCATGAAGTCTAATCAGCAAATAGAGAAAAGGAAGGGGCCATTTCCCACAATCATTTCCACGGAAACACCACGTCGGATCAATAAGTCTCACTGCGGGACAGGGACTGTGCTTCAGAGATGCAGCTTTCGCAGCTGGACAAATGACCCAGAAATTCCCCAAATGCCATTTTTAAACACACCCAGTGAGATTGATTGCAGGGCTTTCTGAATTTATTTCAGTTGAATACACACACTCCTGTGTTTGCTTTCCTTTATTATCAATACAGCTTACTTCCAGATGACTTACATGCCCGTGGGAAAATTTTCCGTTTCGACTCATGGGAAGCGGGCACCGTGAAACAGGCAAGTCGGTCTGTCCGCTTCCGGCGTTATGTGGGTTCCAGCAAGAGCACAAGTCCCAGGGCGCCTGAGGTCCATTCAGGAACCAGTGTAAAAACGGCGAGCCCGGGGAAGAAAGAAGAGCACCGTTCTTCTCTTCCAAATGCATTCCAGTTTCCACTATTCAAGGTGGCGAGAATGATCCACGGATGTCCCACATGAGCCACATTTCACCTTCTCATGCCGACCAACAACTGACGAATGAAACACACCCCAAGAGAAAATACGAAACCGAGTCCCCTGCAATTACCTCACACGCAAACCTACACGTCGGTAGGTCATATTCAGAAATACACACTGAATGTCACCTATCATGAACACAAACACTCAGACAGTCCCTCCAGAGGTTCGGAAGACTCACGACCCCAAAACTTGATGTTTCCCATATGCGGGCTCATCCTGAGATGTAGCCATCACTATCCAGTTGTCCCTGTTGTAGAGACAGAAACTTGGGCTCCTCATTAGTTTATGTAGGATTGACGGTGTTCGTGTTTGTGTGGGTGTGTGTGTGTTTGCGTGCGCGCTTCTGGGTGTAGTTATGTGTGTGTCTGTGTGTGTGCGTGTGTGTGTGCACCCCTACGTGTGGGTCGGTACTTCCACTGAGATCACTGGCACACAAGCAGAGCCCTCTTGCTGTGTTTGTTCTTCCCTTTGGATCTCCTGGCCCTCCCTCGCAGGGAAGCGAGTGTGCCAGTGTTCATGGACTCCTGATGTGTCGGGGTCGACGAAGAGAGGTTTAGCAGGGAGCTTTGCTGTTCAGGATGATGGTTCTTCATCCCACACTTGTATTTTGATTGATGAATCACAAGTACGTCGGGAGGCAGGGTACCTTCGACTTTTCTGACGTTGAACTCAGGCTTCGTTTTGTTTTGCTCTTGAAGGAATTTCCAGTGGTCTAAGGTGCTTTCCTGAGTGGCTCTTTCCACCAAGTGCTCGTCCAACTCGGGGGCCTGGAGGCAGGGGTGGTCTCTCTTGAGCTCTCCTTGCGTTGCTCGCCTGTCGGTGTCTTCTGCGCCAAGGGCTCTTGGTTCCCTGCCTCTTGACACACTCTCACTGTGTCTTTCCCATTCACTCTTCTGGATGTAAAAGAGGACGTAGGCCTGTTGACTCAGGACAGAAGTGATGCTAGAGGCGGTGACCTCGGCATCATCCATTTTATACCACTGGCCTTCTTGAGCTTTGACATAAGAGAAGTAATGTCCGTTGTGACAACTCCACCCAGCGTGGACCAGCACAGCATAGAGGACATAGACGAGAGGTCCTGTGTTCGGCTGAGACATGTATGGCTGCATGTCAAGGCACTCAGGATATTGCACATTCTTGGCAATCTTGTTGCCTGTGACATCGGAGAATCTCTTCAATACAAGGATGAGGACCTTGGCAGAGGTGTGTAAAGTTAACGTCTTGGAGGCCGGCGCCCTCTGGAGACAAACACCACAATGATAGGCATTCTCTCCATTGAGTTCTTCGGGCTTCACCAACTGTTCCAAAGCTTGCTGGACACTCTGAGCTGCCTGGATATCCAGGGCGATGTCCAGGTAAGGGTCAAAAGTGTCTGAAATGCCGTGGCAGTGGAGACACTTGATTTGAGATCTCCAGTAGCCTCCAAATATTTGGTGGATGAGGGTGGTGTCCTTAGAGTGATGATCTACCTGCTTGTGCCCGGGAAGGCATGCCTTTTTCATGGCATCCACAGTGAACATGAGAAATTCATGGGCATCTTCCTGCTTGCCTCTATGGAAGCCAGCAGCCAATGCCTGTGAGGGCTGGATGACGTGGCCAGGATTGTGGAGGGCCCGTGTGATGTGAGCTTGCATAGTACAGAGCATGCAGCCCTTGTGACGATGACACGTTTGAGAGTGCTCCCGGGACAGCATGTAGTTGGCAAGGGGCGGTGTGTATGTCAGGCACTGCAAGGAAGCGTTCACGTAGCAGGTATTTCCCATATTCTGGAGCCCAGCCCCCACCGCAGCAGGTCTCCTGCTACTCAGAGGAAGCTTCTCCCTGGGAGCAAGCTGTCTTGCCACAGGAGCCAAATCATCACAGAGGTCGACACGGGTCTCACATGAGAGTGGTGACTTCTCAGGGAGAGAAGTCCGCTGGATTTCAGCAAAAGCTGCATCGGGCCGAGAAGATGTGAGTTTTGAAAAGTGGTTGAACTGCCACTCACCTCTCAAGTAGAGTGAGTCGTCCTCCATGTCGACTGGAACGAGGATCACAAGGTTTGTCTGCTGGGACCGCAGGTTGCAGAAAGACGCTATCCCTTCCGAGAGAGTCTTCAAATGACGAGCTCTCTGGCCGCATCAGCCCTTCTGTAAGTCACCCCCACCAACCGCGAACACCCCACCCACTCATCAGGTGCGCGATAAGCCAATCAAATATCAGCACTCAATTCAGGAAGGAGTCACAGGGTGTGTCCCCTGGCATCGCTGGGAATTCAACAGACACAGCCCACAGCATGACTTCCAGAACACCTGAATCAAATTACTCCTCAGGATGATAGGCACATATAATAGGAGTGTATCCGGGTTGGGACAGTGGCCTCACAGTTGCCTTATTTTAGGTAAAGCAATGGCAGGGAAGAAATCTTTACCTAGGAAACCGTGTGCGTGTGTGTGTGTGAGTGTGTTTGTGTGTGTGGGGGGGGGGCGTGTGTGTGTGTGTGTTTGTGCTGGGATGAACCTCCAAGTAGGTACTTTTGGCAGCTGCCATCATCCTCTCAGCGAAGGAAGGACAAGAAGTCGAAAGTGCGCTTTCTGACCTGAGAATAGTCAATGAAGTATAGTATTTAGCACAGCGTATTTTCTTCCCTAGTGAGAAAGGAGAGATCCGTGGAATCAAACAGACCTTCCAGCGATAACCTTTCCACGTTGAGCCTATTGATTCTCTGTCCGAGTGAAATTACCTGCCAGTGGAGAACAAGACAAGTCTTTGCATGAAATGCTCTTGTGGAAGCTAGATTGCCAAATAATAAAGCATCAAATGGTAGAAACATGCACTGAAGTTTGAAGAGATACTCAGTGCACAAAGTAGACTGTGAAAGCCTTTGGGGAAATCATGCAATCCCCGAGAGACTAATTGATGACAATCCCCAAATTTATGTTTGCCAGAAAAGAGAGACGGTCATGACACCGCATAGTGAGCGGTTTCGGACGTGCGACGGCAGTTTAAGAAAACACGAAACAAAAAACTTGAGAACTCAGAAGGTATCCCAGCTATAACCTTTTGTTTATTAAGGAATTGATGAAAATAAAAACAACGTATCTCACAGCATGTGTGATAATATTTCCATACGTATGTGATAATGGATCAACGTTTCCTAGAGATGAAATAAAAAGTTCTAATTTGGACAAAAGCAAACAAGGAAAATTATACCGTAGAAAAGCCCGGCTGACGGAAGTGAGGCCCTGTCTCAGGGAGAAACATCGGAGACGTTTAAAAGCAGGGAGTGAAACAGAGGATAGCGTGCCATTTTTAATACTGGCCCTTGTTTCAGTGGGAAAAGGCCAAAATAAGCCGTGCATATCCTGGATTCTCGCATCGATCGTTCAGGATCGGAGATGTTGCCTCCATTTCCAGTTACGCATTGTATGGTGGAATTGCAGTTAGCACATTTGGTGCCAAAATTGTAATGCTGCCGAAAGTGGACATGTTCCCTGAAGTAAGAGGGACAGAATTTGGGTGTGTCTTCCGGCTGTCTGGCTTAGCAGGAATGAAGATCCTGGCTCTAGGGATTTTCCCAACATGTCTTAGACGGTAAGGAACAGGGCGGAATTGAGGCCCGGCGCCAAGGCCTCTAGGTGTAAAGAAACAGCCCTGGCTTCAGGGCCCATGAAATTAGGATGATTTTAAGGAGGATGATGGGATGAGAGGACTGTGACCTTTGGCCCCGTTTCTTTCCCTTGTCTTTTCATGGGCCAGGTGTGCTCCATCAGAAGGCTTCCTGTGCCGGATGTAAAGTGTCCTGGGGGAAGAAAAGAGCGCTGCTTAGAAAGATGCTCCACAGGGAGAAAGGAGCCACCATTTTCAGGAGAATGATCCCCAGAAGCATGAGCAATGCAGATGCCGAGGCTTCACACAAGACCCTGGAGGGTCTTATTCCTGCAGCCGGGACCTGGGCATCGGTGTGCTTGAATGCTCATAACCGATTTTGAGGGGAGCCCAATCGATAAGCTGTCTGCCAGTCATGCTCATCACACTGTAGTTTTCACACACGTCACACGGAGACCCTGTTCGTATGCACATTTGGGTGCTTGAGCAGGGTTGCGCCCAAGATTCTGTGGTTCTACGGAGCCCTGAGTTGTGCCCTGGGCAGCTTTCCTCTGGGGTTGGTCAACTTTGATCACTGTACCTGACGAGAAAGGGACCATGAAGTCTAATCAGCAAATAGAGAAAAGGAAGGGGCCATTTCCCACAATCATTTCCACGGAAACACCACGTCGGATCAATAAGTCTCACTGCGGGACAGGGACTGTGCTTCAGAGATGCAGCTTTCGCAGCTGGACAAATGACCCAGAAATTCCCCAAATGCCATTTTTAAACACACCCAGTGAGATTGATTGCAGGGCTTTCTGAATTTATTTCAGTTGAATACACACACTCCTGTGTTTGCTTTCCTTTATTATCAATACAGCTTACTTCCAGATGACTTACATGCCCGTGGGAAAATTTTCCGTTTCGACTCATGGGAAGCGGGCACCGTGAAACAGGCAAGTCGGTCTGTCCGCTTCCGGCGTTATGTGGGTTCCAGCAAGAGCACAAGTCCCAGGGCGCCTGAGGTCCATTCAGGAACCAGTGTAAAAACGGCGAGCCCGGGGAAGAAAGAAGAGCACCGTTCTTCTCTTCCAAATGCATTCCAGTTTCCACTATTCAAGGTGGCGAGAATGATCCACGGATGTCCCACATGAGCCACATTTCACCTTCTCATGCCGACCAACAACTGACGAATGAAACACACCCCAAGAGAAAATACGAAACCGAGTCCCCTGCAATTACCTCACACGCAAACCTACACGTCGGTAGGTCATATTCAGAAATACACACTGAATGTCACCTATCATGAACACAAACACTCAGACAGTCCCTCCAGAGGTTCGGAAGACTCACGACCCCAAAACTTGATGTTTCCCATATGCGGGCTCATCCTGAGATGTAGCCATCACTATCCAGTTGTCCCTGTTGTAGAGACAGAAACTTGGGCTCCTCATTAGTTTATGTAGGATTGACGGTGTTCGTGTTTGTGTGGGTGTGTGTGTGTTTGCGTGCGCGCTTCTGGGTGTAGTTATGTGTGTGTCTGTGTGTGTGCGTGTGTGTGTGCACCCCTACGTGTGGGTCGGTACTTCCACTGAGATCACTGGCACACAAGCAGAGCCCTCTTGCTGTGTTTGTTCTTCCCTTTGGATCTCCTGGCCCTCCCTCGCAGGGAAGCGAGTGTGCCAGTGTTCATGGACTCCTGATGTGTCGGGGTCGACGAAGAGAGGTTTAGCAGGGAGCTTTGCTGTTCAGGATGATGGTTCTTCATCCCACACTTGTATTTTGATTGATGAATCACAAGTACGTCGGGAGGCAGGGTACCTTCGACTTTTCTGACGTTGAACTCAGGCTTCGTTTTGTTTTGCTCTTGAAGGAATTTCCAGTGGTCTAAGGTGCTTTCCTGAGTGGCTCTTTCCACCAAGTGCTCGTCCAACTCGGGGGCCTGGAGGCAGGGGTGGTCTCTCTTGAGCTCTCCTTGCGTTGCTCGCCTGTCGGTGTCTTCTGCGCCAAGGGCTCTTGGTTCCCTGCCTCTTGACACACTCTCACTGTGTCTTTCCCATTCACTCTTCTGGATGTAAAAGAGGACGTAGGCCTGTTGACTCAGGACAGAAGTGATGCTAGAGGCGGTGACCTCGGCATCATCCATTTTATACCACTGGCCTTCTTGAGCTTTGACATAAGAGAAGTAATGTCCGTTGTGACAACTCCACCCAGCGTGGACCAGCACAGCATAGAGGACATAGACGAGAGGTCCTGTGTTCGGCTGAGACATGTATGGCTGCATGTCAAGGCACTCAGGATATTGCACATTCTTGGCAATCTTGTTGCCTGTGACATCGGAGAATCTCTTCAATACAAGGATGAGGACCTTGGCAGAGGTGTGTAAAGTTAACGTCTTGGAGGCCGGCGCCCTCTGGAGACAAACACCACAATGATAGGCATTCTCTCCATTGAGTTCTTCGGGCTTCGCCAACTGTTCCAAAGCTTGCTGGACACTCTGAGCTGCCTGGATATCCAGGGCGATGTCCAGGTAAGGGTCAAAAGTGTCTGAAATGCCGTGGCAGTGGAGACACTTGATTTGAGATCTCCAGTAGCCTCCAAATATTTGGTGGATGAGGGTGGTGTCCTTAGAGTGATGATCTACCTGCTTGTGCCCGGGAAGGCATGCCTTTTTCATGGCATCCACAGTGAACATGAGAAATTCATGGGCATCTTCCTGCTTGCCTCTATGGAAGCCAGCAGCCAATGCCTGTGAGGGCTGGATGACGTGGCCAGGATTGTGGAGGGCCCGTGTGATGTGAGCTTGCATAGTACAGAGCATGCAGCCCTTGTGACGATGACACGTTTGAGAGTGCTCCCGGGACAGCATGTAGTTGGCAAGGGGCGGTGTGTATGTCAGGCACTGCAAGGAAGCGTTCACGTAGCAGGTATTTCCCATATTCTGGAGCCCAGCCCCCACCGCAGCAGGTCTCCTGCTACTCAGAGGAAGCTTCTCCCTGGGAGCAAGCTGTCTTGCCACAGGAGCCAAATCATCACAGAGGTCGACACGGGTCTCACATGAGAGTGGTGACTTCTCAGGGAGAGAAGTCCGCTGGATTTCAGCAAAAGCTGCATCGGGCCGAGAAGATGTGAGTTTTGAAAAGTGGTTGAACTGCCACTCACCTCTCAAGTAGAGTGAGTCGTCCTCCATGTCGACTGGAACGAGGATCACAAGGTTTGTCTGCTGGGACCGCAGGTTGCAGAAAGACGCTATCCCTTCCGAGAGAGTCTTCAAATGACGAGCTCTCTGGCCGCATCAGCCCTTCTGTAAGTCACCCCCACCAACCGCGAACACCCCACCCACTCATCAGGTGCGCGATAAGCCAATCAAATATCAGCACTCAATTCAGGAAGGAGTCACAGGGTGTGTCCCCTGGCATCGCTGGGAATTCAACAGACACAGCCCACAGCATGACTTCCAGAACACCTGAATCAAATTACTCCTCAGGATGATAGGCACATATAATAGGAGTGTATCCGGGTTGGGACAGTGGCCTCACAGTTGCCTTATTTTAGGTAAAGCAATGGCAGGGAAGAAATCTTTACCTAGGAAACCGTGTGCGTGTGTGTGTGTGAGTGTGTTTGTGTGTGTGGGGGGGGGGCGTGTGTGTGTGTGTGTTTGTGCTGGGATGAACCTCCAAGTAGGTACTTTTGGCAGCTGCCATCATCCTCTCAGCGAAGGAAGGACAAGAAGTCGAAAGTGCGCTTTCTGACCTGAGAATAGTCAATGAAGTATAGTATTTAGCACAGCGTATTTTCTTCCCTAGTGAGAAAGGAGAGATCCGTGGAATCAAACAGACCTTCCAGCGATAACCTTTCCACGTTGAGCCTATTGATTCTCTGTCCGAGTGAAATTACCTGCCAGTGGAGAACAAGACAAGTCTTTGCATGAAATGCTCTTGTGGAAGCTAGATTGCCAAATAATAAAGCATCAAATGGTAGAAACATGCACTGAAGTTTGAAGAGATACTCAGTGCACAAAGTAGACTGTGAAAGCCTTTGGGGAAATCATGCAATCCCCGAGAGACTAATTGATGACAATCCCCAAATTTATGTTTGCCAGAAAAGAGAGACGGTCATGACACCGCATAGTGAGCGGTTTCGGACGTGCGACGGCAGTTTAAGAAAACACGAAACAAAAAACTTGAGAACTCAGAAGGTATCCCAGCTATAACCTTTTGTTTATTAAGGAATTGATGAAAATAAAAACAACGTATCTCACAGCATGTGTGATAATATTTCCATACGTATGTGATAATGGATCAACGTTTCCTAGAGATGAAATAAAAAGTTCTAATTTGGACAAAAGCAAACAAGGAAAATTATACCGTAGAAAAGCCCGGCTGACGGAAGTGAGGCCCTGTCTCAGGGAGAAACATCGGAGACGTTTAAAAGCAGGGAGTGAAACAGAGGATAGCGTGCCATTTTTAATACTGGCCCTTGTTTCAGTGGGAAAAGGCCAAAATAAGCCGTGCATATCCTGGATTCTCGCATCGATCGTTCAGGATCGGAGATGTTGCCTCCATTTCCAGTTACGCATTGTATGGTGGAATTGCAGTTAGCACATTTGGTGCCAAAATTGTAATGCTGCCGAAAGTGGACATGTTCCCTGAAGTAAGAGGGACAGAATTTGGGTGTGTCTTCCGGCTGTCTGGCTTAGCAGGAATGAAGATCCTGGCTCTAGGGATTTTCCCAACATGTCTTAGACGGTAAGGAACAGGGCGGAATTGAGGCCCGGCGCCAAGGCCTCTAGGTGTAAAGAAACAGCCCTGGCTTCAGGGCCCATGAAATTAGGATGATTTTAAGGAGGATGATGGGATGAGAGGACTGTGACCTTTGGCCCCGTTTCTTTCCCTTGTCTTTTCATGGGCCAGGTGTGCTCCATCAGAAGGCTTCCTGTGCCGGATGTAAAGTGTCCTGGGGGAAGAAAAGAGCGCTGCTTAGAAAGATGCTCCACAGGGAGAAAGGAGCCACCATTTTCAGGAGAATGATCCCCAGAAGCATGAGCAATGCAGATGCCGAGGCTTCACACAAGACCCTGGAGGGTCTTATTCCTGCAGCCGGGACCTGGGCATCGGTGTGCTTGAATGCTCATAACCGATTTTGAGGGGAGCCCAATCGATAAGCTGTCTGCCAGTCATGCTCATCACACTGTAGTTTTCACACACGTCACACGGAGACCCTGTTCGTATGCACATTTGGGTGCTTGAGCAGGGTTGCGCCCAAGATTCTGTGGTTCTACGGAGCCCTGAGTTGTGCCCTGGGCAGCTTTCCTCTGGGGTTGGTCAACTTTGATCACTGTACCTGACGAGAAAGGGACCATGAAGTCTAATCAGCAAATAGAGAAAAGGAAGGGGCCATTTCCCACAATCATTTCCACGGAAACACCACGTCGGATCAATAAGTCTCACTGCGGGACAGGGACTGTGCTTCAGAGATGCAGCTTTCGCAGCTGGACAAATGACCCAGAAATTCCCCAAATGCCATTTTTAAACACACCCAGTGAGATTGATTTCAGGGCTTTCTGAATTTATTTCAGTTGAATACACACACTCCTGTGTTTGCTTTCCTTTATTATCAATACAGCTTACTTCCAGATGACTTACATGCCCGTGGGAAAATTTTCCGTTTCGACTCATGGGAAGCGGGCACCGTGAAACAGGCAAGTCGGTCTGTCCGCTTCCGGCGTTATGTGGGTTCCAGCAAGAGCACAAGTCCCAGGGCGCCTGAGGTCCATTCAGGAACCAGTGTAAAAACGGCGAGCCCGGGGAAGAAAGAAGAGCACCGTTCTTCTCTTCCAAATGCATTCCAGTTTCCACTATTCAAGGTGGCGAGAATGATCCACGGATGTCCCACATGAGCCACATTTCACCTTCTCATGCCGACCAACAACTGACGAATGAAACACACCCCAAGAGAAAATACGAAACCGAGTCCCCTGCAATTACCTCACACGCAAACCTACACGTCGGTAGGTCATATTCAGAAATACACACTGAATGTCACCTATCATGAACACAAACACTCAGACAGTCCCTCCAGAGGTTCGGAAGACTCACGACCCCAAAACTTGATGTTTCCCATATGCGGGCTCATCCTGAGATGTAGCCATCACTATCCAGTTGTCCCTGTTGTAGAGACAGAAACTTGGGCTCCTCATTAGTTTATGTAGGATTGACGGTGTTCGTGTTTGTGTGGGTGTGTGTGTGTTTGCGTGCGCGCTTCTGGGTGTAGTTATGTGTGTGTCTGTGTGTGTGCGTGTGTGTGTGCACCCCTACGTGTGGGTCGGTACTTCCACTGAGATCACTGGCACACAAGCAGAGCCCTCTTGCTGTGTTTGTTCTTCCCTTTGGATCTCCTGGCCCTCCCTCGCAGGGAAGCGAGTGTGCCAGTGTTCATGGACTCCTGATGTGTCGGGGTCGACGAAGAGAGGTTTAGCAGGGAGCTTTGCTGTTCAGGATGATGGTTCTTCATCCCACACTTGTATTTTGATTGATGAATCACAAGTACGTCGGGAGGCAGGGTACCTTCGACTTTTCTGACGTTGAACTCAGGCTTCGTTTTGTTTTGCTCTTGAAGGAATTTCCAGTGGTCTAAGGTGCTTTCCTGAGTGGCTCTTTCCACCAAGTGCTCGTCCAACTCGGGGGCCTGGAGGCAGGGGTGGTCTCTCTTGAGCTCTCCTTGCGTTGCTCGCCTGTCGGTGTCTTCTGCGCCAAGGGCTCTTGGTTCCCTGCCTCTTGACACACTCTCACTGTGTCTTTCCCATTCACTCTTCTGGATGTAAAAGAGGACGTAGGCCTGTTGACTCAGGACAGAAGTGATGCTAGAGGCGGTGACCTCGGCATCATCCATTTTATACCACTGGCCTTCTTGAGCTTTGACATAAGAGAAGTAATGTCCGTTGTGACAACTCCACCCAGCGTGGACCAGCACAGCATAGAGGACATAGACGAGAGGTCCTGTGTTCGGCTGAGACATGTATGGCTGCATGTCAAGGCACTCAGGATATTGCACATTCTTGGCAATCTTGTTGCCTGTGACATCGGAGAATCTCTTCAATACAAGGATGAGGACCTTGGCAGAGGTGTGTAAAGTTAACGTCTTGGAGGCCGGCGCCCTCTGGAGACAAACACCACAATGATAGGCATTCTCTCCATTGAGTTCTTCGGGCTTCACCAACTGTTCCAAAGCTTGCTGGACACTCTGAGCTGCCTGGATATCCAGGGCGATGTCCAGGTAAGGGTCAAAAGTGTCTGAAATGCCGTGGCAGTGGAGACACTTGATTTGAGATCTCCAGTAGCCTCCAAATATTTGGTGGATGAGGGTGGTGTCCTTAGAGTGATGATCTACCTGCTTGTGCCCGGGAAGGCATGCCTTTTTCATGGCATCCACAGTGAACATGAGAAATTCATGGGCATCTTCCTGCTTGCCTCTATGGAAGCCAGCAGCCAATGCCTGTGAGGGCTGGATGACGTGGCCAGGATTGTGGAGGGCCCGTGTGATGTGAGCTTGCATAGTACAGAGCATGCAGCCCTTGTGACGATGACACGTTTGAGAGTGCTCCCGGGACAGCATGTAGTTGGCAAGGGGCGGTGTGTATGTCAGGCACTGCAAGGAAGCGTTCACGTAGCAGGTATTTCCCATATTCTGGAGCCCAGCCCCCACCGCAGCAGGTCTCCTGCTACTCAGAGGAAGCTTCTCCCTGGGAGCAAGCTGTCTTGCCACAGGAGCCAAATCATCACAGAGGTCGACACGGGTCTCACATGAGAGTGGTGACTTCTCAGGGAGAGAAGTCCGCTGGATTTCAGCAAAAGCTGCATCGGGCCGAGAAGATGTGAGTTTTGAAAAGTGGTTGAACTGCCACTCACCTCTCAAGTAGAGTGAGTCGTCCTCCATGTCGACTGGAACGAGGATCACAAGGTTTGTCTGCTGGGACCGCAGGTTGCAGAAAGACGATATCCCTTCCGAGAGAGTCTTCAAATGACGAGCTCTCTGGCCGCATCAGCCCTTCTGTAAGTCACCCCCACCAACCGCGAACACCCCACCCACTCATCAGG
Source organism: Homo sapiens (assembly GCF_000001405.40). NCBI lineage: Eukaryota > Metazoa > Chordata > Mammalia > Primates > Hominidae > Homo > Homo sapiens. The sequence goes on along the minus strand of NC_000004.12, from coordinate 9,334,496 downwards.
TGCGCGATAAGCCAATCAAATATCAGCACTCAATTCAGGAAGGAGTCACAGGGTGTGTCCCCTGGCATCGCTGGGAATTCAACAGACACAGCCCACAGCATGACTTCCAGAACACCTGAATCAAATTACTCCTCAGGATGATAGGCACATATAATAGGAGTGTATCCGGGTTGGGACAGTGGCCTCACAGTTGCCTTATTTTAGGTAAAGCAATGGCAGGGAAGAAATCTTTACCTAGGAAACCGTGTGCGTGTGTGTGTGTGAGTGTGTTTGTGTGTGTGGGGGGGGGGGGCGTGTGTGTGTGTGTGTTTGTGCTGGGATGAACCTCCAAGTAGGTACTTTTGGCAGCTGCCATCATCCTCTCAGCGAAGGAAGGACAAGAAGTCGAAAGTGCGCTTTCTGACCTGAGAATAGTCAATGAAGTATAGTATTTAGCACAGCGTATTTTCTTCCCTAGTGAGAAAGGAGAGATCCGTGGAATCAAACAGACCTTCCAGCGATAACCTTTCCACGTTGAGCCTATTGATTCTCTGTCCGAGTGAAATTACCTGCCAGTGGAGAACAAGACAAGTCTTTGCATGAAATGCTCTTGTGGAAGCTAGATTGCCAAATAATAAAGCATCAAATGGTAGAAACATGCACTGAAGTTTGAAGAGATACTCAGTGCACAAAGTAGACTGTGAAAGCCTTTGGGGAAATCATGCAATCCCCGAGAGACTAATTGATGACAATCCCCAAATTTATGTTTGCCAGAAAAGAGAGACGGTCATGACACCGCATAGTGAGCGGTTTCGGACGTGCGACGGCAGTTTAAGAAAACACGAAACAAAAAACTTGAGAACTCAGAAGGTATCCCAGCTATAACCTTTTGTTTATTAAGGAATTGATGAAAATAAAAACAACGTATCTCACAGCATGTGTGATAATATTTCCATACGTATGTGATAATGGATCAACGTTTCCTAGAGATGAAATAAAAAGTTCTAATTTGGACAAAAGCAAACAAGGAAAATTATACCGTAGAAAAGCCCGGCTGACGGAAGTGAGGCCCTGTCTCAGGGAGAAACATCGGAGACGTTTAAAAGCAGGGAGTGAAACAGAGGATAGCGTGCCATTTTTAATACTGGCCCTTGTTTCAGTGGGAAAAGGCCAAAATAAGCCGTGCATATCCTGGATTCTCGCATCGATCGTTCAGGATCGGAGATGTTGCCTCCATTTCCAGTTACGCATTGTATGGTGGAATTGCAGTTAGCACATTTGGTGCCAAAATTGTAATGCTGCCGAAAGTGGACATGTTCCCTGAAGTAAGAGGGACAGAATTTGGGTGTGTCTTCCGGCTGTCTGGCTTAGCAGGAATGAAGATCCTGGCTCTAGGGATTTTCCCAACATGTCTTAGACGGTAAGGAACAGGGCGGAATTGAGGCCCGGCGCCAAGGCCTCTAGGTGTAAAGAAACAGCCCTGGCTTCAGGGCCCATGAAATTAGGATGATTTTAAGGAGGATGATGGGATGAGAGGACTGTGACCTTTGGCCCCGTTTCTTTCCCTTGTCTTTTCATGGGCCAGGTGTGCTCCATCAGAAGGCTTCCTGTGCCGGATGTAAAGTGTCCTGGGGGAAGAAAAGAGCGCTGCTTAGAAAGATGCTCCACAGGGAGAAAGGAGCCACCATTTTCAGGAGAATGATCCCCAGAAGCATGAGCAATGCAGATGCCGAGGCTTCACACAAGACCCTGGAGGGTCTTATTCCTGCAGCCGGGACCTGGGCATCGGTGTGCTTGAATGCTCATAACCGATTTTGAGGGGAGCCCAATCGATAAGCTGTCTGCCAGTCATGCTCATCACACTGTAGTTTTCACACACGTCACACGGAGACCCTGTTCGTATGCACATTTGGGTGCTTGAGCAGGGTTGCGCCCAAGATTCTGTGGTTCTACGGAGCCCTGAGTTGTGCCCTGGGCAGCTTTCCTCTGGGGTTGGTCAACTTTGATCACTGTACCTGACGAGAAAGGGACCATGAAGTCTAATCAGCAAATAGAGAAAAGGAAGGGGCCATTTCCCACAATCATTTCCACGGAAACACCACGTCGGATCAATAAGTCTCACTGCGGGACAGGGACTGTGCTTCAGAGATGCAGCTTTCGCAGCTGGACAAATGACCCAGAAATTCCCCAAATGCCATTTTTAAACACACCCAGTGAGATTGATTTCAGGGCTTTCTGAATTTATTTCAGTTGAATACACACACTCCTGTGTTTGCTTTCCTTTATTATCAATACAGCTTACTTCCAGATGACTTACATGCCCGTGGGAAAATTTTCCGTTTCGACTCATGGGAAGCGGGCACCGTGAAACAGGCAAGTCGGTCTGTCCGCTTCCGGCGTTATGTGGGTTCCAGCAAGAGCACAAGTCCCAGGGCGCCTGAGGTCCATTCAGGAACCAGTGTAAAAACGGCGAGCCCGGGGAAGAAAGAAGAGCACCGTTCTTCTCTTCCAAATGCATTCCAGTTTCCACTATTCAAGGTGGCGAGAATGATCCACGGATGTCCCACATGAGCCACATTTCACCTTCTCATGCCGACCAACAACTGACGAATGAAACACACCCCAAGAGAAAATACGAAACCGAGTCCCCTGCAATTACCTCACACGCAAACCTACACGTCGGTAGGTCATATTCAGAAATACACACTGAATGTCACCTATCATGAACACAAACACTCAGACAGTCCCTCCAGAGGTTCGGAAGACTCACGACCCCAAAACTTGATGTTTCCCATATGCGGGCTCATCCTGAGATGTAGCCATCACTATCCAGTTGTCCCTGTTGTAGAGACAGAAACTTGGGCTCCTCATTAGTTTATGTAGGATTGACGGTGTTCGTGTTTGTGTGGGTGTGTGTGTGTTTGCGTGCGCGCTTCTGGGTGTAGTTATGTGTGTGTCTGTGTGTGTGCGTGTGTGTGTGCACCCCTACGTGTGGGTCGGTACTTCCACTGAGATCACTGGCACACAAGCAGAGCCCTCTTGCTGTGTTTGTTCTTCCCTTTGGATCTCCTGGCCCTCCCTCGCAGGGAAGCGAGTGTGCCAGTGTTCATGGACTCCTGATGTGTCGGGGTCGACGAAGAGAGGTTTAGCAGGGAGCTTTGCTGTTCAGGATGATGGTTCTTCATCCCACACTTGTATTTTGATTGATGAATCACAAGTACGTCGGGAGGCAGGGTACCTTCGACTTTTCTGACGTTGAACTCAGGCTTCGTTTTGTTTTGCTCTTGAAGGAATTTCCAGTGGTCTAAGGTGCTTTCCTGAGTGGCTCTTTCCACCAAGTGCTCGTCCAACTCGGGGGCCTGGAGGCAGGGGTGGTCTCTCTTGAGCTCTCCTTGCGTTGCTCGCCTGTCGGTGTCTTCTGCGCCAAGGGCTCTTGGTTCCCTGCCTCTTGACACACTCTCACTGTGTCTTTCCCATTCACTCTTCTGGATGTAAAAGAGGACGTAGGCCTGTTGACTCAGGACAGAAGTGATGCTAGAGGCGGTGACCTCGGCATCATCCATTTTATACCACTGGCCTTCTTGAGCTTTGACATAAGAGAAGTAATGTCCGTTGTGACAACTCCACCCAGCGTGGACCAGCACAGCATAGAGGACATAGACGAGAGGTCCTGTGTTCGGCTGAGACATGTATGGCTGCATGTCAAGGCACTCAGGATATTGCACATTCTTGGCAATCTTGTTGCCTGTGACATCGGAGAATCTCTTCAATACAAGGATGAGGACCTTGGCAGAGGTGTGTAAAGTTAACGTCTTGGAGGCCGGCGCCCTCTGGAGACAAACACCACAATGATAGGCATTCTCTCCATTGAGTTCTTCGGGCTTCACCAACTGTTCCAAAGCTTGCTGGACACTCTGAGCTGCCTGGATATCCAGGGCGATGTCCAGGTAAGGGTCAAAAGTGTCTGAAATGCCGTGGCAGTGGAGACACTTGATTTGAGATCTCCAGTAGCCTCCAAATATTTGGTGGATGAGGGTGGTGTCCTTAGAGTGATGATCTACCTGCTTGTGCCCGGGAAGGCATGCCTTTTTCATGGCATCCACAGTGAACATGAGAAATTCATGGGCATCTTCCTGCTTGCCTCTATGGAAGCCAGCAGCCAATGCCTGTGAGGGCTGGATGACGTGGCCAGGATTGTGGAGGGCCCGTGTGATGTGAGCTTGCATAGTACAGAGCATGCAGCCCTTGTGACGATGACACGTTTGAGAGTGCTCCCGGGACAGCATGTAGTTGGCAAGGGGCGGTGTGTATGTCAGGCACTGCAAGGAAGCGTTCACGTAGCAGGTATTTCCCATATTCTGGAGCCCAGCCCCCACCGCAGCAGGTCTCCTGCTACTCAGAGGAAGCTTCTCCCTGGGAGCAAGCTGTCTTGCCACAGGAGCCAAATCATCACAGAGGTCGACACGGGTCTCACATGAGAGTGGTGACTTCTCAGGGAGAGAAGTCCGCTGGATTTCAGCAAAAGCTGCATCGGGCCGAGAAGATGTGAGTTTTGAAAAGTGGTTGAACTGCCACTCACCTCTCAAGTAGAGTGAGTCGTCCTCCATGTCGACTGGAACGAGGATCACAAGGTTTGTCTGCTGGGACCGCAGGTTGCAGAAAGACGCTATCCCTTCCGAGAGAGTCTTCAAATGACGAGCTCTCTGGCCGCATCAGCCCTTCTGTAAGTCACCCCCACCAACCGCGAACACCCCACCCACTCATCAGGTGCGCGATAAGCCAATCAAATATCAGCACTCAATTCAGGAAGGAGTCACAGGGTGTGTCCCCTGGCATCGCTGGGAATTCAACAGACACAGCCCACAGCATGACTTCCAGAACACCTGAATCAAATTACTCCTCAGGATGATAGGCACATATAATAGGAGTGTATCCGGGTTGGGACAGTGGCCTCACAGTTGCCTTATTTTAGGTAAAGCAATGGCAGGGAAGAAATCTTTACCTAGGAAACCGTGTGCGTGTGTGTGTGTGAGTGTGTTTGTGTGTGTGGGGGGGGGGGCGTGTGTGTGTGTGTGTTTGTGCTGGGATGAACCTCCAAGTAGGTACTTTTGGCAGCTGCCATCATCCTCTCAGCGAAGGAAGGACAAGAAGTCGAAAGTGCGCTTTCTGACCTGAGAATAGTCAATGAAGTATAGTATTTAGCACAGCGTATTTTCTTCCCTAGTGAGAAAGGAGAGATCCGTGGAATCAAACAGACCTTCCAGCGATAACCTTTCCACGTTGAGCCTATTGATTCTCTGTCCGAGTGAAATTACCTGCCAGTGGAGAACAAGACAAGTCTTTGCATGAAATGCTCTTGTGGAAGCTAGATTGCCAAATAATAAAGCATCAAATGGTAGAAACATGCACTGAAGTTTGAAGAGATACTCAGTGCACAAAGTAGACTGTGAAAGCCTTTGGGGAAATCATGCAATCCCCGAGAGACTAATTGATGACAATCCCCAAATTTATGTTTGCCAGAAAAGAGAGACGGTCATGACACCGCATAGTGAGCGGTTTCGGACGTGCGACGGCAGTTTAAGAAAACACGAAACAAAAAACTTGAGAACTCAGAAGGTATCCCAGCTATAACCTTTTGTTTATTAAGGAATTGATGAAAATAAAAACAACGTATCTCACAGCATGTGTGATAATATTTCCATACGTATGTGATAATGGATCAACGTTTCCTAGAGATGAAATAAAAAGTTCTAATTTGGACAAAAGCAAACAAGGAAAATTATACCGTAGAAAAGCCCGGCTGACGGAAGTGAGGCCCTGTCTCAGGGAGAAACATCGGAGACGTTTAAAAGCAGGGAGTGAAACAGAGGATAGCGTGCCATTTTTAATACTGGCCCTTGTTTCAGTGGGAAAAGGCCAAAATAAGCCGTGCATATCCTGGATTCTCGCATCGATCGTTCAGGATCGGAGATGTTGCCTCCATTTCCAGTTACGCATTGTATGGTGGAATTGCAGTTAGCACATTTGGTGCCAAAATTGTAATGCTGCCGAAAGTGGACATGTTCCCTGAAGTAAGAGGGACAGAATTTGGGTGTGTCTTCCGGCTGTCTGGCTTAGCAGGAATGAAGATCCTGGCTCTAGGGATTTTCCCAACATGTCTTAGACGGTAAGGAACAGGGCGGAATTGAGGCCCGGCGCCAAGGCCTCTAGGTGTAAAGAAACAGCCCTGGCTTCAGGGCCCATGAAATTAGGATGATTTTAAGGAGGATGATGGGATGAGAGGACTGTGACCTTTGGCCCCGTTTCTTTCCCTTGTCTTTTCATGGGCCAGGTGTGCTCCATCAGAAGGCTTCCTGTGCCGGATGTAAAGTGTCCTGGGGGAAGAAAAGAGCGCTGCTTAGAAAGATGCTCCACAGGGAGAAAGGAGCCACCATTTTCAGGAGAATGATCCCCAGAAGCATGAGCAATGCAGATGCCGAGGCTTCACACAAGACCCTGGAGGGTCTTATTCCTGCAGCCGGGACCTGGGCATCGGTGTGCTTGAATGCTCATAACCGATTTTGAGGGGAGCCCAATCGATAAGCTGTCTGCCAGTCATGCTCATCACACTGTAGTTTTCACACACGTCACACGGAGACCCTGTTCGTATGCACATTTGGGTGCTTGAGCAGGGTTGCGCCCAAGATTCTGTGGTTCTACGGAGCCCTGAGTTGTGCCCTGGGCAGCTTTCCTCTGGGGTTGGTCAACTTTGATCACTGTACCTGACGAGAAAGGGACCATGAAGTCTAATCAGCAAATAGAGAAAAGGAAGGGGCCATTTCCCACAATCATTTCCACGGAAACACCACGTCGGATCAATAAGTCTCACTGCGGGACAGGGACTGTGCTTCAGAGATGCAGCTTTCGCAGCTGGACAAATGACCCAGAAATTCCCCAAATGCCATTTTTAAACACACCCAGTGAGATTGATTTCAGGGCTTTCTGAATTTATTTCAGTTGAATACACACACTCCTGTGTTTGCTTTCCTTTATTATCAATACAGCTTACTTCCAGATGACTTACATGCCCGTGGGAAAATTTTCCGTTTCGACTCATGGGAAGCGGGCACCGTGAAACAGGCAAGTCGGTCTGTCCGCTTCCGGCGTTATGTGGGTTCCAGCAAGAGCACAAGTCCCAGGGCGCCTGAGGTCCATTCAGGAACCAGTGTAAAAACGGCGAGCCCGGGGAAGAAAGAAGAGCACCGTTCTTCTCTTCCAAATGCATTCCAGTTTCCACTATTCAAGGTGGCGAGAATGATCCACGGATGTCCCACATGAGCCACATTTCACCTTCTCATGCCGACCAACAACTGACGAATGAAACACACCCCAAGAGAAAATACGAAACCGAGTCCCCTGCAATTACCTCACACGCAAACCTACACGTCGGTAGGTCATATTCAGAAATACACACTGAATGTCACCTATCATGAACACAAACACTCAGACAGTCCCTCCAGAGGTTCGGAAGACTCACGACCCCAAAACTTGATGTTTCCCATATGCGGGCTCATCCTGAGATGTAGCCATCACTATCCAGTTGTCCCTGTTGTAGAGACAGAAAGTTGGGCTCCTCATTAGTTTATGTAGGATTGACGGTGTTCGTGTTTGTGTGGGTGTGTGTGTGTTTGCGTGCGCGCTTCTGGGTGTAGTTATGTGTGTGTCTGTGTGTGTGCGTGTGTGTGTGCACCCCTACGTGTGGGTCGGTACTTCCACTGAGATCACTGGCACACAAGCAGAGCCCTCTTGCTGTGTTTGTTCTTCCCTTTGGATCTCCTGGCCCTCCCTCGCAGGGAAGCGAGTGTGCCAGTGTTCATGGACTCCTGATGTGTCGGGGTCGACGAAGAGAGGTTTAGCAGGGAGCTTTGCTGTTCAGGATGATGGTTCTTCATCCCACACTTGTATTTTGATTGATGAATCACAAGTACGTCGGGAGGCAGGGTACCTTCGACTTTTCTGACGTTGAACTCAGGCTTCGTTTTGTTTTGCTCTTGAAGGAATTTCCAGTGGTCTAAGGTGCTTTCCTGAGTGGCTCTTTCCACCAAGTGCTCGTCCAACTCGGGGGCCTGGAGGCAGGGGTGGTCTCTCTTGAGCTCTCCTTGCGTTGCTCGCCTGTCGGTGTCTTCTGCGCCAAGGGCTCTTGGTTCCCTGCCTCTTGACACACTCTCACTGTGTCTTTCCCATTCACTCTTCTGGATGTAAAAGAGGACGTAGGCCTGTTGACTCAGGACAGAAGTGATGCTAGAGGCGGTGACCTCGGCATCATCCATTTTATACCACTGGCCTTCTTGAGCTTTGACATAAGAGAAGTAATGTCCGTTGTGACAACTCCACCCAGCGTGGACCAGCACAGCATAGAGGACATAGACGAGAGGTCCTGTGTTCGGCTGAGACATGTATGGCTGCATGTCAAGGCACTCAGGATATTGCACATTCTTGGCAATCTTGTTGCCTGTGACATCGGAGAATCTCTTCAATACAAGGATGAGGACCTTGGCAGAGGTGTGTAAAGTTAACGTCTTGGAGGCCGGCGCCCTCTGGAGACAAACACCACAATGATAGGCATTCTCTCCATTGAGTTCTTCGGGCTTCACCAACTGTTCCAAAGCTTGCTGGACACTCTGAGCTGCCTGGATATCCAGGGCGATGTCCAGGTAAGGGTCAAAAGTGTCTGAAATGCCGTGGCAGTGGAGACACTTGATTTGAGATCTCCAGTAGCCTCCAAATATTTGGTGGATGAGGGTGGTGTCCTTAGAGTGATGATCTACCTGCTTGTGCCCGGGAAGGCATGCCTTTTTCATGGCATCCACAGTGAACATGAGAAATTCATGGGCATCTTCCTGCTTGCCTCTATGGAAGCCAGCAGCCAATGCCTGTGAGGGCTGGATGACGTGGCCAGGATTGTGGAGGGCCCGTGTGATGTGAGCTTGCATAGTACAGAGCATGCAGCCCTTGTGACGATGACACGTTTGAGAGTGCTCCCGGGACAGCATGTAGTTGGCAAGGGGCGGTGTGTATGTCAGGCACTGCAAGGAAGCGTTCACGTAGCAGGTATTTCCCATATTCTGGAGCCCAGCCCCCACCGCAGCAGGTCTCCTGCTACTCAGAGGAAGCTTCTCCCTGGGAGCAAGCTGTCTTGCCACAGGAGCCAAATCATCACAGAGGTCGACACGGGTCTCACATGAGAGTGGTGACTTCTCAGGGAGAGAAGTCCGCTGGATTTCAGCAAAAGCTGCATCGGGCCGAGAAGATGTGAGTTTTGAAAAGTGGTTGAACTGCCACTCACCTCTCAAGTAGAGTGAGTCGTCCTCCATGTCGACTGGAACGAGGATCACAAGGTTTGTCTGCTGGGACCGCAGGTTGCAGAAAGACGCTATCCCTTCCGAGAGAGTCTTCAAATGACGAGCTCTCTGGCCGCATCAGCCCTTCTGTAAGTCACCCCCACCAACCGCGAACACCCCACCCACTCATCAGGTGCGCGATAAGCCAATCAAATATCAGCACTCAATTCAGGAAGGAGTCACAGGGTGTGTCCCCTGGCATCGCTGGGAATTCAACAGACACAGCCCACAGCATGACTTCCAGAACACCTGAATCAAATTACTCCTCAGGATGATAGGCACATATAATAGGAGTGTAACCGGGTTGGGACAGTGGCCTCACAGTTGCCTTATTTTAGGTAAAGCAATGGCAGGGAAGAAATCTTTACCTAGGAAACCGTGTGCGTGTGTGTGTGTGAGTGTGTTTGTGTGTGTGTGGGGGGGGCGTGTGTGTGTGTGTGTTTGTGCTGGGATGAACCTCCAAGTAGGTACTTTTGGCAGCTGCCATCATCCTCTCAGCGAAGGAAGGACAAGAAGTCGAAAGTGCGCTTTCTGACCTGAGAATAGTCAATGAAGTATAGTATTTAGCACAGCGTATTTTCTTCCCTAGTGAGAAAGGAGAGATCCGTGGAATCAAACAGACCTTCCAGCGATAACCTTTCCACGTTGAGCCTATTGATTCTCTGTCCGAGTGAAATTACCTGCCAGTGGAGAACAAGACAAGTCTTTGCATGAAATGCTCTTGTGGAAGCTAGATTGCCAAATAAGAAAGCATCAAATGGTAGAAACATGCACTGAAGTTTGAAGAGATACTCAGTGCACAAAGTAGACTGTGAAAGCCTTTGGGGAAATCATGCAATCCCCGAGAGACTAATTGATGACAATCCCCAAATTTATGTTTGCCAGAAAAGAGAGACGGTCATGACACCGCATAGTGAGCGGTTTCGGACGTGCGACGGCAGTTTAAGAAAACACGAAACAAAAAACTTGAGAACTCAGAAGGTATCCCAGCTATAACCTTTTGTTTATTAAGGAATTGATGAAAATAAAAACAACGTATCTCACAGCATGTGTGATAATATTTCCATACGTATGTGATAATGGATCAACGTTTCCTAGAGATGAAATAAAAAGTTCTAATTTGGACAAAAGCAAACAAGGAAAATTATACCGTAGAAAAGCCCGGCTGACGGAAGTGAGGCCCTGTCTCAGGGAGAAACATCGGAGACGTTTAAAAGCAGGGAGTGAAACAGAGGATAGCGTGCCATTTTTAATACTGGCCCTTGTTTCAGTGGGAAAAGGCCAAAATAAGCCGTGCATATCCTGGATTCTCGCATCGATCGTTCAGGATCGGAGATGTTGCCTCCATTTCCAGTTACGCATTGTATGGTGGAATTGCAGTTAGCACATTTGGTGCCAAAATTGTAATGCTGCCGAAAGTGGACATGTTCCCTGAAGTAAGAGGGACAGAATTTGGGTGTGTCTTCCGGCTGTCTGGCTTAGCAGGAATGAAGATCCTGGCTCTAGGGATTTTCCCAACATGTCTTAGACGGTAAGGAACAGGGCGGAATTGAGGCCCGGCGCCAAGGCCTCTAGGTGTAAAGAAACAGCCCTGGCTTCAGGGCCCATGAAATTAGGATGATTTTAAGGAGGATGATGGGATGAGAGGACTGTGACCTTTGGCCCCGTTTCTTTCCCTTGTCTTTTCATGGGCCAGGTGTGCTCCATCAGAAGGCTTCCTGTGCCGGATGTAAAGTGTCCTGGGGGAAGAAAAGAGCACTGCTTAGAAAGATGCTCCACAGGGAGAAAGGAGCCACCATTTTCAGGAGAATGATCCCCAGAAGCATGAGCAATGCAGATGCCGAGGCTTCACACAAGACCCTGGAGGGTCTTATTCCTGCAGCCGGGACCTGGGCATCGGTGTGCTTGAATGCTCATAACCGATTTTGAGGGGAGCCCAATCGATAAGCTGTCTGCCAGTCATGCTCATCACACTGTAGTTTTCACACACGTCACACGGAGACCCTGTTCGTATGCACATTTGGGTGCTTGAGCAGGGTTGCGCCCAAGATTCTGTGGTTCTACGGAGCCCTGAGTTGTGCCCTGGGCAGCTTTCCTCTGGGGTTGGTCAACTTTGATCACTGTACCTGACGAGAAAGGGACCATGAAGTCTAATCAGCAAATAGAGAAAAGGAAGGGGCCATTTCCCACAATCATTTCCACGGAAACACCACGTCGGATC